>NC_000012.12:9584650-10209650 GCF_000001405.40 Homo sapiens
CCTGGGAATTAATATAAATGATTGAACAGTTTTGGTTCATTATTTACAGAGAAACATGAATATGTATACAAGATACTAATTAGTATCTGTTATTTAAGGACATCTTAATACTTTACTAGGATGACAAATTCAATATCATATAGACATTGCTCTATTTAACATACTTATCAGTTAATTATTATATTTTTAAGGCTTTAGTTAAATTTATCATCTATTTGCATATATATATCTTTATATGTGAAAACGCATGCATAGAAACATGTTAAATTCTTTACTGTAAATGTTCACATAAATAGTACACATTAGTAAAATTAGATTTGTCCTTTTTTTCTGTAAAATGAGCAAATTTTCTGTGTTCAGATAACAGATACCCATTTTTTTCTAGCAATCTATTCTGATAACTTTGCTCTTGATGTATTTTAACAAACAACTTGTCTTTGGGAATGTTAAAAGTTCCTGATAATCTTTGCCTTTGTGGTGGTATATCTATAAAACACAGTATTGTGTTTATATCTTGTTTCTTTTGACCATACTCAATTTTGCCTTTCTGAAATTTAGGCCCCAAATTAGAAAGAATAGAATGGTTGTGAAGTCTTTTTATGTACAATCAAGTTTTCAGGTTTCTTGGAAAGGCCCCCAAGTAACATATTTTTTCCTTTGTTTTATTCAAAGAAATGAGGAAAGAATAATAAAAATAATCTACTTTGTTTGTATTCAAAATTTGATCATTTTACAGCCACTGTGAGAATACTTTTGTTTAACAAGTATAAGTCAAAATTTAAAAACTGGTTAATCTAGAAGAAAGTGCTGTCTTCTTAGGTTGATTACAAATGTTGAAAGATACAATGTAAATGTGTTTCAATGATTGTATACTTTTCAAATTAAAAGATGCATACTCATATTTAAGCATAGACTGGTATAATTGTTTACAAAAATATTTTGCTTTTTAGAGCCTAGATTTATAAACTCTTGTCAATTAGTGGCATTCTTTTTTTTTTTTTTTTTTTTTTTTTTGAGACGGAGTCACTCCTGTCACCCAGGCTGGAGTGCAATGGTGCAATCTCGGCTCACTGCAACCTCCGCCTCCCGGGTTCAAATGATTCTCCTCCCTCAGCCTCCCCAGTAGCTGGGATTACAGGCATCTGCCACCATGCCCGGCTAATTTTTTTTTTTTTTTTTTTTTTGTATTTTTAGTAGAGATGGGGTTTTCGCCATGTTGGCCAGGCTGGTCTTGAACTCCTGACCTCAGATGATCCACCCGCCTTGGCCTCCCAAAGTGCTAGGATTACAGGTGTGAACCACTGTGCCCGGTCGGGGCACTCTTCTTATACCTTATGAAATAAATTAATAAACTTGCAGTTAAAGTTCCCATACTATTTCTCTCGTCTTCACCTATCAGTATCCACCACTGTAACATGCTGACTCCAGGACTCCTTCCTCTACTAAAGAAAAAAAAAAACCTCTCAATGATTTAATCTGTATGAAAATATTTTCTGGGCTTTACATAGGCTTAACGTAGATTTCCTTGAGTAATTCTGATTTAATTTTGTTTTATAATGGTTTGCATTTAAAAACAAAAACTTGAAATTATCAAACAGGCTAGACGATTACAGATTCAAATTCAATCTTGGAACATGAAACTCTACTGGAATTTGTATCAGTTCATATAACTGAGTTCATTGTCCTCATCTGAGCCTCCCAGGTAAAAAGAAACAAATATCAACATTTATACAAATAATAGGCACGTTGTAGTATGCTTGGTCATTGCTTATTTTGAGGACTATGTTTCACTGAGAATGTTATTAAATATCTTGGTAAGGCTTTACTTTCTACTCAAAAACTTCATTGTTCCTATTTGCAATCTTTAGTAAAAAATAGAGATAACAAATGGAATTCAAAACCAAAAATTGGCAATGCTCTCAGACTTTATAACTTCCAAGGCCTAAGATATTGCCATAAACCTTGATGACATACATAGATTCTTTCTTAGGGCTTAATTCCAGGCCACTTCATGAATTTAGGATACTTCCCTATGGTAAATGGATATGACTAGATATCATCAGTCTTATCATTAAACAGGTACAAAAATCATTTCTAAAATAACTACTCATGACCTTGAACATGGAAGTGTAGTCTTCTGAAAGAAACCCCATTAAAAAAAATCCACCCTTACCCTTCTACAGAAAGGAACTTAGCAGGTACAGTAACAACCAGCATAGCAGTAAAATTCCAAGAAGTTGATCCTTGGATTCATGTTTCTTAAAAAGACAGACATCATTTTCTTTTGACCACTGCATATCATCTTCTTTTAATTGCTCAGTGTCCGTTGAATTGGGAGACTTTCAACTGAGGATACTTAACTGTATTCTAAAATCAGAAAGCTCTAGGGAGTAGAAAACTGCCACCCAGCACGAACAAACAAAATCAATTTTGTGATTCTTCTTCATCCTATTCCTTTCTGTTTGCTCTTCTTTAACCTTGCCTACTACTGTACTGTGGCATATCATATTGACAAGAGACCAATTTCTCAACATGCTTCCTCTCCATCTTTCTACTGTTGGCACCTATGGTCTTCAGTTGCTCAAAAAGAAACAAAATTCTCTTGTGCATTTTCTTCAGACCATTTCTACCACTTTCAGTTAACTGATTATTGGCTCTGTCATCCTCCATCCAACCCTGCTGTCATGGATTTAACAGCTGTCTCTTTAAAACATGCATTCTCAGCAGGAGTGGTATCACCCCCACGGAGGCAAAAATCTGTTCTTATGAATTAAAAATGTCTTATCGTTTTTATGTATAATCATGGTTCTACACGTGGTACATGAACAGGTATGCATCTATATGGTATTAAAATTTCTTGGGTATGGCAATTAGAAACAAAATGTCTAAAAAGGCTCTTTAGAAAATAATATTGAAAAAAGTTGACAAACATTACTTAAATATTTCAGAAAGTCAATTCTCTTTTAGAGGTCTTATCAGCTACTTAAATTACCTTTACATTATTAACGCCAACCTTTAATCTTGTAAAAAGTGGATCTTAACCCTACTCAATGAAATGCTTCCACTGAGGTCATTATATCCTTATCAGCTAGACATAGCTCATCAGACACATGTACTAATTTCAACACTATCATTACTATAGTAGTCTGTCTTCTGTTTTTTCAGAAACACTCCAGCCTGCTTTGCAGAAATTATTTCGCTCTACTTAGAAAATCTGACCAACTTAAGGTACCAATGATTGACTCACTCCTGTTAAAATGAAGGCTACTTATATTACCAATGGGGCTGTGCTCTTCTAGGATACTGTTTCTTATGTGAACATCACTTCTGCTTTAAAGACTCAACAAACCATTTAAAATCCATCAGCCAAGTTTGGTATTATCCTTGATTTCCTTTTAAGGAATTCCCGAGCGAGTGCTTATGCTATAGCAAAATGGTTCTTTCTACACCTCATAAATACAGTCAAGTAAATAACCATGACTAAGCTAAAAGAAAAAGCCATCCAGCTCTTTGAAACAGACCCAGCAATACATTGGGATGTTTTAATGGTCTGGGTTTAGTTCTGGGTCCCTGGCTTTGTGGTCTATTCCAAGGACTAAAACAATTGTGCTGGTAGTTTGTCCGTGTTGCGGTTGGCTGTTTACATCCTATCCAAAATTTTAGTTGCTGTTTGCACAGCCATTGTCACATTACATGATTCAACAACTTATCTTGTAACAAAAGCAGCTGGAAGGATTAACTCTAGTCCAACTTCAAACAACATTTTCTGGAAAATCTCCTGATTCACAGAATTTCAAGCCATGTATTTTATTGATTGAAATTTCCCTCCTTCATCCTTTCTAGTTTTTGTGGGTGAAATCACAGAATTGTTGAATCCTAATGTTGGAAAATACCTTCAAGGCTATTTAGTACCAACACCCCAATTAATATCAGAAACTTCTCCACAGATACTTTGTGAAGTCTGGTATAAAAAGAAATAATTTTAAAGGTTATATGTCATTTGAGTTAAAAATTAGCATGAGTTCTGCTTCTCTACACCTCCCTTGCACCTACGCCCTGTGTAATGTGACTTCACACCTCCTCTCATCAGGATGAGAAGTCTATTTATCCCACCCCTTGAATCTGAGCTGGCCTTTTGACTTATTTGTCTAATAGGATGTGGGGGGTGATAGTGTTTAGTTGCAAGTGAAGGCCCCTCTACCTTTTGGAACTCTGCCCAGCCACCATGTGAACAGCCTGGGATAACCTGATGGAGAATTAGAAACACATGGATCTAGCAGCCAAGTGGACAGTGAACTAACTGTCCCAGATGTAACTGAGGTCATCGTAGACCAGCCAGCCCTCAGCTGGCCAGTCAGCTGCCCATAGACGCATGAGTAAGCCCAGAACAAATCAGATGAGCAAAGACCAGATCAATAGAAAGTTCCAGCTAACTTGTAATCTCCAGAGCAAAACTAAAGCCTTTTGTTTTAAGCCACTAAACTTTGGAGTAATTTGTAATGAAGAAAATCCTAACTGACATAGGCAGCAAACTACAATTATATGTATTTATTCTATTAGAACCCTATTTTAGCATTATATAATTCCATTAATTATATTTGAAGTGATTTCGAGTAATTCATTTGTTCTGATTTGATTGGTTAAAAGATTTTTTTTTTCTTAGAAAGTATTCCTTTGGGTTGTTTTTGTCCGTGTTTAGCTGATAACTGCAGTGAATCCTAATTTAGGAAAGAATATTGAGAAACCAGAAGCAGCTCAATTATGCGCTAAGCAAGTGCTAAGTAGTGTGAAAATTTTCAAATAAATGTAAAAAAAAACCAAAACGGCCCTAAAGACCTACATTTTTCTTAGCATAATAACAAAATTGAGACAGAAAATTGAAAATATGTGTAACACAGGCCAGGCTCGGTGGCTCACGCCTGTAATCCCAGCACTTTGGGAGGCCGAGGCAGGCGGATCACCTGAGGTCAGGAGTTGAGACCAGCCTGGCCAACATGGTGAAATCCCATCTCCACTAGAAACACAGAAAAGTTACCCAGGCATGGTGATGCACGCCTATAACCCCAGCTACTCGGGAGGCCGAGGCAGGAGAATTGCTTGAACCCAGGAGGCAGAGATTGCAGTGAGCCAAGATGGCGCCACTGTACTCCATCCTGGGTGACAGAGAGACTCCGTCTCAAAAAAGAAAAAAGAAAATATGTGTAATACAAAGTGTATGACATAGATTGAAATTGCAATAAGATTTCATAGAAAATAGTATTTACTGCAGTGCAACCTCATAGGAGACAAACATAATTTGAGTCTTAAAAATATTCATAGTTTTCAACAGGCAAAGTAGAAAATAAGGGTGTTTAATCTGAACAACGTGAACAAAGGCATTCTCACTCCTTATAATGTCTCCTGAAAAATGGTTCTATTAACTGGCTACAGTTTCCTAGAGAGTTTAAATTGTCTTGGAAAATTTATACTTTTTTTTACACCATCATTTATCCAATAGCCACTGAGTGCCTACCATGTGGTAGGCATTTCTCTATGTCCTTGGGATACAACAGTGAAGAATCAGGCAAAAATAATTGTTATTGAGGTGCTTGCATTCTGTACAGGAATCCAGTCCTCCATTGCCATTTAGGCAAAATCACTTAACCTATAAGTTAACCAACAATTTAAGTCATCCTGTACTCTTCATTTTAACACCAAAAAAAAAAAATTGAAATAAAGTAGTAATAATTGGACATTACTGTTTGTGTCTTGAGCCTAAAAATCACTACTGATGAATAAAAATATCTGAACATAAACCTGTGAGCAAAACAAACTATCTGGGGTTCAATTTCAGTCAAAATTGGAATTACGTTTAGTGATTATGCCTGTTCGACTATTTTTGCCTGGAAATGTTTACTTGTGTAGCAGTTACTTGCTTCCTAAAGTAGAATACTGAAAATTTTTCATGAAGTGCAAAGGACAAATCAAAAGTAAACTCTAGTTTTACAGTGTCCCCATGTTTATTTTGAAAGGGCCCTGGTAGATTGTGTTGAGATACAGAGTGCAGTTGGCTTCCCAGACCTGGGAAATCAGACTTGGGTTCCAGCCCTATTAGTGGGTTACCTTGTAAATGTTGAAAAATTATTCTGTGTGCTTGCTTTATTATTTGAAAAATAGTACTTTTGGAAAAACCACCTTCTGAGCCCAGGTATTACAGAAAATTGATTATATAATAATTTATTTGTTCATAAGAAATATTTTTGAGCATCTACTATGTAACAGAACCGTTTGTTGATTCACAATACTAAGAAGGTCCTTGCCCTCCTGGGCTCATATTCCCATGGAGAGGGCCTAATAATAGTAGTACTAGTAGCAACAATAACAAAATAAGAAAATAAATAAATACTTATTCAGTTTTATTTATTGTGTAAGAAGTAAGATGTTCTGAAGGGGAAAAGTTGATAAACTTGTTCTGATTGGTACAGAACTGTTTTTTATTTGTTCTGTTTTGCTCAGTTGGGAGGAAACAAGAGCACATCAAAGGCAAAAACAAAAACAAAACAAAATGAACCAATAAGCCTCTAAGGTAGCAGGTGAAGCTCATCACAAACAGTTGTAGAAGTAAACTTGAATTGCCGCCAAGGAGTAGATTAAAGTCTATCTCCACCAGACCAAGATAAGTTAGTTGCTTCATGACTATATAGGTGTTTAAAATCCAAAATTACTTTTAGAATTTTTTTAATTTTTGTTTTTTTGAATTTTCCCTTTTCCAAGCTGCTTGATATAGAAGGCAAAAGTTACTTTTTCTTATCCATTTCTGCATTATGAAGGGAAGAATTGATTGGTGGCTGCCTAAACATAAGTGGATTGGAAAGACTGGTTAAACAAACAAACAAAAAAAACTAGATGGATGCATTAAGAATATTTAAATTTTTAATTTTCCTACCAGAAATGTTTTTCTACTATGCCTACTTTTTAACCCATGCCATGTGTATTGAAGAAGTCTGTGGAATGGGTGGGGCAGGGAGGTAAAGCAGAGATAGACTTCAAATCCAAGCATGTAGCACAGAAAATACACAGAAGGAATCTCATTGGCCCTGCCTTGAGATCTTTCTACCATAATATAAACAGATTACTCTGCCAAGAGTAATTTCTAAGCCACTATATTAAAATGAAGTCAGAGATGATCTTTTTTTTCCCTTTAATTATTCTGTCTTGGTGATTGTCCAACTCCAGCCATGAGAAAAGTGGAACTAGCTTTATAAACATAAAAGCAACTAATTGTAACACAGCAAAGAATTCAATCAGATTTTGGAAAAGTGGGAAGAAATAGATGACAAATTATGAAGAGCAAAAAGATTTGGGGTAAATTTCATCAAAGGAATTAACGTTTAATTCGAGCCTTCGACAACTGCTAGGATTTTTCTAGGCAAAGAGCGAAGGACTTCAGTGTTGTTTGGACAATGGTCCGTGTGCCTGGAGCAAGGGCTTCACAGAGGCACGTAGTGGAAGGCAACGTCAGAAACATAGATGGCAGATCTTTTTTCTTTTTAACTTTAAAAGACTTAATTGACAAAAATTGTATATATTTAAGGTGTACAATGTGATGATTTAATGTACATATACATTATGTGATGATTAGCACTATCAACACATGCATCACCACCCATATCATTTGTGTGTGTATGTGTGTGTGAGTGTGAGGAGATATGTTCTTAAAATCTGCTCTTTTACCAAATTTCAAGTACACAGTACAGTATTATTAACTACACTCAACACATTGTACATTAGATCTCCAGAATTTATTCATCTTAGGACCGAAATTTCATACCTTTTGACTAACATGCCCCATTTCCCCAACCATCCAGCCCCTAGCAGCCCCTCTTCTACGCTCTGCTTCTATGAGTTGGACTTTTTTAGATTCCACATATAAGTGAAATCATATAGTATTTGTGCATCTGGCTCATTTCACTTAGCATAATGCCCTCTAAGTTATTCATGTTGCTGTAAGTGCCAGAATTTTCTTCTTTTTTTGTAGCTGCAAATTATTTCATTATGTTATATACATACACTGTATTTTTATATATATATATATAATGCGTACCACCTTTTCTTTGTTCATTCATCTACTGATGGACACCCAGAATGATACCATATCTTGGCTATTGTGAATAGTGCTGTAATAAACATGGGGTGCAGATATTTCTATGAGGTGTTGATTTAATTTCCCTTGGATATGTACCCAGAAGTGGCACTGCTGGATTGTATGATGTTCTATTTTTAGTTTTTGAGAAACCTTATTTTTTTCCATAATGGCCATACCAATTTTTGTCTCCACCAACAGCATATAAGATTTTTCTTTTCTCCACACCCTCACCAACACTTGCTATCTCTTCTCTTTTTGATAGTAGGTAGACAGTAGATCTTTAATGCCTTACTAAGGATCATATTTTCACCATGCCTTGGAGTTGCAGTTTATGTCATAAACATTGACTCAAATACTATAACCAAAAATTTCCCCGCAAACCTAATATTTTTTAACCTGCCTGAAATAACATGAACCTGCATGTTAGACATGCCTTCCTCATGGAAATGTGCCTTCATGGTTTGAGATTCAGGGATAACCTCAGAATTATAATATCCAATACATAGTAAATTTATTTAATTATCTGATTTTGCAATAGCACATTACGGTGACAGATAACCTAACTTCTCGGGGTTAAGTTTTCTGCAAAATTTTCTTTTGGATGTGTGCTTTAAGGCTGCTTGATTTCAGATCTAACAAGTACAGAAGGAGGAAAAGGTCAATGTTTGGAGTGAATTCTGGACTAACTGGGTGGATATAGCCTTATCCTGAATCACTTTAGAAGACTGCTATCGACATCATTCCAAAAAGGTGGGAATGTGCGTTTTCCATCATGGGACAATTTTCATCAGATTTCTACTCTACTGGTGTCATTACGTGTCCTTCCCCGAAAGTATCAAATACTTCCAAACCTCACTTTCGTTGTGTATTATTTTGTAATGACACATTTGCCTAAAATGTTTCCCTAAGTAATCTATTTTCTAAGTAATTGGCACAAAATGAATTTTGCTTTGATTTTTGATCTCTTCAAAAGTTATTGTTTTAACAAGTATTATAACTCCTCATGTATGGGATATAGGAATTGAGCCATTATTTTAGCCATGTCATATGCACTTGAATTTATATAATTCAATTTGGTGATGAATTATTAGGGTAAGCAGATGTCTATTTTTCAGAATTTTATTATGATAAGTCTTCTTATCAGGTACATTCACCATTTTCATTTATTTGATTTCCATGCATAATTTGGCATATTTTTAAGAAAGGTGGACATTCAAGAGATTTATGATAATAAATACTTCTGTTTTTTAACTTTAACTTCACAGTTAAAAGGTATAACTTATTTTCCATCAGAATAACTAAAGATTTAATTACATATTTTCTATAGCTTGTGTGTGTGAGCCGTGGGTAGAAGACAATATGGAAGAAAATGATGTAATATTAAAATTAAAATGGGAAGAATGATGGAATGGCAAGAAGAGTTAAGGTCCCTTCCCAAACTCCTTTAATTATGGGATTCTGGTGTCAGAGTTAAAAGAATGAACTTTAATCAATGTTCTGCCACAACTCAATTGTGTACTGGTTTAAAAAATGATAGACTATGATGGATGCACAGGGATTTAGCAATTATTTACTAAAATTTTCCTGGAGATGAGCCATTACATGGAAGGGATCAATGAAGTCCACACATACACGTCAGGATTAGAATCTAATTCTCTTCAGCAGGTCTGGGGTTCTTTCCATTGAAGGGGAGCCACAGATCACCTCCAAAGCCCCTTGTTAGCTCGTAGTGGGCTCTTCTATTGGATCTAGAAACTAAACTGGCACCGGGCAGATGAACAAAATAAAAGTATACACATTTTATTCGTTTTGCATGTACATGAGGAACTCGCAAGAGAGTGAAATCCATAGAAGTGGCCTAAGCAAGATGCTTTTATGCTTTTTAGACCAAGAATGATAAATTTGAAAAGAAATGACAGGATGAAGAAAAGCTGGCTAGGGGCAATAAATTTTCTAGAGGAGTCACTAGGAGATATATTGGTTGCGGGGGGCTGTAAAATAGGTGAAAGATAGGTGTTTATTAAGTATCTTTATTCAGGTTCATTGCAGCATCCAATTCCAGGTCTCTGGCGATAAGAGCTATTTTCTTGCCCTTGTATGACTCGGATAGCCCTCCCAGAGGAATCTTCACGGCTTGCCGCGTGCGGGAAGAGACAGGTCAGCTCTCCCTTTCTGAATCTACAATTTCTCCACTGTTTTAAACACAAAACAATCATATACCAATCTGGCATATTCGGGGACATCCTTCACTCCTTCACCATAGAATATCACTGTTTCTTTAAAACGATGCACGTTTTTCTCTATGTCTCTGTTTCCTCATTTAATAGAATGAATATGATAAACATGAACTTCTGTAAGATTCATAACAGTTGTCAATTCTCAGAATTGTTCACTTTGTGCCACTAAATGTGGCACTATTAGGTAGTACCAATAGTATGTGCAGCTACAAGTACAGAGATCAGTAATGGGAAGCAAATAAATTGAGATGGGATTCATAGTCAAGAGTCAGGATACACTTTATTTCTCACAGGTGTTAGTTCTTTTTGGCAGATCCATCTGATTTCTGTACTACAGTACTCAGAATACACAGATGTCTGTGAGATGGAAATACAGCTGTTTTCTTTAGCATCACCTCTAATTTCTAAGCTGTGGAGCAAAAGAAAAGTCTGTCTTAGCATTTATGATTTTCTCAGAGCTATTCTCACTTAGCCATTATTTCCTAGGACTCTCAGGAAGCAGTAGAATGATAAACTATTAAACAAAGAAGGCACACGGTCACAAATATAATGGTATGAACTTTTAAGATAGAGCTAATGTAAACCTCTGGAACTTCCAAGTTCATCTTCATTGGAAAAGAATCCCTCTAACAAGAAACTTCACAATTACATTAAAAAAAGAAAGAAACTTTGGAAACTGGGGATTCAGTCTTCTTATTGTTCTACTAACAGGTCACATTAAAAATGTTTCCTAACTTTACTGAGCCACAGTTTTATTAAATATTTAGGCTATAGCCACCTAATATTTAGGGGAGGCATGGAGATGAAATATGAAAATGTGGCAATACTTCAAAAATATGTGCTGAGTAAATATGATAAATATCTAGAGGCATGATGGATATTCAGGGTCTATAGAATTTGGAAGCAGTGAGAAAAAGTGGCTCAGTTCATGGTTATGTAGTCAGAGGTTCCTTTCATTCTCATTCCAAACAGAGGTGAACAGGTGTCTGCAGAAACATAATATTAGTTTCAAACAGACATGAGTCCTGTGGCTCACTGCAGGTAGGAGGTGATGATATAATTCAAACAAAGGGACAGGCTGTATTGGGGTTGAGTTGCAAGGACGGTGTGAGTTCAAGACTCTCCTATTTGTCTCAAACGGATGAGGTGGTGGCAGCATGCTGGGCTCCATCACAGCTTTTCTTTAGTCCTTTGTTCCATTTTCTCATGTAGCCTCTTGGGGCTGCTTGTCTGATTTCTTCCTACTGCCCAACCTTCTAGTCAAACCAAGAACTTCTTTCAACTGGGCTATTGCAAAAGTTCCCTATATTTTATCTCTTCCACCCTTTTAATTGTTTCTTCAATTATCAGGGTAATTTTTTTAAATGCCAATCTGGCCAAGTCAACAATTCCTTTTCCAAAAGGCCCTCAGTGGTTTTACAGGCCTTCCTTGATGAGACATCTGGCTAGCTCTTGAACATTGTCTCCTGTAGCCCCCAAAATAATCCTGTAAAAAAATTATGATTCTTCCCTTTCTTTCCTTGCCTTGCAAATAAAAGCAGAGTCTAACTGGTGCTTTTTCTACTATAACGTGATACCTTCCAGGTTTACCTGATCACTATTATCTTAAAGCATCATCTTTCTCCTCAGAATAAAATGAAAAGTTCAACTGAATTTCCTCCATCCACTTTACACATATTTATGTTCACATTTCAATGTTTTCAAATTTTATTTTTTACTGTGAACCACAATAAAATAAACATTTTGCATTATGACCCCATTAAGAAACACACACACAAACTATACTTAATAAATGCTAATTCACCAATACCATGTGTGGAAAGATAAAAATAAATTAATAGCAAACCTACTTTCATTTATTTGTAAATAAAATATTGAAAATAACCCCCAGAAAGCAATATAAAAATCAAGAGAGATGTTTTTAAACATAATGTGTATGTTTGGCTTTTCATAAATTTATTCTAGTCCAGAACACTTATTTTAAATCATCTTTATTTTAAAATCTTACACTTTATAAAATATTTTAGAATGTGGCTCATATAATGTCAAAACTTTGCTGATTGAGCCAACATTTCTTTCAGTGTTTAATACTTTCCATACTTAATAAATTATCTTAGGATAATGTAGACAAACTTAAAACATTCTCCTATGTTTTAGATTTTAACCTCTTGTTTTTTGAGTGACGGAAAATACATTTTAAATGTAAATTCTGCCAATTTGACTAAATCATTTACAGACTCATTAAATATAACTGTTTATATTATCTCTTTTGAAAAACTCATTAAAAGTTCTTTACAGAAATGTGGTTGAAGGCCTATACATTTTCGCTTGTGAGGGAAGAAAACACCCTGCCTTTTTCTGCAAAATTATCCATGAATTCTGCTAAAACATGAAATTTGCCTGTGTCGCAAATGCCTCATAGTACGTTGATGGTAATTTTGACCATCTTACACAAGACAAAAGCATGTCACACTGAAGAGAAAACAGCAAATAGCTCTTTTGTGGGTTAGACATGTTTTCATCACATCGTCTCAAGTACCTCTGTCTTTCACACCAGTGGTTCAAATATACTGCAATTTTTGTCACAACGTGGGTGTCTGGGTTCCACACTCTGATATTTACTATTTTTTCTTTTCTTTTAATGCCAGCTGTGACCCACTAAATTGGTCTCTTTACCTACTAATGTATATTTTCCCACAGTTTGAAAAATACAACGTAAGACATTCTGTGTGCCAGTGGTCTCCAGATAATCACTATTTTTAATTTAATGTGCCCGTTTCAAATAAGTTAGTCTATTTCCTGTCCCCTAAAACTCCATTGCAGATAAAAATATATTTTCTCATAAAGAGCTGATATCTTTTCATATATAGAACTTTCCAACCAACTTTGAAATCATCCATGTTCTTAGCCTATTCAGAACTTCTTGAGTTTTTAAACCAAATTAAAACTACAAAACTCAATCTTCAGTGTTACTACCTTGCAGTGTAAACCTGATATAAATTGAATATTAAAGTTAGCTCATCTAATACTCACTCATTAGAATTTAAAAAAGAGCCGTTTATCCACTTCCAGTTCTTTTCTGATAATGAAAAATTTAATCCAATCCAAAACAGAATTGCTTTGTCACGTATCAGGTTCTGTGTGTGTATCTATAAATGGAACAGAAAAATATTGAATCTGCTTATCTATTCCTGGTTTGATCCCCTAAAACCTAGTTCAAGCATCACCTCATCTCTGAAGTCTTTCCTAACTCGTCGTCAGCATTAATTATTCCTTCTTTGTGATATTTCTGTCTATGTTTTTATTTCTATTATTGTATTCATCACCTTATATTTAATTATTTGTTTACATATCCATGTAGTCATTCAAATTGTGAAGTCAAAGTCATCACTTCCATTGCATAAAACCCCTGGGCTAATGCACAGACATTAATATGGTTTAAAGAAAGTGTTAAGTTTTATTAAGGTATTTTATTTAATGATTTACCAATTCATCCTTATCTCGAATAAGCAGCAGGCTGGATTCTTTGGTGGAACAATCAGCTAGACTGTTATTCCAAGGGTTGACAGTGTGAGAAAATAACAAGCATTTCTCTCGGAGTTGCTGCCAATATATTGGGCAGTTTAAGAGACCCGGTCTCTCTAAAGTAAAAAACAGAAATAAGAAATAAATGTTATATTTCTAACCTATCCCTGACACACCACAACCAATCACACACACACAGGTCATTATAAATGCTCAAAGTTTTTGATTATCACTGTGAGAACAATGAATTTGTTATAAAGTTGAGATTTTTGAGACCTACTGTTCATTCTAGTACCAAGAATTGGGAATTAGTGACCAGTTATCTTGAGCATAAATGGAATCATAAAATATTAAAATAGGAAAACACCATCAGAATAATTTAAACTGCCACATCTTACATTTTAAGACAGTGAGAGACAGAATAACTTAAGTCCAGCCAGTCAGATGAAATATTTCCCACTACTTCTCAGTTTCCTTAAATTCATCACCAGTGCCTGTTTCACTGCACAGGCAACAATATAAAACTCATGTAAAAAGTACTGACTTTAAATGATGCACAAAATGCATAGCAAATAATTATTTTCACTAAATTAATAAGAAATACCATGGAGAAAAAATTATAAGAAAATTTCCAATTGCTAAACGATGTATTTACCTACTTAATGTGATCTATTGGATAGAATTTTCCAGAAGGACTTTCAGGTTTTCTTAAAACTTCCATTCTGTGAGAATGTGCACACAGATCATATTCCACTATAGTCACTCAACAGTAGTCACCTTTTTTTATTAACACACACTGGAACAAGACTAATGTGGCTGCATGGTGAGGAAATATAATAAATAGTAAAGAATTCATTCTATGTTTAAGTTCTATCAATTAACTTCAGACCAAACTTAACAGCTCACTAAAATAATCAGATATTTCACATATTTCCTATCAACAGTGGAGTATCCTAGCAGAGGCTCCTCATGAGGCAGCATGCCTTGCTGGTTAAAACCTTAGGCTCATAAGTCAGACCACTTACATATAATTCCCAGCCTCATCACTTGGTGCTTATGTGACCCTCAGCAAGTTGTTGAATCTTTTTATGTCTCAATTTTCTAATCCAGAAAAGCAGAATGATAAGAATATCTTAACATATGGATTGTTATGAATTGTGCCTAAGGTAACACATGAAATCTACCAAATATTAACAGTTATTCTTAGGAAATTGAAGCCACACAATTACCTGTTGTTTTATTCCTGCTCTGTTGAATGTCCACACTGCATTTTTCTATTGATGATTTCTGTATTAAGGATGTCACTAGTACATAAGGAAAAACAAGAGTATTAAATGCTGAAATGTGTGGTGGAGTGGATATATTATATTTGTTACTTTAGGAAACTAGATAATCTCAACACGCTTGAATATGGACAGAAAATAAAAGTATTAGCGAAGTGGTAAAAAAAAAAAAAAAAGATCTCACCTACAGGAAGCATACAGAAACAAATAAGAAAAAACAAAACAGGTGGACTCACACAGCCATTAGGTTGCCTGTATCTACTAGGTAAGTCAATCTAAGGGGATTACTTAAGCTCTTAAATTGCCTACAGTCTCACCTGAACTTTATCATCTTCAAAATGAGTCTAATTGTGCCTGTTCCAAGGGAGAGATTGTCTACTGCAATCTGGAATTTTAGTAAGTACATTATAAACCATAAATAACTGGAAATTTTTCTTTTCTTTGTTATCATCAATTGTGATTTTTTTCAAAAGTTCTTGGGCCACATATATAATACCCCGTGATGACTCTCAGGGCAGTTAGGAAGACAAATATGAAAGGCTGGTATCCAAAGTGGATATGGACTGACTGTTAGAAACATTGTTTCATGACTTTTTATTCATTGATTTTACACTAAGATTGGGGTAGCCAAATTATGTTGAGATTGTGGGGAAAAGCAAGAGAGATCAGATTGTTACTGTGTCTGTGTAGAAAGAAGTAGACATAGGAGACTCCTTTTTGTTATGTACTAAGAAAAATTCTTCTGCCTTGAGATTCTGTTAATCTATAACCTTACCCCCAACCCCTTGCTCTCTGAAACATGTGCTGTGTCAACTCAAGAGTTGAATGGATTAAGGGCGGTGCAAGATGTGCTTTGTTAAACAGATGCTTGAAGGCAGCATGCTCCTTAAGAGTCATCACCACTCCCTAATCTGAAGTACCCAGGGACACAAAAACTGCGGAAGGCCGCAGGGACCTCTGCCTAGGAAAGCCAGGTATTGTCCAAGGTTTCTCCCCATGTGATAGTCTGAAATATGGCCTCGTGGGAAGGGAAAGACCTGACCGTCCCCCAGCCCGACACCCGTAAAGGTTCTGTGCTGAGGAGGATTAGTAAAAGAGGAAGGAATGCCTCTTTCAGTTGAGACAAGAGGAAGGCATCTGTCTCCTGCCTGTCCCTGGGCAATGGAATGTCTCGGTATAAAACCCGATTGTATGCTCCATCTACTGAGATAGGGAAAAACTGCCTTAGGGCTGGAGGTAGGACCTGCGGGCAGCAATACTGCTTTGTAAAGCATTGAGATGTTTATGTGTATGCATATCTAAAAGCACAGCACTTAATCCTTTACATTGTCTATGATGCAAAGACCTTTGTTCACGTGTTTGTCTGCTGACCCTCTCCCCACAATTGTCTTGTGACCCTGACACATCCCCCTCTCGAGAAACACCCACAAATGATCAATAAATACTAAGGGAACTCAGAGGCTGGCGGGATCCTCCATATGCTGAACGCTGGTTCCCCGGGTCCCCTTATTTCTTTCTCTATACTTTGTCTCTGTGTCTTTTTCTTTTCCAAATCTCTCGTCCCACCTTACGAGAAACACCCACAGGTGTGTAGGGGCAACCCACCCCTACAGAGATGCTCTAAGATACGTAATGGAAGTAGAGTAAGTATTATGAAACAGATGATGGTGCCCCACTTACCTGAAACACTCAACCCAGTAACAACCAAGACAAGGAGAATAATCCCAGCACAGCTAAGTTTCAGGGCAAATTGATGCCAAGGTGAACCCTGACAGACATCTGAAAAGTTAAAAAGAAAAACACAAAAACAAACAAACAAACGAAACAAAAAACCTTGGTTAACTCAGTGGAGTACATCTGGCACAAAAATGTACTTGGGATAACATAGGGACAATTAGATTCAGCTTGGGGGATGGGGGCAGGGAACAACCTCTATCCATCATTCTAAAAGTAGAGTCCTGCAAGATGGGTTCTCAGATCCAACAGAGTTTGCTCATTGATAAAATATGAACGCTTATGCATGTGTGTATACAAAGGATTGGTGTAAGAACCAAATGAGATAGATAGAAAGATGTTTTGAAAATTGCCAAGTGCTATACAAAAATTAAGTGCATGTCTTAATGTATGAAGTAAGTCAAAGCATTTTGTCCAAGAAGGAAGACCTTCATTTAGTCAAGATATTTTTTGAGGCTCTCTCTATTTTGTGCCAAGTACCATGTTAGGTGCTGGTGGTATACAGAAATTCTATTCTTGGACATGGAATCCTCTGCTTTGCTGTTGTCTAGAACAATCATCTCCAAGTTGGGTCTAAGCCAACTTGGGATCCCAAGCCATCAAGGGATAAGGTTTTGTGACTGCATACCTTTTTCAATATTATCACTAGTATAACATAACATGCGCTTATGTCTACAACATCGCATAGTCTAAACCAAGTGTCAGATATCTCTGCTTTTCTCTGTAATCACATCAATTACTATATAATGAATCTCCCATGTTCTTCAAAAGTTATGATTATATTGATGAAATGTTATAAATTAATCGCAACTTTATCAATGTATTTTGCTCTGTATCTTTGAAAACATGAATTAATAGAAAAAAAATAAAGAGAGATTTATAAAAATATTTTGGAGAAACACTGGGATATAGCTTCCAAAATTAAATCAACTCTGATAAGGAATTATTCTGGTAGTATATTGCTCAGTTACACTGCTAGAAGTTGTGCCTAAATAGCTCCCCTATCTCTGATTTAATTGTAAGTCTCCCTCTGCTCTCATTTGGTTTTTAACATATTAGATATATTATAATTATAAATTACTTTATAAATTCTATTATTAGAGCTAGGAGCTTTTATGAATAAAGGCTTTCTAATTTATCTGAAGCTATTGATTTATTTGTATTGTCTATTCCTTTTTATTTTTTCTAATATTATTCCATGTAAGTGATTACTTGCTATGAGTTACATGTTAAAAAATTTAGCATCAGATATACTATAATATTATCCTTTAGTCTCTTTATATGTTTCAGAACGGCCATGAAGCCATTTCTACTTTTAATGGTACAGTATCCTTGAGGATTAAGTTGTGCAGTCCAGTTTGCAGACCTGATAATCTCTCACATTAGGATGCTCACACTGATATAAGTGAATCAGCTCTCTCTAAAACGGCCCTGAGGAGATAGAATTTAGTAGCGTTAGATGTGATCAAAGATTATGGGAGGAACCATAATACACTGGGGTCAGGGTTGTAACATATGGATTATCGTCTGGTACTATTTAGGACATGCTGTATCAGTGGAGGGGGGCAGGGAGGAGTAGATACCTAGAGGAGACTCCAAGGCCCCAGGGATATATCTGAATGTGAGGAAACCAAGCTTGGTAATATTGGCCTAGAACTTCTAATGAGAGCTGGTGTGATACAAGAATGTCTACATGCAGTCAATAAGCCCAAGACAGCACTGGCATGGCTTTCCTTCCAGTTTTATATATGTACGTTATTTCACCTTTCTGTCTCTTCTCTTCCCCACCGTTTTCTTCCTTGAAACTCTAAGTTTGTTTGTCTAGTGGAGAAAGCTCTGTATAGTCACTATTTTAAGTGTTAACTTAATTCTATTTATTTATTTATTTATTTTTGAGACGGAGTTTCACTCTTGTTGCCCAGGCTCATGGTGCAATCTCAGCTCACCGCAACCTCCGCCTCCCAGGTTCAAGCAATTCTCTTGCCTCAACCTCCCGAGTAGCTGGGATTACAGGCATGCGCCACCATGCCCGGCTAATTTTGTATTTTTTTTTTTTTTTTTTAGTAGAGACGGGTTTCTCCATGTTGGTCAGGCTGGTCTCGAACTCCCAACCTCAGGTGATCCACCCGCCTCAGCCTCCCAAAGTGCTGGGATTACATACGTGAGCCACCGCACCCAGCCTAATTCTATTACTAACATGAATTTAGTAATTTTCATTACTAAAGGCTAACATTGATTAAGAACAGTCTTTCCGATCTAGCAAATCTGAATGTGAACATGTTATTTTGGAAAATACGTTCAACCTTCATAACCCACAGATTTCCTCATCTGTGAAATGTGGAATATTATCTATGTCATAATATTTTGGAGAGGATTATATGAAACAATTCTTCTAAATGCTGGGCACAGTGTCTGGCACATGGTAACTGTTCAATGAACAGCAGTTCTTTTTTTCTAAAAGTTGTTTTTTTTTTTTAACTATAGGTAAAAGGCAACTTGGTGACTTTTAAAAATCGTTATTCATTCATGCTAAAATGTAAGGAGTTGAGTGGAGTGTACTGTGTCTGGGAGGAATGTACTCCTGTACTGTGTTTCTGTGGCACCACGTGACATTAGAATTAATGAAGTTACAATGAATCACTACAGGGGTCCGGCGGACGTTAGCTATCTGGAAATACCTACCTATGGCTGTTCTCCATTTGAGTTTAAAAAGTATGTGAAATCATCTCATTTCATTATTCTAAACCTTCCAATGGCTTTTCATCAGGCAAATCTGAGTCTGTAGAATGGCTCATATGTCCCTATTTAAGCTGGCGCCCACTTCTGTTGGATGTTATCACTCACATCTCTCTGGTTTTGTTGACTGCCTTAGACACAATCACCATGCTACAGAGTGACCATAGCCTCAACAGTTTAGCCAGAGTCCAATAGTGGTTTCACATTTTGCCCTCACCCCATCTGGCCTCCATACGCTCACTCTCCACGCAGATGCCTCCTACAATACCACAGGCGTGTTTTCATTTCGATGTGTTTGCACTTGTTGGTCACCTTCCTAGAAGGCTTCTCTCTCAGGGGCTTATGTCTTTGTCCCTCACTTCTGTCAGGTTTTGACTCAATGTCATCTTCTCAGGGAGGCCTTCCTTGATTATTCTGTTTGATATGCTACCCTCCCCGAAAGTTAAATCCTATATTCAAATCTTTCTCAATAACATTAACACCGTCTCATCTTTTATACTGACTTAGTTATTTGTTTATTTTATTGATGGTGTGCCTCCATTTTTTTAATTTTTATTTTTTATTATACTTTAAGTTCTAGGGTACATGGGCACAATGTGCAGGTTTGTTACATATGTATACATGTGCCATGTTGGTTTGTTGCACCCGTTAACTCGTCATTTACATTAGGTATTTCTCCTAGTGCTATCCCTTCTCCCTACCCCCACCCCACAACAGGCCCTGGTGTGTGATGTTCCCTGCCCTGTGTCCATGTGTTCTCATTGTTCAATTCCCACTATGAGTGAGAATATGCGGTGTTTGGCTTTCTGTCCTTGTGATAGTTTGCTCAGAATGATGGTTTCCAGCCTCATCCATGTCCCTACAAAGGACATGAAATCATCCTTTTTTATGGCTGCACAGTATTCCATGGTGTATATGTGCCACATTTTCTCAATCCAGTCTATCAATGATGGACATTTGGGTTGGTTCCAAGTCTTTGCTATTGTGAATGCTGCCGCAATAAACATACGTGTGCATGTGTCTTTATAGCAGCATGATTTATTATCCTTTGAGTATATACCCAGTAGTGGGATCACTGGGTCAAATGGTATTTCTAGCTCTAGATCCTTAAGGAATCGCCATACTGTCTTCCACAAGTGTGCCTCTATTTTACTATAAACTCTATGAAGGAAAATAATTTTCTCTATTTTGTTCACTGCTGTATTCACAGCATGCCTGGTGCAGAGTAGGAGCTTATTTTTTAATGAATGAATAAACTCTAGGGGCATTTTTGCAAACACCTTATCCACTTTTCTAACAGACCAAACCCTTGGCCATTTGGCCATAAGCAAGATCGGTTATCACTCACATCTCTCCTTCTGGTTTTGTTGACTGCCTTAGACACAATCACCGTGCTTGCTACAGAGTGACCACAGCCTCAGCAGTTTAGCCAGAGACCAATAGTGGTTTTACTGTCATTCAATATCAGACCAGTGTTCTATAGTCACATATTTTGCTCTGGCTTTATTCTACTCTTATTTTTTCTTCAGGTTTACTCTCAGAATGACATTTTATAGGATAATTATTACAATCCAAGTAGAAAAAATTTCTGCATCCATTGGTTTGGGATCATAGCAACATTTGGGAAGAGTCTCACTACCTCTATATTCATTTTCTGACAAAAGCCCACTTTCCACCTTTTGCTAGATATGAATAGAGGAAAAGAAAGACTTACTCTTTTCTTTAAAAAAAAATGTTACTCAACCAAATCCTCCCTATAGTTATTAGAACCCTCTGATTTCCTCTACTCTTATGTGAAAATTATACTGAAACTTAATTGACGGCTCTAAGACTTTCTTCTTGACTTAAAACTTTGAGAATTCAATAGTTTAAAACTTAAACAGTCTTAAAACAGCACAAGTCAAATGCTTGGCATGACATGGAATGAATATCAGATTGGTAAACAATTGTAATATTATCAATGATAGTAAATTCAGTTAGATATCAGAAAATAATAATGTGTCATAATAATTTCATGCTGATTTTCTGCCTCAGTTTCTAGTTTCTTCCCATCCATCCACAGGCCATGCTATCCATCATGTGTTACCTCACATTGGTGTTCCCCGCTTCTTTCACTCAGAATGCTAACTCTTCAGAGACACAGGAAAGTGCCAGTTTCAACAAATGGTAAGTAGGTTCGTTACTGATATGCTCGAGTATTTTTGTGGCTTGTCTCTTTCTAAGCTGTGATACTTTTCAAACTAGAAACTATCAGGTAGTAATGATATTCAAATCTTTGATCTTGAATATGATTTTTTTTCCAGAAAGTGTTCCCCTCTCTTGAGAGAGTGAAGTATGTTACTCATTAAGCCTACACTTTATATATATATATATAAAATATATAAAATATATGTATAAAAAGTATATATATATATATAAAATATATAAAATATATGTATAAAAAGTATATATATATATATATATATATATATTTTTTTTTTTTTTTTGAGATAGTCTTGCTGTGTCACCCAGGCTGGAGTACAGTGGCACAATTACAGCTCACTGCAGCCTTGATCTCTTGGGCTCAAGCAATCCTCTCACCTCAGCCTCCCGAGTAGCTAGGACCACAGGCACGTGCCCCACACTTGGCTATTTTTTTGTATTGTTTGTAGAGATGAGGTTTTGCCACATTGCCCAGGCTGGCCTTAAACTCCTGGACTCAAGCAAATCACCTTAGCCTACCAAAGTGTTGGGATTACAGGCATGAGCCACTGCAACTGGCCTACACGTTGTATTCTGAAAGGAATATTATGGATGAAAATGCACTGGGACTTAATCATAGTATTGATATTTTGTAGAGGAATTTGGAATAACGTAGGTTGTTATTACAGCAAGTTTGCAATGTGTCTTAAATATTCCTTAGTTCATACATGTAAAATATTTTTCCTTCCTTCCTTCCATCCTTCCTTCCTTCCTCCTTCTCTTTTTCTTTCTTTCCTTTCCTTTCTCTCTCTTTCTTTTTCTTTCTCTCCTTTCTTTCTTTCTTCTTTTCTTTCTCTTTCTTTCCTTTCTTTCTTTCTTTCTTCCTTTCTTTCTTTCTTTCTTTCTTTCTTTCTTTCTTTCTTTCTTTCTTTCTTTTCTTTCTTTCTTTCTTTCTTCCTTCTTTCCATCCCTGTAGAGCAGGGGTAACCAATAGGCAGTGTGCCCAGGGTAGCCTAAAGTGTTCAGAGTCTTTTAACCAAGGCTCAGTAAGACAAGTGATGTTTGCTTTTCATGCTAACTTGATTGAAAAAAATAAATGTATGAGGTTTAAATTTTTTTTCCCAAAGTTGTGATTATCTACAGGCAAGCCATGCAACACCCGTTAAACATTAATATAAAACTACTGCTCATCTTTAAAGCAATGATTTAAAGCCATAAATGTAACAGGAAGATCTAATTCTGGAAGACATACAAATGCCGAAAGGAAAATTAAAGCCACTTACCCCGAGGAAGAGATGAAGGTGAAGAACTTTCTGGGCCTGAGTCTGTGGGTAAGTTTAACTCAGCATATATTGCTTGTTGGTCCATGGCAGACAGAGGAAGGTGGCATTAAACTTGTGTGTAAGAACAAACTCTCAATTCTGTGAGGCAAAATCAGCAAAAGGAAGCTTTCTGCCTGCAGTACTTTGTTGTCTCTCTTTTGTCCCCACCCACATACACTTTTTGTTGGTGGTTATCTCCATAAATTACTGAGACAATCCACTGACTGCATGTTCATTATACCTAGCTATGTAATATCTACTTTCCTTAATTAACTGGCCTGTTGTTTGAGAAAATTCTGGGAGGCTCATTTGTTCTTGTTTTTCTAACCATCCCTTTTGTGTTCCTCTCTCAGGGCCAGGACCAGAGTGAAGCAAATGAGGCATAGCCTGGGGTTCCAATTTAAGGGGCCCCCAACAAAACTCACTAATTAACAGAAATAATATTTAGCACAATTTTGTAAAAGTAAAAATTAATGCAAAAAAGTCCATAATGCTATTCAAAGGCTCTAAAATCTTCCTGAAATATCTGTGCTCCAAAGAAAGTTGTGAAATGTGAAAAATGGAAACATAAATGTGAGAAAGCCCCCTGAATAACACAACAGAAAAAGCAATGTGCTAAAGATCAGTAGCCTACTGTTAGCTTAGCTCTAAAGGCACTCTTGGATATGATAGCATTTTCACATAAGTAAAAGTATTTGGAAACTGCCAGAATTGTAGGAAGTGGAGTATATGGAATTTTTTATCTCTTTGAAAGACTTTCTTTTTTTTTCAAGGTGATTATAGTATGTGTCTACTTTTTTTTTTTTACCTTTTTTTATTATTATTATACTTTAAGTTCACAATGTACAGGTTTGTTACATATGTATACATGTGCCATGTTGGTGTGCTGCACCCGTTAACTTGTCATTTACATTAGGTATATCTCCTAATGCTATCCCTCCCCCCTCCCCCCACCCCACGACAGGCCCCGGTGTGTGGTGTTCCCCTCCCTGTGTCCAAATATTCTCATTGTTCAATTCCAACCTATGAGTGAGAACATGCGGTGTTTGGTTTTCTGTCCTTGCAATAGTTTGCTCAGAATGATGGTTTCCAGCTTCATCCATGTCCCTACAAAGGACATGAACTCATCCTTTTTTATGGCTGCATACTATTCCATGGTGCATATGTGCCATATATTCTTAATCCAGTCTATCATTGATAGACATTTGGGATGGTTCACGAGTCTTTGCTATTGTGAATAGTGCCACAATAAACATATGTGTGCATGTGTCTTTATAGCAGCGTGATTTATAATCCTTTGGGTATATACCCAGTAATGAGATGGCTGGGTCAAATTCTAGTTCTAGTCCCTCGAGGAATCGCCACACTGTCTTCCACAATGGTTGAACTAGTTTAGAGTCCCACCAACAGTGTAAAAGTGTTCCTATTTCTCCACATCCTCTCCAGCACCTGTTTTTTCCTGACTTTTTAATGACTGTCATTCTAACTGGTGTGAGATGGTATCTCATTGTGGTTTAGATTTGCATTTCTCTGATGGCCAGTGATGATGAGCATTTTTTCATGTGTCTGTTGCCTGCATAAATGTTTTCTTTTGAGAAGTGTCTGTTCATATCCTTTGCCCATTTTTTGATGGGGTTGGTTGATTTTTTCTTGTAAATTTATGTAAGTTCTTTGTAGATTCTGGATATTAGCCGTTTGTCAGATGGGTAGATTGTAAAAATTTTCTCCCATTCTGTAGGTTGTCTGTTCACTCTGATGGTAGTTTCTTTTGCTGTGCAGAAGCTCTTTAATTTAGTTAGATCCCATTGGTCAATTTTGGCTTTTGTTGCCATTGTTATTGGTGTTTTAGTCATGAAGTCCTTCCCATGCCTGTTGCCTGAATGGTATTGCCTAGGTTTTCTTCTAGGGTTTTTATGGTTTTAGATCTAACATTTAAGTTTTTAATCCATCTTGAATTAATTTTTTATAAGGTGTAAGGAAGGGATCCAGTTTCAGCTTTCTATATATGGCTAGCCAGTTTTCCCAGCACCATTTATTAAATAGGGAATCCTTTCCCCATTTCTCGTTTTTGTCAGATTTGTCAAAGATCAGATGGTTGTAGATATGTGGTATTATTTCCGGGGGCTCTGTTCTGTTCCATTGGTCTATATCTCTGTTTTGGTACCAGTACCATGTTGTTTTGGTTGCTGTTGCCTTGGAGTATAGTTTGAAGTCAGGTAGCGTGATGCCTCCAGCTTTGTTCTTTTGACTTAGGTTTGTCTTGGCAATGTGGGACCTTTTTTGGTTCCATATGAACTTTAAAGTAGTTTTTTCCAATTCTGTGAAGAAAGTCATTGGTAGCTTGATGGGGATGGCATTGAATCTATAAATTACCTTGGGCAGTATGGCCATATTCACAATACTGATTCTTCCTATCCGTAAGCATAGAATGATCTTCCATTTATTTGTGTCCTCTTTTATTTCATTGAGCAGTGGTTTGTATTTCTCCTTGAAGAGGTCCTTCACCTCTTTCAAAGATTTTCAGGCATAGAACCTTAGAGCAAGACCTTAGGTGGATTGGGTTCCAAGATGGCCAAATAGGAACAGCTCCAGTCTATAGCTCCCAGCGTGAGCGACACAGAAGATTGGTGATTTCTGCATTTCCAACTGAGGTACTGGGTTCATCTCACTGGGGCTTGGCAGACAGTGGGGACAGCCCATGGTGCAGGGTGGGGCATTGCCTCACCAAGGAAGCGCAAGGGATTGGGGAATTCCCTTTCCTAGCCAAGGGAAGCTATGACAGACGGTACCTGGAAAATCAGGACACTCCCACCCTAATACTGCACTTTTCCAATGGTCTTAGCAAATGGCACACCAGGAGATTATATCCCATGCCTGGCTCGGAGGGTCCCATGCCCACAGAGCCTTGCTCACTGCTAGCACATCAGTCTGAGATCAAACTGCAAGGTGGCAGCGAGGCTACGGGAGGGGCATCCACCATTGCTGAGGCTTGAGCAGGTAAACAAAGCTGCCAGGAAGCTCAAACTGGGTGGAGCCCACTGCAGCTCAAGGAGGCCTGCCTGCCTCTGTCGACTCCACCTCTGAGGGCAGGGCATAGCTGAACAAAATGCAGAAGAAACTTCTGCAGACTTAAACATCCCTGTCTGACAGCGTGGGAGAGAGTAGTGGTTCTCTGAGCATGGAGTTTGAGATCTGAGAACAGACAGACTGCCTCCTCTAGTGGGTCCCTGAGCCCGAGTAGCCTAACTGGGAGACACCTCCCAGTAGGAGCTGACTGACACCTCATACAGCCAGGTGTCCCTCTGAGATGAAGCTTCCAGAGGAAGGATCAGGCAGCAACATTTGCCGTACTGCAATATTTGCTGTTCTGCAGTCTCCACTGGTGATACCCAGGCAAACAGGGACTGGAGTGCACCTCCAGCAGCCTCCAGCAGACCTGCAGCTGAGGGTCCTGACTGTAAGAAGGAAAACGAACAAACAGAAAGGACATCCAAACCAAAACACCATCTGTGTGTCACCATCATCAAAGACCAATGGTAGATAAAATCACAAAGATGGGGAGAAACCAGAGCAGAAAAGCCAAAAATTCTAAAAATCAGAGTGCCTCTTCTCCTCAAAAGGAATGCAGCTCCTCACCAGCAACAGAACAAAGCTGCATGGAGAATGACTTTGATGAGTTGAGAGAAGATGGCTTCAGGCGATTGGTAATAACAAACTTCTCCGAGCTAAAGGAGGAGTTCGAACCCATCGCAAAGAAGCTAAAAACCTTGAAAAAAGATTAGACAAATGGCTAACTAGAATAAACAGTGTAGAGAAGACCTTAAACGACCTGATGGAGCTGAAAACCATGGCACGAGAACTACATGATGCATGCACAAGATTCAGTAGCCAATTTGATCAAGTGGAAGAAAGGGTGTCAGGGATTGAAGATCAAATGAATGAAATGAAGCCAGAAGAGAAGTTTAGAGAAAAAAGAGTAAAAAGAAATGAATGAAGCCTCCAAGAAATGTGGGACTATGTGAAAAGACCAAATCTATGTCTGACTGGTGTACCTGAAAGTGATGGGAAGAATGGAACCAAGTTGGAAAACACTCTTCAGGATATTATCCAGAACTTCCCCAACATAGCAAGGCAGGCCAACATTCAAATTCAGGAAATACAGAGAATACCACAAAGATAATCGTCAAGAAGAGCAACTCTAAGACACATAATTTTCAGATTCATCAAAGTTGAAATGAAGGAAAAAATGTTAAGGGCAGCCAGAGAGAAAGGTCAGGTTACCCACAAAGGGAAGCCCATCAGACTAACAGCGGATCTCTCGGCAGAAACTCTACAAGCCAGAAGAGAGTGGGGGCCAATATTCAACATTCTTAAAGAAAAGAATTTCATATCAACCCTGAATTTCATATCCAGCCAAACTAAGCTTCATAAGTGAAGGAGAAATAAAATCCTTTACAGACAAACAAATGCTGAAAGATTTTGTCACCACCAGGCCTGCCTTACAAGAGCTCCTGAAGGAAGCCGTAAACATGGAAAGGAACAACCAGGACCAGCCACTGCAAAAACATGCCAAGTTGTAAAGACCGTTAATGCTAGGAAGAAACTGCATCAACTAATGAGCAAAATAACCAGCTAACATCATAATGACAGGATCAAATTCACACATAACAGTATTAACCTTAAATGTAAATGGGCTAAATGCTCCAATTAAAAGACACAGACTGGCAAATTGGATAAAGAGTCAAGACCCATCATTGTGCTGTGTTCAGGAGATCCATTTACCTGCAGAGACACACATAGGCTCAAAATAAAGGGATGGAGGAAGATCTACCAATCAAATGGAAAACAGAAAAAAGCAAGGGTTGCAATCCTAGTCTCTGATAAAACAGACTTTAAACCAACAAAGATCAAAAGAGACAAAGAAGGCCATTACATAATGGTAAAGCGATCAATTCAACAAGAAGAGCTAACTATCATAAATATATATGCACCCAAAAACAGGAGCACCCAGATTCATAAAGCAAGCCCTTAGAGACCTACAAAGAGACTTAGACTCCCACACAATAATAATGGGAGACTTTAACACCCCACTGTCAACATTAGACAGATCAATGAGACAGAAAGTTAACAAGGATATCCAGGAATTGAACTCAGCTCTGCACCAAGCAGAACTAATAGACATCTACAGAACTCTCCGCCTCAAATAAACAGAATATACATTCTTCTCAGCACCACATCGCACTTATTCCAAAATTGACCACATAGTTGGAAGTAAAGCACTCTTTAGCAAATGTAAAAGAACAGAAATTATAACAAACTGTCTCTCAGACCACAGGGCAAACTAGAACTCAGGATTAAGAAACTCGCTCAACTACATGGAAACTGAACGACCTGCTCCTGAATGACTACTGGGTACACAACGAAATGAAGGCAGAAATAAAGATGTTCTTTGAAACCAAGGAGAACAAAGACACAACATACCGGAATCTCTGGGACACATTTAAAGCAATGTGTAGAGGGAAATTTATAGCACTAAATGCCCACAAGAGAAAGCAGGAAAGATCTAAAACCGACACCCTAACATCACAATTAGAAGAACTAGAGAAGCAAGAGCAAACACATTCAAAAGCTAGCAGAAGGCAAGAAATAACTAAGATCAGAGCAGAACTGAAGGAGATAGAGACACAACAAAACCCTTCAAAAAATCAATGAATCCAGGAGCTGGTTTTTTGAAAAGATCAACAAAATTGATAGACAGCTAGCAAGACTAATAAAGAAGAAAAGAGAGAAGAATCAAATAGACTCAATAAAAAATGATAAAGGGGATATCACCACTGAGCCCACAGAAATACAAACTACCATCAGAGAATACTATAAACACCTCTATGCAAATAAACTAGAAAATCTAGAAGAAATGGATAAATTCCTGGACACATACACCCTCCCAAGACTAAACCAGAAAGAAGTTGAATCCATGAATAGACCAATAACAGGCTCTAAAATTGAGGCAATAATTAATAGCCTACCAACCGAAAAAAGTCCAGGACCAGACAGATTCACAGTCACATTCTACCAGAGGTACAAAGAGGAGCTGGTACCATTCCTCCTGGAACTATTCCAATCAATAGAAAAAGAGAGAATCCTCCCTAACTCATTTCAGGAGGCCAGCATCATCCTGATACCAAAGCCTGGCAGAGACACAACAAAAAAAGAGAATTTTAGACCAATATCCCTGATGAACATCGATGCAAAAATTCTCTATAAAATACTGGCACACCAAATCCAGCAGCACATCAAAAAGCTTATCCACCATGATCAAGTTGGCCTCATCCCTGGGATGCAAGGCTGGTCCAACATACACAAATCGATAAACGTAATCCATCATAGAAACAGAACCAAAGACAAAAACCACATGATTATCTCAATAGATGCAGAAAAGGCCTTTGACAAAATTCAACAGCCCTTCATGCTAAAAACTCTCAATAAACTAGGTATTGATGGGACGTACCTCAAAATAATAAGAGCTATCTATGACAAACCCACAGCCAATATCATACTGAATGGGCAAAAACTGGAAGCATTCCCTTTGAAAACTGGCACAAGACAGGGATGCCCTCTCTCACCACTCCTATTTAACATAGTGTTGGAAGTTCTGGCCAGGGCAATCAGGCAGGAGAAAGAAATAAAAGGTATTCAATTAGGAAAAGAGGAAGTCAAATTGTACTGGTTTGCAGATGACATGATTGTATATTTAGAAAAGCCCATTGTCTCAGCCCAAAATCTCCTTAAGCTGATAAGCAACTTCAGCAAAGTCTCAGCATACAAAATCAATGTGCAAAAATCACAAGCATTCCTATACACCAATAACAGACAAACAGAGAGCCAAATCATGAGTGAACTCCCATTCACAATTACTTCAAAGAGAATAAAATACCTAGGAATCTAACCTACAAGGAATGTGAAGGACCTCTTCAAGGAGAACTACAAACCACTGCTCAACGAAATAAAAGAGGACACAAACAAATGGAAGAACATTCCATGCTCATGGATAGGAATAATCAATATCGTGAAAATGGCCATACTGACCAAGGTAATTTACAGATTCAGTGCCATCCCCATCAAGCTACCAATGACTTTCTTCACAAAATTGGAAAAAACTACTTTAAAGTTCATATGGAACCAAAAAAGAGCCCACATTGCCAAGTCAATCCTAAGCCAAAAGAATGAAGCTGGAGGCATCACGCTACCCGACTTCAAACTGTACTACAAGACTCCAGTAACCAAAATAACATGGTACTGGTACCAAAAAAGAGCCCTCATTGCCAAGACAGTCCTAAGGCAAAAGAACAAAGCTGTGGATGAATAAGTGGTTTTTACTATCACTTTTGCCCACCTTTTCTTCATATCAGGTTAAAAAATGAACAAATAAAATTTACAGACACAACTAATGGCATTTTTCCCTTTACTTTTTACCAGAGGTAACATCTAATCTGAAGTTAGTGCAGAGTATTTGCAGGCATGTTCTGTCTGCTTTTATTATAAATATTTATTGCTAGATGAGACCTATTTCATGTAATTTTTTTCTTTTCATGGCATTCAAAATCCAAGCTCCTTGACCACTTGTTTTAGAATGTTATTTGCTTCAGAGAAACTCTCTTACTTTTACCACCATCCGGAACACCACAACCATCTTTGCAAAATCAGCAAGAATTTACCACTTCCTTTTTTTCTGAAGACACAGCTTGTATCTTACCTTTGTCGTTGCTAGGTTTCTATTATGCGTTTGTATTTTATATTTAACATTTTGGTATAACCCTCCCAACAAATAATGTGGAGCGTAACATAGTAGATGTTTTCTGAACAGTAACTGAATGACTGAATTAGAGTCTCACATGACTCTCATAATAAGGAGATCATGTTACTTTATACTCTGAGAATTTGACTTCCAGCAGCTGCTTTATCCCCCATCCCTAACCTTTGTATTTGTATTTGATAACACGAAAATGATGGGAGAACTGTGCTATTCTAAAAATAAACACAATTCTTAGATTACAAAATTGAGCTTTAACAATATGTATCCCCATCTTAGTGAATGGACTTCAGGCTTATGCTTATAGCTCCACTGATAGCTGACATGCTGATTGATGACAGTTTATAAAAGTATCTTTCTGTAGAGACTTTTGTGGTAAATATTTCCTGTGCAACTGACCTAATTTTGTTTGCAGTGGAAATTTCTGAACTTTGAACATCAAAAACTTTCATACAATATCTTTTTTCATCACAATTTTGACAATGTTCTGAATACTAGTATAATGTATTATTGAACAGGTTATAGAAAGTACATTTATTATTGGAAAGAGTTTGTATTTCAAGTCTTGATCAGTAGGTTCAGTTGGTACTTTAAAATCATATATTTTGCTGTATGATTTTCTTGCATTAGTAACGGTAAATTCAGTTATAATGCCCAACCACACACACACAAAATTATCTTTTGAGGACAAATATTACCAATCTCCTAGATTAAATGTGGAAAATTTGTTAGGAGGTGTTATGGGCTGAATTGTGTTCCTACTCTTCTCCCCAGAATTCATATATTGACATCTTAACCCTTAGAAGATGGAGTCCTTAAAGAGGTAAATAAGTTAAAGGTGAGCCCTAATCAAATATGGCTGGACTCCTCTTAAGAAGATATTAAGACATAGATACATACAGAGGTAAGACCAGGTGAAGACAAAGAGAGAAGATGACCATCTGCAAGCCAAGCAGAGAGGCCTTAAAAGAAATCAACTCCTGGCTCATGCCTGTAATCCCAGCACTTTGGGAGGCCGAGGTGGGTGGATCATGAGTTTGGGAGTTCAAGACAAGCCTGGCCAACATGGTGAAACCCTGTCTCTACTAAAAATACAAAAATTAGCCGGGCGTGGTGGCACACGCTTGTATAGTCCCAGCTATTTGGGAGGCTGAGGCAGAGTCACTTGAACCTGTGAGGCGGAGGTTGCTGTGAGCCGAGATTGTGCCACTGCACTCCAGCATGGGTGACAGAGAGAGACTCCATCAAAAAAAAAAAAAAAAGAAAAGAAAAGAAATTAACTCAACCAACACCCTGATCTCAGATTTCTAGACTCTAGAACTCTGAAAAAAAATTATTTTTTATTTAATTATTTTTATTTAAGCCACCCAGTCTGTGGCATTTCATTATGGAAGCCCTAGAAAACAAATATAGGAGGTTTTCCAGAGCTACACTCCAGCACAAATAGGAAGCATAGGATAAGCACAATAAATACACCACATATCCATTCTTCCTTCAATATACATTTGTGTCGTTGTTCTCCGGCATTACAAAAAGTCACAGTTCAAGGGAAAATTTTCATTTCCTAGCAAAAATAGACATACATTTATATTACCACATTGCAAATACATTATAAATGTATTTATATGTAAAATCTATAGGAACACAGAAGAAAGAAAGAAGAACTGAGACTTAAATGAAGCTTAACTGGTACATCTGGACTCTGATGAGTGAGAAGTCCAAGCAAATAGAAAAGCCACAGCCAAACGGTGAGTCCCTTCCATGGTTAGAACACATCTGTCTTAACTCAGAAATCACGCCTAATCTTGTTAATATTTTTCTTAGGCGGCAATAAGCACTTTTTAACTGTTTAAATTTAGCAGGAAACATTTTGTTTATAATTCTGAATTTGAATGGGCTAATTACGGTGCACACAGGCGGTAAATAACAGATGAGGCAGAAGATAAATGGAGTGATAGAGCCACAGTCTTTAATCCTTAGAGGCTTTCACTCACTCTCCCATCTTCATTGTCTTACTGCACTCTTCCGATATGATTGACCATCTTCCAATTCTGTGGATGGAGGGAGAGAGGATATTTCATTGAAAACACTGTCCTTACATTCTCAGTCTTCTCAGAGAATATGCTTCTCTTATTTGTCATCACTGAACACTAGAGCTCCCCCAATGACACAACTTTTCTTGTGTATTTTTTTACTATGGTTAAAAAAAACACACAACATAAAATGTGCCAGCATAATCGTTTCTAAGTGTAGAGTTCACTAATGTTAAGTTATTGACATTGTTATGAAACAGATCTTCAGAACTTTTTTCATCTTACAAAACTGAATCAGTGTACCCTTTAAACAATAACCCCTCATTCCTTGCTCCTCTCAGCTCCTGGAAATCACCGCTTTACTTTTTTTCTCTATGAATTTGACTTCCCTAGGTACTTCATGTAAGTGGAATCATACATTATCTGTGTGTTTTTTTTTTTTTTGAGACAGAGTCTTGCTCTGTCACCCAGGCTGGAGTGCAGTGGTGCAATCTAGGCTCACTGCAACCTCTGCCTCTCGGGTTCAAGCGATTCTCCTGCCTCAGCCTCCCAAGTAGCTGGGATTACAGGCGCCACCACTACACCCAGCTAATTTTTGTAATTTTAGTAGAGACAGGGTTTCACCATGTTAGTCAGGCTGGTCTGGAACTCCTGACCTCAGGTGATCTGCCCACCTCGGCTTCCCAAAGTGCTGGGATTACAGGTGTGAGCCACAGCACCCGGCCCATTATTTGTCTTTTTTATAACTGGCTTATTTCACTTGGCATAATGTTCTCAAGGTTCATCCATGTTGCAATATGTGTCAGAATTTCCTTCCTTTTTAAGGCTGAATAATATTCCACTGTATGAATATACCACATCTTAGTCCCTCACCTGCTAGTGGACACTTGACATGCTTCTACTTTCTGGCTTCTGTAACTAGTACTGCTGCGAACATGGGTGTAAAAATATCTCCTTGAGACTGGTTTAGTCCATTTGTGCTGGTATAACAAAATACCAAGACTGGGTAATTTAAGAATAGAAACTTAATTTTTACAGTTCTGGAGGCTAGAAAGTCCACGATCAATGTGCTGGCACTTGCTGTCTGGCAAGGACATTCCTGCTGCATCCTTACATGGTGGAGGGGGTGAAAAATGCAAAAAGCATGAATGCTGAGTCTTCACATGGCAAAAGCCAGAAGAGCGCAAAAGGGTCTAAAGCTAGTTCCCTCCATCCCTTATAAAAGGCACTAATCCATTTATGAGGCTGGAACCCTCATGACTCAAACACTTCCCCAAAGACCTCACCTCTTAATACCACCACAATGCAGATAGTTTCAACATGAATTTGGAGGGGGCACATTCAAACCGTAGCAGAGACTCTTTCTTTCTTCCTTTCTTTCTCTCTCTCTCTCCTCTCTCTCTCTTTCTTTCTCTTTCTTTTTCTTTCTCTTTCTTTCTTTCTTTCTTTCTTTTTCTCTCTTTCTCTCTCTCTTTCTTTCTCTCTCTCTCTCTTTCTTTCTTTTTCTTTCTCTTTCTTTCTCTCTCTCTCTCTCTTTCTCTCTCTCTCTCTTTCTTTCTTTCTTTCTTTTCTTTCCTTCTTTCTTTCTTTTAATATACCTAGAAGGGGGATTACTGGGTTATATGGTAATTCTATTTTTAGTGTTCTGAGGAATCATCACACTATTTTTCATAGTGGTGGCACCACTTTACAATCCCACCAACAATGCATAAGGTTTCCAATTTCTCCGCCTCCTTACCAACACTTATTTTCTGTTTTATTTCATTTTGTTTAACAGTAGCCATCCTAATAGGTTTGAAGTGATACCTCATCTTGTTTTTAATTCTAACATCCCTTCTATGCCTGGTTCTGATGCTTGCTCTGTCCTTTCATTGATTTTTTGCCTTTTAAGATGGCTTTTTTTTCCCCCTTGATAGCCTGATAATATACCAAGAAAAAAGGAACCGCTGCAATTTGATCTTTAGTATTGCGGTGAGGTGTGGGGAGAGGGAAGTAAGACTAGATCTCAGATTTGTAGTGAGGCCTCTGGACTGCGAGCTTCACAAATGTTTCTATTTTCTTTTCCATCCCACTTAGGCGGGAAAGGATGGCTAGAGTGGTCTGAAGTTGGATATTTCTCTTCTCCCATGTGGAAGGCTAGAGCTGACTAGAGTTGTATAACGCTTCTTCTAGGTCAGTTAGACTCTTAATAATGCCCCAGCAATGTAGGTCCTGGTTTACTATTGTCTCCTGAGGGCAGAACCTTTTTAAGAAGAACACAGTGTAAGAAAAAAAAATGAAGAAGAAGAAGAAGAAAGAAGAAGAACACAGTGCTCTGGCATATTTTAAAATTATTCCTTTCTCCCCCTACTAGAAGCATGAGAGGGTTTTTCTCTAATATTTTCTGTGAGAACCTGGTCAAGTTCCCAGAGGTAAATCTCACAAAATTGTGGGATCCTCATATGACTGGGTCCCCCTGGAGTTTTTAACTCTCAAAGTTGCCTGCACTGTGCCTCCAGCACCTCATCCATTATAGTCCGTGTTTTCCTCTCCCAGCTCTTGCTCTCATGATAGTTTCTCTTCCTGTATTTTCCCGTCTGCCTCTTCAAACCTGGGTGCAGGCATTTGCTGTTTCTTCAGTGCTCTTACATATCCTAGAAGAGTTGTTGATTTGTCAGTCTGTTCAACTTTTCCTCGTATTTAATCTGAAGTGGCAACTTCCAAGCACCTTATAGGCAGAACTGGAAACTGGAAGTTTTTTCTCATTGTGGTTTTGACTTAAATTTTCCTGATGATTAGTGAAGTTGAGCAACTTTTTATATTCCTGTTGGCCACTTACATGTTATCTTACATGAAAGAAACTTACATGAAAGAAACATCTATTCAATTTCTTTGCCCATTTTTTAATCAGGCCATTTGATTTTTGCTTATGAGACATAAGAGTTCTTTGTATATTCTGGATATTAATCTCTTATCAAATTTTAGAAATGAAAATCTTTTCTTCTATTCCACACATTGCCTTTTCGCTCTGTTTTCTTGGACGGAGTCTCACCCTGTCATCCAGGTTGGAGTGCAATGGCGCCATCTTGGCTCACTGCAATCTCTGCTTCCCGGATTCAAGCGATTCTCCTGCCTCAGCATCCCAAGTAGCTGGGATTACAAGCACATGCCACCACACCTGGCTAATTTTTTGTATCTTTAGTAGAGACAGGGTTTCACCATGTTGGCCAGGCTGGTCTCCAACTCCTGACCTCAGGTGATCTGCCCACCTTGGCCTCCCAAAGTGCTGGGATTACAGGCCTGAGCCACTGCACCTGGCCTCTTTTCACTCTGTTGATTGTGTCCTTTGTTGCACAAAAGTTTTTAAGATTCATATAGTCTCATTTACCTATTTTTGCTTTCATTACCTGTGTTTTTAGTGTCATATCCAATAAATCATTGTCAAGTCCAGTGTCATGAAGCTTTCCCTATATGTTTTCTTATAGGAATTTTATAAATTTAGGTTTTATGTTTAAGTCATTAATATATTTTGAGTTAATGGTGTAAAATAAAGGCCCAACTTCATTCTTTTGCATGTAGATATCCAGTTTTTTCAATATCAGTTGTTGAAGAGACTGTTTTTCCCCACTGAGTGGTCTTGGCATCCTTGTCAAAGATCATTTGACCACATGCATGAAAATTTAATTTATAGGCTGTGTATTCTATTCAACTGGTCTATTTGTTTTTGTGCTAGTACCACACTACTTTGATTATCATAGATTTGTAATATGTTTTGAAATCAGGAAATGTAAGTCCTCCAACTTTGTTCTTTTTCAAAATTGTTTTGACTATTCGGAGTCCTTTTATATACCAAATGAATTTCAGGATACATTTTTCTATTTCTCCAAAAGATCCCATAAGGATTTTGATAAGGATTGCATTGACTCTGTAGGTCACTTCGGACATTATGAACAATGTAACAATATTAAGTTATCTAATCCATGAACACAGGATATCTTTCATTTATTAGTGTCTGCTTTAATTTCATTCAGCAACGTTTTATGGTTTGCAGTGTACAAGCTTCTCATCTCCTTGGTTAGGTTTATTCCTAAGCTTTTTATTGTTTTGAGTGAAATTGTAAATGGATTTGTTTTCTTAATTTCCTTTTTGGATTGTTCATTATTCATGTATAGAAATGCAACTGATTTCTGTGTGTTGGTTTTGTACCTTGCAACTTTGCTTAATTCATTTATTAGTTCTAACAGATTTTTATTGTGTATGGAATCATTAGAGTTTTCTATGTATACGATTTTGTCCTCTGTAAACAGAGATTATTTACTTCTTCTTTTCCCATCTGGATGCCTTTTATTTCTTTTTATTGCTTAATTGTTCTGGCTATAATTTTCAGTTCTATGTTGAATAGAAGTAGTAAGAGTGAGCATCTTTGCCTTGTTTCTGATATTAGAGAAAAAGCTTTCAGTCTTTTATCCTTGTGTATGATGTTATCTGTGGCCTCTTTATAAATGGTCTTAATTGTGTTCATGGACTGGCCTTCTCTTCCCATTTTATTAAGTGTTTTAACATGAAAGAGTGTTTAATCTTGTCAAATGATATTTCTCCACTGATTGAGATAATCGTGATTTTTGTCCTTTATTCTGTTAATGTGTTATATTACATTGTTTTTTTCTTTTTTTCTTACTTTTTTTTTTTTTTTAATGAGACAGGGTCTCACGCTGTCACCCAGGCTGGAGTGGAATGGCACTATCTTGACTCACTACAGCCTTAATCTCCTGAGCTCAAGCAATCCTCTCACCTCAGGCTCCTGAGTAGCTGGGACTACAAGTATGTACCACCACGCCTGGCTAGTTTTCATATTTTTTTATACATATGGGGTTTTGCCATGTTGCCCAGGCTGGTCTTGAACTCTTGAGCTCAAGCAATCCACCCACCTCCACCTCACAAAGTGCTGGGATCACAGGCATGAGCCATTGCACCCATAGATTGATTTTCATATGCTAAACTCTCCTTGCATTCCTGGAGTAAATCCCATTTGGTTATCATATATGATTCTTTTAATATGCTATTTAATTTGGTTTGCTAGTATTTTGTTGAGGATTTTTGCATTCACATTCATCGGAGATATTGGTCTGTAGTTTTCTTTTCTTGCAGTGTCTTTGCCTCACTTTGGTATTAGGGCAATTTTGGCCTGATATAAGGAACTTAGAAGCATTCCCTCCTCTTGAATTCTATGAAAGAGTTTCAGGAAAACTGGTGTTAATTCTTTTGTAAATGTTTAGTAGAATTCTCCAGCGAAGCCATCTGGGATTTCTTTTTAGGGGGATTTTTGATTACTAATTCAATCTTCATACTATTTATTGATCTTTTCAGATTTTTTATATCTACATGATTCAGTCTTGCTAGATTGTATGTTTCTAGGGATTTGTACATTTCTTTTAGGTTATTCAATTTGTTGGCATGCCATTGTTCACAGTATTCTCATGATCCTTTTTATTTCTGTGGTATCAATTGTAATATCTCTTTTTTCACTTCTGATTTTATTTATTTGCATCTTCTCTTTTTTTTAATCTAGCTAAGGGTTTATGAATTTTATTGGTTTTTTGTCCATTATTTTTAGTTTTTATTTTGTTTATCGCTGCTCTAATCTTTATTATTTCCCTTCTGCTAAATTTGAGTTTAGTTTGTTCTTATTTTTTGGTTTCCTAAGGTGTAAAGTTAGATCATGAAAATTTCTTTATCATTGCTTTTGCTCCATCCCACAAGTTTTGGTATGTTGTGTTTTCACTCTCATTTGTCTCAGTGTATTTCCTAATTTCCATTGTGACTTGTTTTGTGACCCCATTGGTCATTTAAGGGTTGTTTAATTTCTAAATATTTGTAGATTTTTCAGTTTCTCTTGTGTTAGTGATTTCTAGTTCACTATATGGGGATTGGAAAAGATACTTTCTATGATTTAAATGTTTTTTGAATTTGTTAAGACATGTTTTGTGACCTAACATGTGATGTATCCTGGAGAATGTTCCATGTGCACTCAAAACGAATGCATACCCTGGTGCTGTTGGTTGGAATGTTCTGTATATATCTGTTGGGTCCGATTGGTTTATAGTGTTGTTCAAGTTTTCTATTTCCTTATTAATCTTCTGTCTGGTTCTTCTGTCAACTATTAAATGTAACTTATTGAAGTATACTACAATTGTGTTTCTGTATTTTTCTCCCTTCAATTCTTTCAAAGCTTGATTTATATATTTAGGAGCTATTAGGTTTGGTGCATAAGTATTCATAATTGTAATATATTCATGGTGAATTGAATGTTTTTCATTATATGTTGTCCATCTTTGTCTTCTGTAAGTTTTTCATTTAAAGTCTATTTGTTTGCTATTAGTATAGCCACTCTTGCTCTATTTTGGTTATTATTTGCCCAGAATATGTTTTTTTCCATTTTTTCACTTTTAGCCTATATATGTCCTGATATTAAGATTTACTTTGTAATTTTCTTAATTGCTTTTTGTTAAGAAATAAAACACTTCACAAATTTGCATGTCATCCTTGCTCAAGGGCCGCACAAGTCTTCTCTGTCTTGTTCCGACTTTAGTTTATGTACTGCTGAAGCAAGCACTGTCAATTTTTTTGCATGTCCTGTGAGTTTTTTATCCCTCACTTTCTCTGCCTTCCTTTGTATTACACTGATTTTTCGGAGTGACATACTTTGATTCTTTTTGCATTTTCTTTTTTCCTCTCTTCTATAGATATTTTCTTTGTGGTCACCATGGTAATTATGTAAAGCATCTTAAAGTTATAGTAGTCTATTTTAAACTGTTAACAACTTCAATCATACACAAACACTGTACTACTTTGCAGCTTTGCCCCCCCGCAACACTTTATGTTATTGATGTCACAAGTTACATGTTTATATACTGTATACCAGTAAACAAGCAATTGTGCTTATTTGTTGTGCAATTTTATCATTTAAAATCTATGCACCAAAATTAAGATAGTACATGTTACTCTATTTGCCCATGAATTTACCTTTGATTCTTCTTTTTGATCAAGTCTGCTATTGAACCCCTCTAATAAGCTTTTCAGTTCAGTTATTGTATTTTTCACTCTATAATTTCCATTTGGTTCTTTGTTATAGTGTTTTGTATATTTGTTAATAACCTCATCGTGTTGATGCACCATTTTTCTTATTTCCTTTAGCTGCATACCTGTGCCCTTTTTGAGCTCATTGAGTGTATTTATGACAGTTTAAAAAATTCCTTGTCGAGCAGCTCTTAGATCTGTGTTGCTTTAGTTTTAGGACAGGTTTTATTTTGGTCCTTTGATTGGGCCATGTTTCTCTGTTTCTTTGTATTCCTTGTGAGATATATATATACTTTTTTTCTGGGTTTTGGGCCTTTGGAAAAACAACCACCTCTCTTAGCTTTACCAATCAACCCAGTTTGAGGTTCTGGGACCTTTGAAACCTTTTCTCATGTCTTACTTTTCTTGGTGTTGTCCTATAAAACTGCAACTCTAACATGCTGCTTGCCTTTGCCTTCAGTGCCTTCCACACTCTACTACCAGTCCTACCAGCACTGTGAGTCAGGGAAGACAGAAACCAGTTCCTCAGGCAGCCCTCAGACAAGCCAGAGCATTAGATGCATGGTCCACTTTTTTGTTTTCATCAGGAGAGAGAATCCGCTGTATGGGGTGGTTCCTCCCAGTTGCTTCACAGTATATTGCATAAAGGAGGGACATGAATGGGCGTGTCGAATGTCACAAATTTTTTCTATCCTTTTTCTGGGGGGGAATCCTTTCTTGGTTTTATAATGGGCTGGTGCTTCAGCTTCTCCAGTAGTCTCTAAAGTTGCCACAGCAATGGGCCTGTGGGGAAGAGAGTCCCATAATTTCCTATTCTGCTCTCTTGCTAATGTCATCCCTTCCTTTTTTCATTTTTAAGCCTAAAGTAGATTCTCTTAGCTCATGATTAACACTTGCTGACTTTTGTATCTTTACCTTCTTGCACAAAATTATCCTCTTAATCACTTCTTTTTGTGGCCACCTTCTGGGCTCTATTGTGGCTCTTCATTTTCAACAGTTACATTGTTTTTATTTTACTGTATTTTCCTGTCCACCCACCCCAGTGCCCACTGCTGACCTGGCAAAGTTCAATGTCAAAAATAGGTAATCTAGTCAAAAACTTGTCTTTATTGTTCCTCGAGCTGCTCAATTATTACCTCTACTATTACTACATTATAAATCTTAGGATCACATATACTCATTAATTCTTTGAATTTTTTAGCTTTCATATTATATTGTGTGTGTATGTGTGTGGGTGTTTTGACAATTCTCTCTCTATTTATATTTTCTCATGATAAGATATTCATAAATTCTGATATGCTTTGCTGTAAAGTGTAATTTGCATAATTAGATCATCAAATGGATTCACTAGCATAAATAGAAAAAAATTATAGGTCTGAATTTTCATGAGGGTTTTATGTATGTGTATATATATAGAGAGAGATAGAACATATATGTTTATAGGCACATTGTAATAATATATTATATATTACATATGTATATACAGTATATACACACATTAAAAATTGTATAACAAGAATCTGTTGTGATAGAAGAAAATTGCGCAGGTGATTGGTTGTTGCTCTTCATACTCTGTAACAAGCAAAATGATCAATCAATATGTTTCATGCCATGTATGGACAAGTGAAGCCTCTTCTTTGGTTGATATTTCTAACTAGTTTATACTTTTGCACCTTATAGGCTTTTGCAAGCATCTGTTTGAAGAGAATGGCTTACCTCAAATCAGTTGTTTTTGGTATGGCCATTGTAGATTCCTAGTAGTCACAGTCATGCTTCAGAACTTGAAGTTATACTTGAGTGCACTAAACCACAATTTTAATCCCCTAATTACATCATCAGACTTCTAGTCACTCTATTGACCTTTCTAAGATATTCCAACACTTTTCATTTACTTGATGAATGTTTCTTTAAGTGTGGTCCATGAACCACCTGAAATAATTTTTAGCACATTCTCCATTCTAGCTAACTGTACTTTGGGAAGAAAAAGGGGTTTATGTGGCAAGAATCTGCATTATTAACAAGTTTTCAAGTTATTCTTATATATACTATAGTTTGAGATCTTTATATGCACTAAAGCATTATATACTAAAGCTTGAGAATAATGCTATAAATATATTGAATTGTTCAATGCAAATGACCCAGGAGACACTTCCATAATTGTGGCAGACTCTGTGCATCCTAAAAATTTAGATAAGATGTATGGCAGAACCAAATACCCTAGTACCAGTAAAATGACTGTTAGTTATCAAATAGTCATATAGTTAAGAACATTTTCACTGAATCACTAAAGAGTGGATTGTGAAACTCACACACACTTACATCTCACTTCATAATTATCGGTGATCTTTAAGAAATAAGTGTGTGCTCTCATGATAGACACATAATGAAAATGTTCTTCGATGGATAAACACTTCCTGTCTTCTGAGTTCAAAGCCAGAAGACTGTTTCCACTGTCAAGTAATTTGAGCACCTGGTATAATTCTGCTCCAATAATAGGAAGTGACTTTTAGGAAATCTCAGATTTTGCTGTTTTTTTAACCTGTAATGGGAGAATGTCAGTCTTGGAGACACGTAAGCTCTTTTTTTTTTTAATTTTATATACTTATTTATTATACTTTAAGTTCTAGGGTACATGCGCACAATATGCAGTTTTGTTACATATGTATACATGTGCCATGTTGGTGTGCTGCACCTGTTTACTCATCATTTACATTAGGTATATCTCCTAATGCTATCCCTCCCTACTCCCCCCACCCCACAACAGGCCCCGGTGTATGATGTTCCCCACCCTGTGTCCAAGTGTTCTCATTGTTCAATTCCAACCTATGAGTGAGCACATGCGATGTTTGATTTTCTGTCCTTGCAATAGTTTGCTGAGAATGATGGTTTCCAGCTTCATCCATGTCCCTACAAAGGACATGAACTCATCCTTTTTTATGGCTGCATAGTATTCCAAGGTGAATATGTGCCACATTTTCTTAATCCGGTCTATCATTGATGGACATTTGGGTTGGTTCCAAGTCTTTGCTGTTGTGAATAGTGCCGCAATAAACATGCGTGTGCATGTGTCTTTATAGCAGCACGATTTATAATCCTTTGGGTATATGCTGAGTAATGGGATGGCATTCTAGTTCTAGATCCCTGAGGAATCGCCACACTGTCTTCCACAATGGTTGAACTAGTTTACAGTCCCACCAACAGTGTAAAAGTTGTTCCTATTTCTCCACATCCTCTCCAGCACCTGTTGTTTCCTGACTTTTTAATGATCGCCATTCTAACTGGCGTGACATGGTACCTCATTGTGGTTTTGATTTGCATTTCTCTGATGGCTAGTGATGATGAGCATTTTTTCATGTGTCTGTTGGCTGCATAAATGTCTTCCTTTGAGAACTGTCTGTTCATATCCTTTGCCCACTTTTTGATGGGGTTGTTTGATTTTTTCTTGTAAATTTGTTTAAGTTCTTTGTAGATTCTGGATATTAACCCTTTGTCAGATGGGTAGATTATAAAACTTTTCTCCCATTCTGTAGGTTGCCTGTTCACTCTGATGGTAGTTTCTTTTGCTGTGCAGAAGCTCTTTAGTTTAATTAGATCCCATTTGTCAATTTTGGCTTTTGTTGCCATTGCTTTTGGTGTTTTAGTCATGAAGTCCTTGCCCATGCCTATGTCCTGAATGGTATTGCCTAGGTTTTCTTCTAGGGATTTTATGGTTTTAGGTCTAACATTTAAGTCTTTAATCCATCTTGAATTAATTTTTGTATAAGGTGTAAGGAAGGGATCCAGTTTCAGCTTTCTATATATGGCTAGCCAGTTTTCCCAGCACCATTTATTAAATAGGCAACCATTTCTTGTTTTTGTCAGGTTTGTCAAAGATCAGATGGTTGTAGATGTGTGATATTATTTCTGAGGGCTCTGTTCTGTTCCATTGGTCCATATCTCTGTTTTGGTACCAGTGCCATGCTGTTTTGGTTACTGTTGCCTTGTAGTATTGTTTGAAGTCAGGTAGTGTGATGCCTCCAGCTTTGTTCTTTTGGGTTAGGATTGACTTGGCAATGCAGGCTCTTTCTTTGTTCCATATGGACTTTAAAGTAGTTTTTTCCAATTCTGTGAAGAAAGTCATTGGTAGCTTGATGGGGATGGCATTGAATCTATAAATTACCTTGGGCAGTATGGCCATTTTCACAATATTGATTCTTCCTATCCCTGAGCATGGAATGTTCTTCCATTTGTTTGCGTCCTCTTTTATTTCGTCGAGCAGTGGTTTGTAGTTCTCCTTGAAGAGGTCCTTCACATTCCTTGTAAGTTGGATTCCTGGGTATTTTATTCTCTTTGAAGCAATTTTGAATGGGAGTTCAATCATGATTTGGCTCTCTGTTTGTCTGTTATTGGTGTATAGGAATGCTTGTGATTTTTGCACATTGATTTTGTATGCTGAGACTTTGCTGAAGTTGCTTATCAGCTTAAGGAGATTTTGGGCTGAGACAATGGGCTTTTCTAAATATACAATCATGTTATCTGCAAACCAGTACAATTTGACTTCCTCTTTTCCTAATTGAATACCCTTTATTTCTTTCTCCTGCCTGACTGCCCTGGCCAGAACTTCCAAAACTGTGTTGAATAGGAGTGGTGAGAGAGGGCATCCCTGTCTTGTGGCAGTTTTCAAAGGGAATGCTTCCAGTTTTTGCCCATTCAGTATGATATTGGCTGTGGGTTTGTCATAAATAGCTCTTATTATTTTGAGGTACGTCCCATCAATACCTAGTTTGTTGAGAGTTTTTATCATGAAGGGCTGTTGAATTTTGTCAAAGGCCTTTTCTGCATCTAATGAGATAATCATGTGGTTTTTGTCTTTGGTTCTGTTTATATGATGGATTACGTTTATCGATTTGCATATGTTGAACCAGCTCTGCATCCCGGGGATGAAGCCAACTTGATCATGGTGGATAAGCTTTTTGATGTGCTGCTGGATTTGGTGTGCCAGTATTTTATTGAGGATTTTTGCATTGATGTTCATCAGGGATATTGGTCTAAAATTCTCTTTTTTTGTTGTGTCTCTGCCAGATTTTGGTATCAGGATGATGCTGGCCTCCTGAAATGAGTTAGGGAGGATTCTCTCTTTTTCTATTGATTGGAATAGTTCCAGGAGGAATGATACCAACTCCTCTTTTACCTCTGGTAGAATGTGGCTGTGAATCCGTCTGGTCCTGGAGTTTTTTTAGTTGGTAGGCTATTAATTATTGCCTCAATTTCAAAGCCTGTTATTGGTCTATTCATGGATTCAACTTCTTTCTGGTTTAGTCTTGGGAGGGTGTATGTGTCCAGGAATTTATCCATTTCTTCTAGATTTTCTAGTTTATTTGCACAGAGGTGTTTATAGTATTCTCTGATGGTAGTTTGTATTTCTGTGGGCTTGGTGGTGATATCCCCTTTATTATTTTTTATTGCATCTATTTGATTCTTCTCTCTTTTCTTCTTTATTAGTCTTGCTAGCTGTCTATCAATTTTGTTGATCTTTTCAAAAACCAGCTGCAGGATTCATTGATTTTTTGAAGGGTTTTGTTGTGTCTCTATCTCCTTCAGTTCTGCTCTGATCTTAATTATTTCTTGCCTTCTGCTAGCTTTTGAATGTGTTTGCTCTTGCTTCTCTAATTCTTTTAATTGTGATGTTAGGGTGTCGGTTTTAGATCTTTCCTGCTTTCTCTTGTGGGCATTTAGTGCTATAAATTTCCCTCTACACATTGCTTTAAATGTGTCCCAGAGATTCTGGTATGTTGTGTCTTTGTTCTCATTGGTTTCAAAGAACATCTTTATTTCTGCCTTCATTTCGTTGTGTACCCAGTAGTCATTCAGGAGCAGGTCGTTCAGTTTCCATGTAGTTGAGCGAGTGTCTTAATCCTGAGTTCTAGTTTGCACTGTGGTCTGAGAGACAGTTTGTTATAATTTCTGTTCTTTTACATTTGCTGAGGGGTGCTTTACTTCCAACTATGTGGCCAATTTTGGAATAAGTGTGATGTGGTGCTGAGAAGAATGTATATTCTGTTGATTTGGGGTAGAGAGTTCTGTAGATGTCTATTAGTTCTGCTTGGTGCAGAGCTGAGTTCAATTCCTGGATATCCTTGTTAACTTTCTGTCTCATTGATCTGTCTAATGTTGACAGTGGGGTGTTAAAGTCTCCCATTATTATTGCGTGGGAGTCTAGGTCTGTTTTTAAGTCTCTAAGGACTTGCTTTATGAATCTGGGTGCTCCTGTATTGGGTGCATATATATTTATGATAGTTAGCTCTTCTTGTTGAATTGATCGCTTTACCTTTATGTAATGGCCTTCTTTGTCTCTTCTGACCTTTGTTGGTTTGAAGTATGCTTTATCAGAGACTAGGATTGCAACCCCTGCTTTTTTTAATTGTTTTCCATTTCCTTGGTAGATCTTCCTCCATCCCTTTATTTTGAGCCTATGTGTGTCTCTGCACTTGAGATGGATCACCTGAATACAGCACACTGGTGGGTCTTGACTCTTTATCCAATTTGCCAGTCTGTGTCTTTTAATTGGAGCACTTAGCCCATTTACGTTTAAGGTTAATATTGTTACGTGTGAAATTGATCCTGTCATTATGATGTTAGCTGGTTATTTTGCTCGTTAGTTGATGCAGTTTCTTCCTAGCATCGATGTTCTTTACAATTTGGCATGTTTTTGCAGTGGCTTGTACCGGTTGTTTCTTTCCATGGTTAGTGCTTCTTTTAGGAGCTCTTCTTGTAAGACAGGCCTGGTGGTGACAAAATCTTTCAGCATTTGTTTGTCTGTAAAGGATTTTATTTCTCCTTCACTTATGAAGCTTAGTTTCGCTGGAATTGAAATTCTGGGTTGATATGAAATTCTTTTCTTTAAGAGCGTTGAATATTGGCCCCCACTGTCTTCTGGCTTGTAGAGTTTCTGCTGAGAGATCCGCTGTTAGCCTGATGGGCTTCCCTTTGTGGGTAACCCGACCTTTCTCTCTGGCTGCCCTTACATTTTTTCCTCCATTTCAACTTTGGTGAATCTGACAATTATGTGTCTTGGAGTTGCTCTTCTCGAGGAGCATCTTAGTGGTATTCTCTGTATTTCCTGAATTTGAATGTTGGCCTGCCTTGCTATGTTGGGGAAGTTCTCCTGGATAATATCCTGAAGAGTGTTTTCCAACTTGGTTCCATTCTCCTCGTCACTTTCAGGTATACCAATCGGACGTAGATTTGGTCTTTTCACATAGTCCCATATTTCTTGGAGGCTTTGTTCATTTTTTTTTACTCTTTTTTCTCTAAACTTCTCTTTTTGTTTCATTTCATTCATTTGCTCTTCAATCCCTGACACCCTTTCTTCCACTTGATCAAATCGGCTACTGAAGCTGGTGCATGCATCATGTAGTTCTCGTGGTATGGTTTTCAGCTCCATTGGGTCATTTAAGGTCTTCTTTACACTGTTTATTCTAGTTAGCCATTCATCTAATCTTTTTTCAAGGTTTTTAGCTTCTCTGCAATGGGTTCGAACATCCTCCTTTAGCTTAGAGAAGTTTGTTATTACCAATCGTCTGAAGCCTTCTTCTCTCAACTTGTCAAAGTAATTCTCCATCCAGCTTTGTTCTATTGCTGGAGAGGAGCTGCATCCCTTTGGAGGAGAAGAGGCACTCTGATTTTTAGAATTTTCGGCTTTTCTGCTCTTGTTTCTCCCCATCTTTGTGATTTTATCTACCTTTGGTCTTTGATGATGGGGACACACAGATGGGGTTTTGGTGTGGATGTCCTTTCTGTTTGTTAGTTTTCCTTCTAACAGTCATGACCCTCAGCTGCAGGTCTGTTGGAGTTTGCTGGAGGTCCACTCCAGACCCTGTTTGCCTGGGTATCACCAGCAGGGGCTGCTGAACAGCAAATATTGCAGAACAGCAAATGTTGCTGCCTGATCCTTCCTCTGGAAGCTGCGTCTCAGAGGGACACCTGGCTGTATGAGGTGTCAGTCGGCCCCTACTTGGAGGTGTCTCCCAGTTAGGCTACTTGGGGATCAGAGACCCACTAGAGGAGGCAGTCTGTCCATTCTCAGATCTCAAACTCTGTGCTGGGAGAACCACTACTGTCTTCAAATCTGTCAGACAGCTTTGAAGTCTGCAGAAGTTTCTGCTGCCTTTTGTTCAGCTATGCCCTGCCCTTAGAGGTGGAGTCGACAGAGGCAGGCAGGCCTCCTTGAGCTGCGGTGGGCTCCACCCAGTGCAAGCTTCCCGGCTGCTTTGTTTATCTACTCAAGCCTCAGCAATTGCGTACGCCCCTTCCCCAGCCTCACTGCCGCCTTGCAGTTCGATCTCAGACTGCTGTGCTCTCAGCGAGCGAGGCTCCTTGGGCATGGGACCCTCCGAGCCAGGCGCGGGATATAATCTCCTGGTGTGCCATTTGCTTAGACCATTGGAAAAGTGCAGTATTAAGGTGGGAGTGCCCCGATTTTCCAGGTACCATCTGTCACGGCTTCCCTTGGCTAGGAAAGGGAATTCCCTGACCCCTTGCGCTTCCTGGGTGAGGTGATGCCCCGCCCTGCTCTGTGGGCTGTACCCACTGTCCGACAAGCCCCAGTGAGATGAACCCATTACCTAAGTTGGAAATGCAGAAATCGCCCATCTTCTGCATTGCTCACACTGGAAGCTGTGGACTGGAGCTGTTCTTATTTGGCCATCTTAGAACCTCATGCCAACTGTCCTCCCTAATCTTTTATTATGCAGATGGGTTCTCTACCTGGCCTGTGCCTTGTTGCCTGTTCCTTTACTGTACATGTGATGACAAGAAAAGAAGATGGACCCTCCATGTTGAACATGCCTGGCCCTCAGGTAGCCCTTTTCTATTGGCACAGCTGCTGGCATTCATCTGTGCAAGCTTCCAGCTTGCTCATGTATGTCTGCAGCTCGATTTCTCAGGCTGCTCTTTGTTAGAAAAGAAATGATTTTTTGGGCTGCTTTTTGTTAAAATGGAAAATTCTGCCTATGACTCTGTTGTCCTTACTATCTGCCTAAATAATTTATTTCTATGTCCTGTATCACTGGATTCCCCCCACCTACCAAGTTGTTCTTAAAAACTGCTCCCTGAATGCTCTAAGAGACTGATTTGAGTTTTGAATAAAACTCTGGACTCCCACACAGCTGCCTCTGCATGAGTTACTCTTTCTCTATTGCAATTTCCCTGTCTTGATATATTGGCTCTGTCTAGGCCTTGGGCAAGGTGAACCTGTTGGGTGGTTACATTCTCACTGTTATAATTTTTCAAAGGTGATTTCAGTCATGCCACCATCAGTGTAGGTCTCACCTGGGAGATTGTTAGAAATGTAGAATCCTGGACCCAGTGAATATGAATCTGCAGTTTTAAAAGATCTCCAGGTAATACATAGATGAATTAAAGTTTTAGAGCTAATGCTATAAGTGACATGGCTTCTTGATAAGTTATTTTCCGATTTTCAATCTGAGGTCCCCTGGGCTGCCTGCATGGATGTGTGGATAGGGGTTGAGGAAAAGGATGAACATTGGTGTTTCTCTTCAAGAGTTTGAATTTGATGTTTGTTTGCACACTTCAATGTATCTGTATATTTTAAAAAGTGGAGCAGTTATTCCTAGAGTGAAACTTTTGTATTCACCTAGAAAATCCATTTCAACTATCTGAGTTAGTTTACCAACAGTTCCCAGAAGAGGGCGCTGCAATGCCTTTCTTTTTCTGTCCTTACACCTGTGTACTGAAGTCAGAAACTAATTGATGAAATGTTTAAATCCACATTATTTCATTGGAGGTACCAATACTTGTATTTGCTAAGTAGATATTCTTTTCTTTACTTTGTAGATGAGTAAACAGGAAGACTGAACTGTTTCTCAACTCCCAAATTCAGGCTTCTTTCAAAATCTACAGTATCATTGGGGGCTGTTATACCAGGACACATGGAGGTGAAGAACTAAAGCAAAATCGTGTCTACTTCACAGTTTTGCCTAAGGCTGGGCTTAATTCTTAAAAAGGTAGCTCTGCTCTTAGTTGAGTGGTCTGGCTAAATTCAAGCAGATTAAACCAGTGTTTATTGTGTTGCTTTGCTAAAAGCCTTTTAGCTGCTTTCAACACAAAATGTTATCCATATTGCTTAGACTTTGCAAACGTAAATAAAATATTCTGTTATGAGTTTTGCAAGAATTTTGAGGGTGAGTTAATGTCAAGGTACCTCTGAACAAGATTTTATACATGTATAGGATGAACGGGACTGCCTTGATGTTCCCCTCAACTTGACTAAACTTTAGACAGATTTCTCCCTGACGTATCACTCCTTTACTTCTCTTTTCTTAGATTGTTTACTTTAGAAAACTTCCCACTATAAATTCTTTCTGTCTTCTTATTTGAGATTTAAATTTTTCTCTAGCCTTTTATCGGTTTTGCAACCCAGGAATATCTTTCTCAAAGACCTGGGAGCCATTTCTTTGAAAAATAATCATCAAGAAAAATAGTTCCCTTATCTTCCCATCTCTGTGGGAGGGTAGTACTCTAACTTCCATATGTGCCAGTTAGCAAATACAGATGGCCTAATCATGTTGACCCACCTTCCCCACTAATATTCTCCAGAACTTTTTCACTAGCATACTCCAGCCTTTACAATCTCTCCTGCTTTTTGTTCAACAGATTTGAATACAGTCTCTCTTTCTTATTGGAACAGGCTTGACACCTATTGCAACAATTTTGAATAAAGTCTTCCTTGCCTATTTAACTTTGTCCAATGCAATTTTTCTTTGAGAATAGCCTACAGAGATTCAAATACAATAAGGTTATTGTATTAGCTACTTGCATACTACTAGCATTCTTTATGACTCATTATTAGAAAATAATAAGTGCAATTGAGGAATATGGGTATTTTTCCTCTACAATTGAAACCACTGAAAAGTAATCCTATAAACAAAGTAGCCCCTGTCCAATGTCTTTCCCTTATATCTTCCTAAAACACATTATTCTACTGTTCTTCCCACTTCAAGGGCCACAGTTTCTCATTTGCTGACTTTTCCTGTGTTTTCCTCTAAATGCAAAATTAAGATTTTATTCTTGGCTCACTTCACTTCTGTATTTACACAGGTACAGATGTGTAGATTAACAGATCTAGTTGTCGCTTCCACAGTTACCCTTCTGCAAACCTGTTCCACCTAGCAGTCAGAGGTATCTTCTAAAATATAAAAATGCAAAAGTATCTTTTCTCTGCTTGAAGTCCTTCAATAGCTCCTTTTTGCAGTTAGAGAAAAAAATGATACCCAAATCCTTCTCGCTGTTTAACAAGGTCCAATACAATCTAGCATCTTTACATGTCCTCAGCCTCAACCTTCACCACTCATCCTTCTCCACTTCTGCCTCCACTGCCATGTTGATCATATTAGATCCACAAGAACTTCTTTCCATTCCTAGCACATGCCAGGTTCCCCTTCCTTAGGCCCTTTGCTCCTGCTGTTCCCAAGGTAAGGAATGCTCATTCCTCAGATCTATTTTGGTTATGACAGCTGAAAGCTTTTTCCCAAAGATCTGGAACAAAACATGGATGGCTACTCTCATCACTCTTATTCAGCATAGTACTAGAAGCCCAGCCCAAGCAATTAGACAAGAGGGAAAAATACAGAAAATCTAAATTAGAAAGGAGGAAGTCAAATTGTTCCTGTTTTCCGATGACATAATCTTATATATAGAAAACTGGAAAGTCCACCAAAAAACTCTCAGAAAGGATACAAGAACTTAGTAAATTTTCAAGACACAAAGTTAAGACAGAAAAAATCTGTAATATTTCTATACACACACAATGAACTAGCTGAAAACAAAATCAAGAAGGCAATCCCATTTGCAATAGCTACACACACAAAAAAACCTAGGAATAAATTTAACCAAGGAAGTGAAAGATCTCTATGTTGTAGGAAAATCCAGGTTCTTGTCACATGACTAAGATAATTTAGGCATGAGGACTCATTGTAGGGTGAGTAGGGCAGAGTTTATTGGGTGAAAAAGAAAAAAAAGTGGGAAAAAGGGACTCTCAGCAAAGTGACAGTCCTGCTACGAAGTTTCCCACCTTGCAGATTGAATCCTTGGTTATCACCCAGGAACAGGAGAGGCTAGGCTACTCCCCCTTGTAAACAGTGCTAACGTCCCACGGCTCCACCCCATCCTCCCAGTGCACAGGACGGTCAGAGGTTCTCAGGAGACCCCTTTTGAGGTGGCTGTCTCATTCCCCACTCTGAAGTACATCTAACTGCCGTTAGAATAAGGATAAGGATAAAGAAGACCAATCCTAACTGCCTCCTGCCGACAGGGGCGCTGTTTTGGGGAAATGGCAGTCAGATCTCCCTCAAAGGCCTCTCTAAGTGTCCCTAGCAGAAGGCGCCATTGTCCAAGGCTCCAGTTGCATGACTATTTGGAGTTTGATTGCCTGAAGGAGAGAAGAAACAAACCAGGTTAATAGAAAACATGTATCAAAACCAAACAAGGGGGTGGGTGAAGACAGCTCAAAAATCCTGAGGCCTTTTACCAGTTCACACAGGGAGATGGAGGGGGTGGGGGACAAAAGCTGGACTGGTAAGGAAACTTACTTTTGTGCAGGCATGTCATAGTTCTGGGCCTCCTTCTCCTGAGCCCAGTCTGAAGCCAACCAGTCTAAGGTTTGGGAAATTAACTCTTCCCAGTTTGGAGGATGCATCTGAGGGGAGTGTTCCATAGTACGGAGACACAATTACTTATCATTAAAGAGATGACAGAGGAGGAAAAAGGAAGGTGTTTTTTCAAGGAGTCCCAGGGATTCAAGATGCATTTGAAAGGGGTACAGACTGAAGATGAATGGCTACTCATCTAGAAAGAGGGGAGCCAGTGCCTCTGATTCCTTTCTCTTCCTAGCAAATACACAGGATACATGAGGGAGGAAAAGTGAGGTGTTCCTCTTTCTTTCCTCCATCCTTTTATCCCTGAGTCTTGGTGACTGTGACCAGTGGCCATGGGTGTTAAAGTGGCTTTCGCCCATGTTAACAGTGAGGGCCTAAGAGGTGGGAGTATCCATTCTCACCCATGTATGCCCTATCTCCCCTTCTGTCAGTAGCCTTTGGATTCCCTAGACCTCATTTATGCCATGGATACTAGCGTAGCCTTTATCCATGAAACTGGAAGCTTGGCTTAATTGGCAGGAATCAGCCACACTCACCTGCACTATGTCTTTTGACTTCCGTTATCATCTGCCTCTGGATCCCTCAGATCCAGTTTTCTTTCCTAGGCCTTTGACTCAAAACTTGGAATTAAGTTTGGGACAAAAATGCATCTTGGAGTGGGTTGCATGGACTCCTTATCATAAACCAAATGCTAAAGTGAAGCTGTGGAATTGAGTCCTCTTCCAACAAGGGAGAGAAAAGGATGTCCAGTGACATGCCTAGATAACTGGTGGCTATAGTTATGCTTCCTAGGATTTGGGTGCATGTTGCTTGGCTTTGGTTAGCTCCCTTGGTCTTACTTTCCCCCACCTCCCCCCCAGAAAAACCCTCTGAGTGATGGGCAACCTATTTATTCCCATCACCTGGTAGGATTTGCAGGATAATTGCTCAGAACTAGAATATTGATCCAGATTTCTACATTACCCATCCTGTTTGTTCTTTCTGAGCTGCACACAGAGATCACTGGTTGGTTCACAGGAACAAGCAGGGTTAGTCTGAAAATGTAGGCAAAAACTGAAAAACAACTAATGAGTTTAGAATTTTAAGACAAATGTATGATAAATTTTGAAACATAATTTCTCTCTCTCCAGTCCTCATTTTTGTTAAAAACACAAATCATGATAGGACTCAGTTGTTTGCAAAATTGAATTTAGTCTTATACTTGGCCTGATTATTTGCATAAAGTGCAGCAAAAATAATTATTTCTACATAGGCCTTTTGATTGGCTTTGATGGAATGCTGTTCCACAAGTAATCTCAAATAAGATCTTTTAAAGCCACGCCCAGACATGTATTTGTATCCTCAAATACCTGTGAGTTGGGTAATCCTCTTGTCTTAAGGTTCCAAGATAAACTTGGAGCTCCTGGGCCTGTTAGAAAGTGACATTCTTTACTGATCACAGGTCATGAACCCTGTACAGGAACTGCATAGACAAGGCTCTGAGACCAGTTTCCTCAAGGGACTTTTTTTTTTTTTTTTTTTTTTTTTTTTTTTTGAGAGAGTCTCACTCTTGTTGTCCAGGCTGGAGTGCAATGGCACAATCTTGGCTCACCGCAACCGCTGCCTCCCGGCTTCAAGCAATTCTCTTGCCTCAGTCTCCCGAGTAGCTGGGACTACAGGCATGTGTCACCATACATGGCCAATTTTGTATTTTTAGTGGAGATGGGGTTTCTCCATGTTTGTCAGGCTGGTCTCAAACTCCCAACCTCAGGTGATCCGCCCGCCTTGGCCTCCCAGAGTGCTGGGATTACAGGTGTGAGCCACCACGCCCGGCCTTCCCCAAGGGACTTTTATTGGCTCTGCAAGTTGAGCTTGACTCCTTAAAGAGAAGCATACCCTTCCAGTCAAAGCCTTGGTAAAACAACCAGTTACTCCAATTGCATCCTGTTGCAAAAGAAAATGGATTTTTACTGCACTGATGCAAACAAGTATATTGCTGTAAGTTAAGAATACTCACAGATAATTTCCAAATTCTACAGGAACCAGGCAGAGAGAAGCAAATATACTCCAAATTTTGTTCACAGGAGTATACTCTACTCAATGATTAAAGGCTATAAATAGTTCAAAATATGTTTTCTTGACTCTAAAAAACAAAACAAGGATCAGCAATATCCAAGCAAAATTGAGAAAGATTGCTTCATTTTTTTGAGTTCACCCAGTTAACCCTTATTTTGCTTGATATTTATGAACATTTTAGCTCTTCATGAGTTCTGTACATTTTTCCTTTATTCCAATGTCACAATCCCCAAAGGTATGAGAAACCTGTATCTGAGAGCACTTGTAAAAGTTCTCTAGCTTATTATAAACCATCTTTTGAAAAAGATTAAAACAACAATTGTCTGTGAATAACAATATGTCCAGGGTAGTTACAGTTAGAAACACAATTGACAAAGTTTTGTTATCTCTGTAGTTTACAATAACTTAACAACTTTAATTATGATTGATAGGATATTCTTTAGACATTAGAATTTTAGAAATTCCATACAATTTTGGAACACATATTAGTATTATTCACCAAAATATGACCTAAAGAAGACTGAATACCATTTTGGCAATCCCATGTACCTAAACGTGTCACATAATCCTGTTTACCTTTCTTTTCTGAACACTCCAGGGGCCCTCTGAAGTATCTGAAAAGCCAGGTGTCAGAAAAGACAATTTTGAAACTGAAGTTTGATTTTGGAAAGCCTATTAAATATATTAGAGGCTTAAAATACTTGCTGTTATGAAATAGAATTCCGGATTACCATAAGTTATTTATTTTGCTGAAATAACAACTAAGAAATTTTTTTAAAGAAAAAACCTTGTACAGCCCTTTCATACAAATTTTGCTGACGAGCAGATTAGTGCCTTAAGGATACCTTGCTGTGCTTTTATTTGAATGCTCAATTTACAGAAAAATCATACAATACTTTTTGAAGTTAGTCAATATGTTCACACAGAGAATTTGTTGCAAGATTAATTTTTACAATCCTTCCACCAGTTGTTTGAACTTTTAGCTTTATCTTATCTAATTTAAAACAAATCTTCAACCCTAGGCAGGAATTTACATTTTTATGATTTCTTATAATCTTTATTAAAAACACATTTCACTGTCCTTATGCACCTTGCATGTAAATCTATTTCCAATAGTCTCAATTACATGTCATAATGGTAACTTTTAGCAGTTTTTAACTTTAATGTAAAACCTGGTAAGTTGTTTTGATTATGTGCTAGATGCAGCCAAGGTTTGACTCCTTCCAACATAATTAAGGGAGTGTTTAGTTCCATGTGTCCCCAGGCCTTGCCAATTGTGAAGCCAGCAAATTGAAAAGTTCTCAAAAACCAAAAAAGCAGTTTATGACCTTAAAATATTTTGCCAACCTAGTATCTGACCTGCATAATTTAGTCCACCTATTTACATTTTTATGACATCTGCTTTTTACCAATAATCTTTAAGGCTGTTTTTATTTCTCCAAGATTAAAGTCACGTGAACTGAAAGGTACCACAGCTTTTTATCTTCTCTTTCATAAAATATTTGATCCAAGTGCTTGTCTTCCTTTAGGCAAAATTAATTAGAGCTCTTTTTTTTATGTAAACATCACACACACAACACATATAGAATTACACAGACAGGTAGAAGATAACCCGGTCCCCATAAGATCTTTCATTTGCCAATCTCCTAATTGGATTATTGGCCTCTGGGTGCTTTTAATTTCTGGAGTCCATGAGAAAAAAAAGAGGTCTCTCCTCTCTTGTGCGTGCATTAAAAAAGTGGCAAAGCAAAATGAAGAAAAAATAATTCAGTTGACCAAGAAAAACCTTTTCCCAGCAAAACAAGGTCCAAGAAAAGGGAAACCTTTTAAATATGACTCTAACTTGGATATCCACTTTTAGTTAAGCTGAGCACTCCTTAAGAAATTCCTCTTAACTCCCTTATTATCTGAATTTAGCCACACCAAGTGGCCAATATTTCTGGCTTTCAAACTTTACTAAAGGCTCAGAGAAAGGAAAATCCAAGGCAGTTCATGGAGAGAAATGGAATCAACAAATAGCAAAAGGTCATGCAGATATCAAACCAGGTAAGACTCATTCCCTAAGCCAGGATTGAATCCAAGCTACACAGAGGCTACACAAAACCTTGCCAAGTGGTTACAGGTCTTGCTCCCAAGGATGTTAAACAAGATGGAGGTCCTCAGCAAATTTGCTATGGACCATACAGAAAGACATGCAAAGCAGACCAGATTGGCTACAGCTTCAGATCAGCCTCACAAATCGTCTCTCGCAATTAAAACACTACAGAGAGCCCTCTGCTCAGTCCTGCAGCTGCCCACTGCCCTCCTACTGTCCACCGTGGCCCTGCTGCACTCTGGCTGCGTCCTCTCTGGGATCGCTGCCACCTTCCACCTGGGCCTCGCAGCTGCGGCCTCTGCCAGAGCCAGCTCCTGATGGACCCATGTGGAAATGGGACCTCCAGATATCATCCTGGCAGTCATTGAAGACTTTAAGAGGGACACCAATAGCAAAAAGATGAATCTGGGAGTTGGTGCCTACCGGGATGATAACGGAAAGCCTTGGACGTGCTGCCTAGCGTCCCCAAGGCAGAGGCCCAGATTGCCACAAAAAGTTTGGACAAGGAATACCTGTCCACTGGGGGACTGGCTGAATTTTGCAAGGCATCTGCAGAACTAGCCCTTGGTGAGAACAGCGAAGTCTTGAAAAGTGGCCGGTTTGTCATTGTGCAGACCATTTCTGGAACTGGAGCCTTAAGGATTGGAGCCAGCTTTCTGCAAAGATTTTTTAAGTTCAGCTGAGATGTCTTTCTGCCCAAACCAAGCTGGGGAAATCACACGCCCATCTTCAGGGACACTGGCATGCAGCTACAAGGTTATCGGCTTTATGACCCCAAGACTTGCGATTTTGACTTCACAGGCGCTGTGGAGGGCCTTTCAAAAATACCAGAGCAAAATGTTGTTCTTCTGCATGCCTGCACCCACAATCCCACGGGAGTGGACCCAGGTCTGGAACAGTGGAAGGATACAGCAACAATGGTGAAGAAGAAGAGTCTCTTTGCCTTCTTTGACATAGCCTACCAAGGCTTTACCAGTGGTGATGGTGATAAGGATGCCCGGGCTGTGCACCACTTCTTTGAACAGGGCATTAATGTTTGTCTCTGCCAATCATATGCCAAGAACATGGGCTTATATTGTGAGCGTGTAGGAGCCTTCACTGTAGTATGCAAAGATGCGATGAAACCAAAAGGGTAGAGTCACAGTTGAAGATCTTGATCCATTCCACGTATGCCAACCGTCCCCACAATGGGGCCCAGATTGCTTCTACCATTCTGAACACCCCAGATTCATGAAAACAATGGTTGCAAGAAGTGAAAGGCATGGCCGACCACATCATTAGCATGCGGACTCAGCTTGTCTCCAACCTCAAGAAGAAGGGTTCCACCCACAACTGGCCACATAGCACTGCCCAAACTGGCATGTTTTGTTTCACAGGGCTAAAGCCTGAACAGGTGGAGTGGCTAACCAAGGAGTTCTCCATCTATATGACAAAGGACGGCCGCATTTCTGTGGCAGGGGTCACCTCCGGCAACGTGGGCTACCTTGCCCATGCCATTCACCAGGTCACCAAGTAATGTACCTGGTGCAAGGAAACAGAGACGACCTTTCTGTCTTCAGCCTCTGCTATTGGGAGCTTCACACAGAGGATGAGAGAGAGCGGATGGTGGTGAGTGGATCATTTTCTTCAACCACGGTGTGTAACACTCAGCAATTGAATGTTTCTCAGAAAAGAACGTGTAGTGACACAGGGCAGAGGGATCCGTGGCTGGCGTCTGGAACATTGTGGCTCTAAACCAAATGCTCCCCTGTCCTTTTATCCCCAACTTTTCTCAAAGAGTTTACATGTACAAGAAAGTCACCACACCAAAAAACCTGTCAATTATGCCATTGCAATATTTCAGAAGCTTTAACTGAAGTGTCATATAGTGTCAGGTTCCTCATGAGAAATAGCACACATTAGAGGCTTTGAGAGAAGACCTAGTTCTGTCATGAACACTTGGCCTCATGTCTGTCCTCCCATCATGGAGCAGCCTTATCAACAGACCACATTGCAGAAATTATGTTTTATGAAAACCAGTAAGTCTGCTGCCACTACAGCAAGGAAAGGAATGCAGTTTCCTGTCTTATTTAAGAAAAAGAGAAGGCTCTCTTTTCTCCTTTGCCATTGCTGTTCTTTTCCTTATGCACAAAGATTTTTAATGAATGCAGATTTTTATCTCATTCTACTGCCTGACTATCAACCCCATCCTATTGGGATTTATTTAAGAATAAACATAATTTTCTGCTGATGCCATACCCTCACTTTTCTCAGCAAAGAATAATGGAGAGTAGGTAACTGTACTTTATCTCAGCATCCTCTTGAATGATTTTGTAATCTTCTCTAGTTGTGATGTTGTCTCTGCCCAGTTGTACCTCCTCCTTTGTTGAATGTGGTTGTGCAGTCACTCATCTCACACCGTGAGTCCAGTGGCACAGGGTGGTACCAGGAAAGAGGATATTCTAGGCTTTGTGTGCTGCCAGTTGGGTTCAGGCTTCACCTCCTGGAAACCATGTAGACTTATTGCAGCCTACAGATTTGTGGAACTTCAAACTTGAGGGAGATGATTTAGGGTATCTGGCAGAAGAAACTTCTAAGCATTGAAGCAGTTAAGAGGTGACTTGGGTGCTGTTAAAATATTCAGTTTTAAAAGGGAAACAGAGGATAAAAGTTTAGAAAATGTTCAGCCTGATGATGTGATAGAAAAAAAACCATTTTCTGTTTCTCCACTGTGCACGAGATAAGTGGAATACCTCCTAGCATTCCATAGCACTGTAGGATTACTACAGTTAACAATAATATGTTATATTGTTTCAGAAAGCTAGAAAGAGGATATTAAATGTTTCCAACATAAAGAAATGATAAATGTTTGAGATGATAGATATGCTAATTACCCTAATAGAATTGTTGTACATCATATCTATCAAAACATCACTACATACTTTATGAATATGTAGTTACTATTTGTCAATTAAGAAACAAAATGGAAGAAAGGAAAAAAAAACTGTAACTAATCCCGTTTAAGTATGAAATTGTATTTCCTATATTAAATGCCTACACCCACACTGTGAATAAATTTTATTTATATTAATATGTAAAGTTGTAATGTGAGAAATGAGCTTACGAGGTTGCATTTATGACAAGATTCTGTTCACTGAAGAGAAAGAGTACCTCAAGTATTTCTATTTACCATTAAAAGTAGAACTGATTTCAAAGATCTATATTCAAGAGAACAGAGAAAGAAATTTTAAGATAATTTCTGCAAGTTAAGGTTATTTGTTTTTAAATCTTACCCCAAATAATGCAAATGATGCCGTGTTTTCAAATTTTATTTTCAGTAAATCATCAATAACTATTTCCAACAAGTTATCCTGTAAATTTCACAATTATTTGTTATTATTTTGCAAGAAGGTAATATGTGAATTTCAGATTTTTATGCACAGTTGGATTGTAGTTGAGAAAATAACCTTAAGATCCCAAACTTCTTAATGTTGTGACTCATACACACTCATGTCAGAAGTGACCCACCACTGAGTCTGATGGTACCACACTTGTCTATTTCCTGTCCAACAAGGTGGATTCACCCACTTGGTTATTAAGGAAATGTCAAATTGCTATATGAGTTTTTAAATGCTTACTCTCAATGTCTGTGATATGGTTTGGCTGTGTCACCACCCAAATCTCATCTTGAATTCCCATGTGTTGTGGGAGGCACCCAGTGAGAGGTAATTGCATCATGGGGCAGGTCTTTCCCGAGCTGTTCTTGTGATAGTGAGTAAGTCTCATGAGGTTTAATGTTTATTATAAGGGGAAATTTTCCTGCACAAGCTCTCTCTGCTTGCTGCCATCCATGTAAGACATGACTTGCTCCTCCTTGCCTTCTGCCATGATTGTGAGGCTTCCCCAGCCACATGGAACTGTAAGTCCAATTAAACCTCTTTATCTGTAAATTGCCCAGTCTTGGGTGTGTCTTTATCAGCAGCATGAAAACAGACTAATAAAGTCTGTGTTTACCTCACCATGGACTGATAACACATAGTTCATGAACTGCCACTGATCCATGATATACACTTTGAGTAATACCACTCTAAGGCAAAATAAGAGATAGATATATTGTAACTGCTATGATGATGATGTTAGCAGGGGAACTGGGGATGTTACTATAGGCAGATCTAAAAAATCCAATAAAGGTTTTTTCACTTCAATTTTAAAAACTCTACATTTTTTACTAGTAGGGCCTTTTATTAACATGCCACCATCTAGCACTTCACGTAATATATGACTCTCCACACAAATGTTTGCCATTTGTTTATTTAACTAGGTAATAATAAGGAGGAAAGATTTGAGTCAGCTTCAGTAAGCATTTCTAACTGCAACAGACTTTGCAAGTAATCATTTTATTCAAAAGCCAAATAACTTACATTCTATGTGTGTGTCCTAAAAGAATCCTGGCTGTGTACTTATTTACATAACCTTTATTTATTGTCCTTTATATACAAAGGACAATAATGCATGAGGCAGAACATTTCCTTTCTTCTGAGGACAGGAGAATTCTGAATGCAATTCCAGAAATTAACAGTCTTGTGCTTATGTATTAACTTTTTTTCATATATAATAGACATGGGCTTACATTTCATTTACTGTGATGACACATTTAAGAAACCTAGTCAAATTTAAGGCCCTGCAATCAGATCCTTTTATGCCTGTCTTTTAGAGTTTGAAAAAATAAAGGAAGAAAAAAAAATTTAAACCACCGTGATGCACTGAAACTCACTCATTTTTCATAGACACTTTTCTTTATAAGGGTTATATTAGGATAGTTATGGCTATATAGTTTTATTATTTTTATTATCCGTATGCATACATAGCAAAATATTTGTTACACAAGCAATAAACTTAGATATTAACATCATATCTCCTTTTCCATACTTCCTCAGAGAGAGTCAAAAGGTGGAAGGACTATTAAGGCACTACTTCTGAAATGTGATCGAGGTTGTTTCATTATCATGTAAGAAAATTATAATCTTACTGTATCCTGTGGTGCAAAGTATGTGTGTGTGTATACATATATAATATATATATATACACATACATATATATGATATATATATATCAACAAATTATAAGTTAAATTGAAGGATGATTATAGCTTTCTATGTCATAGCTAAAAACAATCATAACTGACAAAAAGTCATCTGCTTTTTAAAAATAATTAATACATGTTATTTTAGAATAGTTTTAGGGTTGTGGAAAAATTGAGTGGCAAGTGTAGATTTCTGATTTATCACTTCTTCCTCCCTCACAATTTCCCTTATTATTAACATTGCCCATTAGTGTTGTACAATTTGTCTTGATGAACAAATATTGATACATTGTAAGTAAGTCCATCGTTTAGGGTTCCCTCTTTCTGTTGTACATTCTGTGGGTTTGACAAACATGTGAGATATATCTGCAGCAGCCTCGTTGTCTGGGGTAAATACCAAGATTCTTAGTCTCATGGCCAAGGAGATCGAGGTCTCGGACACACACACAGACAGAGTGAGTTTGGAGCAGGAGTTTAATAGGCAAAAGGAAAGAACAGGTCTCTGTTAGAGAGGGATCCTGAGAAGATTGCCAAGTTGTAGTTAAGAATGTCAGAGTTTTTATAAATGGGCTCTTGAGGAGGGGGCTCTTGAGGAGGGGCTTGTGAGGAGGGGATGTCTTATCTTTCTAGGGCCCCAGGGTTTAGTTGGGACCAGGTGTGCCATCTGTACAGAGCAGATTTTTTTATCATCTCTTAACCCACTCCGTGACCACACAGGCCAACTCTTAGTCTGTGTTTCTTTGTCCTGCTTATCTGGTAGGGAAAGTTTCTGTGTCTGTTCCCATACATCTTCTTGAAGCTGCAGGCATCTTGGTGCGCCTAAAGAGAAAGGAATGTGCTTATTAAGGCCCACTGTTTTACTGGGGCCCATCGTGTAAGTGTGAAGCTTGGTGATTACCCGGGAGACTCTCGGCTGTCCACCCCAGTCCTTCTGTGTCCCAGCTGTCTTTTCTGTGTTTTACTGTCTGCTCTTTCAGGCCTCTTGTTAGAAAAGTGATTTCTTTGAACTGCATGAGGTTAGCAAGGGAGCTATTTTTGAGCTGCTTTTTGTTAAAAGCAAAGTTTTCTACCGGGGACTGGCTTTACCCTGTCTACCCAAATAATTCGTTTCTGCCTCCTATAACATATCCACCATTACACATAGAATAGTTTCACTGCCTAAAAAGCTCCTGTGGCCCAGGGTGGGAATCGGCCCCGGGTGGAGGCCTCCATTGGGTTCCCCCTAATCCCGGGGACAAGGGCATCCTCTGGGTCCTTATCACAGGGTAAGGGGTCCACCAGACCCGGACAAGCGCTCCTAGCTGGAGGAGGGTCGCGTTCCTGCCGGATGTGGAAAGGAAGTCCAGGAATCCCCTTCCTGTCTTTCTGGTTTCTCTCTGGGCTTCCTGCTCGGGTCACAAGCGCCAGAAGCGCCGGCGGCTGCGGGGAAACGGTAGGCGGGGGATCCAGCCCCAAGCAAATCTCCCGCGGGCGCGTGGGAGGTGGGGCCAGTGCTGGGCGCAGCCGCGCCTCGCGCCTCCCGCCCCCCGGGGCTGCGGCGGGGACGCTTCTCTGGAGGGTGTGGCGGAAACTTGAGGCTTGGAGTCCGCGGGACCGGAAGGGGCTCCGTAGCTCGGGGCAGGGTGGGCGCGAGAGAGCCTAGAAGCCCATGTAGCCGCGAATCCCGCAGCCCCAGTACACCTCCCTCCGTGCCTCCCCGCCTTTTCTGCAGAGCTCCGCCCTGGAGTGAAGGAGGAGCCGTCACCTGGAGCTCCGAAAAAAGCAGAAGAAGGCGCTTTTTATTTAGCCAGTGTGACCCCGCCAGGGCCTTCTCGGTTGGGTGAGCACTCTCTCTGACCAGGCCATGAAAAGAAAAATCTGTGCGATGCCTCCCCACATGTCACGGGACTCTGACTTGCCTTTGTCGTCAGAGTTTGCAGAACTTTGGGGGACCTGAGAGGGGAGTGCCCCCTGGACGGGCCACGGCTGTCTGTGGCTTAAGGGCTTTTGGAAGGGCGGAGAGAGGGAAACGGCGTCCTAGTGGCCTGCTTCAGGGCCACCCACGGGCCCTCCCCCAACCTCTCTCTGATCCAACTTGTTTTTCCAGCCTAGTTGGAAACTTGTGGATGCTGTGACCTCAAGAAGACTTGGCATTTTATTTGGAAGATAGACATCTATTTGCAACTGTCCTGAGCCCCTATTTTCCTCCCACCTTTCTTGGGGAAACTTGTTTTTAAGGGATGCCACTGTTTTTGTAACATGTTGCTCCTAGCTCTTAGCATTCATGGTACTGTTGTAACCGTCCAGTGGGTTCACTTTGTCTGCTAGATAGAGCCGATTTATCAAGACGGGGATTACAATGGAGAAAGAGTAATTCACGCAGAGCCGGCTTTGCAGGTGATGGGAGTTTTATTATTACTCAAATCGGTCTTCTTAAATTTGTGTCCCGGAGCAGTACGTTCTAACATTTTTTAGATGTTACAAATGTAACTTTTGGCTAAGTTACATTCCTACTAAGTTATATTCTTACTAACTAAGCCAAATGTTATATTCTAAAGAATGTTTACAGAACCGAAACTAAATATTTGTTACCTGGTACAGTTGTGAAACTTGTTTTTTAAAATGCATCCTGTGATTTAAGTTTTTCAGATCCTGAAACTGAGTTAAAATTTGATCAGTAATAATGCTTTATTTCTCTGTTCTTCTGAGAGATAATTCCTAATGTTGTTTTTCCAACTAGAAGTCTGAAGAGTTATTGTGTTCAGTGTGTACCTTAAGAGTGGTATGAATTTGCGGGAGTCAGGACACACTGTAAGAAAGGTAGAAGAGAAATAAGTGAGCAAGAGAGAAGTGGAACAAGATGCATGTGGGAATATTGCTGCAGGACTTTTCCTTATTTCAGCTAAAAATGGGATTCTTTGTCCCACGGCCACGGAAATTCAGGCTCGCAGATGGTTTAAAGGGTGTGTGAAGCAGAGTTTTATTGGGTGAAAAAGGGAAAAAAAGGGGGAAACAGGTACTCTTGCAGGGCCAGAGTCCTTCCGCCGGAGCGCTTCCCACCTGACAGTTTGAATCCCAGGTTCTACAAATGAAAAACTGGGGCCAGGCTCAGGCTTCTCTCTGCTGCAAACCTTGTGAACTTCCCAAGGCTCCACCTCAGTGGGCAGGCTAATTGGAGTTTCTCCAGGGACCCCTTCCCACCTGGCTGTCTCAGTATTAGTAGGAGGGGCTAGAGATGTAAAAAAGAAGAAGAGAAAGCAGGCACATTTAGAAGATTATTAAGAGAGGCAAATGGGAGATTTGGGGGAAGTTTTAAGGGGAGAGTTACACATTACCCTAGTAGCAATGAAAAAGAATTACGGAAGTCTTAGTATTCTGAACCTTTAAGACAATTTTGCGTTAGTGTAGAACCAGAAAGAATAAAGGTTGATATTTTTATATGAGCCAAAATCCAAACGATATTTACTGCTTAAGATCATCCAATCTTACCCATCTTTCCCCCTGTCTAGAATTTAAGCTGAAGCTCCCTGTTATTCTTGTAGATGTATATTAAACGGACGAAAGTTGGCAGGGACTTTTAAAGTATTATAATTTATATTCAGTAAAATTCACTCTTTTGGTGTAGATTTCTATGGTAAACATATATACTCATGTTACTACCATAAAAGTCAAGATATAGAGCCATACCCACCCACTCGAAATTCCCTCATGTCCCTTTGTAGAATGTCTCTTCCTCTACCGCTAGCCCTTGGCAACCACTCATCTGTTTTCTGATCTTGCACTTTTGCTTTTCCAGAATGTCACATCGATGGAATCTTGCAGTAGGTAAATGTAGAATCTGACTTCATTCACTTAGCAATAATGCATTTTCAAGTCATCTGTATTATAGTATGTATCATTTGTCAAAGAAAAACAAGTCTGGACTTAGGGAGAAACTTTATTCAAAAGGACTGTTGCAATAGGAATAACACTGATTTCAAAAATATGTTAGGCCAGGTGCGGTGGCTTATGCCTATAATCCCAGCAATTTGGGAGGCTGAGGCGGGTGGATCACGAGGTCAGGAGATTGAGACCATCCTGGCTAACCTGCTGAAACCCCGTCTCTACTAAACAAAATACAAAAAATTAGCCGGGCATGGTGGTGGGCATCTGTGGTCCCAGCTACTCGGGAGGCTGAGGCAGGAGAATGGCATGAACCCGGGAGGTGGAAGCTTACAGTGGGCCGAGATCATGCTCCTGCACTCCAGCGTGGGCGACAGAGACTCTGTCTTAAAAAAAAAAAAAAAGTTAGTGGTGTGGGAGAGAGCAGGCAAAGTCTAGGCGTTTCAGCAGGAAATGGTGCAATGTGGTCTGTGGTCAGGTTAAGGCAGGATGTTTTTTGCAAGTCTGTGCTTTGAGGCATTTAGGCAAACTTGCGGGCAAACACGTGTAGGGCCTGTGGGGAGGAGAAAAACCTGACAAAAGTTTGGCCAGCTAACACACAGTAAGAAATTGACAATTGTGAATGTGTGATCGAGTTTTTTCTTTTATTAGGGCTGAGGAATAGTTGTTTACCTCTTCAGCAGCTGAAGCATATTTGAGTTGTTGCTAGTTTTTTGTGATAATGAATAAACCTGGTGTAAAATATTCCTTACAGGTTTTTGGGTAAACACAAGTTTTCACTTCCCTTGTTTAAATACCTAGGGATAGGATGGCTAGGGCATGTGGTGAATTTACATTTACCATAACAAACTGCTTAACTGTTTTCCAAAATGCCCATAACATTTTGCATTTCCAGTGATGATGCATGAAAATTCCAGTTGCATCCTGTCCATTCTCTCACTGCTATAAAGAAATAGCCTGAGACTGAGTAATTTGTAAAGAAAAGAGGTTTAATTGGCTGACCATTCCACAGGCTGGCCAGGAAGCATGATTCTGGCATCTGCTCAGCTTCTGGGGATGCCTCAGGAAACTTACAATTCATGGCAGAAGGCAAAGGGGGAGTCCATACTTCACTTGGCCAGAGCAGGAGGAAGAGAGGAAGTGAGGGAGGGCACCACACAGTTTTCAACCGCCAGATCTCACGAGAACTCACTCTTATCATGACACAGTGCCAAGGGGGAAATCTGCCCCCATGATCCAATCTCCTTCCACCAGACCCCACCTCCAACGCTGGAGATTACAATTCAACATAAGATTTGGGTGGGGACAAAGATCCAAACCATATCACATCCCTTCCTCACCAGCAGTTGTTTCTTTTTCTGTTTTGTTTGCCACTCTAATAACCATGTAGTAGTCACTCATGGTTTTAATTTGTATTTCTCAAATGGCTGGTTATTTCAAGCATGTTTTTATGCACTTGTTTGCTATTCATATATCCTCTTTAATCAAGTATATCTCCAAATCATTGGCCCACTTTTTAATCTAGTTTTCGTTTTCTTATTGTTGAGTTTTGAGTTCTTAATATATTCTAGATACAAGTCGCTTTTTAGAGAGATGTTTTTCTGCCTTTGCTTGTCTTTTTATTCCCTTTTCAGGGTTTTTTTTCTAGCAGAGAGTTTTAATTACGTTAAAGTTCAATTTATCAATTTTTAAAATATTGATAATGCTTTTGGTGTTGTATGTAAGAAATTTTTGCCTAATTCAAGTTCACAAAAATGTAATTTTCCTCTTCTAATAGTTTTAGGGTTTGAGGCTTTATATATGAGTCTAAAATTTATTTTGAGTTAATTTTCTTATAAGGTATTAGGTGTGAGCTGAGGTTCACTGTTTTGCATTAGGACACTCAATTGTTCCAGCACTACATGTTCAGAAAATATTACCCCTTACCTACCTGATTACTTTCCACGTCTGTCAAATGTCAATTGATGATACACGTTTAGATTTGTTTCTGAAACCTTTTTTCTGTTCCATTGATTTATGTGTCTGTTCTTTTGTCAATATCATACTGTCTTTGTTTCTATTACTTTGTAAATTACGAAAGCAGGTTCCCTGATTTCCAAATTTGGCCATTTTTTTTTCCTTCAAAATTGTTTGGCTATTCTAGTTCTTTGCTTTTTCATATAATTTTAAAATTACCTTGCTTATTTCTACAAAAAATTCATACTGCAATGTTTATCAGTATTGCACTGAATCTCTAAACCTGTTTGGGTATAATTGACATCCAGCAATATTGCATATTCCAATCTATGAATATCTTATATCTCTCTGTTGATTCAAGTCTGCTTTGATTTCTTTGTCCCTTTGGTTTCCAGCTTTCATCATACTGATCCTAAACATATTTTGATATATTTATTTGATATCTTTCATGTTATTATAAATGATACTGTTTTTATATTTAAATTTCCACTTCATAATTATGAATATGGAAATATAAGTGATTTTTATATATGAACATAGGTAATCCTGTAGCTTTGCCAAATTCATTTATTCTCATAGCCATTTGGTAGATTCCTTAGAATTTTACATGCAGACAACTGTGTTGTCTGTGAATAGCAATGCTTTTATTTCTTTCCAATCTGTATGACATTTATTTCTTTTTTCTTGCCTTTTTGCCCCTAATAGGACATCCAGTAAAATGTTAAATTGGATTGGTGAGAGAGATCAGACATCCTTGCCTTGTTCTATGTCACTGGGGGAAAGCATTTATTCTTTCATCGTTAAGGTTGTTGCTAGTTGTAGTTTTTCTGTAGATGCCCTTTATCAGGTTGAAGAAAGTTCTTCAATTTCTAATTTGTTGAGTCTTACTATCGTGGATGAATATTAAGCTTTTCACATCCTCTTGCTGCATTTATTCAGATGCTCATATGTTGTCCCTTGTCTCATTCTGTCAATATGGTGAATTACATTGATTTATTTTCTGCTTCCCTTGTTGCTTCTAACCAGCTGCTTTACTATGGGGCTAAATCTGGATTGTGTATGTTTCTTTTTCATCCCAATTTCTACTCTTTTTCCAGTAACTGGAAGATTCCCTGGGGGTGGGGAGAATTCGATTTTTATCTCTAGCCCTCTTTGGGCCATTATTCTCATTTATGAACCAAGCCCTTTTGTGAAAGGAGTTGGCAGTAGGAGAATTGAAGTACATCTGATCTTAGTGTTGATTCTATGATAAATTTTTTCTCCCTACGATATTCCTGAGATTGAGATTCTGATGTTTCTATTTTACAGATAAAACTCTGCAAAGACAATGTCTAGCACTTATATCTCCAGTAACTCCTGTCAAGGTTTATTGTTGCTTGTTCATCATTGCAGTCCTGACTACAAGTGTGATTGCACTTTCTATTGTTTTGTCAGGTAAGTTACTTGTTCTCCAAACTGTACAATATTCTCCATATGTTTTTGTTGTCAATAAATATTTATTAAGCTCCATTATGTGCCTGTCACTGTGTGAAATGCTTGAATTACATCAGCAAACAAAATACACACAAAAGAATTCCTGCCCTTTGGAACTTATATTCCAGCAGAAAAACACAAGTAAAAATAAATAAGGGTGGAGGTATAACAGGTTGCAATAGGTTGACAAAACTAAGCCTTCTTAGGAAGGTGACATTTCAGCAACCTTTTGAAAGAGATGGAGGAACCATGTGAAGGAACCTATTCCAGGCAGAGAACAAGTAGACCAAAGCCTGAAGGAGGACTCTTCCTGGCTTATTTGAGGAAGAGCAAGGAGGCTGCTGTAGGTGAAGCAAAGTGAAGATGGAGAAGAAGAGTGATACCATGGGGAATCAGGAACGGAGGAACCTTGAGGGTCAGTTAAAGACTTTGGCTTTGACCTTCAGTGCAATAGGGAGACTAGATGAGGGAAGTTGTACGAGAGGAATGTCTTGATGTGACTTTCATTGTAGAATAATCATTTAATTGCTATATTGAGACTAGGTAGGGGAGGGTGGTCAGACTCTGGATATTTTGAAAGCTGAGCCAACAGTATTTTATGTCAAATTGGATAAAACGTCTCAGAGGAATGTCAAAGGTAAGCCTGTCTTCTTTTGAGCCTTGGCAAGAATGCATTTGCCGTCCATTGATATGAGAAAGGCTATGGGTATAGGAATTCCGCTTACGGAACTATTTCCTGACAAGTTCCTCTCAGAATTGTCATTTTTTATTAAAAATAAAGTAAGATCTCTACTTGAAATGTTTTCAGGCAAATCACCTGGCCTTAAGAGCTGGTATCTTCTACTTAAGCAGATTGAGAATGCACGAAAGTACAGAGAACTGTATACATAAAAAAATCATCTCTTGTATAGAGGTAATAGGTCCTCAGCATTGCTTTGTCAAGAGAAAGAAGGGCTAATATGAGGGAGGATATGGAAAAATCATCCGTATGACCCTGTGAAAGTACAGTACTATGGAAGTCGATGCTATAGAAATTGATTTCCTTGAAACTGTTAGTGTCAGTGTAAATTTCAGAAAGTCAAGGGTGCAGATACCCAGCTGGAAACCACCGGACTGACGATTGTTGTGCTTAGGATAAGGCACTTTGTGATGAGTTAGGAAAACAACAATCAGATATGTACACTTCAAAATTGACCTCAGGAAGGTAAGCAGAAAAATAGATAAAATGGGTGAGAAAATTTCTTTATTATGTTTCATTGTGATTGTCTCACTTTTAGCAAGAAAGGAAAAGCCAGTGGTAGAGTCATCTAAATACGCTGCTTGCCCAAAAAGCTGAATTAGATTTAGGAGTAAATGTTTTTATTTTTCTGAAGGCATAAGAAATTAGACATTGAGTCAAACGTTCTGTGTCTCATTAGAAGCCAGCCTTGCTCAGTTTGCAACTATGGAGGAACTGGTAAGAGATATTTTTGGATCATGTTTTCTGTTAAATACTTAGCCCCCTGAGGCAGGTCGGCTACATAGGGTTAAAGCTGAAATACTAAGAAGGATCCCATTCCAGGGGCATGAGATGTGTTTTCATGTCTAACATTTGTTGAGGGTGTGTTCTCTGCCTGGAACCCTGTGAGACATTTTAGATATATTTCCCCATGTAATGCTCATGGTGAGCTGGTAAGATGAGATGTATTGTTCTCATTCTATTAAGAAGTAAGGTAATTATATAATTTGTCATCTAGATTAAGACATATAGGGCATTAAAAGTGATCATTAATACATTGGTGGAATGACAAGCATAAACTGAGAATTTCCCAATGAAACTGGGATTTATGCTCACTTTAAATAAAGTAATTTAGGATCAGAGACGTTAAATGACTTAAACTGAGAACTGGGAATTAGTCTCACTCCAGAATTTATGCTGCTTAATTATACCACGCTGCCAGTGAAAAAGAGAAGGGATAGGGAAGAGAGACTCCAGAGTAATATGAAAGAAAGGGGCTCATGGTGTTAGTTTCTGTTTTATTATAGAATTTCCTGAAAAGATACAAAGGCCCTTCTGACCATTGGATTGGCCTTAGAAGAGAATCATCCCATCGCATTTGGAAATGGACAGACAACATGGAATATAATAACATGTATGTTTTGAGACTTCTCATCTTTTGCTGTGTTTATGTATGGTTATGTGTGTGAGTTGTGTTTATGAGATAAGAAATGTAGTATCATGGAAAACTTACTGCAATATGAGGTAAGAAATCTAAACCCTTTTTATGCTCTTCAGTTGGTTAGCTGTGTCTTTGGGAAAGCTTTACCTGTGATTTCAGTTGAAGTCTTTAATGTGACAGTGACATTTCTCACAATTTTACACTTTCATCCACTGATTTAAAACTGCTGAAATCCCTACTTATAGCTGATGTGCAACAAAGGTTCTACAATCATAGGAAGCCACTGAGGAGCTGATATCCACAAGGCTGTTAAGCCCACTCTTGCAGGTGTTGCATCCATTTACAATAGGAAAGCATCCAGGGAACTCATGGGAATCTCTCCCTCCTAAAGCTTTATCACCAGAAGGAAACTAGTAACAGTTCCTTGGACTGTGAACATTTCAAAGGGGTATTTTGAATATAATCATTACATTGCAGCAGATAAAATGTAGGAACCCAGTCATATCCATTAATCAAAGCTAAGCCCTTTCAGGAATTTACTAGTTTTTTTTTTTTTTTTAGTTTTCACACATTTACAAAACAATTTGGGAGGAGGCTGGAAATCATCTTGACTGAAGACCACCAATGGCAGCAGTTCATTTGGGTACAGCAGCAAGCATCAGTTAAATACCTATCAACATAGCTGGGCTTGGTATGGATGAATGATAAGCTTGTGATTTTCAAGCAAGGACCTTGAGGACATAAAGGACACTAAATACAGAAATGGTTTATATTACTATGAAGCAATATTAATGACAGACTTTTGCTTTTCTCTTATTCACATTGAAATATGGAGGGGTTGCAGAAGATGATGGGGAGGAACAAATGCAGGTGTCTAACTTACAAATATTTAATATTTTTGTGTTTGGATTTAGGCTTGCTATCAGAGGAAGTGGAGAATGTGCCTTCCTGAATGACAATGGAGTCAACAGTGGCAGAATCTACATGAACAGAAAATGGATTTGTAGCAAGCCAAACAATTATGTCTACAGTTGCCAGTTATGTCCCCACTGGGATACTACCTAGTAGAGCTGTGAGAAGAGGGCCACCATCCTCCAGACTCCAGAATGGTGGAATCAGCAGCAGCTTCCACCATGCCCCTGGAAAAACTGCAAGTAACAGACCTGCACATGTATCCCCTACATCTAAAATAAAAGTTGGAAAAAATGGAACTTTGATGTTAAGATGCACTGATACAAAACTTAAATTTTGGTCTCCTACATTAAAACAATATGAGTCTCTTAAAATATTGATTTGTTCTTAGTAAGATTACAAGAGGCTTTGATTTTTAATTCTGCAATGTTTCCTTAACAGCCATTCTGAATTACAAACTAATTCCTATTTCTGCCACATTCCTTCCTGAGAACTGTCTAGTCCTGGTTTGGGATTTATCTTAAAGGTCTAGAAAGGCAACATTTTACTTCAGCAAAACTTGATTCTATATTGTTGTTTTTTCTTAATGTGTCAAAATTGTTTTGTTACTAGGATTTCCTATGTTGTTATTAAATGTATTCCCCTGATCAAGGTCACTGGCCTAGAAAACAAAGATTCTGTGTTTTACCAAGATAATTCCCAGTGCTTCATGGTGTCTTTATTAGGCTTTGACTGCTTAGGGAAACTGAGCCTTAAAAGGGTAAAAGTTTTTCCATCCATGTAACTTTCTGAGGTCTTTAGGTTGTCACTCTGATTAAATGAGTAGTATTCTTAGCAGTGACTTATTATCTGTTGAAGGAAGTATTTTAAGCTTTTTGACATCTTTGGCAGGTTTCTCTAGAATCCAAATCCTAAATTAAGCCTTTTGGCCTAAAAATGACTGGGATTTTTCCAGGTGGACCCCCTAGATATGCTCCTCCAAAGGCTTGTCTTTCTTGTAGAGTTATTAAATGATTAGGCTTATTTGGCAAATACTGCTAGAAGCATTGTCAAATAAGAAATGGTGTTTTACCTTTCTTTAAGCTGTGTTTGTGTAAGTTCATCATTTATAGAAATGTGAAATTTTATGAGATTCCTAAGATACTGACATGCTGAGATACCTGTAATAATTGCAATTTTTATGTTGGATGATTGTATGCCACAGAAGCACTTAAATTTCCTGGTTAATTGGTAACGTTAATCAGATCTTTACCTATGGCTGTTCTGGGTTTTTGTCATTCACAGTTATTATTTTAATTTCTTCTTTGGAAGCGTTCGCAATCAGCTATAGTCCAAAATTGCTAATTAAGATCAAGCAAAACAAAATTAATTACGTAAAATTAATTTATAAGGATGTTTTTATGACGTAAATGTTTTATTTTCCAGAGCCAAGGAAATTTTCTGTCACAAGCTATCTACCGTTTGCAATAATTTGATAAATAATCCTTTGTGAACAAATATGGAAGCATTTGCTTTTTCTCTCTACTTGATTCCTTCAAAATTCAGAAACTATTTGTGGATATTTTTAGTTTTATTTATACAACTTCAGTAAAAATCCACTCTCTCTTTATAAGCAGGATCCAGTTGGAAACATTATTTATATTGCTAAGGTTTGGCTTGAAATGTCATATTTCAGAATGTGCATAGAGGCCAGGGGTGGTGGATCACACCTGTAATCCCAGCATGTTGGCAGGCTGAGGTGGGTGGATCACTTGAGGCCAGGAGTTTGAGATCAGCCTGGTCAAAATGGTGAAACCTCATCTCTTCTAAAAACACAAAATTAGCCAGGCATCGTGGCACACGCCTGTAGTCCCAGCTACTCGAGAGGCTGAGGCATGAGAATTGCTTGAACCCAGGAGGTGGAGGTTGCAGTGAGTGGAAATCCCACCACTGCACTCCAGCCTGGGCGACAGCATGACACTGTGTCTCAGAAAAAAAAAAAAAGTGCGTAAAATGCCTTGCTTCATGAGTTCCCAGCTTTACAGGGAATGAGTAAAAATTGTCACTTTCTGGCAGGTTCAAGAACCTTATTATAAGCAAAATCCAAAGGCTGCTTTGGTTTGGTTTCCTAGCCTCAAGAGGTTCTAAAATCTAAGATCTCCTACATCATCAACGGGAGAGAAAAATTATGCTTCTAAGGAAAGCAAAGTTACACCTGTTTTTAGATTTTAACCCTGTACATTGTCTTCAAGTCCTTGTTATCTGCCTGTGGACTGAACTAGATCCTGAATTCTCCTAAGTTCCTCCAATATTAGGTTATAACAGTCCTGATGGAGTCCCCCAACCCTCTTGCCTCGATCCTGACTAGGGATGCTCCAGGGACATTCAGGTGACTTCCCCTTCTTAAAAATCTGACCAGCTAGGGACATTAGATACCAGAATTGGGAACAAACTAGATCCATAAGATACTATGGTCAGTAATGAGATCTTATTGGTCAGTGACTTTTTTTTTTTTTTTAAATGGAGTCTCACTCTGTCACCCAGAGTGGAGTGCAGTGGCATGATCTCAGCTCGCTACAACCTCCCATCTCCCGAGTTCAAGTGATTCTCATGCCTCAGCCCCTCAATTAGCTGGGGTTACAGGCATGTGCCACCACACCTGGCTAATTTTTGTATTTTTAGTAGAGATTGGGTTTTGCCGTGTGGGCCAGACTGGCCTCTGGCCTCGAACTCCTGACCTCAGGTGATCCACCTGCCTCGGCCTCCCAAAGTGTTGAGATTACAGGCATGAGCCACTGCACCTGGCCTGCTCAGTGACTTCTAACATTGCTGCTGTACCTGGGTAAATACTTCCAGTCATATTTAAGCGGGCTTGGAGTTGGCAAAATCTCTGAGAGAGACATCTTCGGAAAGCCTCCATGCTGGACTTAGTGGATAAAGTTTCCAATGTCCAGATATTTTCAGCTGGTTTCTCCTTGGTATAGGATTTCTTCTGCATTCTACCCTGCACATCTTAATGATAACCCTCATATTTTGGCTAAGCATTTGACTCCCCTTTAGAATTGTTCTAACTTGTTTTTAACAGATGTCTACAAGAGATTCCCACCAGGATCCTGCCCATGCAATCTTTGAGACTTTAAACTCACTCCAGCTGGAAATAGGAACCAACTTAACCCAAGAGACTTTGGTTCACATTTAACCAGTACTTTCCTGAATGCCTCTCCTAAGTAAATGGCTCTAGTTTCTCTATTGGCCACTGCACTGCCACTAGGATTCCTGCAAGGGATCCGATGGGCCCAGAGCAGGTAGCCAACCACTTCTCTGTTGGATGGAATGCAATGCTGTTTGCCAGCATGTTTGAGCCAGTCCTTCAAGATGGATTCTGAGTGACTAACTGGACCTAAATTTAAATAGCACAAAGCAGCCATTTGCTAACTAGATTTCATACAAATGCTCTGAGTTCCTGGAAAACCCACACTCCTTAACTTTGGGACTTTCAAGACTCACCTAAATCAATCAATTAAAGCTCACTTGTGTCAGCTAATCAGGGATCAGCTGTATTGACTAATGAAAACTAAGCGAGTTTCAAATTTTAACCATTTATTTGTGTAGAAGACTTGATTGGGAGCCTGGGTATGAATACTTGCTATAAAATCTGAGCATTCCCTTTGTTCTCTGGAGCAAACAATGTTAAGTTGTTAACTCTCTGTACCTTTCTCTAGAACTGGATGGAAACAACTCCATCTGAAATGCAGCCCTAATACCAGGGAACTCCTACAGTAAAGCGCTAAACAACTTTATTACTCTAACCAACGTTTATGTCCCTAATCAGCAAGAAGTAGTTAGAATGGTCATCATCCCTTTCCCTCAAGATTGAGGAATGGACATAAAAAGGAGGGGATTTGTAACTGCTCCAGACTGATCTGTTGTCAGAAAGGGGCTCTTGAACCAGACCATGAAAGAGGGTTCTTGGATCTCCTGCAGGAAGGAATTCAAGGAGAGTCACAGAGTGTAGAGAGAATAGACAGTTTATTGAAAGCTACTCAGTTACAGAGTAGGGCATCCTCCAAAAGCAGGAGGAGGAATGTGCTGTCTTTGTTTTAAACTCTTCTTTTATAGGGGTTTAATCTATGTAAAACCTAAGCTATGTCTACATGTGGGTAGGCTGTCAGTGTGACAAAATTTAGTATTTTGTTGATATAAAGAAACTTATCCTTGTCATCTTAGTGCATAAGTACATCAAAGTATGACTTTAGCTACCTTAAAAGCATGTATTGTTATGTGATATTGGGACATCTGGACATTCTGCTGTCGTAGGAGTTTGTCCTTGCAGCATTACTAAATCGCTTCCTTAGCTGTAAACATCTTATAATCGTAGGTCATAACTGTCAAGGAAGTGCCTTGCTAGTTTTTAGATGGAGTTGATTTTAAAATAGTGTCACTCTGGCTTTCCTATGCTCCTGCTTTCCTAACAAATCTGGTTCAACTTTTTTTTTTTTTATTCAACATAATCTTTTTTTTCCATGCTACCTCATTTACAGAGTGCTTCCTATAGATATGGTTGGTCTGTATGTTTCATTTTTCAGCTTTGATTCTTATTTTTTTGAATCACACATGCTTTATGGGGGCTTCCACTACCATGAGCCATATTTTCTGTATTACCAGCAAGATGTTTGGGTTTGTTTTTTGTTTTCTTTATATTTCAAATTTTATTTTAGATTTAGGAAGTACGTGTGCAGGTTTGTTAACATGGGTGTATTGCATGACGCTGATCTTACAATACCAATGATCCCATCACTCAGGTAGTGAGCATAATATCCAATAGGTAGTTTTTCAGAACTTGCCTTATCTTCCCTCTCTCCCTGCTCTCTTAATTCGAAGCCTATTTTTCCTATCTTTATGTCCACATGTTTCCAGCATTTAGCTCCCACTTATACGTGAGAGTATGTGGTATTTGTTTTTCTGTGTCTGCATTAATTTACTTAGGATGATGGCTTCCAGCTGCATCTTTTGTTGCAAAGGACATGACTTTGTTCTTTTTTATGACTGTGTAGTATTCCATGGTGTATATGTACCACATTTTCTTTATCCAGAACACTGTTGATAGGCATCTACATTGATTCCATGTCTTGGCTATTGTGAATAGTGCAGCAATAAACATGCATGGTTCAACTTTTATGGTAACAAAGCTGTGAGTTGTTCTTCAGTTGTCATGGACCCTCACTCAGGTCATGTAACCTGAGCATGGACAGGTGAAACAAGTGTGCAACCACAAGGGAAACCTAATCATTCAGACTGAGGTACAGGGACCGAATTAAGAGGTGGACACAGGATGGCAGGATCCAGGATCCAACTGGATAGAACTCAGGCATCACTTCATGGCAGGATCCAGTCAGATCTTGCCTCCCAGCATCACCTCATTGCAAGATCCAATCAGATTATTCCTCACTACCCTATGCTTATAAAACCTGACCCACCTCCCAGCTTGGCGAGGTACTACTTTGGGAGCTTTGTCCAGTGTTCTCTTTACTTTCTGTAAGAACAAAATCTCCTTGCTAAATCCACCTTGTCGGTGGTCATTGGGTTGATACCTGCCAAGTGACTGAACCCACCTGTTGTGTGGGTAACATTTAGAACATATTTTCCATTTCTTTATTTTCCTTGACTGTCTGCATTGGTGTCTGTGCACCAGATAAAACAGCTTCCTTTCCAGTCTTCACAGACAGGTCTCAGATAGGACAACACCTTTACCAATCAGTCCAGACAGAGGTTCTGGGTGCCACTTAAACCTTCCTGGTAGTTGAAACCACAATGTTTGTTCTTAATGGTCCTCAGGCATCTAGAGTATGCCAGGCCCTTCCAGTGCTCTCAGATACATGAGATAAAATCCAGTTCCTCAGGTAGCAGCCAGAAAAGCTGGGGTGCTAGTTATTTGGTCTGTCTCCTTTGCTTTTCAGAGAGAAGCTGGAAGCCAGGCTTTATCACTGCACTGAGCCAAAGTGGGGAGCAGGGGGAAGTGCCCACATGCTTATTAAAAACCGCTCTGAAAATATTTGAAGTAACAGGGCTATAACAATTATTATTTTAAAAGCAACTGCTGTTTTGGTTTGTGTAGCCCCAGAGGTTTAGCAGATGCTGGGCCCTGTCAGCTCACCAAAACAGGGAAATTAGAAACCAGTCTATCTGGTAGTATCTAGAGAAGTTGTGATACCAGATAGGTGGTCCAAACCCTTCACTCCTCAGGGATAGACTAAGAGATGGGAGTTCCTTCCCGATCATATGGCATTGTATTAGGGTTGGGGGTTATGATCACAGTGTGTGCAAGTTTTTTCCTATCAGTTTTGATGTGGATAGTTTCACACTCACCTAGGGTACAGGAGTGGCTCAGTCAGTTTCTGGATTTCCAATGATGGGAATTTGCCTCTGTGTTGCTGTTGAATTGATGGTGGGGAAGGAGAGTTTAGGGCCTTCTATTCTGCCATCTGTGACTCTGACAGTTTCTTTTAATGTTAAACTATCATACAGTCTAGTTACTACATTTGTAGACATTTCTCTCGCACAAATGACAACTTATATTTACACAAAAGCCTGTATATAAAATGTGCATAACAGCTTTATTCATAATAGTCAAAACTTGTAAACAACTGTATGTCTCACAATGGGTGAAAAATTAAGTAAATTCTGTTATAGGCATACAGTGGATTACTACTCAGCAATAAAAAGGAATGGGCTATTGATACATATAACAACTTCCTTGAATCTCAAAGTACTTAGGCTAAGTAAGAAAAGCCAATTACTGAAGATCGCATTCTGTGTGATTTAATTTACGTAACATTATTGAAATGACAAAATGGTATAGATAGAGAATGAGGGTTATGGATGGGTGAGTGGAGAAGAAGGGGCAGTATGGAGAAAGGGTGGTGTGGCTCTCCGTCGTGATGGAAGAGTTTCGTTTCCTCATTGTATCAATGGCATTATCTTAGTCGTGATATTATAGTGTAGTTTTTTAGATGTTACCATTGGGAGAAACTGAGTAAAGAAGATGTGGGATCTTTCTTTAGTATTTCTTAGAACTGCATGTGAATCTACAACTAGCTCAAAATAAAAAGTTTAATTATAAAATAAAAGCTACATGAAATGAAGCAAAAAATAATTCACCCTTGTCACGCACACAGAGTCAGAGACTGTAACATAATTTGCAGGATCTAGAGCAGAATACAAATGTAAAACATCTTGTTAAAAAATTATTAATAATTTTGAGACATTGATAAAGCATTAAGCCGCCTGTGGGGCCCTTTAAGCATGATAAACTGTGCTACCACACAGATTGCACATTCACGTATCTGGCCCTGCAAATGGAATGATTTTTGCCCATGATCAATTCACCATGGCCTCTTTGGGCTCAGTGAATTTGCTTCTTCAGGAGGGTAATTTTCTCTTCTTTCTCTGCTAAGCTGTTTAACAGTAGTTGCCCTGCCTAATGGGCTTCATCCATCCATTTCTCTCAGATTATTTTCATGATGCACTAGGATGAAGCACACCCTTTCTCCTAGTCTTGAGGAAACGTCGATATTCAGAATATTTAAACGCAGGCACTGACCAATCAGAAGAGTTTCTGGCCAACGTTCCACACTTGAGGGAAATGACATTATCTGAGCCCTGAAGAAAAACGTTGTAGATATTCTCCAGATCAAAGCATCGACAGGAAGATTTTAGATGTTGAAGTTCGTAATATTTCCTAAAGCAGGTATGAATTACTAGTAACTTAATAGGTATATTAACTGATGAAGTTTTCATTTCTCAGAACAAACCAGTCAAGGAAGGTGCTATTATACTCCTTTTATTCATATAGATCTTGAGGCTGAGACAGTTTAATCAATATGCTATAATTATTGTGTAATAATAAATTACCATAAACTAGGGGTGCTATGATCTCAATATTTGTATCTCCCACTCCCAAATTCACATGTTGAAATCCTGACTCCCAAGGTGATGGCATTAGGAGATGAAACCTTTGTGAGGTCATTAAGTCATGAGGGTAGAATACCGATGAATGGGATTAGTGCCCTTACAAAAGGGGCCCACCAAAGCTGCCTTGTTCCTTCTACTATGTGAGGACACATCTAGAAGTTACCATCAATGAACCAGAAAGTGGGCCCTTACCAGGCACCAAATCTGCCAGCACTCTGATCTTGGACTTCCAGCCTCCTGAACTGTGAGAAATAAATTTCTGTTGTTTATAAGTTACCCATTTTATGGTATTTTGTTACAGGCACATGAACTAAGACAAGTGGATTAAAAACAACACAAATTATTATTTTACTGTCTAGAAATGAGAGGTTCAAAATGGCTAAAGTCAGGGTGCCACTGATAGGGCTGCATTTCTTTTGGAGGCTCTAGGGAAGAAGCCGTTTCCTTGCCTTTTTCAGCTTCCAGAGGCCACCTGCATTCCTTAGCTTATGGTCCCTTGCTACAGCTTTAAAGCCAGCAGCACAGCACCTTCAAATCTCTCTCTGACAGTGACATTCCTGCCTTCCCCTAATAAAGACCCATGTGATTAGATTAGGCCCACCTGGATTATCCAAAATAATCCCTCTGTCTTTAGACCCTTAACCATATGTGCAAAATGTCTTTTGTCATGTAAAATAACATCCTTACCTCAAGGTTTTGGGAATTAGCTTATTAATGTCTTTAGGGGGTCATTATTCTGCTTTCCACATACATTTAAAATTAACTATCAGGCTACAAAAGTCATATATGAATTGAGCTTGTTTTGCCCCAAAGGCTGTGTTCTTTTTTTATTTTTTTTATTTTTATTTTTTGAGATGGACTCTCACTGTTGCCCAGGCAGGAGTGCAGTGGCACAATCTCGGCTCACTGCAACCTCCGCCTCCTGGGTTCAAGTGATTCTCCAGCCTCAGCCTCCCAAGTAGTTGGGATTACAGGTGCGCACCACCACGCCCAGCTAGTTTTTGTATTTTTAGTAGAGACAAGGTTTTGCCATGTTGGCCAGGCTGGTCTCCAACTCCGGACCTGAGGTGATCCACCTGCCTCGGCCTCCCAAAGTGCTGGGATTATAGGTGTGAGCCACCACACCCTGCCAGCTGTGTTCTTTTACATCATAATACACTGCCTTTTATATCCCTCACTTATTCAATATCATTACCATCCATCATGCTGTCACAAACACAAAAACCCAAGAAAAGTGGGATACAGGTCATTGAGAATAAATAATTTTTATAAACTTTTGTTCTTTCTTGTAACTTTTTATCAGTCAGCTATTCCAATGAAGCAAAATCTGATAATATATTGCTTTTATACTACTTAGTTGAGACACTCACATCTATTGAAGAGTAATGGGCACTTTGAAGGGGCTTTTTTCTTTCCTTTTATATCCGGTCAATTAGTCATTAATTTCTGCCTTCTAATATAGACTCAACTAAAAAATTATATTTTGAAAAAAATTTATTTTCTAAATGAAATTAAAATTACTCTGTATGTGTACTTCTTTTCCTCACACTGGAATTCTCTAAGGACAGTGTAAATGCACATCACTGTATCTTATGTGTGGTATCTTATGTGTGGTATCAGCTATTTAACACAAGGTTGCATAAGAAAGTAAGCACGACGATATGGCTTAGAAGTCATGAGATTCACATAGTTTAATATAAAGCTCTTGTGATAATTGGAGAGTTATTTTGTCACATTTCTCCTTTCATAATTTATGCTCCAGCTCTCTCAGATTTCAGGTGTTTTCCCAACTCTGAGATATATTCTCTTCTCTCTGGGCCTAACTAAAGAAACTAGAAGACTTTCTTCAACTGGAAGACTTCTTCCTCCACCTCAAATGCCTCACTTTATTTTTTTTAATTAATTAATTTATTTATTTATTTATTGTTTTGAGACGGAGTCTCGCTGTTTCGCCCAGGCTGGACTGCAATGGCACTATCTCGGCTCACTGCAAGCTCTGCCTCCTGGGTTCATGCCATTCTCCTGCCTCAGCCTCCCGAATAGCTGGGACCACAGGCGCCTGCCACCGTGCCCGGCTAATTTTTTGTATTTTTAGTAGAGACAGGGTTTCACTGTGTTAGCCAGGATGTATGTATTTATTTATTTTGAGACAGAGTCTCATTCTGTCGCCCACGTGGTGCAACCTTGGCTCACTGCAACCTCTGCCTCTAGGATTCAAGCAATTCTCCTGCCTCAGCCTCCCAAGTAGCTAGGACTACAGGTGCAAGCCACCATGCCCAGCTAATTTTTGTATTTTTAGTAGAGATAGGATTTCACCATGTTGGTCAGGCTGATCTTGAACTCCTGACCTCAGGTGATCCACCCGCCTTGGCCTCCCAAAGTGCTGGGATTGCAGGTATAAGCCACCATGCCTGGCCTAAATGCCTCACTTTATTTAACTAACTCCAGCTCATTTGATTGGTACTTTCTTGGGAAAACTTCTTCTGGGTTAAGTGCCCTCATTAACTGCTCTCCTAATAAATTATTCTACTGCCATTCACATCTTGTTACAATAAGTCATGTATACCTACTTATTTTTCAGTTTCATATTAACTTCCTTAAAGAAAGGGACATTACCCTCAAAGTCCACCTGGCGTGCTGGCTGAAAGATGTTAAGTTTGAAAATATTTGTTAAAGGGTAAATGATTATGTACATCTTTAGGACTTCATGAACTTACTTTCAGTTTAGTTTCCACATAAGGAGAAACTTACAGCAACGTAGAAACCAAGAGATTGATATGAATAAATGATGTGACTAACTCACAAATACCATGTCATTTGATATTTGACCTTTAAAGTAGTTTTCATATCAGATCTGTCAGTCATGGGTTCTATAGCTTACTGTGAACTTAGACATATTAGTTAGTCCCTCACCCAAAATCATCTGAAAAATAAAGGTAATATCAGCCTCATTAGTTAGTTATGCCAATTAAATAAGAACACATATTTAAATCTCATATTAATGTGTATGGAGCATAGTAAGCAGTAATAACCTGGCATGTTGTCATGCCAGGCTAGTAACAGTAAAAGTAATAGTAGTTTCACTGGAAGGTCCAAGATTAGTGTGGAAATTCCAAGATGATTAGTGTGGAAATTCCAAGATAAGTGTGGAAATCTCAATTTATCAGGGTTTACCTTTTGTCCCCTTTAAGCTAACAATGAAATTATAAAAGGATATAAAAGGGATAAGCCTGACAGTTCATATCCACTTCTGTGTATGATAATATAACTGGAGAGACATCAAACTCATGCTGAGAACAACTAGAAGAGTTAGAATTGAAGAAAAAGGATTTCATTAAGATATTAGAGAGTGTTCAAGGCAACTGGAGGCAGAACGAAGATTCTGGAAAGGGGCCACAGAGAAGTGAGTCAGCATTCCAGGAGCCACCCTTCTCTTAGGGGCATCTTGGCAGTGGGTCAGATGCTGAGATTCTGGGGAGAGGGCTGTGGATACCAGGCATTTTTTTGGGGGAGAGAAAAATCTCTTCCTAAAGCACTTGAAGGACCAAAACCCCCAGAGAGGAGAGAGGGCCAAAGAAATGAGAAAAATTTTTCTCTCAAGCAATTTTCAAATTATTAAATTTCACAGGAAAGGAGGTTAGGAAGAACTATGTGAAAAACAGACTTGAACTTTTGGCAATCACATGTTGTTCAGGAGACAAAACCAAATTCAACTTCCAAGAAAGAGAAGCAGCTTTGATAAAAAGCAGGTTCTCAGATGGAATTACTAGAAGGCTTTATCATAGGTCCTAGGACAAACTAGAAATGATGAAATAGTAAAGAAAAAGATATATAAAATCTTACAGAAACTGGAACTCAGTCCTAATGCAACTTCATTTCTATTTGATAAAGGCAATAGCTGTCCAATCTGGAACTTATTTCTTACAGGTAAGGGGGGCTACTGTATAGAATTCAAAAGCAGGGAAAATATGTTGTCAGAGTTAAGATAGAGATTGTATTTGGGGTAATGAGCGTTGCAGGACATGAGTAGGGCACATAGCGTGTTGGTATTGTTTTACGTGGTTTTAAGATATACTTCATCTAGGCACTTGTTACATGTTATATTTTTAATGAATGTGTTTAGTTGTATGCTTATGATTTGTGCACATTACTATAAATTATATTTTAGTAAAAGGTGCCCTTACTGGCATTTATATACAAGAAATCAACACATCTGACAAGAAGCTCTTGCTGCTAAAGAGCCTCTGTGCTCCTGGATCATGCCAGAGGGAGCACAGAAGCTGCACACCGTTCAAGCCCATTTTTGAAAAGTTGTTGTAGCAGCCATAGCAGCAAATTCCCAAAATATCTTGAAGAAATTGAAAACAAGATATTTTTTGAATGAGCGTAAACTCTTGGGAATGAATTTTAATTTGAGATTAAAATTGCTGTTGTCTTTACTTACCTAACATTCATTTCCTCTGAGAGCCAACTCCTTCCTTTCAATAAATTCTTATTTTCTATCATAATATTGCTTTGTACCGCACAAAATACAATTATAATTTTTAATAGTCAAAGAAATTTTAAGTTATCAAACATTAGTTTCTTTCGTAACCAAAATACTGTTAGAGAAGTAGCTTCAACTTTTTAAAATTCTTACAAACACCAGTTTATTCTGTTGTGATGAGCTGATTTTTGAAACAATTTATGCTTCATTTGTTCCTCTAGCTATATTTAACTTAAAGGCTTGACATTTTGAGTTACTGGGGCGGTTACACACTTACACGTTTTAGTCGTTGGGCTTTTTTTTTGTTTTGTTTTGAATCATTCTTGGGGTTGAAAACGTAGAGACTGTGGTTTAGATCACTCATAGAAACTGGAGGCAAAATGCATGACAGTAACAATGTGGAGAAAGACATTACACCATCTGAATTGCCTGCAAACCCAGGTAAGAAGCTGGGCTCTACAGAGTAAGTGTGAGGACTGGAATGGGAAGGTAGTGGTAGTGATGGGCTCACACAGGAAAGGTGCTGATCTAGTAAAAAGTTTTCAAGGATAAGAGATGGAATGTGGGAGTCCATAAATTGGCTTATAATTTGTGTAAAACATGCATATATTTATATTCCCAGTTCTAACAACTAAGGAGAGGGAACAATGAGAGAAAGATGTAAGACAATGAGATAAGGTTAAGTTTAGGATTGAAAATAACAGTTAATTTCACTAAAAAAAAATCTATACAAACTCTAAAGTGTTACTCAGATACAAGATACCATCATTATTACATAGGTAGAAAACCTATCATGGAAGCTCTTAAGAGAGAAAAGGTAGAAAATAGTATGTAAAGGACATTTACAAATCAAAAAAGTAACAAAGGTTGAGTAGAAACTTAGTAGGGCATTCTAATGGAATTATGTTACATTGGATGCACTGGAAATATATATATATATAGCTTTATATGATGCTTTAGTAAGTGAAAAAAATGACTTTTGCCACAGTTAGGGAATATCAAGGTTTTATAACTTAGGACTTAAAAGTTTGGAGTTTTCTCCTCCCAACTTAAAAGGTAATCAATTTGGAGAAAAGGTAATTCAGAGGCAGAAAAAGATGAACTCTAAATGTTGTTAAATGACTTCATTTATTTCTTCATTCATTGGGTATTTTGAGCATTTTATACCAAATGCTTTAAACTGTTTGTCGGATAGTTCCAACATCTCTGTCATGTCCTCCTTGGCTTGTGTTTTCTTTCCCCATGGAAGTTGACATTTTCGTGGTTCTTCATATACTGTGTAATTTTGGATTGTAATTTGAACATTTTGAACAAATATTTAGTTAGACTGGATCTTATTTAAATTTTGGAGTATATTGATACTATTGTTTTAGCAAGCAATCACCCTGGTGAGATGAAGACAATCTGTGGGATCTGGTTCCAATGTCAGTTCCATTCTGAAAGCCTTTGTAGTGCTATTCAGACATGTGCATCAACCAGGGGTGAAATTGGGAACTGTGCAATGCTCTACTCATTAGTTCAGGTCTTAGCATCTTTAGTGTGCCAATTAGAACCATATCTAGGCATGCATAAGTTGAGGGGCAGGTGAATCCAGGAGTTTATGAATAATGTTCATGGGTCTCTTTCTAAAGTTTCTTCCTCTTCACCATCTGACCCGTACTTTCAGGTTCCCAGGGGCTTCTCCTTTCCATCCTCCAGCTAGAAATGCGGGCCTCCTTTTATTCTGATGAACCATATACTTCTGCAATTATAGCTGCATCTTTAAGCTCATGTGGCAGACGGACAGTGAGAAAGAAGAAAAAAAAAGCAAGAGGTTTGGCCCCACTCTCATGGAGCTACAGCTCAACTGAATGGAAAGGATTGACTTTAGATTTCTTTTCTTTTTTTGAGGTGGAGTCTCACTCTGTCCCCCAGGCTGGAGTGCAGTGGCGCGATCTCGGCTCACTGCAAGCCCCGCCTCCTGGGTTCACGCCATTCTGCCTCAGCCTCCTGAGTAGCTGGGACTACAGGCGCCCGCCACCACGCCCGGCTACTTTTTTGTATTTTTAGTAGAGACGGGGTTTCACCGTGTTAGCCAGGATGGTCTCGATCTCCTGACTTTGTGATCCGCCCGCCTCGGCCTCCCAAACTGCTGGGATTACAGGCGTGAGCCACCGCGCCCGGCCGAGGATTAACCTTTCTCAAGGTTTTGGCTATTGCATGTTGCTGTAGTTTCCCCTACCATCATCAGATTGCCTGAGGTTTGAGGCACATGAGAATGTAGACAAGAGGGGGAGAAAAAATAAACGTGGTATTTTCACACTCTATTTGAGATAGGAGTTTGCTTTTCTGTTCCTCAGACCATACCTCTAGTGCTTCTCCTGGAGCCCTCTCTTTATGCTGACAGAGGCTCAATTCCATGTTTCTGGCTGTATTAAGTTCGGGGCAGTGATACTAGAGGAGGGAAATTTAAATTCACCACTGGTTTGATGGCTCTTTAAATTTGGATATTCTTGTAAGATCTGCTGCTAGTATATCCTTTTTCCTTTTGCTCTTTTTTGTTTTGTTTAAAGACCATATTTTTAGAGCCATTTTGGGATCACAGCAAAATTGTGAGAAAGGTAGTTTTTTTTTTCATTTTCTCCTTGTTGCCACACATATATAGACTCTGTCTTAGTCTGTTTTGTGCTGCTATTACAGAATACCCAAGACTGGGTAATTTATAATGAACAAAATCTATTGGCTCATAGTTCTGGAGGCTGGAAAGTTCAAGACTGAGAAACACATCTTGCTCCATCATCCCATGGCAAAATTTGGAAGGGCAAGAGAGCACATGCATAAGAAAGAGAGAGAGCAAGAGGCACCAAACTTGCTTTTATAACAAATCCACTTTCGTGATAGTAAACCCACTCCCATTATAAGGACATTATGACCTGATTACCTCTTAAAGGACCTGCCTCTCAACACTATTGCATTGGGGATTAAGTATCTAACACATGAACTTTGGAGACACATTCAAACCATAGCAGTCTCTAACATCAACATTCTTCACCAGCAGTACATTTATTACAATTAATAACCTACATTGGCATATTGTAGCACTCAAAATTCATAATCTGATGGACTTCCCTTTGTCAGTGACCTGACCTTTCTCCCTGGCTGCCCTTAATATTTTTTCTTCCATTTCGACCTTGGAGTATGTGTCTTGGGGTTGATCTACTCATGAAGTATCTTATTGGGGTTCTCTGGATTTCCTGAATTTGAATATTGGCCTGTCTTGCTAGGTTGGGGAAGTTCTCCTGGATTATATCCTGAAGTGTGTTTTCCAACTTGGTTCCATCCTCCCTGTCTCTTTCAGGTACTCCAGTCAGTGGTAGGTTCGGTCTTTTTACATAGTCCCATAGTTCTTGGAAGTTTTGTTCATTTCTTTTCATTCTTTTTTCTCTAATCTTGTCTGTCTGCCTTATTTCAGCAAGAGAGTCTTCAAGCTCTGATATTTTCTCTTCTGCTTGGTCAATTCAGCTATTGATACTTGTGTTTGCAACATGATGTTCTCGTGCTGTGTTTTTCAGCTCCATCAGGTCATTTATGTTCCTCTCTGAACTGGTTATTCTGGTTAACAGCTCCTGTAATCTTTTATCATGCTTCTTAGCTTCTTTGCATTGGGTTAGAACATAATGCTTTAGCTCAGCGAAATTCGTTATTACCAACTTTCTGAAGCCTACTTCTGTCAGTTTATCCATCTCAGCTTCAGCCTTGTTCTGTGCCCTCACAGGAGAACTGTTGCGATCATTTGGAGGAGAAGAGGCACTCTGGCTTTTGGAATTTTCACCGTTTTTTCATTGTTTTTTCCTCATCTTCGTGGATTTATCCACCTTTGATCTTTGAGACTGATGACCTTTGAATGGGGTTTTTGTGGAGTCTTTTTTGTAGATGTTGTTGTTGTTACTTTCTGTTTGTTTGTTTATCTTCTAACAGTCAGCCTTTCTGAGGCAAGTCTGCTGCAGTTTGCTGGGGATCCACTCCAGACCCTGTTCACGTGGGTATCACCAGTGGAGGCTGCAGAACAGCAGATTGCTGCCTGCTTCTTCCTTCAGAAGTTTTGCCCCAGAGGGGCACTGGCCTGATGCCAGCCGGAACTCTTCTGTATGAGGTGTCTGGTGACCCTTGTTGGGAAGTCTCACCCAGTCAGGAGGCATGGGATCAAGGACCCGCTTATGTAGAGAATCTGACATTCCCTTAGCAGAGCTGGTGTGCTGTGCTGGGGGAATCCCACTCATCGGGTTCATCTGGTCTCTTCAGAGCCAGCAGGCAGAAAAGATAAGTCTGCTGAACCTGAAACTGCCTCTCCCCTCAGGTTCTCTGACTCAGCGAGATGAGAGTTCTGTCTGTAAGCCCCTGACCAGAGCTGCTGGAATTCTTGCAGGGATGACCTGCCTGGTGAGGAGGGATGGCTCAGGGTCCCACCTAAAGAGGCAGTCTGGCCACAACCTGCCACAGCCAGTTTGCTGCACTGTGGGAAATCTGGCCCAGTCCAAACCTCTCAGGCTCCTTTGCACTGTCAGGGGCAAACCGCCAACTAATGGTGGTCACCCCTCCCCCCAGGAACTTAGTCATTCCAGGCACACTCCAGACTACTCTGCTGGCAGCAGGGATCTCAAGCCAGTGGGTCTTAGCTTGCAGGGATCCATGGGAGTAGAACCTACTGATTGAGACTGCTGGGCTCTCCTCCTTGGCTTCAGCCCCCTTTCCATGGGACTGGATGGTTCTCGTGCCTCACTGGAGTTCCAGGCACCACTGGAGTATGTAAAAACTCCTGCAGCTCAGTGCCTGCCTAAACAGCCACCAATGGGAGTGGCTGTCATTGGTTTGCCCAGGTTTGTGCTTGAGACCCAGGGCCCTGGTGGTGTAGGCTCATGAGGGAATCTTCTGATCTGCAGATTGCAAAAATCTGTGGGAGAAGCATAGTACACCTGGTGGGTAGGACAGACCCTCGCCACTTCCCTTACCTCAGGGAGGCAAGTCTCCCCACCCTGTGCAGCTCCTGGGTGAAATGACACCCCACCTGCTTTCTTCCTGCTTCCTGTGGGTTGCACCAGCTGCCCAATGAGATGAACTTGGTACCTCAGATGGAGATGCAGAATTCACCTGCCTTCCGCATTCATCTCACTGGGAGCTTCAGACCAGAGCTGTTTCTGTTTGGCCATTTTGGCCCCTCCCTTCAAGTATGTTTTCTTTTGTAAGAAACTGCCAAAGTGGCTGTAGCATTTCGCTTTCTTACCAGTAATGCATGAGACTTCTGGTTGCTCCACATCCTTGCTAGTATTTGATATTGTTAATGTTTTAATGTAACACTTAAGTAATATGTAATGATATCTCATTATTTTAACTTGCAATTCTCAAAAGACATATGATATTAATAATTTGTCTTTTCATTATTTTGATTATGTCTTTTGCAGGTTGAAAGTTTTTAGTTTTAATGAAGTCCAGTTTATCAGTTCTTTCTTTCATGGATTGTGCCTTTGGTATTATATTTAAAAAGTCATCACCATACCCAAAGTTATCTAGGCTTTCTCTTATATTATCTTCTACGAGTTTTACAGTTTTGTGTTTTACCTTTAGGACTATGATACATTTTGAGTCATTTTGGGGAAAAATGTAAAATCTGGGCCTAGATTCATTTATTTGTATGTGGGTGTCTAGTTATTCAGCATCGTTAGTTGAAAAGACTGTCTTTTCTTAATTGTATTGCTTTGCTTGTTTATGAAAGATCAGTTGACTATATTTATCTGGGTCTATTTCTTTTTAGTCTGCTACTCTGCTTTCTATCCTTTTTCATTAATTTATTTGTCTATTCCTTTTTTTTTTTTTTTTTTAAGAGACGGAGTCTCACTCTCTTGCCCAGGCCGGAGTGCAGTGGCGCAATCTCGGCTCACTGCAAGCTCCGCCTCCTGGGTTCACCCACCATTCTCCTGCCTCAGCCTCCTGAGTAGCTGGGACTACAGACACCTGCCACCACGCCCGGCTAATTTTTGTATTTTTAGTAGAGACGGGGTTTCACCGTGTTAGCCAGGATGGTATAGATCTCCTGACCTCATGATCCACCTGCCTTGGCCTCCCAAAGTGCTAGGATTACAGGCGTGAGCCACCGCGCCCAGCCTTATTTGTCTGTTCTTTAACAAATACCACACTGTCTTGATTACTGTAGTTTTAGAGTAAATCATGAAGTCAGGTAGTATCAGTTGTTTAACTTTGCTCATCTCCTTCAATAATGTGTTTGCTTTTCTGGGTCTTTTGCCTATCTATATAAACTTTAGAATCAGTTTGTTGATATTTATACAATAACTTGCTGAGATTATTATTATCATTGCATTTAATCTGTAGATTAAGCTGGGAAGAATTGATATCTTGGCAATGTTGAGTCTTTCTCTCCATGAACATAAAATACTTCTCCATTTATTTAGTTCTTCATTGATTTCATTCATCAGTTTGTAGTTTTCCACATATAGATTTTGTATATATTTTGTTAGATTTATACCTAAGTATTTTATTTTTTGAATGATAATGTATATGGCACTGTGTTCTCAATTAAAAGTCCATTTGTTTATTTCTGGCATATAGAAAAGTGATTGACTTTTGTGTATTAGCCATGCATTCTGCAACCTTACATATCAGTAACCTTGCATGTCAGTTCCCAAAATTGTCAATTATTTTGGATTTTCTACATAGATGATTATGTCATCTGCAGAGAAATACAGTTTTATTTCTTACTTTCTCATCTGTATACCTTTTATTTCCTTTATTTCCTTTTCTTGTCTTACTGCATTATCTGGTACTTCCAGAACAATGTTGTAAAGTATTGGCGAGAGGGACATCTTTGCCTTGTCCTTGATCTTAGTGGGAAAACTTCAAGTTTCTCACCATACTTGAGGATGTTAGCTGTAGGTTATTGTAGATATTCTTTATTAAGGTGAAGAAGTTCTTCCCTATTTCTAGTTTACTGGGAGTTTTTGTCACAAATCTGTGTTGAATTTTGTTTACTGAAAGTTATCACAAATGGGCGTTGAATTTTGTTAATTTTTTTGTATATATTGATATAATCAAGTGATTTTTTTTAGCTTGTTAATGTTATGGATAACATTAATTGATTTTTGAATGTTGAACCTGCCTTAAATAGCTGAAATAAATTTAACTTCATCACAGTATATAATTCTTTTTATACATCATTGGATTGGATTTGCTGATGTTTTGTTAAGGTTTTGCATCTATGTTCATGAGGTATATTGGTCCATAGTTTTCTTTTCTTGTGATGTCTTAATCTGATTTTCCTATTAGGATAAAGCTGGCCTCATAGAATGAGTTAAGAAGTATTCTCTCGGCTCTAACTTCTAAAACAAATTATAGACAATTGGTATAATTTTTTCCTTAAATATTTGGTTGAATTCACCAGTGAGTCCATCTTGACATGGTGCTTTCTGTTTTGGAAGGTCAACTTCTGTAATAAATGTAAACATATTTAGGTCATCTATTTCTCCATGTATGAGTTTAGACAAATTATGTCTCTCAAGTGATTGATCCTCTGTGTGGACATAGAACTGTCCATTTTAGCATCCATGGGATCTGTAGTAACAACTCCTTATTTATTTCTGATATAGATAATTTGTGTCCTTCCTCTTTTCTTCTTAATTAGCCTGGCTAGAGCCTTATCCATTTTTTTTTTTTTAATCTTTCAAACCTAGTTTTTGGTTTTGATAACTTTTTTCTATCAGTGTCCCATTTTTTATTTCTGCTCTAATTATTTCTTTTCTTCTGTTTAATTTGTACCTGATTTGCTCTTCTATTTCTAGTTTCCTAAGGTGTAAACTTAGATCATTAATTTTAGATCTTTATTTTTTTCTAATAGATGCATTCAATACTATCAATTTCTCTTTAAACAATGCTTTTACTGCATCCCACAAATTTTGTTAAGCTGTATTTTCATTTTCATTTAGTTGAAGTATTTTAAAACTTCTATTGTGATTTCTTCCTTGACCCATATGTTGTTTAGAAACGTATTGTTTAATCTCCACATGTTTGTGGAGATTAGTGGGATTTTAAAATTTTCTTTCTGTTATTGACTCTAGTTTATTTACATTGTGGTCTGAGAGCAGACGCTGTATGATTTCTATTTTGTTAAATTTGTTAGGATATGTTTTGGCCCAGAAGGTGGTCTATTATGGTGATTATTCCATGTAATCTTGAGAGTGTGTATTCTGCTGTTGTTTGACAAAGTAGTCTATAGATGTCAATTATATTCGGTTAATTGATGATGTTGCTGAGTTCACCTAAGTTCTACTGATTTTCTGCCTGCTGGATCTGGGCATTTCTTTCTTTCTTTTTTTTTTTTTTTTTTTTTATTTTGTTGTTTTTGAGACAGAGTCTCGCTCTGTCACCCAGACTGGAGTGCAGTAATGCAATCTCATCTCATTTCAACCACTGCTTCCCGAGTTCAAGCAATCCTCCCACCTCAGTCTCCTGAGTAGCTGGGAATACCGGCAAATACCACCACACTTGGCTCATTTTTGTCTTTTTGTAGAGACAGATTTTACCACATTGCTCAGGTTGGTCTTGAACTCCTGAGATCAAATAATCCAGCCTTTTGGGCCTCCCAAAGTGCTGAGATTACAGTCATGAGCCAATATACCCTGCTGGATCTGTGCATTTCCAATAGAGTGTTGTTGAAATCTCCAACTATGATAATGAATTCATCGATTTCTCCTTGCAGTTCTGTTAATTTTTGCCTCACGTAGTTAAATACTCTCTTGTTAGGTGCGTGCACATTTAGGTTTGTTATGCGGAAACATAACATAGTTTCTTGGAAAGCTAATTCTTATACCATTATGCAATGCTTTTCTTCATTCCTGATAAATTTCCTTGCTTTGAGGTTTGTTCTGTTTGAAATTTGTATAGCTTCTCCTGCTTTCTTTTGTTTGTGCCAGTATGATATAATACATATATATATTCATGATCCATTTACTTTTAATTTGTGTGTCTTTATATTTAAAGTGCATTTCCTGCAGACATCATATAGTTTAATCTCTGATTTTTAATTGGTGCATTTAGATCATTGATATTAAAATGATTATTAATATAGGTGGATTAAATATCTACCATATTTCTTTCTGTTTTCTATTTGTTGCCTTTGTTCTTTGTTTCTATTTTTGTTTTTCATTCTCTTCTTTTCAGAGACTGAGTCTCATTCTGTTCATTAGGCTAGAGTGTGGTGGTATAATCATAGCTCCCTGTACCCTTGAAATCCTAGGCTCAAGTGATTCTCCTACCTGAGCCCTGAGTACCTGGTATTACGGGCATGTGCCACAAAGCCTGGCTAATTTTTATTTAATTTTTGTAGCGACAGAGTCTTTGCTACGTTGCCCAGGCTGGTCTTGAACTTCTGGCCTCAAATGATCCTCCTGCCTCAGTGTCTCAAAGGGTTGGGATTATAAGTGTAAGCTACAACACCCAGCCATGTCTTCCATTTTTTTCCTGCATTTTTAGTTTTTAACTTAGCATTTATAAAGTTCCATATTTTCTCATTCTTAGTATATCAATTATACTTTAAAAATGTGATTTTAGTGGTTACCCTAGTGTTTGCAATATACACTCACAACTAACATAAGTTTGCTTTCAAATAATACTATACCATTTCACAGGTACTGTGAGTACCTTATAATAAAAAAATCTAATTCTCTGCTTTTATCCCATGTGTCATTTCTGTTATTTATTTTATTTACATGTAAGAATACATAAGCATATAAATATATATAAAAGATGTATACATAAGCACACATAATTAAATATATTGCTACTATTGTTATTTTGAACAAACTGCCATTTGTTAGATCAATTAAGAATAAGAAAAATAGTTTTATTTTACCTTCACTTATTTTTTATATTGTTCCTTTTTCATATAATTTAGGTTTCTAACCTGTATAATTCTCTTTCCTTTTAAAATAATTGCATTTAACTTTTTTGTTTTTTGATATAAGACAAGTCTACTGGCAACAAGTTATCTCAATGTTTCTCCAAAATAGTGGTTGTTTCTCATTCACTTTGAAGAATTTTTTTGGCTAAAGAATTCTAAGTTGATAAGGTTTTTTCTCTTAATACTTTAAATATTTGTTTCCACTGTCTTCTTGCTTGCATGGTTTTTGAGAAGAATGTAAATGTCATTTTTATCTTTGTTTCTCTACATGTAGAATTTATTTTCCTCTGGATTCTCTTATGATTTCTTAAATCTTTGATAAAGGGGGTACAGGGGCATATGTGAACTCTATATTTTTAATTCAGTATTTCTGTCAACTTAAACTGATAAAAACTAAAATCTATTGATTAAGACAAATATCTTGGGAAACATCAATGTAAAGCTTGCTGATCTCTCTAGTGTTGGGGGGAATGTTGGAGAAAAATATGCCTATTTAGCTAAGGACAAACCTAGATAAATTAACTAGAGGTGTGAATTGTATGCAAGAGATTGTGTCAGAACAGGGTTCCAATAATGAACTTCATAAGAGGTTTTAGATAACCTAAGACATTTTGAAATATAACACAACTACAGGAAATTATACAATACAAATATGTAGCTTGATTAATTATTATAAGATAAACACCTTTGTTGACTCCTGATATGGCCTAGCTGTGTCTTTACCCAAATCTCATCTTGAATTGTAGTTCTCATAATCCCCACTTGTCATGGGAGGGACCCAGTGGGAGATAACTGAATCATGGAGTTGGTTACCCTCGTGCTGTTCTTGTGATAGCGAGTGAGTTTTCATGATATCTGATGGTTTTATAAGGGGCTTTTACCCCTTTGTTAGGCACTTCTGTCTCCTGCTGCCATGTGAAGAAGAACACGTTTGCTTCCTCTTCCACCATTATTGTAAGTTTCCTGAGGCCTCCCCAGCCATGTAGAATTGTGAGTCAGTTAAACTTCTTTCCTTTTTAAATTATCCAGTCTTGGGCAGTTCTTCATAGCAGTGAGGATGGACTAATACAACTGCTAACATTGTCTAAGAAAGATCCTTGTTATGTGGCTCAGAGGCCCTCCATGTATTCTTAACTATTCACTCTCCTATCCTTCCAAGAATAACACTAATTTGACCTCTACAATAATCACTTTATCACTCCAGTTTTGCCTTTTTTCCTCCAAAACAATGCCTTTTAAGTCTATTTTAATCGATAGATTTCCTCTTAATATCATTTAAAAATATTTCTTTACATTTTTAGACAGGAATCAGAATAATTTGCTATGTTGAATTTCCAGTTACTTGGATTTTGTTGATTTCATTCCTGTGGTTTAGTTGACATGAATCTCTCCAATTGAAAGGGTAACTTGAATATGGTAGCTGGAAAGTTAAAATCAATTCTTTTAACTTTGGAAAATGATTAAATTCTGGAGATAGAATAGTAAGTTCATAAGATGACAGGTCATTTGCATCCTCTAGTGAAAAGCGAAGGAATTAAATAAAAATAACATTTTGATGCTTAATGTTTCTGGCAGTATTATGTCTGTATTTAATTGTTAAAATGTTTTTCAATAATTTTTTCCAGGTTGTCTGCATTCAAAAGAGCATTCTATTAAAGCTACCTTAATTTGGCGCTTATTTTTCTTAATCATGTTTCTGACAATCATAGTGTGTGGAATGGTTGCTGCTTTAAGCGGTAAGTGAACTGTAATCTTTATTCATCTAGAGAGAATTATACTTGTAAAAAGAAGAGGAAGAATCTGAATAATTTTGTTATTCTTTACAGCTTTTAATATATTGTCTCACTAACTGAGTTACACTCCAATAACTTTTTAAGTGGCACCAAAAATTTTAATTATGTAAATAGGGTTCACATTATTCCAAGTTTAGTGAGATGATCAGAGTCTTCAGAAGGTAGAAGACAGACCACTATTCCTTAAGAATATTGATGCAAAAATTAAAAAAAATAGTAAACTGAAAAATAGTCTCTTGTCCGATCTAGGAACATGGTTAATTTTACCTCCACAACAACCTTGTTTCATGAAAAATAGCAAAACAGATGGTTTAAAGTACACAAAACTACTAAGTGGCTGTATAACATCACAGGCAGCCTGTTCTTTCTTCCTAGCTATTTGAGCATGTTCTGGCCCTTGTTTTTTTTAGCATATGTAGCCCATCTTCCTAGAAAACAAACTCCGTTTAGTGATTGTACCCTAAAAGCAATTAGCTATAAAAATTATCTTGTACTTCAAAACATGCTTGCAGTGCATCTAATATAGACCAAGCGAAGACATAGAAAACTACAAAAGCACTTCCCCCAAACCTCATGCCAATCTGGATATCAACCTAAAATCTACCCCCTGTTACTACATTCTGAAGTAATTTCAGAGAGACCCTTCAAATACTGCTTACGTAACTTAAGAGTCAGCAATACTTGGAGCACTCCATATAACACTCTAAATAATTTCTATTCATTTGCAAATCTTTTGCTTATTATCTTTTGGCATTTTGAAACCACAGATAATATACTTTATACATTTATGAAGCAAAAATAATTTTTTTATTTCAGAGATTTAAGTCAACTAATTGTAACTATTTAAGAAAGAAAAAATTGGAAAGAGACAATTTCTGTACTCTGTAAGTACCTCAGTATTAATCAAGGGAATGTATTCTGAAATATAATTTAAATTTATAGCTCTTTTTTTTACAGTAAGCATATGAAATTGACACTTATGACTGTTTTCCTTTATTATCCATTATGTGTTTCTCTTCCTTTCAGCTAGCACTTTGGAAATGATTTCTTGTGTGGAGCCAATAGCTGGAGCCATCTTCTAATCTGGTCATTTTCTTTCTTTCTTTTTTTAAATGTGTTATTATGTATTACTTTATATCATTTTTATGTTTTATTTAACATTTAGATTGTTAGTTAACTATTCAAGTGTGGTATTTCCCCATTTAAATCGAGTTATTTAGATTGGCTTTAGTTATAAAAATTCCTAATAGAGCTTTGTAGTTATAGCTCTGGTCCCTAACTTTTTTTTTAAATTATACTTTAAGTTCTGGGATAAATGTGCAGAACCCGCAGGTTCGTTACATAGGTATACACGTGCCATGGTGGTTTGATGCACCTATCAACCCATCATCTATATTAGGTATTTCTCCTAATGCTATCCCTCCCGTTGCCCCCCAACCCTCAACACGCCTCAGTGTGTGATGTTCCGCTCCCTGCATCCATGTGTTCTCATTGTTCAGCTCCCACATATGAGTGAGAACCTGCAGTATTTGGTTTTCTGTTCCTGTGTTAGTTTGATGAGAATGATGGTTTCCAGTTTCATTTGTCTCCCTGCAAAGAATATGAACTCATTCTTCTTTATGGCTGTATAGTATTCCATGGTGTATATGTGCCACATTTTCTTTATCCAGTCTATCATTGATGAGCATTTGGGTTGGTTCCAAGTCTTTGCTATTGTGAATAGTGCCACAATAAACATACGAGTGCATGTGTCTTTATAGTAGAATGATTTATAATCCTTTGGGTATAGACCCAGTATTTCTGGTTATAGATCCTTGAGGAATTGCCACACTGTATTTTCCAAAATGGTTGAACTAATTTACACTCCCACCAACAGTGTAAAAGTGTTCCTATTTCTCTACATCCTCTTCAGCGTCTGTTGTTTCCTGACTTTTTAATGATTGTCATTGTAACTGGCATGAGATGGTATCTCATTGTTGTTTTGATTTGAATTTCTCTAATGATCAGTTATGATGAGCTTTTTATCATATATTTGTTGGCCACATAAATGTCTTCTTTTGTGAAGTGTCTGTTCATATCTTTTGCCCATTTTTTGATAGGGTTTTTTGTTTTATTCTTGTAAATTTTTTTAAGTTCCTTGTAGATTCTAGATATTAGCTGTTTGTCAAACGGATAGATTGCAAAATTTGTCTCCCATTCTGTAGGTTGCCTGTTCACTCTGATGATAGTTTGTTTTTTGTGTTTGTTTTTTTTTTTTTTTTTTTGTGCAGAAGCTCTTTAGTTAAATTAGATCCCGCTTGTCAATTTTTGCTTTTGTTGCAATTGCTTTTGGTGTTTTAATCATAAAACCTTTGCCCATGCCTGTGTCCTGAATGGTATTGCCTAGGTTTTGTTCTCAGGTTTTTATGGTTTTAGGTCTTATGTTTAAGTCTTTAATCCATCTTGAGCTAATTTTTGTGTAAGGTGTAAGGAAGGGGTCCAGCTTCAGTTTTCTGCATATGGCTAGCCAGTTTTCTCAACACCATTTATTAAATAGGGAATCCTTTCCCCCATTGCTTGTTTTTGTCAGGTTTGTCAAAGATCAGATGGTTGTAGATGTTGGGTGTTATTTCTGAGGCCTCTGTTCTGTCCATTGGTCAATATATCTGTTTTGGTACCAACACCATGCTGTTTTGGTTACTGTAGCCTTATAGTTTAATTTGAAGTCAGGTAGCATGATGCCTCCAGCTTAGTTCTTTTTGCTTAGGATTGTCTTGGCTATACAGGCTCTTTTTTGGTTCCATATGAAATTTAAAGTTTTTTTTTTTTTAATTCTGTGAAGAAAGTCAATGGTAGCTTGATGGGAATAGCATTCAATCTATAAATTACTTTGAGCTATATGACTATTTTCATAATATTGATTCTTCCTATCTATGAGCATGGAATGATTTTCCATTTGTTTGTGTCATCTCTTATTTCCTTGAGCAGTGATTTGTAGTTCTCCTTGAAGAGGTCCTTCACATCTCTTGTAAGTTGTATTCTTAGGTATTTTATTCTCTTAGTAGCAATTGTGAATGGGAGTTCACTCATGATTTGGCTCTCTGTTTGTCTGTTATTGGTGTATAGGAATGCTTGTGATTTTTGCACATTGATTTCGTATCCTGAGAATTTGCTGAAGTTGCTTATCAGCTTAATAAGTTTTAAGGGGATGAGACAATGGGGTTTTCTAAATATACAATTCTGTCATCTGCAAACAGAGATAATTTGACTTCCTCTCTTCCTGTTGAATACACTTTCTTTCTTTCTTTCTTTTACCTGATTGCCCTGACTAGAACTTCCAATACTATATTGAATAGGAGTGGTGAGAGAGGGCATCCTTGCCTTGTGCCAGTTTACAAAGGGAATGCTTCCAGCTTTTGGCCACTCAGTATGATATTCGCTATGAGTTTGTCATAAATAGCTTTTATTATTTTAATGTATGTTCCATCAATACCTAGTCTATTGTGTGTTTTTATCATGAAGGGGTGTTCAATTTTATCAAAGGCCTTTTCTGCATCTGTTGAGATCATCATGTGGTTTTTGTCATTGGTTCTGCTTATGTAATGGATTACATTTATTAATTTACATATATTGAACCAGACTTTCATCCCAGGGATGAAACTGACTTGATCGTGGTGGATAAGCTTTTGATGTGCTGCTGGATTCGGCTGGCCAGTATTTTATTGAGGATTTTTGCATTGATGTTCATCAGGAATATTGGCCTGAAATTTTCTTTTTTGTTGTATCTCTGCTAGGTTTTGGTATCAGGATGATGCTGGTCTCATATAATGAGTTAGGGAGAATTCCTTCTTTTTCTATTGTTTGGAATAATTTCAGAAGGAATGGTACCAGCTCCTCTTCGTACCTCTGGTAGAATTCGGCAGTGCATTTGTCTGGACATGGGCTTGTTTTGGTTGGGTAGGCTATTAATTACTGCCTCAGTTTCAGAACCTGTTATTGGTCTATTCAGGAATCTGATTTCTTCCTGGTTTAGTCTTGGGAGGGTGTATGTGTCCAGGAATTTATCCATTTCTTCCTTGCCTGGGTATCACCAGCAAAGGCTGAAGAAAAGCAAAGATTGCTGCCTGCTCCTTCCTCTGGAAGCTTCATCCCAGAGGGGCACGCACCAGATGCCAGCTGAGCTGTCCTGTATGAGGTGCCTATCAACCCCTGCTAGGAGTTGTCTCCCAGTCAGGAGGCATGGGGGTCAGGGACCCACTTGAAAAGGCAGTCTTTCCCTCAGAAGAGCTCGAGCACTGTGCTGGGAGATCCACTGCTCTTTTCAGAGCTGGCTGGCAGGAATGTTTAAGTCTCCTGAAGCCGTGACCACAGCCACCCTTTCCCCCAGGTGCTCTGTCCCAGGGAGATAAGAGTTTTATCTATAAGCCCCTGACTGGGGCTGCTGCCTTTCTTTCAGAGATGCCCTGCCCAGAGAGGAGGAATCTAGAGAGGCAGTCCGGCTGCAGTGGCTTTGCTGCACTGGCTTTGCTGCACTGTGGTGGGCTCCGCCCAGTCCGAACTTCCCCCAGGGCTTTGTTTACACTGTGAGGGGAAAATCACCTACTCAAGCCTCAGTAATGGCGGATGCACCTCCCCTCACCAAGCTTGAGCATCTGGGGTCCACTTCAGACTGCTGTGCTGGCAGCAAGAATTTCCAGCCAGTGGGTCTTAGCTTGCTGGGCTCTGTGGGGATTGGACCCACTGAGCAAGACCACTTGGCTCCCTGGCTTCAGCCCCCTTTCCAGCAGAGTGAATGATTCTGTCTCAGTGGGTTCCAGGCTCCACTGGGGTATGAAAAAAACTCCTGCAGTTATCTTGGTGACTGCCCAAATCGCCACCCAGTTTTGTGCTTGAAACCCAGGGTTCTGGTAGTGTTGGCACTCCAGAGAATCTCCTGGTCTGTGGGTTGCAAAAACCGTGGGAAAAGCGTAGTATCTGGGCCAGATAGCACCTCACAGCACAGTCCCTCACAACTTCCCTTGGCTAGGGGAGGGAGTTCTCCCACCCCTTGTGCTTCCTGGGTGAAGCAGCGCCCCACCCTGCTTCTGCTTGCCCTCTGTGGGCTGCACCCACTTGTGTAACCAGTCCCAGTGAGATGATCCTGGTACCTCAGTTGGAAATGCAGAAATCACCTGCCTTCTGCATTGGTCTCACTGGGAACTGCAGACCAGAGCTGTTTCTAATCAGCCATCTTGCCCTCTCTGGTCTGGTCGTTTTCTTTAAATTGGTTGATACAGGAGCAGTGATAGCACAACAAATATGCACAGATTTGGGGAAAGTCATCCTGCATTATGGTCTGGTTCAAGAAATTACATTTTAATAGTTATAATTTGGTATCACCTTGTTTGTGATACCAAACCAGATACAATACACGTTTGCCTCATGTTATGATTTGTTATTCAGATTACACCAGTTATTATTCATAACTAAGAGTGATTTCTCATCTCACAAGAGCCAAATCCAAGGATAATGGTGCCAATTGATAGTAATGATTCTATGAATACCCAGCATTCTGGTCTATCATAGACACTTTCAGAACCATTGAGTTGAAGGTAGAAGGTGGTTATATAATAGAAGATGAACTGGTAGCTACTAGGGGCTCAGTGACAACTATCTGGAGAGACATTCATTCATCTCGATCCCACATGAAGAGAGCATTTCTCCTGATTATATAAGAAGTGGGTCAGAAAAGCCTGTCCAGTGAAGTATTGCTGCCTTCAAAGTGTAGAAAACCTCACTAAATCTCCTTAGTGGAAGGAAGTTCACTGTACAACAACTTATTTCATATTTATGATAGTATTTAGACATATACAAGGCTTTTTCACATCAAGAAACCTTATTCACATAAGGCATCTCTATCCTGCCCTTCATTTTACCAAGTCATCTGGAGCAGCAATCGCCAACCTTGTTGGCATGAGGGACCAGTTTTGTGAAAGACAACGTTTTCATGGACTGGGGTCAAGGAATGGTTTGGGGATAATTTAAGTGCATTACTTTTATTGTGCCCTTTATTTCCATTATTATTACATTGTGTAATAATATATAATAAAATAATTATACAACTCACCATAATGTAGAATCAGTGGGAACCCTGAGCTAGTTTTTCTGAAAGTAGATGGTACCATCTGTGAGTGATGGGAGACAGTGACAGTTCATCAGGTATTAGATTCTCACAAGGAGCCCACAACCTAGATTCCTCACATGAGAAGTTCCCAATAGGGTTTGCCCTCCTATGAGAATCTAATGCCACTGCTGATCTGACAGGAGGTGGAGCTCATGAGGTAATGTGAGTGATGGGGAGTGGCTGTAAATACAGATGAAGCTTCACTTACTCATTCGCTGCTTACCTCCTGCTGTGCAGCCTGCTTCCTGACTCATCCATGGACCAGTACTGATCCATGGCCTAGGGGTTGGGGACCCCTAATCTAGAGCACTTGGAGAACTATCTGTTCTCCAAAGCTGATCAAATGCTATCATTAATGTATCTAATATTTTAAGAAAGGGTAACACTGTTGAGAGCCAAATAGATACATGGCCCAGAGCAAGCTTAAGTTACTAATAACTCCTTTTTCAGCTCACCCCCTGCTGAAGGCATGAGTTTGAATCTCAGTTTTGCCATTTGCTGTGTAATGTATGCAATTATATTTAGCATCATATTTCTCACTTGAAAAATGAAAATAATACATTTAATACTTAACAGGAGTGTCAGAAAGTATATTAGCACTTGGTAATTTATACAATACAATATAAAAGTAAGAAATTTTTATTTTATTTATTTTTATTTTATTTTCAGCAATAAGAGCTAACTGCCATCAAGAGCCATCAGTATGTCTTCAAGCTGCATGCCCAGAAAGCTGGATTGGTTTTCAAAGAAAGTGTTTCTATTTTTCTGATGACACCAAGAACTGGACATCAAGTCAGAGGTTTTGTGACTCACAAGATGCTGATCTTGCTCAGGTTGAAAGCTTCCAGGAACTGGTAAGAAAATAGTTCTGGCCAGAATCAAAGATTCAGCCCTACAAGGATATGTTTTCCTGTGAAATTATCTAAGAGGTAGGTTTAGACATCTGCTTTTACATTGATTTTTTTTTTTTTTTTTTTTTTTTGCATAACGAAAGAGTAACCTAGCATGTATTATATTTTACAGTGAACCATCTAAAATTACCTTAATATTCGTGGCAGGAACAGGCCCAGAGGGCAAGCAAGCCAGAGCCTTCTTTGACTTGTGAGCCAGAATTGTGCAAATAAGGATTAGAAAAGTATTGGTAGAAACCCAGTTTTAAGTTTGTATGAAGTTAGCAACATTGTTTCAAAATAAATCAAACAAGGCCAAGAGCAGTGGCACATGCCTGTAATCCCAGCACTTTGGGAGGCCAAGGCGGGTGTATCACTTGAGGTCAGGAGTTTGAGATCAGCCTGGCCAACATGGTGAAACCCCATCTCAACTAAAAAATACAAAAATTAGCTGGGCATGGTGGCATACGCCTGTAGTTCCAGCTACTCAGGAGGCTGAGGCAGCAGAATTGCTTGAACCTGGGAGGTGGAGGCCTACAGTTAGCTGAAATCATGCTACTGTACTCCAGCCTAACAGAGTGAGACTCTATCTCAAAAAAATAATAAAATAAAAACAATAAGTCAAGCAAGAATGATGTCATAGAGGTTGGTAGACTAAAAAGCTACAGAAATCTGTTCCTCCACTGAGAAAACTATTGAACTGTCAAAAACTGTCTGAAGTAACTATTTTGGAATTCTCGAGTCTAGTTAAACACTGGAAGCATCAAGGGAAGAGTTTGATAAAGAGGATGATAAATTTTGGTTAATGTTGGTGAATTTCAGCCTTTCCACTCAATAATAACTATTTTCCATACCCCATTATTGCAGGGATCCATGGGAACTGCTGCCCATGTTCTTGTAATGAATTCCTGCAGCCAGGGTGAACAATAAGCACCTTTTTGTCCAAATGTCAGGGTTATTGCTGATTTCTGCCTTTGAATGCTGAGGGGCAGACACAGAAGTGGGCTATCATTGCATCAGTCCTCATCAGCTGAAGTGGCTTCCCAAGGATTTAAATAAATAGTATGTGTTTTTCCTCCCTTTAGGAAGCAGTCATTTAAGACAATTTTTATTAGATAACTGGCTGACAGCAGAGATAACAGAACAGAGATTTCAATGACCATGCACAACAGAGAATAAAAATAGTTGGGAAAAAATCATGACCAAATGACTCTGAGCCACAACAACCAAGATTTGACAATCCCTGAAGAGCAAAATAATTAAGTTACCAGAGTTACCACAACATAGTATTCATAATGTCCAGTTCTCAAAAAAAAATTACAAAACATGCAAAGAAAAGTATGGTTCATTCACAGGAAGAAAAAGTAATCTGACAGAAACTATCCCTGAAGAGGCTCAGATATTAAAAATATGAGTCAAAAATGTTAAATCAGCTGTCTTAAGTATAACCAATGAGTTAAAGGAAACTAGACAAAAAGCTAAAGGAAACCGAAAACATAATAAATGAACAAAATTAGAATATCAATATAAAGGTAGAAATTGTAAAAAAGAACCAAGCAAAAATTCCAGAGCTGAAAAGTACAATGACTGAAATTTAAAAATAATTTTAAAAACTCAATGAAGAAGTTCAACAGCAGATTTGAGAAGTAAGAGATCAGAAAACTTGAAAATAAGATAATTGAAACAATCCAGACTAAGAAAAACAAAGAAAAAGAATGAAGATAAATAAATTCTAAGGAACCTGTAGGACATCAGCAAACATACTAACATATGTACTGTAGAAATCCAGGAAAGAGAAGAGAAAGAGAAGCAGAGAAATACACTTAAAGAAATAATGAACAAAACTTTCCAAAATCTGAGGAAATACATAAATATATACATCCAAGAGGCTCAATGAACTCCAAAAGGGTAAACTTAAAGAGATCTACATTGAGACAAAATATAGTCAAGTTGACAAAATCCACAGAGAGAATTTTGAAAGCAGCCAGAATGAAGCAACTCATCATTTACATAAGACCCTGAATAAAATTAATAGCTGATTTTCTCTGAGAAACCATGGAGATCAGAAGGTAGTGGAATGGCATATTTAAATGTCTGAAAGAAAAAATAAAACTGCCAACCATGAATTCTATGTATAGCAAAGTTGTCCTTCAAGAATGAAGGAAAAAGTAACACATTTTCAGATAACCAATAATTAAGGGATTTTATTACCAGTAGACATGTGCTACAGAAAATGCTAAAGGAAACCTTTTAGGCTGAACTGAAAGTACACTAGACAGCAATTCAGAGCCTCCAAAATAAAGAATATTCATAAAAGTAACAATAGAGGTAAATATAAAACCCAGAATTACTACATGTGTCATATAGTTTATAACTTCTCCTATTTATAGCTTTCTATATTTATATTTATCTATAACTTCATAGGCAAATGAATAAAAATTATAAATATGATAGTGGTCATATAATGTATAAAGATGCAATCTGTGACAGTCTTATGAAGCAGGGATGAAGACATATAGGATCAAAATGTTTGCATAGTTATTGAAGCTATGTTGATATTATGAAATTATATTGTTACAAGTTTAAGATGCTAATTATAATTCTCAAGGTAACCACTAATAAAATTACCAAAATTATGCAGAAAAGGAAAAAAGAAAAACAATACACTATAAAAAACCAATTAAATACAAAAAAAGTCAGTAACAGACAACTTGAGAAACAAAGACATATAAGATATAGAGAAAACAAATGATTAAATGGCAAAAGTAAATCTTGTTTTAGTAATCACATTAAATAGAAAAGGATGAAGCCATCCTATTAAAGGGCTGAGACTGACAAGTTGGCTAAAAACTAAAATAAATTAAAAAGAAAAACAAGACTCATCTACATGCTGTCTATAAGAGACTTGCCTTAGATATAAGGACACAAAGAAGTTGAAAGTAAAAGGACTGAAAAAGATATTCCATACAAACAGTAGTAACCAAGATAGTGCCGAGTGGCTATATTTTTGTCAAACAAAATAAACTAAAGTAAAATTTACAAGAGAAAAAGAAGGGCATTATGCATTGACAAAAATTTTGACATAGCCAAATAATTATGTTATAAAATATATGTACTTAATAATACAGCCTCAAAATATATGAAGCAATAATTGCTATAATTTAAGGGAGAAAAGAACAGTTCTATGAAAAGTTAGAGAATGAAATATTCCACTTTCAACATGAGATTAAACAACTAGACATAAGATCAATAAGGAAATAGAAAATTTGAACAACACTATAAACCAATTATCCCTAACAGGCATATACAGAAGAATCTACCCAACAAGAGCAGAATATTAATTCTTCTCAAATGCACATGGAACATTCTTAAACCATATGTTAGGCCACAAAACAAGTGTTAGTAAGTGTGAAAATTTGAAGTCATAAAAAGTATCTTTTGCAATTACAATGGAATGAAGCTAGAAATCAATAACTAGAAAAACCAGAAAAGTCACGCATATGTAGAAATTTAAAAACCCGCTCTTCAACAGCCATTGGTCAAAGAAGAAATCACAAGGGACATTAGAAAATACCTTGAGACAAATGAAGTAAAAATACAAATAGCACGTTTATGGTATACACTGAACATAGTTCTAAGAGGGAAATTTATAGCTGTGAGCAGTTAACTAAAAAAGAAGAAAGATCTCAAATCCATAGCCTAACTGTACACTGTAAGGAACTAAAAAAAGTAAAACAAAAATAGAAGTCATCTTTATGATTTGAAAGAGTAAAAGATTTACCTAATAAGTCCCTAAATTTACTAATAATAAAGAAAATTGTTTATATATTTAATTGCGTTAAAATTCAGAACTTGTAATCATAAAAAGGACAGTACACATTGACAAGGAAACACAGCAAAGGAAACCAGCCTATGCTGCTGCTGTTGTGAGGATAATTTGGTACACTTACATTAGTTTGGTGTCTTTTCTTTCTCTTTCTTTCTTTCTTTCTTTCTCTTTCTTTCGTTCGTTCGTTCGTTCGTTTCTTTTTGAGACAGAATCTCACTCTATTGCCCAGGCTGGAGTGCAGTGGCGTGATCTTGGCTCACTACAACTTTTGTCTCCCAGGTTCAAATGATTCTCATGCCTCAGCCTCCCAAATAGCTGGGATTACAGGTGCATGCCATCACGCCCAGCTAATTTTTGTATTTTTTTTAATAGAGAGGGGGCTTCATCATGTTGGCCAAGCCTAGTCTCAAACTCTTGGCCTCAGGTGATCCGCCTGCCTCGGCCTCCCAAAGTACTGGGATTACAGGTGCTTGGCCTGGTGGTGTCATTTCTTAAAGTTGACAAAAAGCATATCCTGGGGCCTAAAAATTCTATTCTAGGACAGGTGCCAAGAATGTCATAGTAGCATACATTCCAAACTTGATAAAACCCTGGTGTCAACCGATAGTATAATAGATAAATTGGAGAAGAGTCATACAAAGGAGTACAATACAGAAACAAAAGTAACCAAATTATCAACAATTTCTCTCAGTTTTAAATTATCTTCTTTTGATATGTATGATAATATAGCACACCTATTCTGTATGTATTACTAAACAATACAAAATCAAAAGGAAGAAAATTATGAGTAGTTAAGAATATAGCATAGCAGCAACATTTCTGGGAGAGGATGGGTTATGTTAGATTAATGAATATCATCTCTGTGTTTTCTGAAAGAATTTCCTGTTGAGATATAAAGGCCCATCTGATCACTGGATTGGGCTGAGCAGAGAACAAGGCCAACCATGGAAATGGATAAATGGTACTGAATGGACAAGACAGTAAGTTCTAAAAATCTGGCAGTAATATTTGTATTTGAATTTACTTTGCATTAAATCTGAAGTGTTCTCTAGTTACATGCTTTAAAAAATTCTCATTTTAAGGTTAGTCATGAAAGAAGATGGTGCCAACTTGTATGTTGCAAAGGTTTCACAAGTTCCTCGAATGAATCCAAGACCTGTCATGGTGAGGTAGACTGACTGTGAACTTGGCTCCAGGCTTATCTATGTCATTTTCAAACACTTTCATTTTAAGCAAACCATACAATATCTTTAAGTCTGTTCCTTACCTCCACAACAAAATTAAATTGCACTTGTCCTCCTGATTTCACAGGGTTGATGTGAGGAACAGAGGTTTTGATGTATCAGGGAAAGATTATGAGTGACAGCAATTATACCTATTATTTAAAATAAGACAATAGTTTTAAAATTTTAAAATGGGTAAAGTTTGGCACTAGAAAATTTAATCTCAATTGTATATTTATAGGATCTTCAGATTACTAAAAAGATTTGAGATAATGCTGGAAAAATTGGATTCACACAATTTCACTCAATGTTTGTCTGAGAGATGAGACAGTTTTGAAAAGCTACTTTATTGTAATACATTCATCAATATTGGAAATATAACTTTATTTAATAAAAAGAGCCCCAGACTGGACATTGGCAGGTTTGAAATGAGTTTTTTCTCATTAGCTTTTGACCTTGGATGGGATGGTAAGTTTTAGAAATCAGAGAACATGTACATTTATACATTGTTGTATCTACACTGCCTTGCACATTGTGACTGCTTCATAAATATCTAGAATTAACTTTTATTTCTTATTTTACAATACGGAAGTAGTAAATTTTCTCTACCTAATTCTTAAAATGGTTTTTTGTTTGTTTGTATTTTTGAGAGACAGGGTCTTACTCTGTTACCCAGGCTGGAGTGCAGTAGTACCATCGTGGCTCACTGCAGCCTTGACTTCCCTGGCTCAAGTGAGCCTCCCATCTCAGCCTCCTGAGTAGCTGGGACTACAGGTGTGTGCCACCTTGCTTGGCTTTTTTTTTTTTTTTTTTTTTTTTTTCAGCGATGGGGTCTCACTATGTTGCCTGGGCTGATCTTGAACTCCTGAGCTCAAGCAATCCTCCCACCTCGGCCTCCCAAAATGTTGGAATTACAGGTGTGAGCCACCATGCCTGGCCTCTCAAAATATTTTAAGGATCAAATATATTATTAACTAACCAGTTTTTGGAAACTGCTCATCACTTAAAGAAATGTAAAATATTATATGATTAAGGTCTAACAAGTTTCAACAATTAGCAAATTATATCATAGATGATAGTGATTCCAATGAGCAAAGAGGAAAAATTTATAATCCAAATGCTGACCTAAAATATCTGTGCCAAGCCATCTAAACTCAGCTAAATAGCACTGCAGTTTCAGTACTAAAACCACCAGGGAAGTAGGAGGAATAAAATCAAGCATGGTTTTTAGAAATAGCTGCTGAGTCTTCAGTTATTTAAGGAAGCAAAATATTGGGAAACTGTGTAAAGAAAACGTGTCAGACTTCTCCCATCAGCCAGCTAAGGCTTTGGATGTACTTGAAAGAATATTATGCTTACAGACATGAAATAGGTTTGATTCAGGACTTTGCAGTATTCCTATAGTTGATTTATAACATCTCCTGCTAAGCAAAGCCCACTGACTAATTAGTCACCACTACACAAGGAAAAACAGCATTATTTTTAGAGGCTGAATTAATGTTAGTTTTCTCATTTTCTCATCTTCATTCTCTCTGCTGTTGAAGAAATGTTCAGTGGCCAACTGATTCTGCTTCTTCTCTTGCAGGTTTCCTATCCTGGGAGCAGGAGAGTGTGCCTATTTGAATGACAAAGGTGCCAGTAGTGCCAGGCACTACACAGAGAGGAAGTGGATTTGTTCCAAATCAGATATACATGTCTAGATGTTACAGCAAAGCCCCAACTAATCTTTAGAAGCATATTGGAACTGATAACTCCATTTTAAAATGAGCAAAGAATTTATTTCTTATACCAACAGGTATATGAAAATATGCTCAATATCACTAATAACTGGGAAAATACAAATCAAAATCATAGTAAAATATTACCTGTTTTCATGGTGCTAATATTACCTGTTCTCCCACTGCTAATGACATACCCGAGACTGAGTAATTTATAAATAAAAGAGATTTAATTGACTCATAGTTCCACATGGCTGGGGAGGTCTTGCAATCATGACAGAAGGCAAATGGGAAGCAAAGTCATGTCTTATGTGGTGGCAGGCAGGGGGACTTGTGCACAGGAACTCCTATTTATACAACCATCAGATATCTTGAGACAAGAACAGTATGGGGCTCCCTGGTGTGATTCCGTCCTGCGCGGCTGTTCTCTGGAGCAGCATTCATTTATCTTCGTCTGCCTTGTCTCCTACCTAAGTGTGTGTCGCCACCCGATGGAAGATTCGATGGACATGGACATGAGCCCCCTGAGGCCCCAGAACTATCTTTTCAGTTGTGAACTAAAGGCCGACAAAGATGATCACTTTAAGGTGGATAATGATGAAAATGAGACCAGTTATCTTTAAGAACGGTCAGCTCAGGGGCTGGTGCAAAGGATGAACTGCACATTGTTGAAGCAGAGGCCATGAATGACGAAGGCAGTCCAATTAAAGTAACACTGGCAACTTTGAAAATGTCTGTACAGCCAACGGTTTCTCTTGGGGGCTTTGAAATAACACCACCAGTGGACTTAAGGTTGAAGTGTGGTTCAGGGCCAGTGCATATTAGTGGACAGCACTTAGTAGCTGTGAAGGAAGGTGCAGAGTCAGAAGATGAAGAAGAGGAGGATGTGAAACTCTTAAGTATATCTGGAAAGCAGTCTGCCCCTGGAGGTGGGCAGAAAAAAGTAAAACTTGCTGCTGCTGCTGATGATGATGATGATGAAGATGATGATGATGATGATGACGAGGAAGCTGAAGAAAAAGCGCCAGTGAAGAAATCTATACGAGATACTCCAGCCAAAAATGCACAAAAGTCAAATCAGAATGGAAAAGACTCAAAACCATCATCAACACCAAGATCAAAAGGACAAGAATCCTTCAAAAAACAGGAAAAATCTCCTAAAACACCAAAAGGATCTAGTTCTGTAGAAGACATTAAAGCAAAAATGCAAGCAAGTATAGAAAAACGTGGTTCTCTTCCCAAAGTGGAAACCAAGTTCATCAATTATGTGAAGAATTTCTTCTGGATGACTGACCAAGAGGCTATTCAAGATCTCTGGCAGTGGAGGAAGTCTCTTTAAGAAAATAGTTTAAACAATTTGTTAAAAATTTTCCATCTTATTTCATTTCTGTAACAGTTGATATCTGGCTGTCCTTTTTATAGTGCAGAGTGAGAACTTTCCCTACCATGTTTGATAAATGTTGTCCAGGTTCTATTGCCAAGAATGTGTTGTCCAAAATGCCTGTTTAGTTTTTAAAGATGGAACTCCACCCTTTGCTTGGTTTTAAGTATGTATGGGATGCTATGATAGGACATAGTAGTAGCAGTGGTCAGACATGGAAATGGTGGGGAGACAAAAGTATACACGTGAAATAAAACTCAGTATTTTAATAAAGTAAAAAAAAAAAAAAAGGTATGGGGAAAACTGCCCCCATAAAGCAATTGTCTCCACCTGGCCCTGCCCTTTGCATGTGGAGATTATTACAATTCAAGGTGAAATTTGGGTGGAGACACAACCAAACCATATCAGATGGCTATATCAAAAAGACAAGAAATAACAAGCATTGGTGAGAGTGTGGAGAAGACGGAACCCTTGTACACAGTTGGTGGGAACACAGTTTGGTGCAGCCATTATAGAAAACGTCATGGAGGTTCCTAAAGAAATTAAAAAGAGAACTACCATATGAGCCAGCAATCCCTTTTCCAGATATACACCCAAAGGAAATGAAATCACCACCTCATAAAGATATCTGCTTTCCTGTTTATTATAACACATCTTTATTCATAATAGCCAAGATACGGAACTAACTGAAGTGACCATTAACAGATGAATGGATAAAGAAATTGTCATATATATAAAACACACACATTATATACATACATACATATATATATATATATAAAAAATAGAATATTATTCAGCCTTGTAAAAAGAAATCCTGTTATGTTGGGAACAAGCCCCCCAAAATCTGGCCATAAACTCACCCCAAAACTGGCCATAAACAAAATCTCTGCAGCACTGTGACATGTTAGTGATGGCCATAACACCCACGCTGGAAGGTTGTGGGTTTATGGGAATGAGGGCAAGGAACACCTGGCCTGCCCAGGGTGGAAAACCACTTAAAGGCGTTCTTAAGCTACAAACAATAGCATGAGCGATCTGTGCCTTAAGGACATGTTCCTGCTGCAGTTAACTAGCCCAATCTATTCCTTTAATTCGGCCCATCCCTTCATTTCCCATAAGGGATACTTTTAGTTAATTTAATATCTATAGAAACAATGCTAATGACTGGCTTGCTGTTAATAAATACATGGGTAAATCTCTGTTCTGGGCTCTCAGCTCTGAAGGCTGTGAGACCCCTGATTTCCCACTTCACACCTCTATATTTCTGTGTGTGTGTCTTTAGTTCCTCTGGCGCTGCTGGGTTAGGATCTACCCGACTGAGCTGGTCTCAGCACTGTTATTTGAAACAATGTAAATAAACCTATAGGGTTTATTATATATACTAAGTGAAATAAGCCAGACACAGAAAAAAAATGTTGCATGATCTCACTTATAGTGAAACTTAAAAAAAAAACCCAAATACATAGAAATAGAGTAGAATGGTGGTTACCAGAGATGAGGAAAATACAGAGACACAGGTCAAAAGATACAGAGTTGCAGTTACAAAGGGTGAGTATGTCTAGATATCTAACATACAGTATGAGGACTATAATAGTATTGCACTGTGTACTGAAAACTTGATGACAGATTTTAGATATTCTTACCACACAGACAAAAAGAAATGTAAGTATGTGAGATGAAGCTTATGTTAATTAGATTAAGTGTATGTACATAAAAACATCACATTATACACATCAAATATATACAATAAAAAAGCACATTGGGAGATACATGATAAATTTCTATCTGCAGTTGCTATTTGCATTTTTAAAGGATATTTTTATTTTTTAAATTTTTAGCTGACAACTGTATAATTATGGAATACAATGTGATGTTCTGATATATGTGTACACTATGGAATGATTAAATCAAACTAACATTTCATCATCTCACATACTTATCATTTTCTGTGGTGAGAACATTTGAAATTTATTCTCTTGACAATTTTGAAAGATCCAATACACTATTATTAACTATAGTCACTATGCTGTGCAATAGATCTCAAAAGCTTATTCCTCTTAACTGAAACCTACTACCCTGTGACATGTGGGGAACATCTCTCTATTCCCCAGCCCCAGTCCCTAAATGTTGAATACACAATGGGGAAAAAATAGTCTTCAATGAATGGTGGTGGGAAAATTGTATATCCACATGCAGAAGAATAAAATTGGACCCTTACCTCCTACCATATATAAAAACCAACTGAAAATCGATTAAAGACTTAAACTGTAAAACTACTAAAAGAAAATATAGGGAGAAAGCTTCACAACGTTGGTCTGGGCAATAATTTTTGGATTTGACCTCAAAAGTAGATGCAACCACAGTGAAAATAAACAAATGAAATTGCATAAAATAAAAAATGTTTCTGCACAGCAAAGGAAATAATTAATGGAGTAAAGAGACAACTTACAGATTGGGAGAATATATTTCCAAACTATTGTTGGGGCTCAGAAACGGATACCCTAACATATAGTGATTTGACAGGTGGAACTAAAGAAGACTCGAGGTCTCTCTGACCTCCTCCTCAACCTCTGTTTCTTAATCCTCTGTTTTCCCAGAGCACAGGAGGAAGTTCTCTGAAGTTCCTTTATCTGCTTTAAGTTCAGACTCACCAAATAAGAAAACAGTTAATTCTGGTGCCTTCCATGGGTTTTCATTAACTGAAGTCATATTGTAGGAAAAAGAATGAAGTCTCTTAACCCACCTGGATAGATTTTTCTCACAAACCATTGTCTTCTCTGCAAGCCCAGTAGACTTTGTCCCAGGCCATTTATGTGATCTTCACCCCATTAAGTTCTCCCCAAATTATTTACTCTTCCCCCAAAATCACCCACACTTCCCCATCTCCCTCTCCCCTAAGGACAAGGGTATATCACCATCTATACCCCATTGCTTGGTGGGGTGATCACTCTGATTCTCTGCATGCATTTTTATAGATTTGTTTGCCATTTATCCTATTAATCTGCATTCTGTCAATTGTGGCAAGTTATCAGCATATTTTTTAACTTTTAATTATTCTTAATGGAAAGACACTTCTGTATACACTGGAAATCTCAGGAAATTTCTTTTTTCCTTAAGCTTAATTGAAATGTTTACTTTTCAGTAAAATTTCAAGCTTGAGTAATGTTCATGCCTGCTTTTCATTGAAATAGAATGAAAAGGTTGCACAATATTATTTTCATGAAATTACTTCTAGTATAATTCTGAATAAACACTTTGAAAGGCAGTGAACTGTAAATATATTACAGCTATCTCTTATTCTTCAGGGTGGGTCTCAATTATGTAAAAGATGATTGGCTTTCTGTTTTAAGTAATAGTCATTTTGAAAACACTTTAAAACTGTCAAGTGAAGTGTGATGGCTAATTTTATATGTCAACTTGACTGAGATAAGGTATACTCAGCAGGGAAAGCATTATCTCTGGATGTGTCTATGAGGGCTTTTCTGAAAGAGATTGATGTTGGAATCACTAAGCTGTGTAAAGATGATCTACCTTCACCAATGTTGGCAGGCATCATCCAATCCGTGCAGGTCTTACCCAAACAGAGCAAAAAGTCAGGTAGGGTAAATTTATTCTCTTCTAAAGCTAGGGCATCCATTTCTTTCTACTCTCAGACATTGGAGTTCCCCAGTTTCCCAGACCTTTGGCCTTACACTGAGAATTATGCTTTGTTTTATTTAGGCATATTTTAATAATACTTCATGTATTGGTCAGGAAGACATTTCCTGGTTCTAAGGCTTTCGACTCAGACTAGATTACAACACTGGCTTTCCTGGTTCTCTAGCTTGCAGAAGAGAATACTAGGAAGCTTGTACTTCCTACATAGGTAAGAAGAGGAAACAATCTCTGGCTTAGAAACTATGTAACCAACCACAATTCACAAAGATTCCATAATTTCCTTGGCAGGAGGCTAAGATCTAAAGCCCAATATGATTGTACTTCTCTTATCAGTTTTCTGCAAACAAAAGAGAATAGAACTAAAATACAGCTTTGTTAAAATAATGTTGATTCATTTGCATGAAATATCAGATCACAGAAAAAACATATTTTTATAAAATATGAGCTCTGTCACACTGGCCCTCATAGACACATCCAGAGATAATGCTTTCCCTGCTGAGTATACCTTATCTCAATCAAGTTGACATATAAAATTAGCCATCACACTTCACTTGACAGTTTTAAAATTAGGTTGTTTTTTCCAAATGACAAAAAGCAGGAGCAAACTGCAAGTGCTCCTGCAACACATCTAACAAGAAAGCCTTATCTGACTTTTATGAGGTTCGGTATAATGCCCAAACTGCATATTTCAAACTCTTGCCATCAGATTCACCTAAGAAGACAAAAGATCTATTGCCTTTGAACCTACATTCCCAAAGCGTGCAACATGAACTTGCCTACATCCAAGGGGTAGGACCTTCTTACGTAGTGAATTCCCAAAGTGTTGCTGAAATTATGAACAGTGCTCTGCCTCATACTGACAAGTGAAACCTCTATCTCTGATTGCCCAAAAATGTCTAATGAAGCTATAGCATCACTACAATTTGGAATAGACACTTAATCCAGAATTGAAGAGATATAGATAAAAATGAACTGAGTGCAATGCCAAGAGATAGGATAAATATGGCCCCCTCCAAAAAAAGATCCTAAGTCCATGACAGTGGTGCTAGAGATTTCTCACAAAACTCCAAGGAGTAAAACAAGAAACTATAAAGACAGATGGAGAACCACATGTTATGGTACATCATATAAACAACGAAGAGATGGTAGTCAATTGTGTAAGAATCTCGAAGTTGTTGGGTTCAAATAAAGAGAATTATGAAATGAAATAAGTATCCAATTAACACAGGAAATAATATGAACAATGGGGTTAGGAGAACAGAGATCAATGTAAGAGATGTTTCCAAAAGTAATGATGTTGTCATGGAAGTTGGCAGATGATCAAATTATCAGGTATGTAAAACTGATCATGAAGGTGTTCCAAGGAAATTACTCTAATTGTTTCATCAATATTGAACCCAAAATTAAATCAACCCAAACATAGAAAAGGAAAAAAAAAAAGGCAAAAGGCACAGTGTAATGATGCTCTCTTTACTCCTTTGGAAGGGATTGATAAAATTGCAACTACTTCTTGTATAAAGAATCATCCATTTTATAGATGACTACAAATTCAATCCTAAACCTTCAAATACAATGAAAAGAAAGTATGTACTGAGAGCTGGAATGACTACTCACCTAGGCCAAAGTCTCACCTAGGAATGAAGCATCAGGCACACAGTGCACTGAGCATGGCTGAAGGTGCATTGACTAATCTTCTAAAACCTACTCCAGAATGAGAGAGACTGGTACAACTCCATTTGTGCTAAATTTGGAGATATAAACAATATTTTGGAGTTAAAACCTAGAAGTTTTCAAATCTACATAAAAAATCAATTTCTTTTTTTTCTTGCAAAAGCAGAAAAGATGAGAGGACATTGGCACCTGCCAAGAGTGTTGATGAAATGGGGTACTTCCCTGGCCTCTTTGCAGGAGTTGCAAAGGGGTTGGCTTGTTTACTCAGCCCACAGCTCTCAACCCCTCATGGGAGGGGAAACTCACAGGTGAGTGGGTGTAGGGATCAGGATGAGGGCTTCTGTGTGCCAGCAGGAGTAGAACTCTGTGCTGCCCCATGGCAACATCTAGGGGAGTTCCCATGACCCCTCAAGCCCCAGAGGGTGAGTGTTACAGTGTGCTCTTTTAGCTTTTCTATCCACAGATGACAAGTATTTAACAGCTCAGTGGAGGGTCAGGGTGACAGCCTTTTGGACCTGCCTTCTTGGTACCTCAGTTCTTGTTTAGCGTCCAGGAAGAATCAGGTCATGCAAACAAATTGAAGGGTAGTGAATGTGGAGGATTTTATTGAGGGATGGAAGTGGCTCTCAGCGGGATAGGGAGCTGGAAAGTGGATGGAATGGGAAGGTGGTATTCCCCTGGAGTTCAGACAAACTCTTCTCCGAGGTCCCACCATCAAGCTGTCCCTCTGAGCTCAAACTGCTTCTCTCTGACATCCGGCTGCTTCTTCTTTTCTTTCTTTCTCTGTCACTCTGCTATTCCGCTGCTCTGCTGCTCTGCCACTCTGGTGATGGGGCCTGTGGTTTTTATGGGTAGAGGATGGGGTGTGGGGTGGGCCAAAAAGCAACATGTGAGTGGGAAAGCAGGAAATGCATGTTCTCATTTTGGTCTGTGATCCCAGGCTTGAGGATGTGTGGCTCTTGCTTGGGACAGCCCTCTTCTGCCCAGTATTTCCCTGCTTCCCACCCATATCACCAACACTGCTCCTAACCCTACTCAAAAGGTACATTAAAATATAGAGGTGGAAAGTTATATGCTGCTTCTCTCAGAGCAAACCCTTTCTCTCTTATGTAAAATAACTAACTTTCCTCCACAGCATAATTTAAAAAGAAAACTAATGATGACATTAGTCAGAAATCTGTAGACATCTCTACTCCTCTAGTAACTCTGAAAACTGGGTCTGCTAATGAGTTGGTAGCATTAAATCTGAAGACTGAAAGTTTTCTATTCTGTTCCTTCTCTTTTTACCCTTACTTTAGTGGAACAGTAAATTTCAGTAAAATCAGTGAAGGTGTATCTGCCAAGGTTCCAATCAACACAGAGGAAGAGAAGACTTGTTCTATAACTAAACTAGTAGACAACCCAGAAAAATTATCTCTACTTATAATAAACAGAAATCCTAATTACTGCATCCAACTACCTGACCATCATTCATTTTTAAGAGACAGAATTTTTAACGTTCCAAAGTTCTCACCCAAAAGAGATCTGACAGTTTCTGACTGCAATCCATTCTGGAGAAGTTGCTACTAAATTGAATAGAGTAAAGTTATTGTTCCTTTAAATACAATATCTATGAATGGACAATCAAGATTTATGTCCCTTAAGGCATAAGACAGCTGTTAAATGTTGTTCCTCCATTGTACTAATCAACTTCATACTACTGGAGGATATTTGTAAAAAATATTTATATATACACACATACACACACACTCTTAAAATAATTTGTGCTAGGTTATTTATTTATTTATTTATTTATTTATTTATTTATTGAGACAAGGTCTCACTCTGTTGCTCAGGCTGGAGTGCAGTGGCATGATCATAGCTCACTGCAGCCTCAGCTTCCCAAACTCTGGCGATCCTCTCACATCAGCCTCCCAAGCAGCTGGGACCACAGGCATGTGCCATTATACCTGACTAATTTTTGAATTTTTTGTAGAGACAGAGTTACACCGTGTTGCCAAGGCTGGTCTCAAAATTTTGGGGTCAAACAATCTACCTGCCTTGGTCTTTCAAAGTGCTTGGATTATAGTTGTGAGCCACTGAGCTCAGCCTGTCCTAGGTCTTTTAATGTCAAAAGAACACTTGCCCGCATATATATATATATGTATACATATTTGTCATTTCTTTGTCTTAAAACTGGAATATCCTGCTTTAAAACTTTAAGACAAAGTGTAAATGATTTTCTTTTTTTAATGAGAAATAGTCACCTTTTGTCAATTTTATTTGCTGATTTTATTGACTTGCGTATTCTACAGTGGAGACCTCAACATATTCTATGTATTGTGTTTTAGTAGCAAGGTGAACATATGTATGATATTTTCCACCTTAATGTTACTCTTTAATTGAATACATTTATAAGTTACATTAAAGCTTATTTTATGTTGAAAGAAGGAGCTAGAAAACTAGTGATGTTAAACAATGTGTTAACATTTATTTTCAATGATGAATCATTTAGTTTACAAGACATATCTTGTATTTTCTTTAGGTAATTGCCAAATCAGAGTCAAATTTATGGTAAGTTCATAGTACTTTAATATTTTATTAATATGAAATACTTGATTTTTACATCTTTAGAATTTTAATTGCACAAGGAGAACTTCCAATAAATATTTTCTGTATATAATTATGACACTTTCTTCACAAATATTACATATTCTATGCTCCAAGGCCTTGAACAATTTCTTGTGAAAATGTTGCTGCATTGTCACAGTTATTTCACAATTTTCATATAGAGAGGAATAGGGATTAAGTTATGTTCATTTGCTTTTTTTAACTTTTAAGTTCAGAGATACATGTGCAGGATTTGTAGATTTGTTACATAGGTAAACACATGTCATGGAGATTTATTGTACAGATTATTTTATCACTCAAGTATTATGCCTAGTATCCATTATTTTTTAAATTCTCTCCCTCCTTTCACCCTCTGCTGTTTGGTAGGCCCCCGTTTTTGTTATTTCCCTCTAGGTATCTATGTGTTCTCATCATTTAGCTCTCACTTACAAGTGAGAACATGTGGTATTTGATTTTCCATTCCTGTGATAGTTTGGTAAGAATAATGGCATCTAGTTCCATATATGTCTCTGCAAAGGACATGATCTTGTTCCTTTTTATGGCTGCATAGTATTCCATGGTGTATATGTACCACATTTTCTTTATCCAGTCTATCGTTGATGGGCATTTAGGTTGATTTTGTGTCTTTGCTATTGTGAATAGTGCTGCAATGAACATATGTGTGCGTGTGTAGTTATTATAGAACAATTTATATTGCTTTGGGTATACGCCCAGTAATTGGATTGCTGGGTCGAATAGTAGTGCTGTCTCTAGGTCTTTGAGAAATTGCCATACTGTCTTCCACAATGGTTGACCTAATTTACACTCCCACCAACAACGTAAAAGCATTCCTTTTTCAACACAACCTTGCCAACATCTATTATTTTTTGACTTTTTAATAATAGCCATCTGACTGGTGTGGGATGGTGTCTCATTGTGGTTTTGATCTGCATTTCTCTAATGATCAGTGATATTGAGCTTTTTTTCATATAATTGTTGGCCACATGTATGTCTTCTTTTGAGAAATGTCTTTTCATGTCCTTTGCTTACTTTTTAATGAGGTCTTTTTTTTTTGTAAATTTGTTTAAGTTCCTTATAAGTGCTGGATATTAGATCATTATCAGATGCATGAATTACAAAAATTTTATCCCATTCTGTAGGTTGTTTACTCTGTTGATAGTTTCTCTTGCTGTGCAGAAGATCTTTAGTTTAATTAGATCCCATTTGTCAATCTTTCCTTTTCTTACAATTGCTTTTGGCATCTTCGTCATGAAATATTTGCCTGTGTCTATATCCTGAATGTTATTGCTTAGGTTTTCTTCTATGGTTTTTATAGTTTTGGGTTTTACACTAAAGTCTTTAATCCATCTTGAGTTGATTTTTGTATATGATATAAGGAAGGGTCCCAGTTTCAATTTTCTGCATATGGCTAGCCAGTTCTCCCAGCACTATTTACAGGGGAATCCTTTCCCATTGCTCATTTTTGTCAGGTTTGTCAAAGATCAGATGGTTGTAGGTGTGTGGTCTTATTTCTGAATTCTCTAATCTGTTCCATTGGTCTATGTGTCTGTTGTTGCACTGGTACCATGCTGTTTTGGTTACTGTAGCCTTGTAGTATAGTTTGAAATTGGGTAGTGTGATGCCTCTGGCTTTGCTGTTTTTGCTTAATATTATTCAGGCTATTCAGGCTCTTTTTTATTCCATATAAATTTTATTCCATATAAATTTTAAAATAGGTATTTTTCTATTGAATCTGTAAGTTGCATTGGGAAGTACGGCCATTTTCAAGATCTTGATTCTTCCTATGCATAAGCATGGAATGTTTTTCCATTTGTTTGTGTCTTCTCTGATTTCTTTGAGCAGTGGTTTGTACTTCTCCTTGAGGAAGCCCTTCACTTTTCTTGTTAGCTGTATTCCTAGGTATTTTGTTCTCTTTGTAGCAATTGTGATTTGGCTCTCTGCTTGCCTGTTGCTGGTGTGTAGGAATGCTAGTGATTTTTGCAAATTGATTTTGTAACCTGAGACTTTGCTGAAGTTGCTTCTCAGCTTAAGAAGCTTTTGGGCTGAGATGATGGGACTTTCCAAATATAGAATCATGTCATCTGCAAACAAAGACAATTTTACTTCCTCTCTTCCTCTTTGAATATGCTTTATTTCTTTCCCTTGCCTGATTGCCCAGGCCAAAACTTCTAATACTATGTTGAAAAGGTGTAGTGAGAGAGGTTATCCTTGTCTTGTGTCAGTCTTCAAGGGGAATTCTTTGAGCTTTTGCCCATTTAATATGATATTGACTGTAGATTTGTCATATATGACTCATTATTTTGATGCCTGTTCCTTAAACACCAGGTAGATTGAGAGTTTTTAACATGAAGGGATATTGAATTTTATTGAAAGCCTTTTCTGCATTTACTGAGATAAGCATGTGGTTTTTGTCTTTAGTTTTATTTATCTGATGAATTACATTTATTGGTTGGTGTATGTTGAACCAACCTTGCATCCCAAAGATGAAGCCGACTTGATCGTGGTGAATAAGCTTTTCAATGTGCTGCTGGATTCAGTTTGTCAGTATTTTGTTGAGAATTTTTGCATATGATCATCAAGGATATTGGCCTGAAGTTGTCTTTTTGTTTGTATTTCTGCCAGGTTTTGGTATCAGGATGGTGCTGCCCTCATAGAATGAGTTAGGGAGAAGTCACTTCTTTCAAGTTTCTGAAATAGTTTCAGTAGGAATGGTACCAGCTTTTCTTTATACATCTGGTTGAATTCAGCTGTGAATCCATCTGGTCCTGGGCTTTTCTGGGGAGGTTGGTAGGCTATTTATTACTGGCTCAATTTCAGAACTCATGGTTGGTCTTTCAGGGATTCAATTTCTCCCCTGGTTCCGTCTTGGGAAGGTGTATTTGTCCAGAAATTTATCCATTTCTTCTAGATTTTCTAATTTATGTGCATAGATGTATTTTATGTTCATTTGAAAAAGCTGAAGGGTTAATTGGAGTACCAGAAATTTTAGTTTTAATTCTAGTAAAATGACTAAATAAAATTACGATGTAGGCATGCAGTAGATACCAGTTTAAAGTTCTGGCAAATCTCACCAATCTAAAAATTATGAAGGATAAAGATTATAAAAGTTTTATACAAAATTAGAAGTATTAGCATCTAAAATTACATAGTAATTTTATCATTTTATTAGAATTAAAGCCAAGATTTCTTAAATGTTTACACATACATTTGATATGGGAGTGCTGGGAAGGGAAGAACATGGTCCCTTTAAATGATATGCAGTGGGGGAAGGGAAGTGCTAGGTAGATGAGGGTGTGGTCTCTGGCTAGGGCTCCACTTCTGCCCTACTGCCATGAGGTTGGAGCTCCCCAGCCTGCCTGTCTGTGTATGCTCCCCTAGAGATTTGAGCAGTGGGGCACTGAAGAAGCAAGCCACACCCCCATCACATGCCCTGCAAGGGGGCAAGGGAACTTTTCCCATTTCAAATGGGGGCTTTTCCAGGATCTCAGAAGTTGAGTATGAGCAAATACAAAACTATGGGGTCTGCTTTTCTTCCAAAACCCTGCCACTTCTCTTTCTGTGGGTAAGATGCTCTGTTTTCTCTTTGTCTCTTTTCTCTCTCACATGGTTCAAAATGGCTATCTCTTTCTTTATAGTGTTAAGAGTTTTGTTACAGGCTGCAGCAATTTTACTAAGTAAAATGAGCATTTGGCTCAGTCAACAAAGATGCAAGTCAGACCAATTGTTCCTGGAGGTGCCATGTATGCCTCCATGTCGACAGCCACAGGTACACATGGCTCAGGGCACCTCCCGTTACCCTTTTTCCTCCCACTTCGGGTGCCTGGGTGTGCCCACAGCAGGCAAAGGCCAAGTTCAGCAGCCACGAGGAGGGTGGGAGGAAGCTGGGGCAGTAACCAGGACTGTACAAGGTGCTTCTTACCTGCCGTGCCAATGGAACATTCCCTCCCCTGGCCAAGGAATTAAATCTGGTCTGAACTGGGGGAAGAATGGGAAAGTTATAAGGATTAGGAGGGCCCACTTGCACTAAGCAAGTGGTTCTTCCCTCAGAATCTCTCCCATTTTTGCCCCTTAAGCTATTTTTCTGTTTTTTAAGTGAGAGGGCTCCCCATTCTAACACTGTTTCTGATAGGGAAGTTAACGGTGAAACGACCCCTGCTGGCTGAGAACTGCAAATTCAGCAGGGCATACTTGAGACTCTCTAAATGGACACAAACAGCTTCTGAAACGCCTTTTCAGTCCCAAACTTGATTCCAAGCTTCAGGCTGAGGTCCTAAAAAGGAAAACCAGGTCTGAGGGATCCAAAGCCAGGCAACGGGCACAATATAAATGGGCAGCCAATTTCTGCCAATTGAAACCTCCACCCCATGGAAGGAGGCCTTGCTTCGTGACATAAACAGGCCCAGGGAACTCAAAGTTTGCCAACAGCAGGGAGAAAAGAAGGCATAGATAAGGGCAGTTAACTCCTATTCTCCGGATTTTCTCTACTTCATGGGTACCTACCGCATTGGTACCTATGTCACTTGCCAAGGTCAAGGTCACTGGGTCTCAGGGACAAAAGGTGGAAAGTGAAGGGGGACACTGGCTTTCTCTCTCCATCACACCCTGAGTATTTGCTGAAAGAAGAGAATGATGGACACCTCTGTTCCCTGTCTTTCAGAATGGGCAACCAGTTCTCTTCACCACTTCCAGCTTATACTCCTCTGGAGTGTATCCTGAACCATTGGGACGGCTTTGACCCTCAGAATCTGGAGGAAAAACACCTCATAGCCCTACGCACAAAGGGTTGGCCAAATTATGATTTACAGGAAGGACTGAGTTGGCCTCAGGAAGGAACCATTCATTTCAATACCACTTGGCAGTTGGAACTTTTCTGCAGACATGAGGACAGATGGTCTGAGGCCACATATATGCAGGCTTTCTATATCTTGCAAGGCAATCGAGACCTTGGCTAACAATGTAAGATAGATCTAGCCCTCCTGTTTGCCATCTTAGGGAAGGCTGCAAGGGGCAAGCCTAGAGAATTAAAGATATGAGTCCCAGAGGCACCCCCAACAGGGGAGCCAGCTCCCTCAAGCCCTGCTCCTCCAGGTCTATCCCAACCTCCCTATCCAGCTTCAGCCTCTCACTTGCCCCCTCCTAGAAATCCTCACTCTAAACAAGCCCCAGTCTCACTCCTGCCCCTCCAACAGATGCCCAGTGAATTTGGGCCCAGTAAGGTCCAGGTCTCCTTCTCCCTACAGGACTTAAAGCAAATTAAGGAGGATATTGACAGGTTTTCAGATGACCCTTATAGATAGAGGCTCTCCAGAATTTCACCCAAATATTTGAACTCTCTTGAAAAGACATTATGTTACTTTTGAATCAGACCCTGATGGACACTGAGAAACAGTCCACTCTGCAAGCAGCAGAGAGATTTAGGAATGAGCTTTGTATCACATATAGCGTCAGGGAAGGGGACGAATATTCTCCAACTGGAAGAGAAGCAGTACCAGTGAATGACCCTAAATGGCATCCCAATGATGAGATGGAAGACTGGAGAAGCACACACTTTCAGGTGTGCATAGTGGAAGGCTAGTATAAATTTATTACTCAGGCAGCTCCTGATATCAGGAGGAAGTTGCAGAAACGATCCCTGGGATCAGCTAGTACATTAGAGGACCTCCTGAAAGTGGCTACCTTGGTCTTTTATAATACAGACAGGGAGGCCCAGGAAGAGAGAGGAAATACGCAAAAGAGCAAAAGCTTTAATGGCCACCATGCAACCCCACAAACCCTAGAATTCCCAGGGTACACCTGTTAGTTGCTAAAGATATTTCAAGAACAGTTATCTCTCTGGTAAAGTTTATTTGCTCCTGTGCAAGGTTTCATTTCTTTCAACAGAGTGAAACAACTTGGGGTACAATGTTATTGTTAGTATATTTTCTTCTTATGTCTGTAATATTTGGCACTAAATTCTTTCCTTTAATAATACACATGTTTAACCCATGCATACTTAACCTTATAAAACTTGTTTTTTCTCTCATGCCTGGAAGCCATCAAACTCCAAATGTTCAGGCAACCAGAGCCTCAGATGATGGCTCCGCTTTGCTAGGAACCCCCAGGTAGACCTCTCGGAAGCATCCGACAGCAGTTTACCCCAAAAGAATGCCCCCTGTCAGTGGGAAGCAGCTAAGACCAGTCATTGTCCATATTCTCATGGCAGTTAGATACACCTCTTCAGAGAGGGGAAATAATATGGGAGTGCTAGGAAGGGAAGAACATGGCTGGCTAGGGCTCCATACCCTGGCTAGTCCTGGCTAGGGCTCCACACTCACGGACCTAACTGAGAACAGGTATTTCCCGCCCAAATGTTGCATTTCCCAAGACCACCCTGGCCTGCCATGCCCCCATCCTGTGCCTGCAAAAACCTGAGACCCTAGCAAGGCAGATACAGAAGCAACTGGACATCAAGAGGAGCACATCAGCGGAGGAACACACAGGGAGAGGAACACATAGGTGGCTGGACATTGAGAGGAACACACTGACAGGCACCAGCATGCTGGTAGGCCACTGACTGACAGAACAATGCAGAGTTTGGCTGGGGCAGCTGGAGGACAGTCTGGGCCACTGAGCAGCCTGACTTCAGGGGAAAACCATCTCCCTTCTGACTCTCCCATCTGCTGGTAGCTATTTCCACTCAATAAAACCTTGCACTCATTCTCCAAGCCCATATGTGATCTGATTCTTCCAGTACACCAAGGCAAGAACCTCAGGATACAGAAAGTCCACTGTCCTTGTGATAAGGCAGGGGTCTAATTGAGTTGACTAACACAAGGCACCTAGAGCGGCTAAACTAGAAGAGCAAAACTAAAAGAGCACACTGTAACACATGCCTACTGGGGCTTCAGCTGCAAACATTCACCCCTAGACATTGCTGTGGGATCTGAACCCCACAGCCTGCCCGCCTGTAAGCTCCCCTAGAGGTTTGAGCAGGGAGGCACTGAAGAAGCCAGCCACACCCCCATCTCACACCCTGCAAGGGGATAAGGGAACTTTTCCCATTTCACATTCAAGCCAGAACTGTTAAGAGAAACAATGGGTAATTTTCTGGCTTATACTTATTCTGGGTTCCAGAGAAGGTTGGTGTTCTGTTTCTACCTTCAGAATTGCATTGGCTACTTAATCTAAAAGCTTTGGTCAAACAAGCTGATTGTGGAGTTAACTGCTCTTCATTAAAGCTACTTAGAGCTTTTCCACTTCATATTATTAAGCTTCTGTGAAAATTTTGCTTTTGCCTGGTTTCAGAGAGTAAGTTATTTAAAAAAAAAAAAAAATCTCTTCTTAGTTTTCACCGTACTCAACTATCAGTAGAATTTCACATACTTGATTGCTTCCTCCCTGATATTCTTTCTTTAAAAGAAACCCTCTCCCCACCCCAGATTATTATTATTTTTTTTTTTTGCAGTGGTCCTTCTCAGCTTTCTTTTGTGGTTCCTTTTCCTTTTTCCACCCCCTAAAGTTTGGAATACCCCAGTCCTTGTACCTCTTCTTATCTGTGCTTACTTCCTAGGCAATGTCTTCTGGTCTCATCTATGGGCTGCTTACAATCACATTTATTTCTCTAGACCTAGCCTCTCCCCTGACTTCCAGCCTAAAGTATCTAACTGGATTCCTGACATTCCTACAATGATAGTTAATAGGCACTTTACACTTAACATGACTCAAGCTGAAAGCCTAGTCTTTACTTCATGCAAGCTTCTCCCTCAGTATTATCATTATCGAATACATCTTACTAGTTGATTTTCATTTCATATTACCTATCCAATACATCTAGATAAATTTAGAGTATATCCAGATATTCTCTACCTTTTGAGGCCAGTTTAAGACCAGCTTGGGCAACATAGCAAGACCCTATAGCTTACTTTTAAGGTAAAGATATATCTACCTTAAAAATAGCTGCCAACCCAAACTAAGCCATTTTCATTTCTCACCTGATTATTGTGATAGGCTCTTGACCAGTGTCCTTGTACTTGTCTCCTCATCCCCATAGTCTATTCTGCACACATTATTTAGAATGAATTTATAAAAATGTAAGTCTAACGATGTAAGTCTTTATGGCAAATTTTCAACTACCTATCTCACTCAGTAAAACGTGAAGGTTTCCCTGTGGTTCACAAGTTACTATATGATGAGGCTCCCATGTACTCCTCCAAACTCACATCTTCCTATAGTTCTTTTTAGTGCCTGTTGCACCATAATACTGTTCTGCTTTAGCCAAGCATGAACAATGCAATCTACAAATGAAATCTTTTTATTTCTTTCTTTACAATCCGTATGCCTTTTATTTATTTTTCATGTTTTATTGCACTAAATAAAACTTCTATTGTGATATTCAATAAAAGTGGCAAGAGTGGCCACCTTGCCTTTTTTCTAATCTTAGGGAGAAAGCATTCAAATCTTTCCCCATTAAATATGAGGTTATCTGTAGTTTATTACAGATAGTCTTTAACAAATTAAGGTAATTTCTCTTTTATTCCTAGGCTTCCAAGAGTTTTAATCATAAATGTTTGCTGAATTTTGCCAACTTCTTTTTTTAATCGATTGATAGAATTACATAAAGCTTTTTTATGTAAGTACAACTATTAATAAAACCCAGAATCAGAAGACTAAAAAGGACCCTGCCATCTATTGAAATGTTTAGACAAATTAATAACTATATGAGAAACAAAAACTATATTGTAGCAGGATGAGCCGCAGACAAAACCTCTCAGACACCAAGTTGGAGAAGGAAGGACTTTATTCATCTGGGAGCATCGGCAAGCTACTGCCTCAAAATCTGAGCTCCCCGAATGCACAATTTCTGTTCCTTTTAAGGGCTCACAACACTAAAGATTTCACATGAAAGGGTCGTGATTGATTTGAGCAAGCAGGTGGTACATGATAGGGACTGCATGCACCGGTGGTCAGAGAGAAACAGAACAGGGCAGGGAGTTTCACAATGTTCTTCTATACAATGTCTGGAATCTATGAATAACATCGGTTTCTAAGTTATGAGTTGATTTTTAACTAATTTTCAACTACCTATCTCACTCAGTAAAACGTGAAGGTTTCCCTGTGGTTCACAAGTTACTATATGATGAGGCTCCCATGTACTCCTCCAAACTCACATCTTCCTATAGTTCTTTTTAGTGCCTGTTGCACCATAATACTGTTCTGCTTTAGCCAAGCATGAACAATGCAATCTACAAATGAAATCTGGTTTAGGCCAGGCAGGCCCAGGCCTGGTTTCGGGCCTGGTGCTGGGCTGCCTGTCTTTGGTTTTACTTTCTTGTTGTTTTTTTCTTAAAACAGGTACTGAGTATAAAACAATATAAAACAATATGAGAGGGTCTCTCTCTTCCCTCATTTCCCCCATTTGAGACTCTCACTTTTTATTAGGGGAAGTTCTCACTCTTATTTTTGCTACTTATGTCTTTTTGTGCAATAGATCGATAGTGATTTATATAGTATGCTTGTGCTGAAGCATTTTGGTGAACTAAGGTAGCGACAAAGTTTTTTACCATTTGGAGAAATACAGGTGTCAGACAAGGGAGCAGTAAGCAAGTTCCTATTACTATTATTACTCTTATTGGAAGAGTTTTAAATCTTCTTATTGCTGGGAACCAATTTCCAAACATGGCTCTTGGATTGAGTCCGTGCCACACTTGCACGGGTACATGTGCCAGTTTTGTTATATCTTTAACTATGTCTTTAACTACTTGCCTTTGATTATCTATGTGTAGACAGTAATTAGTAAGGTTAAATTTCTTATAGACCTCTCTTTTAGCTGCTAGCAAGTAGTCGAGAGCCAATCTATTTGATAGATAGCATTTCTTCATAAGAGTCTCTTGCCAGGCAAAAACAGTCAAAGCTCAACTGGTTTTATTAGTAATAATTTCTAAAACAGCTTGTAACTGTATGATTCGGTTGAGCATGTAGATGGGGGTTTGATATCTTCATGAGCCATCTTGTGCATAAGTGGTGGGTCCATAGTATTGTATGATTTTTTCAGGAGGCCATTCATTATCTTTCTAATCACCTATGGCTATGCTTCTTTTTTCACGGGAAGCACAGACTGGGAAGCCCAGAAGTTCACCTGTTTTTATGGGCAGTAAGAAGAAAGATGGCTTAATGGTGCCAATTACACAGCTACCTGTCCACTGATCAGGCAGCTTAGCATAAGCTCTGTGTCCACATATCCAGTATAACCCAGTGGGGGCCATCCAGTCCTGGTGGAATTCTGGGTGGGCCTAAACAGCCTGCAGCTTTGGAAATTTACTGAATGGATTTCTTTCTGTGTAATTGGAACTCCACCATGTAACTGTTTTTGTGGTATCATTATACAGCTTTTGCCTAAGACAACTAAGCTGCCTTACAGGATGAGTGAATCCTTTTCCTTCTCTAGCTATACAATACTGTCTAATAATTGAGACTTTTAGAACTTAAAAATTGTCAGGGTGGTTCTTTTGGGCTGGAAATTCATCAGGAACTGGGTCTGTAGGAACTAATTCTCGGGCTACTTATGGCCATTGATCTCTTATTACAGTTTTTCTACAAACATAACATGAAGTGACATTTAGAGACTGGGCTACATGCTTGGCTAACTGCAAAAACAAATTTCCGGTTTTTCCTGGAGTCTCTGGTACTGGCACATTTAGTTTATCATAGAAAGTCTGAAATACTGGTTCTGGAGAGCATCTTTGAACCTCTCCTTCTATTAGGATATTTACACTAGGATCTAGTCCTTTTCTATCAATGTCTAATGTTACATATTTTCCTTTATTCTACTTTGGGTCTGAGGGATTTGTGATTATCAATTCTAAAGGGCTGCAGCTCCTCCTCATGCAGGAGGGGCTGACTTTTCCTTTTTTGGAGCCAAACAGGATCTTTTTTATCTTCTTTCTAAGTAGCCTAAATGAATGACACAAGACCAGTATTGACACATCTCACATAAATATGATTCTTGACAGATGTACTTATTTTCTGCTGCGTAACTTTTTTTCTAATCTAGAGAACCGCATCTTAACCTATGCTGTTTACTATTAATAGCAGCACAGGCATCAAATTTTAAGGTTACATTTTTGGGGACCCCTTTTCTTCTGTTCTAGCTATTACTTTACTTGCGTCACTTAGAGAACGACTAGTTCTTAGTCTTACTTCAAGGACTGTGATCATGGGAGGTTCAAAGGGGTCATAGCACACATCGGGCTGGTCACTTCCTGGATTACATACTTTGTACTGGGTGTTACTATACAAAGTTTCTCTTTGGAGTCCCTAGGCATTCATAATAGCTATAAAATAAAAAGATTGTCTTAACTTGTCCTACCTCAGTGACCTGATGTATGCACTGAAGGCAGCCCTCTGTGTGGGAAGAAGTATTGGAAGCTTTTACCACACAGGTCTAGCTCTCATTCACAAATTTTTGGGTTTTTCCTCCTCTACCTCCAGCATCCACTCTCCCAGCTGACACTCCAGAGGTCCAGTTGCCATCCCCACCCACTGCTGAGCTCTCTCCAGTTCTCGCCTTTATTCTGTCTTCTTATCCTGACCTCTCTTTGGAGGCCTTTCATCATTGGTTCCGATATTGGCTCTGACTCTCCCTCACCATCTCAGTTTTTCTCATTTTCTCATAACGTCACACTGGGTCCGGTTCCTGCAGTGCTCCTTTTACTCACATCATTGGCCTCCTCTCTGCCATCACAGGCCCCTCTCACATTGGCCTGCACATTTTCACTACTTTTTTCCCTCCTGCCCACAAATTGCCTTGTATCTTCTGCCTTCAAAGACTTTCTGGCCCCTGGTTTCCACTCATCCATCATGTGTTCTTAGTTCACCTTCACAGTTGACTTTCTTATCTTGGTTACCAGGGCCTTCTCTGCCATGAGTCCTTGCTCCCCACATCTCCTTTCTGGCTCACTCTCACCACTGTGTTTCTGCCTTCCCAGCCCTTTGCATGACTGAATTTCATGTTCTTGTGGGACTGTCTTCTGCCCTCACAACTTGCCTTTTCCATGCTTTTCCTGGAGCAGGAAGGCCCAGGATCCTGTTCCTATATCTGTGTCTCACTCTGTCTCTGGACACCTTCTCTCATAGTATTGTCTTCTCGCCAAACTTGGTCATCTCCATTTATCCCACTGATTCATTTTTCTTTTATCTGCTATCACCAATCACTCTTCCTCATCCTCCTTAGACTTCACTGTATCTCCGACTAACACTAACTCGGACTCAAACAGGGCACTGCAACTTGATGAACACTGTCCCAGAGAGTTTATCTCCAGATAATTCTATTGATTGGTCTTGAATTTCCCAATAACCTGGAAATTGATTGTCTACTTCAGCCATCTCCTGGCGGCTGGTGGCTGCCACGAACTTGTCCCATTCCTCTTGCTCAAGCTGGGATATCAAACAAGAGCTTTGTTCTCTTCATCAGAGGCCTCTTCCTAAGAAGACCCCAGAGACAGACATATGGATGCCTGTAGCCTCTGTCTCCTCAGCACTGAAGTCTAGGAACTTCTATATGCATATGTCAAAAAAGATTGGATTTCTAGATTTGAGAGGAGAAAGAAAATAATGAGATATCATTCCCAAAACATTTGAGGCAAAACTACTGAATGGATTATTATGGGACCATCCTAGAATCACTTGCTAGACTCCATCTTAGAATCACATGAGAAGTAAACCACACCCCCACGTCCTTCTGTGAACGGGATGTAAACCAGAGCACTGACACAGCTCCAGCAGGGTCTGAATCCTAAGAACTTGGTGAACCATTAGCAGCATGAACGATGTCAAGTATTCTAGTGTCCATCCCTCTACCCAGCAAGTCCTGGAGGATTATTGTTCCTGGAAGTATTTCTGTGTTTTAAAATAGCTTAGTTTGAAAATTAGTTCAACAAGACTGGGTGCGGTGGCTCATGCCTGTAATCCTAGCGCTTTGGGAGGCGGAGGCGGGCAGATCACGAGGTCGGGAGACTGAGACCCTCCTGGCTAACACGGTGAAACCCCGTCTGTACTAAAAATACAAAAACTTAGCTGGGCGTTGTGGCACGCACCTATAATGATGATGGCCGTAATGAGCAGAAACCCCGTAGTAGTCCAGGCAATTATGTCAGAGAGACAACCTACTGCATATGTTCTAAGACAGGTTTTCCCCCAGTGCTAACGTTTTGGAATTGGAAACGTCTTATCAATGACTTGCAGTAGTTTAATTGGCAACTTTATTTTTGCTTTCTAATTGATATTAATCTTACACCTTATAATTGAAAGGACCTTAGATTCAATAAAAGAAGTAAATATTTATCTTGTTTAAGCTAGTTTTGCTTCTCAGTCACCTACAGCTGAATTCACTTAGCATATTAAGTTATATAGCTGTTTGCTGGAAAATAGTAATTAGGCATACAAGTGAGATAATAGCTTTCTTGCATGAATTACCTTTGTACTATGTTAAAAACAATCAGTTGACTATATTTGCCTGGGTCTATTTTGAGCCTTCTTTTCAGTTTCACTCATCTATATATCTCTCCTTTGACAATTCTACCCAATCTTAACGAACTTAGCTTTACAGTAAGACCTGAAATTGAATAGTGTAAGTCTTCCATTCTGCTTGCTTTGGGTTTAGCTTGCTCTTCTTTTTCTGTTTTTTTTTCTTTAAGTAGATGCTTGCATTATAAATTCTACATTATCTCCTTTTCAAATATAAGCATTCAATATTATACATTTCCCTCTAAACTCTGCTTAAGCTAAAATCCATTAGTTTTGATGCTTTATATTGTTATTTTTATTCAACTCAGAATACGTTTTAAAAATTTCCCCTGATTCTTCCTCTTTGGCCTATACATTATTTAAAAGTCTGTTGTTTAACTTCTAAATATTTAGGCATTTTCCAAGTATCTTTCTTTTATTAATTTCTAGTTTAATTTTATTATGATTTGAGATATACATTTTGTATGATATTTATATTTTCCACATTTGTAAATATTTTCAGATTTTTATGTCCCCAAATATGATCCACATGAACATTCATGTGCACTTGGAAAGAATGTACATTCCCTGTCGTATAGAGTTTCCAATAATGTCAATTAAATCTAGTTGGTTGTTATTGTTGTTTAGTTCTTCTGTTTCCTTACTATTTTTTTTTTGTCTATTAGTTTAATTAGTTACTTAAAGAGGTGTTTACATCTCCAGCTACATTTGTGAGTTTGTCCATTTCCCCTTTCAGTTCTGCAGTCTTTCCCTTGGTGCATGCACGTTTATAATTGACCCTTGTTATGGGCTGTGGGGCCCAGAGAGTGGAATATTATGGGCTGAATTGTACTACTCCAAAATTCATATTTTGAAGTCCTAATCGCCACTATCTCAGAATGTGACTGTATATGGAGACACAACCTTTAAAGATGTAATTAACTTACAGTGAGGCCATTGCGGTGGGCCCTAATCCAATCTGATAATGTCCTTACAAGAAGAAATTTGGATACACAGAGACATCAGAGATGTACACACATTGAAGAAATGCCATTTGAAGGTACAGCAAAAAGGTGATCAGCTGAAAACCAAGGAGAGATGCCTCAGAAGAAACCAAACCTGCCAACAACCTTGATCTTGGACTTCTAGGCTTTAGCTGTGAAAAATAAGTTTCTGTTGCTTTAGCTACCTAGTCTGTGATACTTTATTGAAACAGCCCTAGCATATTAATACAACTCCTTTATTATTATGGAATGTCCCTCCTTGTTCTCAAGAGTGTCTTGGGTTTTTTTGTGTGTGTCTTTTCATATACCTCTTACATGTTTGTTGAAAGTTGTACATCTTCATCTTGTGTAGGACAGTGGGAATTGAGTTAAAATGCTTTTGTACTTGGAAATGTGCACACAGGTCCTTCTCCTAGGTCTTTAATGTGGGCTTTGAGTTAATCATTAAGAGTTAGAGCCAGGTGCGGTGGCTCATGCCTGTAATAGCAACTGTTCATGAGGGTGCCGTGGGAGGAACCCTTGAGACCAGGAGTTTGAGAACAGCCTAGGCTGGGCGTGTTGGCTCACGCTTGTAATCCCAGTACTTTGGGAGGCTGAGGCGGGCAGATCACAAGGTCAGGAGATCGAGACCATCCTGGCTAACATGGAGAAACCCCGTCTCTACTAAAAATACAAAAAATTAGCTGGGCGTGGTGGCGGGCGCCTGTAGTCCCAGCTACTGGGGAGGCTGAGGCAGGAGAATGGCGTGAACCCGGGAAGTGGAGCTTGCAGTGAGCCGAGATTGCATCACTGCACTCCAGCCTGGGCGAAAGAGCGAGACTTTGTCTCAAAAACAAAAACAAAACAAAAAGAAAGAGAACAGCCTGGGCAACATAGCAAGATGCCCATCTCTAAATAAATAAATAAGCAGAGCGTGGTGGTGCATGGCCTTCTGGAGGCTGGAGGGGTGGATCCCTTGAGCCCAGGAGTTCAAGTGGGCTATAATCACATCACTGCAGACAGCCTGGGTGAGAAAGAGTGAGATCCTGTCTCTAAAAATACAACCAAACTAAAAAGAGTTGGTTTGGGTTTGTGATTTGTTCTTGCTGTGATTATCCTCATTGTTTCACACACTTTAAATTCCTGTAATGACAGCTGGTGTTTAATCTGGAGATTTGTTTGCCAGAAAAATGTCTTCTTCATCCTGGGCATTTTAGTTTCCATTTTCACAGTGCCTTGGAGAAGATTACTTGGCACATTCTTATTTCTCTTCTGTCTCTCTTCCAGCAGCATTCTCTTTTACTCCTTTTCTGAAAATGTTATCTTGGTAGTGCAAGGCAGTGAGTGGAAGGGGTGATGGCTGTTCTCACTATGACTCAGTCTTAGGCACTGAGTGAGTGCCTGTAATGTTAGTGCCTGGCCTGCTCAGGTCTCTGCCCCTACCCTGGATATAGTCGTTGGTCCAGTGTGTATTCCTGCCCCTCTTACAGGAGCAGATTTTGTGTCTTGGCACTTTCTCCCACCTGCAACGATGTTCCCCCAGTTCCCTAAGGGCAGAGATGTTTGTTGCCCTTCTCCCCAGCACACACAGTAGGTCTTTTAGTTTATTGTGTAGATAGCAGATAGGGGAGAAGGTACTCTGTGGAATTTCATGCCACCTCTGTATTTTTTTTTTTTTTTTTGAGATGGAGTTTCGCTCTTGTTGCCCAGGCTGGAGTGCGGTGGCTGCGATTATGGCTCACTGCAACCTCCGCCTCCCAGGTTCAAGCGATTCTCCTGCCTTAGCCTCCCGAGTAGCTGGGATTACAGGCATCACCACCACACCCGGCTAATTTTGTATTTTTTAGTAGAGACGGGGTTTCTCCATGTTGGTCAGGCTGGTCTCGAACTCCCGACCTCAGGTCATCTGACCACGTTGGCCCCCCAAGTGCTGGGATTACAGGTGTGAGCCACCGCGCCCAGCCGCCACCTCTGTATTATCACTGTTTTCTCTCTCCAGGTCTGCATCACAATGGACATGAAGAATTTCTGCTTCTCTCCAGTCATTTCTGTGAGAGTCTGGTGGAGTTTGTAGAGAAATAGCCTGGGAGAGGTGGTGGGATTTTCTAATTTCTGCAGACCCCAGGAGCTTCACACTGTTCTGCCACCCTACACTTATCCCTAATCCATCTTTCAATTATCCTGGCTGAATTCTTACTGGTATCTGGTGTTGGATTTGTCTATCCTAAATAAGCAAGGATGTGTTTCCTCTCTCTCGCATGTGCCTGTCACCATAGATTTTGGCCAGCTGGTTGTTCTACAGAGTTCATTCTTCAATGGATTTGAAAATGTTGAGAAGTTAATTTGGCTATTTTCCATTATAGAAGGGGTAGCAGCATTTCTTTGAGATATCTGCAACATGGAAATGAAAGCCACACATCTCCCTTACTTCTTTTTATGCCTCTTTCCCTGCCCCTCTGCCCTCCTTCTCCTTTTTCCTTCATACTTCTTATTTTATTTGCCATATGATGACACTTGGATACCCTAGATGGACTAATAATCCTTTTTTTTTTCCATTTTAACTTTAACTTACTTGAGAACTTGAGAATAATCGCTAGAAAATGATTTTATATTTATTGGAGTAAATGTTCTTCTGTAACATATTTTATCTGTTTTTTACTTTTCTTTTTTGGGAGATGTTTAGAAAGGGACATGCTTATGCATAAATCATACACTAATTCCTTTTAGAGTCTTGTTTATTCTTGAAAGGGAACAATTGTGTCTGACTCATATATTTACTTAGGAATGATGTGAAGAGGTAAAGCTTAAACTGGAGGAAGTAAGTTTCCGTTAAAATGTGTTGTCTTAGATCACCGTTCTCCTAAATCTGGTTTACTGTTTGCTGAGAGACATGTTTTTCTGCATTTTCACATTTTTCCCTTTGACTGTGAGCAGGAGATATATGAGATTCTTAGTGAAGTCATTCATTGCGCAATGGCTCCAAGCTATTATTTATTGTTGATTCTTTAGACAACACTCTTTTTAGATGCTTTTTAGTTACTCCCTGCTTCCTCTTTCTTGTTCATTAAAATTTGCTCTAGAAGAACAAACAAAGGTCTCTTATCAATTCCTAATTCCATCCTTGATTTGGCTCATAGTTTGCTGCGCCTGACAGAGCCTTACAGTTTGACATTTGGGGTAACACTAGTTTCACTGAAGATATTAATAGTTTACTTCTCTTTTAGTTTTTCTTGGTGTGGATTTCTGTGACACTCAAGAGGGACTTTTTCCCTCAGATGTCTCAACAGCTGCCCTTTTCTAAGTTCTTTCAGATGGCGCATGTTCAACCAGGTTTGTAAAGCACTGCTAGCCACAGGGTTTGCAGAAACTGAGCTACTGACATAGCTTGTGATTCTAACATACTGAGCCCCATGAGAACCCTTATTTAATATTTGTAATTTAACATGTACATTGACCTTATCACTGAGAAGGTTTAAAATAGTGTCCAACCTCCATTCAGCAAAACTTCAATTTAAATTAAGGCAGAGTTAGCTAAATGTTAGCTATCCTCTGGAAATACTAAATCTAAGTAAGAGATACTGTTCTGCCTTCCCTTTCTCACAAAATCTTCCTTAATTTCAGCTGCTGTGATACCTGGCTACAGCCTTTATGAGCATTGCAATAAACATGTGTGCTGAGATCATATACTCAATTTCTTAAGTTTTAAAATGAAATCTGCTAAGAAGCAATGGTCCCTTGGAGAGAAGAGCTTGGTATAAAACATAAAATGAATTTCCCCTCCTCCTAGCCGGAAAAAAAAAAAACCTCAAAGGTAATCATGTAATTCAACAATTCATTCAACTAATATTTGTATAGTTAATAACACATGAAGTTGAAACTTCTTTTCACAGACTTTTGCCAAGTTTGTAGCACAAAAAATTCACTGCCAGTGTGGGGGATGCTGTCACCTCTAAATGTTAAATCTCACCATAGCAGTAATGTCTTGAATCACCATGAGATATGAATTGTTTATGGCACAGTCATTTTGACTTTTGTTCCAAGATTTCTTAGTTTCAGCAATCCAGTAACATTTTCCCTTATGCACCTTCCAGTCTTTGGCAGGACATGATTTATGGACAGTAGAAAAGTTGAAAGAAACTGGAAGAAAGGAAGATAAGCAATTAAAATCAATGTAAAACTGTATCCTAATAATGTATACTAATTGAAGGGTCTCAAATTTGGTTATATTATGTGCTAAGCTTTCTTTGAAAAAAGTATGTGCTTTGTTCCAGGGTACATTTGAAAAAAAATTAAAAGAATTGAAGTCATGTGTATATTCATTAATTCATTCACTCATCCATCCTTTTTCCATTTAATTTATCCTTTTAAAAATATATCATGTTTTCTATAAGCCAGGAAATGCACCAGACACTAGGATAAAACAATGAACATCCAAGCTTCAAGGAACTAAAAACTTTAAAGGAAGAATAGAAATTAGAAATTTTAATTAGTTGTCTACTAACACATCAGAAATGTTGGGAGTTTATATCACACTAGTATAGTTATTCACAAGCAAAATTTGTGCTATAGGCAGTCCCCCAAAATCAAATAGGTTCATCTCTATTATCACACAAAACGATCTTGACATCTAAAAATGTGCTCTTAACAGCTAGTTCTAATTTATAATATTTCCCAGCAAATTTAGATGATGATACAGGGTATTCTAGATATACCAATAATTTAGTATTCCTGTAAATAAATATTCTTTACACACAGAGACAGACAGACACACACACACACACACGCACGCACACACATGACCTGAAGCCATTGAAGAGTGAACAAAGCCAGACAGATTCTAGAGGGGAGATGACACTTCAAAGAAGGTATGGCAGGGCAAAAGTTTATCATTTTTACAATTGTTAGCCTTAGGCCAATTGTAGTCCCATGTAGAGTGAGTAAAACATCATTAAAAAACCTGCAGCCTTTCTCACCTGAATAACCAGAGAACAGAGTTAAGAGAAACCACAGATGCTGAAAATGAAGAATCAATTCCATAAAATCAAAAACATAGAGGGGGTGCTCTAACTTGTGTGTACAATTTTTTTCCCCAAATCTCTGACTGATGCAAGCACAAGCCAGGTTATGGTAAGAACAAGACAACCGAACTGAGACTTGACCTGCTGCCCCAAAGATAGAGATTTAAATTTAAGTCCAACTACACCAATTGCTTGCTAAGGAAGGAAAATTGGCCAGGTGCAATGGCTCACGTCTGTGATCCCAACACTATGGGAGGCTGAGGCAAGCAGATTGCTTGAGGTCAGTTTGAGACCAATCTGGCCAACACGGCAAAATCCCATTTCTACAAAAAATAAAAAAAAATTAGCCAGTCATGGTGGTGTGTGCCTGTAACCCCAGCTACTCGGGAGGCTGAGGCAAGAGACTTGCTTGAGTCTGGGAGGTAAAGGTTGCAATGAGCCCAGATCATGTCACACTGCACTCCAGCCAGGGTGACAAAGCAACTCCATGAAAAAAAAAAAAAGAAAAAGAAAAAGAAAAAAAAAGAAAGGAAAATAAACACTTTCACTTTTTTTGGAGGAATATGTGAGAAAACACAGACTTCTCCATATAACTTTCACAATGTATAGTATATAATCTCAAATGCCTTACATGAAAAACCAGAAAAATATGACCAATTCTAAAGGAAAAGGACAATCAATGCAGCTCAATATAAGGATGATGTGGAAGTTAGAAGTATCAGGCAAATATTTTAAAGCAGCTGTTGTAACTGTGCTTAATGACATAATAGAAAATATGCTTTCAAACGATGAAAAAATAGGATACCTCAGCAAAGAAGGACAGTAGGAAAAAAGCCAAATGAAATTTAGAATTGAGAAATATAGTAAAACATTTTATATAAAAACCATCTCTGGACATACTTAAAGGCAAGATTTAACAGGAAAACAAGTTAGCGAACTTGAAATTGTCCAATATGAAGAAAAATGTTGGATAATTTTCAGATCCTCAAGGACTTGTGGAATAATATTGAAACATATGACATATTTAGAATTGAAGTCCCAAAACTTAAGAGAAGAGAAAGATTAGGGCAAAACAAGTTGAAGATACAATAATTGAAATTTTTTCCAAATTGCTTAAATCCATAAATTTACACTTTCAAGAAGCTCAGCAAAGCCTAAGCAGGTAAATATTAAGAAATTCATATGTATGAATAAGTTAGTCAAACTTAAAAGCCAAAGATAAAAATCTTGAAAACAGTTTTTGTGCATTACCTGCAAGAAAACAATTATACAAAAATCCCTCATCCTCATTATAAACTATGGGGGCTAGAATACAGTAAAAGATATCTTTAAATTGTCAAAGGAAAAAGTAACTGTCAACAAAGTATTCTATATCCAGTGAAAAATCTTCCAAAAATTGTGGCAAATTTAAGGCATTTTCAGAAAATGAAAAGAACCCCTTGACAACAGATAATCACTATAGCTAATGTTAAAGGAAGTTTTTCAGGCTGATGCGCAATGTTTCTAAATGAGAACTTGAATATTATTCAAGGGAGAACATAAAAAATGGCAAACATCTGGATAAGCATAAAAGTATAAGGTAATCAACATATCTTCAAAAAACATTTGGTCTTGCTTACAAATTAAGTTCATACTGTTGCCTAGCTTATAAAGTTCTTTCTCAGACTGATATAATGCACCTAAATCAAACCCTTTCTGAGTAAGTGTATAATTATTGCGAAAGATAGAGCAACTATGTAGCTGAAAAATTTTAGGACACATTTAATGAAAACTATAAAAACTACAGTTTCACTTCTCTGATAGACTAGATACCTGGAAGCAGTGTTTCACACCCATTTTGATATCATAGAATATAAAAAAATAGATTTCTAAAGTAGAACAAGATAGATAAATAATAGTTTATTTATAGTCTGTCAAATAGCAACTTGGATTTGTATAGCTCAGGAACTTCAATGCATAAAACGTGTCAGGGCATGCAAAGAAACAACTTTAGGAGAAACAACACTGTTGTTTCTTTGAAGATGTTTTCACTACAAGACCATTATAACCTGAGATAATTAGGTTAAACATATTGCTTTCTTTGTAAGAAATGAGGAAATCACTAAAGGAAGGCACTTAGTTAGAAGCAGAATGGGGAGCAGCATTTGGTAAATGAATTCAAAGGGCAAGGTGGCCCTTCATGGTAATAATCTATATATTGGTGCTGAGATTCTAAGAATAAGCTCTTGGTTTACTGAAAGGTGATGGGATAAATCAGTGAGCCTTTCATCAGTCTGAAACCTTAAAAAGGGCTTCAAGACATCCAAATCATTAGCTACACCCTGCCCTCTTACAGATGAAAATGCAGTTAATCTCTGGAAGAAACAATCTTTAATTTTTCCTTATGAATCCCGTTATTGAGGTCAACCAAATTTTTAAAAATCATCAAATATTTCAGGAAACAAGCCAACATATCAATAGGAAATACAAAGAATGAATTTGGTCACCAAGGACTTTAGATATTTAAATAATCCTATGTATTATAAAAAATAATGTTTAAATGGTTTTAAGAAATAAAAGAAGAAATAAAAACATCACATCACAACAACAAAAAACATCAAAAGCCAATAAGTTTGAAAATACATCCCTAGAATCAAAAACTGTTATCACTGAAATTAAAAACTCAGTGAATGAGAGCAGATGAGGAAAGCAGCAGGAAAAGGGATAATTAGTGAATTTAAAGATATATCTGAAAATATTGCTAAGAATTCAGCACAAATTGACAGGGACAAAATGTGAAGTTAGGTGAAATGGGGGCTAGAAAGCAAAGGCCCACTGCACATCTAATTTGAGTCCCAGAAGGAAACAAAGAGAAATTAGAGAAAGAATTTGGAATGGTGGTTGAATAGATCAACTACGTTTTACTTTACATATTTTAAGTCCATTTTGTTATTTTAAGATAAACTCATTTAGATTTGGTGTACTTTCCTAATCAATTGAAAGTAGAACCTTAGGAGAGGTAACTTACACCTCTATAACAATAGAATAAGGGTAAGAAAACAGATTTGGAAGCATTTAAAGCCAGAGCTTTATTTATTGTCTCCCTGTGTCACAGGTATAAGGATTACAAGAAAGTGTTTTTGCTTTGGGGATAATGTCTCACAAAGTTAAGAAAAATATTAACTTACATTGTACGAGATAGTCTTTAGATTGTGGTTGAGGGAGCTTGGGAACATCAAAGTTCCCAAAGACTTTAAACACCAATGTAAAATCTTAATTAATCCCCAGAATTTGAATCTAGTTTATAATTTGGACATGGTAAGTCATTCTAATATAATTGTTTCTGGATGTTATAAAAAGATATATAATATTTTAATACAGAATTAAAATGTAAATTAAAAAATTAAAATCAAATAACCTAAGAAAATTCAAAGGCCATCTACTGACTTTTAAAATATGCAAATACATTCATACGAGAGAGCAAAAGAAAGACTAACAAAATTAGCATTTACATTTTTAAATATGTAATAACGTTAAAAAATTGAAAAACCATCTGCAATGACCATGAATTTTAAGAGGAAAGAAATTTTAACCCCAACCTGTGCTTGCACATACCCCAATAAAAAACAAAATAAAATACAATTATTTCAATGAAATACTTTTAAATTCATTTAAAACTCATTGTATAAGCTCATTTGTCTCATTTTGCCTTGGCCCTTTACATGTTAATATTTTTATCAGAATTGTAATGAGTCCATGAAAAGCAATGATCTAAACCATCTGTCTATTGTGATAGAGAAGTTTCTCCTCTATTCAGATATCGTCAAAGAAAATCAAGGCTACTATTCATGCTTGGTTACTCAGGAATTTGGCAATACAAACTAATATTACCTACTGAGGTGATTGTTCCAGATTTATTTTCCCCAGTACAGTTTTTCTCTTTTGGCTCATTATACAATTTAGTATTGGATAATGAATAGTATGTCATGCAGTGTTGAACTAGACAACTAATGAAAGAAGAAACATGTTTTTCTAATTAGATACAAAGCCCAAAACCATTAGTCTGTAGTTATTCCATGAAGTCCAATGATATGGAAATTCCATATCAAAAGTTAAATGATTAAAAATTTAAGAGAAAAACATAACTACTCTTTCCTAGATTTAGAGTCTCTTTTGCACTCTTATTAACCTTAGCAATGTTAACTTTAAAAGAATTGGAAAAAATATGACCAGAAGAATAAGCACTTGAATTTTTTCCTGGAGCTGTCATAATTACTTTAATAAGGACAAAATGTCCAGCTCTGGATATGACTCATATTTAGATCATTTGTGTTTAGTGAGTTCCTATTAATTATATCAGGTGTCACCTGGTTGATGTTTTGTATGTTTTGGTTTTGGTTAATGATTTGTTCCTTTGAGATTCTGCATATAAATGCTGCATATATGAGATAGAGTTAGCCCAGAGTAGTTTTTTTCTGCAACGAAGAAAATATTTGTCTTTCTGCTGGCCATTTAACTGAAATTATCTTTGATAATTTATAGTCTCAGAACAATGTATATTAGGTTATTAGTATTGACCATCTAAAACCACATAAACACATCTGAAAGTAATAAAAGTAAATATTTAATAGTGCTTGTCATTTGCCAGGCATTAACACAAGATACCATATTCAGAATATATTTAATTCATTTAATGTATTAAATATATAATCTCTAATTCTTATGTTGATACATCATACTTTTAATCCTTCAACATATATACATCATAATATAGTGCATCCAATGCAAGAATTTTATTAGTGATGTAGCTGGGATTTGAAAACAGGTCCTGGGTCTCTAGAGTATCCGTGAACATCGTTGCCTTCTAGAGAAACTTTTTAAGAAGACATTTTATCTTTGAAATCTATTAGTAACACATCAATTTTAGTAGCAAAAAAATCTATTTTACTAAAAAACTATTTTAGTAACAAGAAAATCTATTGCCTTCTAAAACATAATGAAAAGTAGTATAGTAGGGATTTTTAATGCTAATTATTATTGCTCCCCCAACCCCATTTTATAGCCCTAATTATGCCATTGGCTAGTTACATTAAAGTAGTTAAACCACTTATCCCTCTGGGCTTCAGACTGCTCATCTAAACTAGACTTTGCTGATTTCTGGAGTCCCTTCTAGTTCTAAAGTTCTACAACTCTGCTTATTTATTTGTAATAGATAATGCCATTCATAATTACTAACATAATTCTCTAAGATTCAGTGACATAGACACTGCATTGACTTTTCTAGGGTTTAGTTTAATCTGGAAGCCTGAATTACTTGGAATATATATAATCTGTATATCATCTCTGTTCTACAGATATTTGTAAGGAACTTTTCCCCAAGCGTTTATTCAATAAAACATTAAAATAATGGCCATATGAAAAATTGGACTATGTTTGGCTATGTCCAAAGTACATTAGTATAAATTTATAATGCTCAATGGAATTGATTTATTTTAGACAAATTTCTCACCTGTTGACACAAGATTGATGATACTTAGGAGTAGCAGATATGAATAAGCATACACAGAAACACAAGTCATAATTTAATTTGCTTCCTTCTGAACATGGTTTCAGAGACATCTGTGTATATCCCAACATCAAACTGCACCAGGCAATTCACTGCATGATCTTGATCATAAAATAAGCAACTAATCTTGCCATCTCTTTTCTTTATCATTGAGATGAATTTATAATGTATATTTTATCACATGGTGAAATTCTATAGAAAATCTCTAATTTTAGTTGTGTATCAAATTTTACACTTTTTGTGAAGTTGTACCATATTGTTTAGGAACCATTTAAATAGCAAACACAGTTACAACAAGTTAGGAGAAAAATAATACCCTGAGATGAATAAATAATATTACTAATTACTTACCCAAAATATTCAGTACAATTACTATTACCAGAAGGATAATATTATTGCACATCCAACGTTAAGAACAATTCCATGGTGGTGAGAATCTACAAAATTGAATAGATTTCACTAGTAAACCCAGCAGGTAGCTCCTTAGATGGTGAGAGGTAGGAGAGGGCCAAATAAACTTTCTCACCTATCATGTTCCTGAGTTACTTTCCTTCGAAATATGTAGACCCAGCTTCTTTTTTTTTTTCCACACAAAACACACATATGCGAGTATTCTCTGGTTTGAATAAATATGAATTTTTCCTTTTGGTTTCACTGTTTATATTCCCCAGTATTGATCTTACTTATGATCACTGTCTGTGTCTCTGGGTTTTTATATAAGACTGTGAAACCCTCAAGATTCTCTAATAAGCTTATTGACAACACCCATTTATTTGAGCTGATCTTTTCTGTTTCTCCTCTTATATAATGTATCCATTTCCTGTGATATAGCATTGTAATTCCATAAAACCATACATTTAAACATAAAAGAAATGTTAGAGATTATTTTAACGCAATACCCACGTGTTAAAATGGGGATATTCAAGTTCACAGTCACACAGTTACTTGAGAGCAGAGCTGATATCTAACCTCAGGTCTCTTGACTACCAGACTAGTGCTGCCTTCGGTATCCACACTTCTCATTGCATTTGAAGTACTCAAAAGATAATAAATAAACCAAATAAAAGAAGTTGTACTTTTAGCTTTAGGCTGAAAGTTTAAAACAACAGTCTCTGGTACATAAAAGTTACAGTACATTGTTTCCACTAGATATGTGACCTAAACACACAATACACTGAGAAAGTACTGAAAATAGCTGATATTGAAATATAATCATATCAAGACTAAATGGAATGTTTATTTGGTAGATTATTATTGAGTGCATTGTTTTATGTGCTGATTATTATTGCTATTAATTAAAACATCTTTAATAGGAATTTGTTAATTTTCAAAACATTAAAAGAAGTCCACATATTTTCACTCATCAGACAAAACAGTCAAAATTGTGGGAGTCAAGTCAGTCACAGAAAGAATGTGGTGATGTCACTACACGTTTCTTTTTCTTTCTTTTTTTCTTTTCTTTTTTTTTTGGATAGGCTTTTGTTCTGTTGCCCAGGCTAGAGTGCAGTGGCATGATCACTGCTCACTGCAACCTCCACCTCCCAGGTTCAAGCAATCTTACTGCCTCAGCCTCCTGAGTAGCTGTGAATACAGGCACGTGTCACCATGCTCGTTTTTAAAATTTTTGGTAGGCATGAGGTCTCTCTGTGTTGTCCAGGCTGGTACCAATCTCATGGGCTCAAGCGATCCTCCTTCCTCGGCATCCCAAAGTGTTGGGATTACAGGCGTCAGCCATTGTGCCTGGCCACTACACATGTTACTAATATGACGAACTGAAATTATGGATCCCTAAGTTTAGTAGAATAAAATTTCAGATTTCATAAAAAGACTAACATAAAAGATATTGATCATTCTTTTAGGCCTCCTAAGTAAGATTTAAGCAAAGCATAAATTTCTGGGATATTCTCAGTTCAAACACACACTCTCACTGATGTCCTGCTAAGCTTCCTGATGACATTCCTTTATGCTTTACATCTTGGAGAACCAATGAGCATACATATATACATTCATCGTCTAATGCGATTCATTTATTTATTCAGCCATTTATAAATTATTTTACTTATCAAGCATCTATTAATTTCCTGCTCTATATTTAGTACGGTGTGAGGTGCTAGAAACACAAAGATTAATAGATTATGTAGAAAGATTCAGCATTTTATGAGGCTCTGAAATGGTAAGGAATATGACAACCTTTAGGAGAAAAGAAAAGGCCAATAGCCAGAGCAAAATCAGTGAAAGGTATGAGGTTAGAAGAGATCAGGAACAATTGTGTAGGACTCTGTATGTAAGACAACAAAAATCTAATCTATCCAACAGCTCTTTCGCTTGATGGCGAAGTGACGCATGAGAACAAAAGTTGCGTTTATCTAACACCACACGTATACAGCACAAGAACAATATGATATTTGACTTCTGGTCATAAGCATGACTATAGGTAGGTAATTTAATCTTCATATAGTTCGTTTTCTCATTTTTAGCATTCTAAGATTGAACTAGATCACATTAAAAGATGTTGCCCCACATCCCTAAACTGGGAAAAGAATAAGGTTTTATTTATAAAAGTTCAAACCATAGACAGAAAGGCAATTAAACCCTGGAATGCGGAATCAAAAATATTGGTTTTGTTGCTTAAACTGAGTAAAATAACCTCTAGAAAAAGAAACTAACTACAGGACATTTTTGAAGCATAGGGGAATGACAGTGCAGTTCTAGTCCATGTTATTTTTCAAATTATGTTTCACTATTTCATAGGAAGTGAAAGTGCCTAAGCTGGAAGAAAAGAAAGCAAGTTAGCCTCTGCTGGGTAAAATAGAGAGGTAAGGTTTAAAATAAGAAACAAGATGCTTTTACAACCAGAAAAGGACACACACTAGATTCCTTTGATAACTATAAACTTTTGAAAATATAAAGAAGAAATACATTCCTTGGAAATACGAACAAAGTAGCAGATTCATTCCACAAGGGCAAATACAAAGGAGGAACTTTAAATTATTTAAAACACCTACATAAACTCTATGCTACAAAAATTCTTACCCTAGAGCAGAGAATGGAAATGTAACAAGACAGAGAAATTTCCTTAATACTTCAAAGAATAGAAAAGACACTGGCTATGAAAATCTATAATTTTTGAGGGGGTTTGGTGATGAAGGCACCATGTTAAGTTTAGGCATATGCTTATCGCCTCTGATTCCAGAAATATTCAATTACCTAGTCATTAATTCTAGACTTTATAAAATTAAATCTAACGTTTCATGTTTTCTTAAGTTTACATTTTTATCCTATTGATATTGTAAAAGAATAAATAACAATATGAGTAAATTGCCACAGGTATTTTTCCCAGTGGAGATGAATTTATCACATTATGTTAAAAGGTCAGATTTGATTGAGAGTGAGCAAAGCTGTGGAGCAGAAAGGCGTGATCCCGCTAGAAGTTGCTGTGTGAATATAAACATTCATCACGAGAAATCAAGAAATAGAAAGGCTATGAAAACAGAAGCAAAGTTCTACATATTAAAACCAAAGTGGCAATTTATTTTATGAACAGACATTTTGCTTCATTAAAAACATTCGCTCTTATTCTTAGCATTCAATGAATTTTGCTTTGAATCCAATCTCCTCTTTTCAGTTTGGCAATTAGATACATAAGAAAGAAATAAAGGAGATAACTAGTAAAATCTTAATTCTCAAAGGCACCCTAAATCCAGCTTACCAGATCTCTGAAGTGGAAACGCGAGTTCTAACGGGGAAGTCCGAACAGTTTTGATGTCAGCGTAGACTACATCTCCAGCCATTGCACAGATCAAAAAGAGAGAGAAGACCACAAATGATGTCCCACTGAAGGGACAATCATATTTCTGCAAAGAAACTTCTGATAAGTAAATTGAGATGGCAAATTTCCTTCTGCTCCCCAAGTGGGTGGTGGACTTCCTCCATGAATAAATGACAAAACCAATGTGTTCAGTCTTACTAATCAAGGTAGCAGATTTCTCGAATACTTGTATGACATGGAAGAAATTACTAACCATACAGTAGGTTCTCGTTTTTCAGTTAGTTTTCTGCCTAAACTTGAAATGCTTTTAACTTTTATTAATACCACAGAAGATATCTCACCATTTTCTCCTATAGACCACTTCCTCTTTTAGTTCAGGCATATATTCTCTGGCGGAAACTCTGAATTTCCAGCATCTTCTCCAAAGTAGGATAGCTATTTGGGAAACAGAACAAGAAAAAGAAGGGATTTTATTACGAAAGTTACAGAAAGGGGCCCTATGTCTTTTATCCTCCTCTCTAAATGCATTGTATTGTCTAGATAATACCTTAAAAATTCTGAAAGCTATTTGCTTTCCTGTATGCTTTATAATATTAACATTAAACTGAGGTAAAACATGAATTATGCAGAGGACTTCTGAACTAAAAAATATATATTTAAGAAACAGAAATAACTCTGTTAAAATAATTCAAGGTAATGACATAAAAGAAAAAAATCTAATTTTAAAATGAGGTGTTCAGAAATTTACTATCGAATACAACATAGCAAACATAGATTTTATCTCCTATTTCTTCTAAAATTCCACTAAAATTGAATTAAGTGAATAAAAATTTGTTAGTCTAAAACAATAACACAAAGGCTCAGGGTCCTATTAGTTGATGAAAAATTTCAACTAATTCCTGGAAAATGGAGAGTAGATGGAGATGTGATCATTGATGAAGAAGTAAAATCAGAGAAAAATGCAGCCAACACCATACAGAGGGAAATAATGGAGGAGAGCCTAGCTACCTGTGAAACCGTCATAGGACATAGAAATGTCAGATATGAAAAATGGCAGGATCCATTAGCTTATGACTAGTAGATTAACTGGAAATCTGCATATGGAAAAACTGGTTTTTTCAATACCCACTCAAGTGCATTCTGCAGAATTAATCTAAACTGCAGTCACCCCATCCCTACCCCTCATCCAAGAAATTTAACTTAGGTTAATTAAATAACTAGAGAACAGATCCTGGCTTTGTGGCATTTAGGGATCCCTCCTATAAAGACCAACTTCTGACCCTGGATGAGGCTTGAGCACCGACCTCTGTCTCTTAAGACTGCATGACACTCTCTCCCTTTTCTGGGCTGTTCCAACTGTTTGTATGTGACTAGACAATACCTACTACATACATGAAAAACTGACTTTTAGAGGTTTTATTATCTGCAGGTGGTTGCATAACCAATAATTTTTTTTTTTTTGAGACGGAGTCTCACTCTGTCACCCAGGCTGGAGTGCAGTGGCGCGATCTCGGCTCACTGCAAGCTCTGCCTCCCGGGTTCATGCCATTCTCCTGCCTCAGCCTCCCGAGTAGCTGGGACTACAGGCGCCCGCCACCACGCCCGGCTAATATTTTGTATTTTTAGTAGAGACGAGTTTCACGGTGGTCTCGATCTCCTGACCTCGTGATCTGCCCGCCTCAGCCTCCCAAAGGCATAACCAGTACATTTTAAGAGTGATAACTGAGTTCTAAGTCCATGCCATAATTCAACTATGCTGTCTAGATTTTGAGGGTAAGACTCACATTTTATTATTTTTATTTTCATCACTTAGTTTTGTGTGAAACATAACAGCCGCTCAGTAATTATGTGTTGAATTACCAAATCAGTTATGCTATGCTGAATGTTATAATTAGGCTATAACAGTTTTCCAGAATGAGAATAATCATTTTTCACTAAAAAGTAGACTTTTATTCATATGAAAAATATGACTGATGGGCCGGGTGCCCTGGCTCATGCCTGTAATCCCAGCACTTTGGGAGGCCGAGACGGGCGGATCATGAAGTCAGGAGCTCGAGACCAGCCTGGCCAACATAGTGAAATCCCATATCTGCTAAAAATATAAAAAATTAGTCGGGCGTGGTGGCGTACGCCTGTAATCCCAGCTACCTGGGAGGCTGAGGCAGAAGAATGGGTTGAACTTAGGAGGCAGAGGTTGCAGTGAGCTGAGGTCGCGCCATTGCACTCCAGCCCTGGAGACAGTGCAAGACTCCGTCTCAAAAAAGAAAAATATGACTGATGATCTAGTCATATAAAAGTAAAAAAATTACTAGCATGTAGAGTATTAAAAGAGTGTTAAAAAATTAGGGTAAGTATGTCAATTTCTGCCATGAAAAAGGCAGCTGGGATTCAGCAGATCAATTTTGGGAATAGTGCAAACTGAGTAATATTCATTTTTTCAATCCATAAATACAGAATCTCTCCTTTATTTAGATATTCCTTAATCTATTTCAGAAATGGTTTGCATTGTTCACAGAATAACTCTTACACTTCTGTTATTAAACTTATTCTTTATTTTATTATTTTTGATGTTATTGTAAACAAAGATTTTTCTAAATTTCATTTTTGGATTGTTCATTGCTAGTCTGTAAAAGCACTATTACTATTTTATATTGATTTTTATCCTGTAATCTTGCTGAACTTGTTTATTACCTCTAATTTTTATTGCTGTTGTGAATGTTTTAGGATGACATGATATGCAAGATCATGTTATCTGCAAATAAAGACAGTTTCACTTCTTCCTTTCGTATTCTTGTTTTATTCCCTTGGCAAGAAACTCCAGCATGATGCTGAATAGAAGAGGTGAAAGCAGATCTACTCCATCATTTTCACCAATATCATCCCCAGGTTGGGTTATCAAGGACTGGCTTTGCAGCATCAGGGCAACGAGTCCTTGTTATGTACAGCGCAAAGACTTAGTTAATGAATTCAAAATCACTAATGTTTATTTTTACACAGTTCTTTCATATGCGATATATATATATATATATATATATATTTTAATAGTTTAGACGGAGTCTCCCTCTGTCGCCCAGCCTGGAGTGCAGTGGCGCGATCTCAGCTCACTGCAAGCTCCGCCTCCCAGGTTCACGCCATTCTCCTGCCTCAGCCTCCCGAGCAGCTGGGATTACAGGTGCCCGCCACCACGCCTGGCTAATTTTTTGTATTTTTAATAGAGACAGGTTTTCACCATGTCAGCCAGGATGGTCTCGATCTCCTGACATCGTGATCCACCCGCCTCGGACTCCCAAAGTGCTGGGATTACAGGCGTTGAGCCACCGTGCCTGGCCTATATGTTATATTTTTTTTTAACAAAGGTTATCCTATTATATTTTCTCTCTGTGTTAGACGTGCTTAAATTAAAATTTACATGTGTATTGATGGACCACAGGTCATATCCAAATCTGACTTAGACACAGACACATAATTGTGAGATCCTGGAGGTGAAGATAAAGACAATAATTGCACAGAAGTATATTTCTCTTAATGGAGGGGCTTCATGTTTATTTATGTATATGTTTTCAGTAGTGGTTTGTGTCATTAAGTTTTTGAAAAGGAAGGTTTTTTTTATATTTAGTTTGAAAAGAAGAATGTGCTTACATAGCCAATACTAAATGCAGTCATAAAAGTGTTTTAACATCTTTGTATGTTTGTTTCTTCATTTCTGTCACTTCATGGTACTTTTTAAAAATTTACACAGTTACTTGTTATTGTTCATATCTTCTGTTTCTTGGCATGTTGAATAATTCCTGATTAGATGCTGGATATTATGATTTATGTTTACAGATGCCTTGATGTTGTGGTCTTCGCTTAAAGCATGTTATGTTGGTTGTCTTCATTTAAAGACTATCAGGCAGTTAATTTACCTTACATGGAGATAAGTTTCATAATTTTGAAACCTGTTTTTAATTTTTGCTACGTATGAACTCATCTCACCTCCTCTTCAGGGATAGTTTATTCCTGCTACCAAGGTCTGATCTTTCTGAATGGCCCTGGTGATTACTGATGACAGCACAATAAGAGATTAAGTGTTAACAGCATTAAAATGTCAAAGATGCGGAACAGACAGTACAGTGTACTAAAAAATTAACGACATTTTGGGGGAGGCTAAGAAAAAGGAAGTTGTGCAGTTCCAAAAAGAGGAAATATGTTCTAAAATAAAGAGTAAAATATTAACTTAAAAGAAATCAGTAACTTCAAATGTAGATTTAAAACATTGAGGTTTACACAAAAGTGGAGGTACCAGTATTCTCTAGCTAGTAAATGATATCAAAGGTAACTCAGAGACATTTAGTTGTAAGCACATAAATTTGCTTAAGAGAGTTTTGTTAACAAAGACAAGTTACATGGGAGAGAGCAAAAGAGAGAGAACAGTTTTCAGTAATTTGGCTGGAAAGAGTTTTATTGTTCTTATGTACCTGAAGTATAGTTGGACTGAATACAAAAGTTGAGATCTGTTATCAGATTTCCTCTGAATTTTAGTTGCACTTTCTGCCAGATGACATAATTGTTAAAAAACACAATATGATTTTGATTTCTGATCCTGTGTCTGAGGCCTAACTTTTCTATCTGGAGACTTTCAGAATCTTGTATTTATTCCTACAATTCTGAAATTCTGCAGTGAGGTGTCTTTTAAGTCTATTTTTGTCCTTTCCATGGGGCATTCAATGTGAAGCTTTAAACAGGAAACTCACACCCTTAGCTTCTGAGAAATTTTTTTATACTTATTTCCTAATTTTCCTCGTATCTTTATTCTAATGTCTTTTTTCTAGCATTCCTTTTAGTGAAATATTAGTGCTCTTGGGTTGATATTCTACTATTATTATACTTTTTCTTTTATCTCTTCCTCTTTAGATTTTATTACCTAGGAAATTTCTCAAGTTTTTCCTCCACCCATTTTATAGAATTTGTTTTTTTATTTTCTTATAATTTTAATTTTCAAGGATTATTTCTTGTTGTGATCTTTTTTATAGTTTACTCTTTTTGTTTAAGTGATATACTATTTTCTTTCCCCACACCTGAGATTATGAATTATAAGAATATTTTAAGTCTTTCTTTCATTTTTACGATCAATTCTAATTTGAACTTCATCTTATGTGTACTTGTTTTGATCTTTTTTTTTTTTTTTTTGAGACGGAGTTCTGCTGTGTTGCCCAGGGTGAAGTGCAGTGACAAAATCTCGGCTCACTGCAACCTCCACCTCCCAGGTTCAAGTCAAGCGATTCTCCTGCCTCAGCCTCCCAAGTAGCTGGGATTACAAGCACGTGCCACCACACCCAGCTAATTTCTTTGTATGTTTAGTGGAGATGGGGTTTCACCATCTTGGCCAGGCTGGTCTCGAACTCCTGGCCTCAGGTGATCCGCCTGCCTCAGCCCCCCAAAGTGCTGGGATTCAGGTGTGAGCCATCGGGCCCGGCCTGATCTCTTACTTTTATTGGAGACTTTTCTAAATATCTAGTAGTCCTTAAGTGTCTAACAGCATGCAAGACTGAGGTACTAAATAAGCGAAGGGAATTTCTGTGTCTGGGATCAGTGGACATCACTGGATGTTCAGGCAGAAGTTATTTATTTCTTCTTAATCTCAATATTTGTAGGTCTTTATTATGAAGCAGGTCAGTTTTTTCAAAGAGAAATTCTCCAATTTTCTTCTTGGGTGCCTTAAGCCTGATTGTCGAGGATATTGAAGTCAATTAGGAGATGTCAAACTGTGTCCGGACTTGGTGGGTTCTTGGTCTCACTGACTTCAAGAACGAAGCCGTGGACCCTCGCAGTGAGTGTTACAGCTGTTAAGGTGGCGCCTCTGGAGTTTGTTCCTTCTGGCGTTCGGATGTGTTCGGAGTTTCTTTCTTCTGGTGGGTTCGGGGTCTCGCTGGCTCAGGAGTGAAGCTGCAGAACCTCAAGGTGAGTGTTACAGCTCCTAAGGCAGCGCGTCTGGAGTTGTTAGTTCCTCCCGGTGGGCTCCTGGTCTCGCTGGCTTCAGGAGTGAAGCTGCAGATGTTCGCGGTGAGTGTTACAGCTCACATAAGCAGTGCGGACCCAAAGAGTGAGCGGTAGCAAGATTTATTGCACAGAACAGAAGAACAAAGCTTCCACAGCGTGACCGAGCGGGCTGCCACTGCTGGCTTGGGCAGCCTGCTTTTATTCTCTTATCTGGCCCCCACCCACATCCTGCTGATTGGTAGAGCCCAGTGGTCTGTTTTGACAGGGTGCTGATTGGTGCGTTTACAATCCCTGAGCTAGACACAAAGGTTCTCCACATCCCCACCAGATTAGCTAGATACGGAGTGTCCACACAAACGTTCTCCAAGGCCCCACCAGAGTAGCTAGATACAGAGTGTCGATTGGTGCATTCACAAACCCTGAGCTAGATACAGAGTGCCTATTGGTGTATTTACAATCCCTGAGCTAGACATAAAGGTTCTCCACGTCCCCACCAGACTCAGGAGCCCAGCTGGCTTCACCCGGTGGATCCCACACCGGGGCTGCAGGTAGAGCTGCCTGCCAGTCCCATGCTCTGCGCCCGCACTCCTCAGCGAGTCGTCCTCAGTGGTCGATGGGACTGGGCGCCGTGAAGCAGGGGGCGGCGCTCATCGGGGAGGCTCCGGCCGCACAGGAGCCCACGGAGAGGGTGGGAGGCTCAGGCATGGCGGGCTGCAGGTCCCGAGCCCTGCCCCGCGGGAAGGCAGCTAAGGCCCGGCGAGAAATCGAGCGCAGCGCCGGTGGGCTGGCACTGCTGGGGGGCCCAGTACACCCTCCGCAGCCGCTGGCCCGGGTGCTAAGCCCCTCATTGCCCCGGGCCGGCAGGGCCTGCCGGCTGCTCCGAGTGCGGAGCCCGCCAAGCCCACGCCTACCCGGAACTCCAGCTGGCCCGCAAGCGCCGCGCGCAGCCCCGGTTCCCGCCCGCGCCCCTCCCTCCCACACCTCCCTGCAAGCTGAGGGAGCCGGCTCCGGCCTTGGCCAGCCCAGCAAGGGGCTCCCACAGTGCAGCGGTGGGCTGAAGTGCTCCTCAAGTGCCACCAAAGTGGGAGCCCCGGCAGAGGAGGCGCCGAGAGCGAGCGAGGGCTGTGACGACTGCCAGCACGCTGTCACCTCTCAAAAGCAAGTCTGTTATTCAGAATTTCAATTAATTCCTCTGTCTTTAGTAAAGCACGTCCTCCCTTAGCCTTGCCTAGAGACTCTTACTCTGAATTCAGGCTCCTTTTGGTTCAGTAATGCCAGGCAATAAACTTCCAATCTTCAGTAGACATACAGGGTTGCCGTTTGGTTGTTCAAGGGGCTCCTTGTATATATTTTCTACTAATTCCCCAGTTTTCCCCCATATTGAACCCATACGGTATTAGTTTTTTATTGCTAAATAACAAATTACCTTAAGCTTTGTGGTTTAAAACAATGCACATTTGTTATCTCATAATTTCTGTATGCCAGGAGTGTAGGCATGGCTTGGGTAGGTGCTACGCTTCAGAGACTCACAAGGCTGCAGTGAAGGTGTTGGCTGTGGCTCTCATCTCCTCTGAGGCTCATCTGGGGAAGGATCTGCTTCTAGGCTCACATGGTTGCTGGCAGCATTCACTTCCTTGTGGGCCATCAACTGAGGGCCTGAGTTTCTTGATGGCTACTAGCCAGAGGTAGCCCTCAGTTTCTTGCTGTAAGGACTTTCCCGACATGGCACCTTGCTTTCTCAAAGCCAGCCATGAAAAGAGTCCCCTCTGGCAGACAGTTATTATAATCTTAGGCACATTCCATTCCATTCATGTAATCATGCATATACCATTACCTTTGCTGTATTGTATTGATTAGAGGCAAATCACAAGTCCTATCCACATTCAAAGAGAGGAGATCACACAAGAGCTTGAAGACCAGAACACGGGGATGATGGGAGCCACCATAGAGTCTGTGGTGCATAGGGTCTCTGATGCTTTAGCGTCCAGGGAACTATGGCCTAAGTTACTGAACATAGTCCAAACTTTGTAGACATTTCTCATCTATGCCTAGTTGCTCCCAATCATTTTTTATTCTATTAAATGTTTTTATTAATATAATTTTTACTGAGACTTTAGAGAAAGCAGAAACAAATACATCTGTTGAATATTACAAATGTACCTGAAAGTACCCTATTGAATTTTTAGGTAGCCTTTGTTAGTTTGAGAATTAAAACAAAAAAACTTCACATCTATGAGAAAAAAAATCAGATATATTACTTTTAATGTTTTATTGAGTTTTCTTAAAGAGCAACCTAATTTAGAATATTAATCAATGAGTTTTCAAGGCCACTTGATATATACATGCCAAAAAGTTTCCATTCAGAGAAACATCGGGTTAGATTTGTATTAATAGATTAATTTTTATGAAATTTCATACAAAATTTATAAGATTTATATTGAATGTGTTAATTTATGTGGAAATATTCATATGAAAGTAGCAATCTTAATTTACACTAAACTTATAAATACAGTTTGATGATTTGATTAGCTAAAAGCTAACATTTACTAAGAACATTGTGTGTGTCAGGTATTGGCTCATTTAAGTCTTCTGGTATCACAACTGTAGGAGCTAGGCACCTTTATTATCCCATTTAAGTGCTGATGAGGAAAACAAGGTACTTCACTCAAAGTCACACAGAAGGATAGGAGTTGAGCAGAAATTTGAAACCAGATTACTTGACACCAAAGCCTATAAATACAATGGTTAAACTATATTGCTTTCCCTGAAACTGGAAGTTGAGATTAAAAATGATGTCCTCCCTTCAGGGAGCTGATTTTCTAGTATGTCAATAAGTAAGTAATTTACTGACAATTGATATACAAAACAAAAATGCCCCAACAGAGCACGCATGAGATTTTACCGCAGCCCACAGGTGCATCAGAGAGGAAGTGCCACTTGAAATAAGATGTTACATTGACATAAATAAGCATTTAGTTTTACTAAGAAACAGAGATGATGAATCAGTGGTCTAACCACACTGAAATGGGCGGTGAAGAAGCATTTTCAGGTTTTGCAGCAATTTGTGTTAGGCTGGTTTGTCTTTGTCATTCTAGGGTTTTAAAAAACTTCATACAAATGGAATCACACAATCTCGTGATCATTTATGTTTGGCTTCTTTGCTTATCAGTAGGTTTCTGATATTTGTTTGTGTTTTTGCATGTGTAACGGGTATAGTGCTTCTTGTATGGATGCTGCAACATTTATCTATTTTATAGTTGATGGACATCTGATTCCAATTCAGGGCTATTATGAATAAAACTGCTATGAATATTGATTCCTGTCTTTGGGTGCACATACATGTTTGTTTCTATTAACGAGTGAGTGGAATTCCTGGTTCACAGAGTATGCTGATGTGCAGCTTTAGTAGAGATGACCAAATTAAGATGGTTATTAATTTGAACTTCCTTCAGGTTTATGAACATTTCAGTTGATCTAAATTCTCACCAACCTTTGGTATTCTCAGATTTTATTTCTGTTTATTTCTTTAAAAATTTTAGATATTCTAGTTGGTGTGTAGTGACTCCTTTAAGTTTTTTCATTTCTCTGATGACGAATTTGAGTGTTTTGATAAGCTTTTTTGCCATTTTGGTGTCCTTTTTCTGGGAAATCACTTCTGTAGTCTTTTTCTCACTTAAACATTTGTTGTTGCCTGTCTTTTTAAACCGATTCATGAGTTTGAAAACTCTCACTCTCCCATTCTTTGCTGAGAGACTTTGCGTGCACTTGGGGGCACACCCTGGACCCTCAGCAAGCAGTTCGCTGTGCTGTTCCTTCACTTCCTGCACAGGCTGAGCTTCGAGGTCAGCCAGAGGTGAGAGCTTAGGTTCTTCTCAGGTAACTCCTGAACCTGTTTACAGCCCTGTACATTCACACTGCACAGGCTGAGCTTCGAGGTCAGCCAGAGGTGAGAGCTTAGGTTCTTGTCAGGTAACTCCTGAACCTGTATACAGCCCTGGACATTCACACTGCCCTGTGCTTTTGCACAACCTTCAAGATTCCAAGAAATATGTTGGAGATTTTGAAGCCTACTATAGACATCTCATTTCCAGTTTTTTTTTTTTTAAGTTTTCATCAGCTCTTTGTCTCAGTTTTTATTATATTGCTGCCTCCGGAAGTTAAACAATTATCCCTGGTGTTTTTGACAAACACCCTCAGAAATTATGGAAAGAGTAGACGAATTTAAATAGTCTGGAAGTGAGTAGGCAAGCTTCAGCAACAGTGCAAGCTGGAAGAAAAGGAGGTGTTCTGCCAGTAGGGGGCCCTGTGTGATTGAAGTTGCCATAAACTTTGACAAAAATGAAACCAGGCATTCAGCTTTAAATATATATATAATTTGAGACAGAGTCTCTCTCTGTCACCCAGGCTGGAGTGCAGTGGCAGGATCTCAGCTCGCTGCAACCTCCCCCTGCCAGGTTGAAGTGATTCTCTTGCCTCAGCCTCCCGAGTAGCTGGGATTATAAGCACCTGCCACCACGCCTGGCTAATTTTTGTATTTTTAGTAGAGGTGGGTTTTCACCATGTTGGCCAGGTTGGTCTCAAACTCCTGACTTCAGGTGATCCACTCGCCTTGGCCTCCCAAAGTGCTGGGATTACAGGCATGAGCCACCATTCCCATCCAACGTCCTATATTTTTGAGTGTCAAAATACGTCATGTTTTTCCAAAGTGTCAGATTGCCTGGCTGTGAAGCGTAGATCTGAAATTTAAAGACTTCCGGTAAAGCAATTATTTGTGACTTGGTTTTGTTACATATTAAATGAGATATTAGATCTAAGTCACAGGGCCGTTTTGGAGATTACATGAATTATATGTAAAACATTTAGTGTCTGGCATATAGAAACACTATAGAGATGTTATAATTATTGTCGTATTTTAATCATCCTTATTGTAATTACCGCCATCTGGTACACACTTTGTTACTTTTATTATTTTGGTGCTTTGGATAATACAGGGAGCAAGAGTGCTAAAACTTAGCAAAGTAGTGTGGGTTGAAGACCACATCATACAGAACCAGCGATAAATCAACAAGATATGACCAGTGGAGCAGACTGGAGCAACAGTTAAGAGAGAGAATTAATAAGCAACAAACAAGTTTTTAAGTACCCTCTGAGAATTCTCAGGATTACTCAGAAAAATATATTTTTAAAGGCAGAATGAGACTTCAAGTTATTTTATTTGGCTATTACAAAAAGTGTGGATAGCTTTTTTATTACAAAAAGGGTATTACCAACCCTCTTTCCACTGAGGACAATTGGAGAGTCTAGACAAAATGTTTCAAATCGTTAATTTAATTTAATTTAATTTTTTAGACTGGGTCCCACTCTGTCACGCAGGCTCAAGTACAGTGGTGCAATCACAGCTCACTGCAGCCTCAAACTCCTGGGCTCAAGCAATCCTCCCACCTTGGCCTCCCAAAGTGCTGGGATTACAGGCACGAGCCACTGCACTCAGCCTCAAACCATCATAAAGGCATCAATGAAATTACATGCTATTGAAAAATAAAACAATACTAATCCAAGAGATAACTGAAACCCAGAAATAAGAGCTGCTTTTCCAACAGAAAATCTTACAGATGAAAAAGCTAAGGAGTCAAGCAGGGCTCTTGGCAGTCTTCGGTGCTAGAGTAACTCCAGTCTCCAAGTAGGGGTGGGATGAAAAAATTAATAGTTCTAGTTAGTTCACCAAAAGCTGCACCCCAGACAAAATCTTCCGATCTTGACATCATTGGCACTTTGAGTCATATTATTCTTTCTTGCAGGGGCTGTGCAGCGCATCGTAAGATGTTTGGCAGCATCCTTTACTTTCATCCCGTAGATGCCAGTAGCCAGCCTCTTCCCCCATCTCACCTACCCTGACACTGACCCTTCACCAAGTCGAACAATCACAAATATGTCTAGACATTGCTAAATACCCTTTGAGGGATAAAATTACCCCATCCCAGGTAGAAAAACACTGCCCTAGGAATAAGACTAATCTAAGAGTAGATTGGCTCTTGAAGGAGGTGAAACTCACCTTCAAATCCTTTCCATTACTAAAACTGAAGGAAAGTTGATCGTAGATTGCTAATGGCTGTGATGATTTTCTAGAAGCACATTTACGTTCTTCCTGCAGGTACTTTTTTTGTCAAAGAAAAATTGCATCATACAAACTAAACAGGGAAGAAAGATTTTATTCAAGACCATTGTAATAGAAGAGAGTAATTGAATCCAATTATGCTGAAGTGGGAAGATGTTTAAATACTGGAGTGAGCTGGTGGAAAAGGACCAGAGCATGTTGAGGGGACTCTGGTCAATGTGATTAGGTCATCGGTAGTTGTTAATTGAAGCTCATTGAAGTGAGGTTCCTGTGCTTCCACAGAAGCCGGAAGTAGGGGCACTGTCTCGCTTGATGGTTACATTCCAAAAGCCTGGCTCCCAGGTCTTTGAGAAAGACATTCCTGGGCTGTAAAACTGGAAAGAGGCTGGGAGAAGATTTATGTTTCAAAGAAGCAGAGAAAGAATTTGTAATTACTTTCCTAAATGATCCAAGAAAAGAAAAATCATGGATTCACAGACAAAAAGAAGTCTGAGGGAAACATTAAGGCCATCTTGGTCAAAGAATATAACATGATTCTAGTTTTCAAATAATTACTATATTTTTTTCTTTTGTTTTGAGATGGAGTCTTGCTCTGTTGCCCAGGCTGGAATGCAGTGGCGTGATCCCAGCTCACTGCAACCTCCACCTCCCAGGTTTAAGGGATTCCGGTGTCTCAGCCTCCTGAGTAGCTGGGATTACGGGTTTATGCCACCATGCCTGGCTAAGTTTTGTTTTTTTAGTAGAGACAGGGTTTCACCATTATGGCAAGGCTGGTCTTGAACTCCTGATCTCAGGTGATCCGCCTGACTCGGCCTCCCAAAGTGCTGGGATTACAGGTGTGAGCCACTGTGCCTAGCCTCAGTTTTTTTCTTTTTTTCTTTTTTTTAAGACAAAAGTCCAGCACTCAACAACAACACGAAATAAATAACTGGGTACATAAATAGAAAAGATGACATTAAAAGTTACAAATAGAAATAACAGGCAGTGGTTAAGAAATTCCAAGGGCTCTAGAAAATGCAGTATCACACACAGACTTTAAAGTAAGCATGTTCAAATATTATTTCAAAAAATCAGATTTAAGTCAATACATATTTAAATTTTAAATAAATCATTTCTTAAATTTACATACCTATATAGTATTTAAAATGTAACAACATAAAATATTTTTAAAATACTAATATATTTAAAATGAACTCCTGGAAATAAAATGAATATATTAGAATTTGGACTGAAACTTGGAAAGTTTGAAAAAGGAGAAGATGGAAACTCTAGAACTAAAATCCACAGTAACTAAAATTAATTTCACAGAAGAAATAATTCTTAATCTAATAATATCTATTCTCAGCATCTCCCCCCAAAACAACCAGTCAACCTAACAAGTAAACAAAGCTAGAACAAACATTACAGTTAATGGTAGCATATTAAAAACTTTGCCTTTGACATTGGGAACAAGACAAGGTACTCACTGTTATCATTTCCACTTAACATCATTGTTCACGATGTTAACAGATACAATATGATTTTTAGGTTATAAAACTTTGGAAAGAAAAATACAGCACACATTTACCATGGATATGATTCTGTTTATAGAAAATCCAAGAAAATCTATCGATAAATTATTAGAAGTAATAAAGGAGTTTATAAGGCAGCTGGATACAAATTCAATATAAAAGAATCAATTGTATTTCTGTTTCTCAGAAACAAACTGAAAATAAAAATTTTTAAAGATACTATTTTTTTATATTGCTGCTGTAACAAATTACCACAAATTTAGCAGCTTAAAACGGCACATGATTATCTTGCGGTTTCTATAGCTCAGAAGTCCAGGCACAGTTGGTTTTCTGTTTAGGGTCCTATAAGGCCAAATTCGAGGACCTGGTTGTTTTCTGGAAGCTCTGGGGAAAAATCTGCTTTTAAGCTTGAAATAGTTTGGATGTTTGTCCTCTCCAAATCTCATGTTGAAATGTAATCCCAGTGTTGGAGAGGAGCCTTGGGGGATGTCTTTGGATCATGGGGAAGATCCCTCATGATGGCTTAGTGCTATCCCCTTGGTAATAAATGAGATCTCACTGTGAGTTCAGGCAAGATCTGGTGAGAGCATGTGGCACTTTCCCCCCGGCTCTCTTCACATGGTGGCTCCGCATTGCCATAATTGTAAGGTTCCTGAGGCCTCACCAAGAGCAAGTGCTAGAGTCATGACTGTGCAGCCTGCAGAACCATGAACCAATTAAACCTCTTTTCTTTATGAATTACCCATCCTCAGGTCTTCCTTCCTTCCCTCCCTTTCTTCCTCCTTTTTTCCCTGCCTCCCTCCTTTCCTTCCTTCCTTCCTTCCTTCCTTCCTTCCTTCCTTCCTTCCTTCCTTCCTTCTCTTCCTTCTTTTTCTTTCTTTCTTCTTTTTTACAGCATCCTCACTCTGTTGCCCTGGCTCTAGTGCAGTGGCAATCCCAGTCCACTGCAACCTCTACCTCCCAGGCTCAGGTGGTCCTTCCACCTCAAACTCCTATGTATCTGGGATGATAGGCACATGCCACCATGCCCGGCTAATTTTTGTATTTTTAGTAGAGACTGGGTTTCATCATGTTGTCCAGGCTGGTCTCGAACTCCTGAGCTCAAGGGATCCACCCACCTCGGCCTCCCAAAGTCCTGGGATAACAGGCATGATACACTGCACCTGGACAGGGAATTCTTTATAGCAATGCAAAAAAAGTGTAATACAAAGCTTCTTCAGGTTGTTAGCAAAACCAGTTTATTCGACTATAGTGCTGAAGTTTCCTTTTCTTCTTGGCTGAGGACTGAGAGCCTCTCTTAGCTTCTTAAGATCAACAGTCATTGTATTATTGATTTGTTGTCTAGGTACATGATAGATGATAGATAGATAGATAGATGATTGATAGATAGATAGATAGATAGATAGATAGATAGATAGATAGATAGATGATGGGGGTGGGGAGAGACAGATTCCTTTATCAATTATACGTGTTAGAATGTCTTCCACTCTGTGACGACTTGTCATTCTGTCCATGATGTCTTTTGAAAACTAGAAATCTGTAATTTTAAGTTTATAATGTGCAGATTTTTGTTTGTTGGTTTCAAGTTATTGGTAAGTATATGTAAAATAAGGAGAAAATAATGTGAACTTCAGGTCTCAGAACCTAGAAATTTGGAAGCAAGTCAACTTATGGTAATGTAGTTCTTTAGCATAGACGAAACACTTTTACATGCATTATTTTAATTACATTTTAAATTTGGCATTACAAATATTGAGAAATATGAATGGGGTGCAGCATTATCAAAGGTTAAGTTTTACTTTTCTAGATTATGCCATTTCCTTTATAACTAGAAAAAATACAAAATGTAGTGTTGAGAGAGTGGTGACTGCCACATCTTTCCACAAAAGAAACCAAGAATCATCATCCACACACACACAAGCCACTTGAGTGTAAAAAATAACCAAGATATATTTTAAAAATTTATTGTAAATTGACAAATTATAATTGTATCTATTTGTGGGGTATAATGTAGTGTTATTTGTACACAATGTGGAATGATTCAGTCAAGCTAATTACCATATCAATCACCATCAAATACTTATAATTTTTCATTGTGAGAACATTTGAAATTTATTTGCTTCGCGATTTTGAAATGTGCAATATATTATTGTTAATTATAGCCAGCAAGAAATTATTTTTTAATGTCCTTTGACAATGACTTAACACAGAAGTGCAGTAATCTCATACAGTCACTAGATGGCACTGCAGCTTTTGCAACAGAGATCTTTAAGACAGGCAGGAGGGGTTCTTGAAATAAACTCATTTTTCGTATTTGTAATTGGTCACCAGACAGTAGAGTCATGCTTTAAATAATAAAACTATTCCCTTTAAGAATTATATATTTGTATCTATTTAAAGAAAACACTTTTTCTTAAGAATAAAATAATTTCATTATAGGAAAATTCAAAATTGGCCGGGCGCGGTGGCTCACGCGGGTAATCCCGGCACTTTGAGAGTCTGAAGCCGGCGGATCACTTGACGTCAGGCGTTCGAGACCAGCTTGGCCAACATGGTGAAACCCCGTCTCTACTAAAAATACAAAAATTAGCCGGGCGTGGTGGTGCGCGCCTGTAATCCCAGCTACCCGGGACGCTGAGGCAGGAGAATTGCTTGAACCCGGGAGGCAGAAGCTGCAGTGAGCGGAGATCGAGCCACAGCATTCCAGCCTGGGCGACAGAGTGAGACTCGGAAAAAAAAAAAAAAGGAAAAAAAGAAGAAAGAAAGAAAGAAAAAAGAGAAAAGAAAAAGAAAGGAAAGAAAGAAAGAGATCCAAAATTATAGAAAAACATAAAGAAAATAAATACTTCCTATATTCCTCCTCCTCAGGGAAAACCACTGTGTTTACTTTAGTAGTTTTACTTTCTGTCAGCATATAGAAATATAAAACATGTTTTGTATATTTAATATTGAACAGGAAATAATCCTATTGTATATATTATTTTAAACTAGCAGCAATAATAGTTTGAGTATTCTTTCATATACATAAATGTTCTTCATTATTTTTTAATGTTGGGATAGCATTTCATCATGTAGGAGCATTATATTTATTTAACTAAATCTTTGGTTTTGGACAATTAGGTAGCTTCTGATTTTTCACTACTAGAAATATCCCTTTGATAAACATTTTTGTGGTTATGTCTTGCACATCCAAGATTATTTCTTTAAAATCTCCCTCCCTCCCCAGTAAGTATTGTCAAGCTGCTTTCCAAAGGGTAAAGGAAACCAGTTTACACCATCACCAGCAGTCGTTCTGGTCATATATTTCCCAATATTTTTCCCTGAAAAATCATTTACATTTTAATTTCAGTTATAATACATTTTCATGTGCAAAATCTAATCAAATTATGAAAATTGACAGCAAGCTTAAAAATATCATTTCTATATTAGTATCATACAATTTTTAAGTAGTTGAATACTGACTATAGCACCTAACAGTTCAATGGCATTTTAGCCTTTTTAAAAAGTTTTATCCAATCCCTACAATTATGTGAAATGTGCAGCTGATGTATTCCCCTTTCCAGAGGAAGAAATTGAAATTATGTTGAAAAAGCAACGCAAAACACGGATAACTGATAGTTTTATTTTACACATATTTATGTAACTATCCAAGATGAATGTAGCCTACAGAGTTAAAATTTTGATAATTAGCTAAAGGTTTGAATACAGGAGTATATCTTTAATATGCTTCCATAGCACCCTACGTTTTTCCTATTATAACATTCATCACACCATGTCAATTCATCTTGTTGTTTGTTTTACAAATAGACCACGAATTCCACAAGGCCAGTTGCCATGCGGAATTTGCTGAGTATTTTAACTCTGGTGTCCACCATAGTAGTAGGTGCTTACTTATAACTTGTGAAATGAAATTTTTAAAAGGCTTTCCAAAAACAAATACAAATAAGATATATTACGTAGAAATAGACATGTCGTGTAGAAACGCGGCTTTATGCCAATACTGGAAGTTTGAAGACATAGTGTTTCTAGTTCTAATAATCATCATGAGTATTTAATACATGCCTATGGTGTACTAGGGAGCCAGATAATGTTTTAAGTTTGTTTTCATGTACTAACTAATTTAACATCTAACTAATTTTAGCTGAATTTTGAACGAGTTCTGATAAAATAGCTAGTCAGCCCGCGCGTGGCAGAGATGAAACTCGGGCGGTCTGGCCCCCGTGCTTTGGGTCTCAGCAGCTCCACGCTCCACATAGATGTTTTGTAGGATCCTTAAAACAGAAGTGCAGTAATCTCGTATAACCACTAGATGGCACTGCAACTTTTGTAACAGGGGACTTAGCCGGGGGCAGGAGGGGTTCTTGAGACAAACCCATTTTTTATATTTGTCATTGGTCACTTGCAAGTAGAGTCATACTTTAAATAATAACATTATTCCCTTTAAGAATTGTATATTTTTTATCTATTTAAAGAAAACAGTTGTCCTTATGAATAAAATGACTTCAAATTATGTGTAAAAAATAACTCTGTTATCCGTGTTTTGCGTCGCTTTTTCAACATAATTTCAACTTCTTCCTCTGGAAAGGGAAATACATCAGCTGCTCATTTCACATAATTATAGGGATTCAATAAAATTATTTGTAAAAATGATAAAATTCATTGAATTGTTAGGTGATACAGTCAGTATTCAATGACTTAAAAATTGTGTCATACTAATATAGAAATATTTTTAAGCTTGCTCTCAATTTTCATAATTTGATTAGATTTATGCACATAAAAATATGTTATAACTAAAATATTAATCGCAAGACATTGTTTTCTAAGATGACTCGGGAGTAGATTGTTGGTAATGATAGAATATTACCGCTAGGAGGCTGCTTGTTTCTTTTTTCCCACAGCTGTGGGAACTCAGGAGCACAGAGGTCATTATTTTTCACTAAGCAGTGTCTGAAATCCACATTTCTGTTTGCCGTTTGCCAATAGTTTAGAGATACCATACACATCATACATTTCCAACAAGCAGAGAAGAATATTGCAAATTACATTTATAAAACAATTTTGAAGGTAATCAAATGTATTAGGCTATTCTTGCATTGCTATAAAAATATCTGAGACTGGGTAATTTATAAAGAAAAAAGGCTTAATTGGCTTACGGTTCTGCAGTTTTTACAAGCATAATGCTGACACTGCTCAGCTTCCGCGGAAGCTTAGGGAGCTTTTATGTATGTTGGAAGGTGAAGTGGAGTGGGAGCAGGCATGTCACATGGAGAAAGCAGGAAAGAGAGAGAGAAAGAGAGAGAGAGAGAGAGAAAGTGCTGCACACTTTGAAAAGACCAGATCTCCTGAGAACTCACTCAGGTGCAAGGAGACCATCAAGAGGATGATGCTAAACCATTCATGAGAGATTCGCTCCCATGATGTAATCACCTCCCACCAGGCCCCACCTCCAACAAAGGGGATTACAATGCGACATGAGATTTGGGCAGGGACACACATCCAAACTACATCATTGAGTTTTTTGCTGATTGAAATATCCCATGAAGATTATGCCTCTTTTCTATATATTGAATTATTTTACATAAATAACTAAAGTGTATGTAGCACCTCAGAATTGAACAAGATACTTTCAGAGCATTGACTATGAGGAGTAATTATTACAGAGCATCTGCTATATACAGAAAAATGGATATGGATACATACACCCTTTAGCATATAAGCATATGAAAACAATTTGATATGTATAAGCTATTATAAAACTAAGGGTTTTACTCTACATGGGATTTTTTCCTAAGTTATAGTAACTGTTTTCTGCTTTCTCATATAGTATATACTTTTTAATGTATTTTGAAGGAATGAACTTTCTTGGAAACCATTGTGTTTATTCTACTTTTATTTCACATATATAAAAACAGCTTATAATTGTACTGAACACAAAATACAAACAAATACATTTTATTGCACATAAAAATATTTTAAATGAAGTATTGAAGTATTGCACGTAATAGAATTGATTTAGGAAAGTCACAAACCTATTATAAGACTAGTATTATTCTAGGTCTGAAGATTACAGAATATTTCCTAATAGAGATTTGCCACATCACATATTGCACATTTTCCAACACTATTCTATGTCTTGCAAATATTCCTCATAGTCTTTGCTTATGTCTTTTCTCTGTAAGACACTGTATAAAAGATTATAAAGGCAAAGAAATATGTACCATCGAAAAGGACCTGTCTACAGCTGAGGAAGTAAAAAAATAAATACATGATCATCCCATTCTTTTTGGGGAAAAATAACAAAGTAAATTGGCAAATTTCTCTAAAAAGAGAGAAATATTACAAATCTTAGTTTCATAAGCATTTGTCCATTTATAAATGCTCCCTGAGTTTAAGGGATTCAATTAGACTAAAAACCTATGTTACCAGCCATAATTCCTTTGTTTACATTCAGTATCTAGTACCAACATCTAACTCCTTCCAATAGTGCAAATGCATGAAGGGCTCTCACTGTTGGTAGTCATTCAGCAATAAATAGTAAGTCCACGCCTAGTTATTTCATTATTTCTGGATTCAAAATAATATAAAGTGCATCCAAAGGTTGCATAGTCATTCTTCTCATTCTTGGGCATGGTTATTGGTCAACCTGTGATGCTTCTAGCTCATGGCAATAAAAGCCCACAGTGCAGATTTTCCTGGAATTTCTTCCTTTTTTTCCATAGTTCTGTTTGGAAGAAAATTCCCAAGACACTATAAAATTTTTTTTCACAAAGTCTCTATGGAAGACTTCGGACCACAGAGCAGCATCCACTGACACAGATTTCCTTGAGTTCCATTCTATAATAGTCAATAAGTGAACATGTTTCCTTATTATTTGTAAGGTTTGTTACATATCCAGTATAAATTCTTCTCACATTCCATGCTGCTGACCTCTGTGTTTTTCAGAAAAACACACTTGTCAGACCCTGTAACGTTGAACCTGTCAAACAATAAAAAAACTTAGAATTATTTTCAGCTCATTGTTTTCATTCAGTTACATGAGAATGAACTCGGAGATGGTGACCTCTGCTTCTTTTAAATTCTTAGTGGGATACACAAGTCAAATAATCATAGACTAATCTGTAGAGACAATGGACAAGAATTGAAAAAAAAATAGGATGTGGAGAAAAAATATGGAAGTAAGAGGAAAGCACGCCATTCATTTGGTTGGCATGGCACCAGATAAGTGATTCTTGGTCATTTCTGAGTTCATAGATTTTTCAATAAATAATTTCACAAAATTGTATGCATTCAACAGCCATGCATACTAGTGCATACAGCTTTAAGGGGTTTATGGCTCCTGAAGCCCATCTGTGGATATGGAGCCATAGGACAAATATTAGGAATCCCTTTTCTAGAAACCTGAATTTTAATCTCGATACTTTATCAGTATTATGATCAACAGCAAACTTATAAAATGATCTTCAAACATTAAATGTATTTTAACTAAAGGTAATGAAAATAGAGTATCTAATTCTGGGGCAAATTTTCTTTCAGGTGTATAGAAACTCATAATTAGGCATTGAAACTATTCTTTATTCTGTGGAGATGAAAACTGAGAAATAGTAAGAAGGATTTATTTTCCAGCAACTGTCTTATTAGTAAAGACTAAATGTGACATTGAAAATGGGTTTTTGTTGCATCATCATAATTATTATTGAAATATTTCCAAATTAACCAGATCTACTACTCACATTAGAGTTTGCTGAGAAAAATTACTATAAGCATTTATTTTATGTATTATAAGTGTGGATAAAGAAAAAGAATAATAATAAAGCCTGTTATTAAAGAATTCCAGAGTATACGCATTCAGAAGAGATTGTTAGAGCTCTTGAAGAGCTCAGCCTTTATATTTAAAGTGCTTTGAAAGGAGAAAAGGAAAGTGATTTTCCTGAGATGCCACCCTGGGGAATATAAAGAGACTTCTGGAGACTTACCAGTTGTTAAATTCTTTGCCATTTGACCACTTCCATGGGTGACCAGGTTCCTTTTTCAGTCCAACCCAGTGTTCCTCTCTACCTGCGTATCGTTTTAGAAAGTTCTTAAAGAAAGCACAAAGGAGTTTGTTACATTAAACACCCTTCTGGGGAAGTAGATAGTAAATCCTGTTTCTCAAAAGCTGCAACTTGAGGCATGACAGCTTATCTGACCATGTACTCATTCTATATAGGATCAGCATATTTGGATTTCTGGTCTTTGAAGCTAAGCAATCAAATCAAATTTAAAAGATTAAATTAAATCTCATTTTGACCTCAGGCTGATCATATGGTTCTCTGGGATGACATTTTCCTACATCTGAAATAGGTACAATGTTTGTTTGTTTGTTTGTTTTCTCCACTTAGAAACGGAAGGAAAGCACTGATTAGCCATATGAATTAAAATAGTAGTATTTTATCTTTTTTTTATTCTTACCATGTCCTTTTCAGAATCAATGACAGCAAGAGTAGCACCATGTTCAGAACAAGCATTTTGGGCTGAAGTCCAGCTCCTCTTCACAGTAGAAATAAAGTAGCATTTCCTCTGGTAGCCAACCCAGTCCTCAGAGCATGAAGAAACATGGCTGTCTGATGGCATTGAGAATGTGTATTGGCCTGGACAATTGTATTGGCCCACTGTGAACAGAAAAATGCTTTGTTTTAGTAACAAAAGAAACCAAATACCCACAGCATGCAAAACTAGCCTTAGGATGCTATGTTGTGCTAGGTGGTGATAAAGTAAAGGATAAAAGCTAAAAAGTAGAATTCTGAAAAGGGTATGAAGAAAGAAAGTTCTCAGGACCATATCTGATCTTCCATTGTGCCTAATCATCATTGGATGGAGATATGAGGATGAGGGGATGTACTTTTGGTCATAATGTCAGAAAATGACAGAAATATAGAACAATTCTGAAAATTTGGACTAGATATTTCTTTGGACTAGAAAGGATAAAGTGCATTATACATTTCAAATAAGGTTTTGAATCTGAATGCAGAGGCGGAAGAATTTGAAGATGCAGTATTTATAGCACTAGGCTGGAAAGATGGAGAGAGTAACTAACTTTTAGGGAACCAATTCAAAATACAGAAAGACATATGACTCAGAATATCTCAAAACAATGGTAAACATTCCCATTTGTAAAAGATACAAATATATCTTGGTACAGCTGGAGGTATTGAATACCAAATCACTACTGACTCTCTGGGAACTTTTAAATATAATCTTAATTATTCAGAACTACCATTCTGTGTCCTTTGAGATAAAACACAAAAGACTGGCCACTTCCTGATTAATCTATGGCTTTAGATACGATTTTTTTCCATAATCAATGAATGTGAAGTTCACATTTTTTTCTAGCTAAATAGGTATTTATTCAGAATTCAAATCAGCTCCCTTCATTCTAGATGTAAACATCTTTTCAAATGCAATTTTATTCTACAGTAATATATAAATCATAGATACTTTTAATACTTATAAAAGTATTACATTAATTATTCAAGGATTGTGGAATTATGTTTAGTATTGATTAGGAAATTGGCCATATATGGTACATGGGATGATTCTGAATTAGCTAGTTTCTGATTAACTAGACTAAACTAATATTGATTTCAGCTGGGCATGAATGCTTACAGCTAGGAGGCTTTGAAAGAATTGATGAAGTGTAGACCCACCTGATAAGGCAATGAGAGCTATGATTAAAATGGTGATGAAGACCACATTCATTACAGCACACAGGACAGGAACTTGGAAGGACCCTTCATGACGTGTTGAGAAATGGGGACTGGTGGCATCATCTGGAAGGGAGAAAGTTGATGATGAGTTCAGGCAGACTATAGAAGTACTATAGGAATATGCAACATTCTTTTGAGGCATTTAAACTTAATATTTCCTATCTCATTATATGAAATTTCCCCGTCTCTTTATAGAAATTTCTAAGTTAATTTACCCCCAATTTTGAGTGAATTTGAATAGTTTATTGTTGGCTTGAAATGAAACAATTCAAGCATAATGATGAGATTATAAAGTGTCTCCCCAAAATATTTACCTGACACATATGATTTATACACTTAGTAACTATGAAAATTCTAAGTATATAATCAGTTTGTTTTAATGATGATAAGAACGTTTATTAAATATGCACATGCCCCAGAAGACACATAAAAAAATTCTAGGGCATGGTGGCTCACACCTGTAATCTCAGCATTTTGGGAGGCCGAGGTGAGTGGATTGATCACCTGAGCTCAGGAGTTCAAGACCATCATGAGCAACATGGTGAAACCCTGTCTCCACCAAAAATACAAAAAATTAGCTGGTCATGGTGGCACGCACTTGTGTTCCCAGCTACTTGGGAGTCTGAAGTGGGAGGATCGCTTTAGCCTGGGAGGCAGAGGTTGCTGTGAGCGGAGATTGCACCACTGCACTCTAACCTGAGTGACAGAGTGAGACCTTGTCTAAAAAAATAAATAAATAAATAAATAAAAAATTCTAGCATAATTCCTTAATCTCCTTGTAGTTACTGTTTGAGAGAAATGATGTGAATGGGATAAATATGGATAATATCATAAAGTAAAATATTGAATTGCTATATAAATATCTGACATTAAAATGACTGAACAAAATTTTAAACGTGACAGTATTTTTTGGTGAAGTTGCTGCAGATGTGGAGCAACTGGAATTTTCAGATATTATTGGTGGGAGAGTAAATTGGAAAAACACTTTGGAAACTGTTTCTTATAAAATTAAATATATGCCTTTTCTATGGCCCAACAAACCTACTCCTATGTATATCCTCAAGAAAAATGAAAATATGTTCTCAAAATGCCTTGTGCAAGAATGCTCCTAGCAGCTTTATTCTTAAGAGCCAAATTCCAGAAATAATCCAAATATCCACCAACAGGAAAATAAGTGAACAAATTATGGTATATCCATACAAGGGAATTCCGCTCAGCAATTCAAAATAAGACAACTGATACATGCAACAAAATGAAGGAATCTCCAAAAAAAATGTTGAGTGAAAAAAAATCCAGCCACAGAAGATTGTATACTACATATTTGCATTTACATGACTTTAAATAATAGTTGGTCTAAGCTCTGGTGTCAAAAATCAGAACAGTAGTTGCCTTTGTGTGTGTAGGAAAGGTAATTTAACTGGAATGGGACACAGGGCAAACTGTCTAGGGTGATGGAAAGATTCAAATGTTGCTGGTCTTGTGGTTATACCACTGTCATAAGTCGTTAAACTGTATACCTACGAGCTGTGCATTCATCGTATGTGAACTAAACCTCAATTTAAAATGATATGTGAATGAACAGTAAAAATTTGAATTTTTCAAAAGATGTTAAAATAATAGAGGAAATGTAACAGTATTATAGACCAAATATTCAGCGAAAGTTATTTCATTTACCCTCTGTACAATGGTGAAACAAAGTAAAAGCCTTTTTTTTTCCCAACAAGCAGTGTTTCTATGGAAGGATTTAGAATAAAAATATGATGTTAACGATAACTGATAGTTACAAAAAACTCTAAGAGGATGTCTGTTCTACACTCTAAGTAAATAACTGAGGAAGGAGAAAAGAGAATTTTGCGACTTAGATTTTGGATTTTAATTTTGCAGGATGAGCTGTCAGGAGTCTTAAAATGCGGCCCCACAAGGAGTATACAGGTCCCTATTATGTTCTCAAAAACCAAAATGTAAAATGGCTGCTTAAGTAACTGACAATGCAAAACAGTTTCAAAATAGAAAACATTCTATTTTTCAATATGGATGATTTTCATAACTTAAAAAAGTTTACATAAGACATATCTTGAAATACACATATTTTTACCCTTAAAACATTTATCTAAAGGTAAACTGGACCAAGAGAAGTTGCCTTTTTTTCACAGTAATTTACTGGGTACTGGTGTCCACATCAACTTTTGCTTTATCTGGAAGTTATTTTTCCCATCACAGATCGGCACTCAGATTTTGCAAGAGAAGCCTTTACTTCACTGCCGTCTAGCTCGATTTTCTCAGCTTCTCAAAGCAAATTTTTCTTTGTTCACCGGTATAGAATCATCATTGGAAGCCGCCTTTGCTACCCAAGGTACCAAGTTCGGAGCTCTGTCTGGTTTCACTTCACATTATGTGAGTCAGTCGTGCTGCTTGAACTCAGTATTGCAACAGCTCTGTCTCCTCAGTGAGCACTAACACACCCCAGTGACCCGTGGGTTCCAGAGTCTCAGTCAGCCCATCGGCTCAACGAGGGAGTAAGCTTTGGGATGACTCTCAGATGATACTTTATTCCCATTAATGAGGGCTACTGTTTTATTTATTTATTTTTTGAGACGGAGTCTCGCTCTGTCGTCCAGGCTGGAGTGCAGTTGCGTGATCTCGGCTCACTGCAAGCTCCGCCTCCCGGGTTCACGCCATTCTCCTGCCTCAGCCTCCTAAGTAGCTGGGACTACAGGCGCCCGCCCCCACGCCCGGCTAACTTTTTGTATTTTTAGTACAGACGGGGTTTCATCGTGTTAGCCAGGATGGTCTCCATCTCCTGACCTCGTGATCCGCCCACCTCGGCCTCCCAAAGTGCTGGGATTACAATTGAGGGCTATTGTTACCCACAGCTTGACTTATCTCCTAGGTGACAAAACATTTCCCTCAACAGCACACTTTTGCTTTGATTTCAGGTCCTGCACATTAATGGAGAAGTTGAAAATCAACTCAATTTGCTACTAATTGAATCACCCAAGGATAACGTCCAAGGATGACTAGGGCAGCCTAAATCAGACATTCAAAAGAAAGTTGAAACAGTATCAGGAAAAGTTAAAAATTTCTGTATTAGGTCCTTCTTTCACCTATGCTCTCTATTTATTGAGTAGTTATTATTATTATTATTATTATTATTTCTTTTTGGCGGCACACCTGTGCCGTAAGTAATGGCTCGCCTGATTACCTGAAAATTTGCATGCTTTGCATTTGTAATCCACACTATATTTTATGTTCTTAAACACAGGATGGATTTATGAGAAGTAACTGATGTTTTTCGGAAGTAAACTAATATAGTAGACACACGCTTAGAAAATAATCCCTTTCCACAAGATTGTTTTAGTTCTCCTGTTTCTTACATATCCCTTTGTTAATAGATCGCTCTTGCTGACAAGTAGACTAATTCCTAAGTGCTAGTGCTTTAGGGTACCTCATTAACTAAGGAGAAAGAGGGATAAATAGAAAAACTCAACAAATTTTACAGAAGTAAGGTATAGAAAAACAATAGGCAAAATCCCAGTAACAGGAAATAAGCTAGATATGTGGATAGAATAGACAAATAGAAGAGAGGAAAATTTCTAAGATGATTATATTTTGCTGAGAGACAAAGGAAAGGAAGAACAAATTCTAAGTTACATAGTCTTTGAAGCCAGAGATTGGAAAGGTTAAATAGAAGGATGAAATAGAGGAAAAGAGTCCTATAAAGAATACCAAAGCAGGAGATTGCATTTTCGGGAATTCTTTTGTGACTTTTTTTTTTAGCAAATTACAAATGGACACTGTAAATTTTCATCTGCTGATATAGCTATTCTCTCAAAGATGGCAAACTTGCCCATTTCCAGCAACTAGAGGATGCTGTCATGAGAACACAGGATAAGGTACACTGAAAGCAGACACTGAATGCAAAGGAAGGCAAACAATGTAATTGCTTATGTGGAAAACAGAATTTTTCATAAAGAGAGACAACACTTCCTGGAGAATGTACAGATGGATATGAAAAAAATGATGGAGAATAACTGGGCTAGAGCAGAAAGTTTTCTAATTAAATCTAAACACTGAGATGATATAAACTAAAGCAAAGAGAAAGATCTTTAAAGATCTTCTGAAATTCATTTTTGCGGCTTTCTCTCATCTCAGGTATTCTATCTTCTTATAGATAAAAAGGGGTTTACCTCTTCCCTGAAGAAGAACCTGTCTTCTCTAAAAGACAAAGCCTCACTTCCTTCCCTAACAACCATTAGATATCACATACATAGAGATTAGCAGTATATTTCTCTAAGATTATATATCATATATAGAGAGATTACCAGTATATCTTGTATAACTACTATTAATGTCATATATAGAGATACCAGAGAGTAAATAGGCAATCAGATCTGACTTACTTTCTTGTCCACTCTCCGGATGCAAAGAGCTGTTCTCTGCTACGAAACAATTTTCAGAGCTCATCTTTATTCTCAAGATTCCCTAGTTAATCTCAGGTCAAGTCAAGCTACAGTGAAAGTCTTTGCTGGAGCTCTTGTTGAGTCTGTGAGGCTCTGAGGCATCTCAGAGTTTATACTCCCTGATGATGTCTCCGCCCCCTTCCTCTTGCCGCCTACTTGCTTGACTACATTGTTTCTCTTTAATTTATGCTCCAGTGGACCAGACAATGTATAGTGTGTTGTTGTGGTGAAGTATGGGTTTTCCCTGTTGTCTGAAATGTGCTTTCTCACAACTGTAAGGTGTAGCAGGAGGAAAGTGGGATTTTCCCAGACTCTGAGACATCCTGCCTTAAATTTCTAGAAAACATAAACAGTTTAGGAGACAGCATAATCTAAGTAAAGAATTAAAAGTTAGAGGTTCCTGTCTTTGAGATGAAGATAATTTGGAGAAGGAGAGTGTAGTATTTTCCAGGAATCCCGTTTATCGATTTATGCATACATTTAACTGATATTTACTGAACACCCCCTATGCACCTGACACTGTCTGGGGCCCCAGGATTTATTGCTGAACATGAATTTTAAGATCTCTATGCTCATGGATCTCTCTCCAGCTTGAAAGGGTTTTATTTAGAAAGCTACGAATTGGTTTTTGGAAGTGTGTCATTCGCTTCTTCCCTGGTGACTAGATGTATCACGTAGTAAGAAGTAAGAATGCAGGAAACAGAAAGCTTGTGGTCTGGAACTTCCTTGCTATGCTCTAAAATTGTTTATCTTAAATTATCTGTTTCATTTGTTTCCTGCTAATTTTCTTGTCACATTTTACTGTCATTTAGACTGCTTTTATGTCACCTCAGTAACAGCTCCTTCAATTCTCCCCCTGTGCTCTAGGTTATTCTCTTCAGATACCTCTGAGACTTCAGTCTTTTGAGGTATGATTATTATTTAAAACATCGCTGTGGTATCAGTCTCACTCAGACAAGTAATGACAGTCAACGCAAGATGAATGCAGAAAGCTATGTATGGTGATTTAAGGAGGGAAATCAAAATACCACTCTGATTAATAATCTTGGTGCCCCAAATTTTATTATTAATATCACTTATTTAGAATAAAGACGTTAAATTTTATGCATAGGTGGGTTGGAAGTTATCATCTAGAGAAGTTAGTTGGACCATTAGATGCATTTGTCTACCTAAGACACAAAGAGGTACATGTTGGCCCTAAAAGCTCCCTTTGCTTCCATCCTATTTTTCAGTCAATTTCTTAGTCCCTTTTCCACATAGCAGCTAGAACCATTGTTTTATAATTAATTCATATGATTTTGGTGAAGTGTTTAACTCCTCCCCCCACTGCACTTTGAAAGGCTTCCTATCAAATGTACCGTAAAATCCAAAGACCTAATAGTTGAGAATGCTTTATACATAATATGGCCCCTGGTTACCTCTCTTATCATTTTTCCTATTATTCAGTATCCTCTCTGACAGAAACCTCCTCCTTAAAAATGCCAAGCATCCTACCACTACAGGGCTTTTACTTTTTCTCTAAAAGATTCTTTTTCCATCTCCCTGCATGTCTCGCTCTCCCTTTAACCGACTCACTCTTCAGCTGCCACCTGCTCAGAGAAATTGTCAGTTGCTATTATATGTAAAATAGAACCTCACACTCTGTGCCTGTACAGATTGCTGTCAATATCTGATATTATATCATGGTTTATTATCTGTTTCCCTTACTAGACTGTAAGCTGCTTGAGGGCAAGGGCTTTGACTTGTCTCCTCTGTGCCTCTAACACCTGCCGTAGTAACTGGAATCTAGTATGTATTCCATGCCCTTACTGAATGCGTGAATGAATGAAAAATATGTATAAAACTCTAAAAGTTCTAAAATATGGAGTGCTATTTATTGGGGTTCGTAGGATTGTTTGGTTGAGAAGTGTATGACCTTAGGCTGCTACATGCAAAGAACCAGGTAATACATAGGAATGGATGTGAGGTCATTTATATAGGTCATCAGGCATGGTCTTGTTGAGGAGGTCATATGTGGAATTAAATAAAAATGGGAGGAAAGAGTTAACCATTGAAAATTTGAGAACAGAAAGAACAAGAACAAGAACACACTCTATAAAATAAAAAGAAGTTTAGCTTCTTTAAGGAAAAGAATGAAGGTAAGTGCAGTAAGCCAGTAGTGCTTCAGGAAATTGACCATACAAGTCCACTGAGCTTTGGCTTTGTTATCTGTAAACTAAAAATATAACATCCAATTTATAATGTTTCTATGAAGAAAAATTATGAATTCTAAATTTTTTTAATATAGTATTTGGTACATATTATGCCTTCAATTATATGGAAGGGAGTGACAGTTTGGTACACGTCATGAAAAGAGAAAGTTCCTCATTTGATGTAAGGCATTCAGAGATAATAACTGAGAAGTCACAGCATAATTGCTGATGTAATGTAATGTGTCTCTTCTCCGTCTGAGAAAGAGACAGAGGAAACTGCAGTCTCCTACAACCACCTCTAGCAGTTTTCATGGTACTAAGACTCATTTGCTCAAGGTTTCTTGCTTCTTCAACCATAATCAAGTTAATGGATGTGTGTATACACACACACATCTAGTGTGCACAGGTTTTTATATATATGTTACGTATAATATATATTTACATATATGCCCTAAGCCACAGAAAAATGATACCTAGAAATCTTATTTTGAGGAAATATTTTTAAACATTATGACATTGATCAAAATCTATTAACTTTATTTTGCAGTCATTTTTCTCTGCTTTTTTTTTTTTTTTTTTTTTTTCGAGACAGAGTTTTACTCTTGTTGCCCAGGCTGGAATGCAGTGGTGCGATCTCTGCTCACTGCAACCTCCACCTCCTGGATTCAAGCGATTCTCCTGCCTCAACCTCCTGAGGATCTGGGATTACAGGCACCCACCACCACGCCCGGCTAATTTTTGTATTTTTTTTTTTTTTTTTAGTAGAGACGGAGTTTCACTATGTTGGCCAGGCTGGTCTCGAACTCCTGACCTCAGATGATCCTCTTGCCTCCGCCTCCCAAAGTGCTGGGATTACAGGCATAAGCCACTGCTCCTGGCCCTTCTCTGCTTTTTTTTATGGGGATAGCCCAAGTATTTTGTTGAAATCAGTACTTGGGTGCGTGGGAGGAGGCAGCCACTGCAAGAAAAAAGTAGCCAACGTACCAAGCACATGGTTGTCAGTGGCCTCCTGGATATCCACTGGGCCCCATGCTGCTCAAGGTCTTCTGCAAGAGCCTGAACTTGTTGAAAAATTAACTTTTTCTTCATTTATCTTCCCTCCCTTCCATAATTCTTTCTATTTTTCTTAAGTGTGAGAAATCTCTTTTAATTTGAGAAAGCAATCAATTTAAACTCACAGTGAATAATGGTTGCTTGGCACTGTCCTAGCTGACACATGCTGTTAATTATTAACAACATGTAATTATTAACACCACGCTATTTCAGTGATTATTAAGAGTATGCTATTTCACTTGTGACAATGTCCTCTTAGGTACAATAAACTATATGCCCACGGTACTAATCAATACTTGTTAAGCCAAAGAAACATATCTCTACACGTGAAATTCCAGAGAAAAACAAAGGAAAGTGTAGAGGGTCAAGATGCAGTGTGGGAGAGATTTGGGGGTCAGAGAGTTCTTCAGTACCCCCTTTTTTTTAATCAAAACATGGAAGCAAACTTATTGTGGTTAGCCCTGATGGGTTTAGTTCTCTTAAAAAAAAAACACACATAAAGAAACAAACCTTGTGCAAGCAAACCCCTTTCAACCTCTTTATAAAACACAGATGGCAATAATATGTAACTTTCCATTTTAGGGAGACATTTTATGTGTCTTCTTTCATAAATGATATGTTAAAAAATTAAGTGATATTTTTAGGGCAGAAATTATCATTCACATTTCATCGTGTAGCTGAGAAAATAGTATAGCCGAGGCTTAGAGAAATTAGTGCGGGGACAAGGTTGGCAAAAGTCTTTCAGGACACCAAAACTCAATGCAGCTTTCCTTCCTGTGTGACCTTATATGTAGAATCCAGGGTGAGACGTCAGAAAGGAAGTAAAGATGAGGTAATATGAGCTAGATGCAAAGTGTGCAGAGAAGGTGGGGTACTCTGTGCTTATCAGACAGCTGCAGCAGCAGGATGCTTTTGGGTACATGTGAACAGGGACCACAGACTTCCGACCTAAGACAATTTCCGGAGACAAACTGCTCATCTCTCTTTTTTTTTTTTTCCTTTCAGTGGGTGAATTAGGTTTCTGAATGGCTTTTAATCTTCTTGTGAATCAAAACTTCAATTTAGAATACATCATCCTCTCTCAAATTAATGCAAATTACACAAATTGGTAAAATTTATTTTTAACCTGCAGGTGCCTTTGTGTTTTTGAATTGTTTACCGTAAAGGGTCAATGAAGGTAACCATGAGTAAACGGGGGATTTCCAGTTTTAAACACTTTCCAACCTTCTGTCCTCTTCAAGTCTTTGAACTTTCTAACTTTCCTCTTCAATGGAACATCTGAAACACAAAAAATGAGCTTGGAAAGTGTGAGCTGGCATTTTCTTCTTTTTGACTTGAGACAGTGAAGGTAAAAGATAGTGCTTGTGTACACACAAGCTTGGACTCTGAAAAACCTGACTGTTTCTGAAAGTAAAATACATAAGAGAATAAAAGAAGAGCTATATTAAAGATGAGATATAACGCTTAACCATGTCTGAGTACTTTACCTAAATTAATTCCAGACTTATCCATATACAACATTTTTGGAGACTACTCTCAAAGATAATGGTGTGAAAATAGCAAATGTACCATATAGAATTTTAAGGTAGGCCGGGGTCTGGGCTACTATGCTATCATAAAATGTATCCAATTGTACTTGGATCTTGTTTGATAGATGCATAATGAATTTGAACAGAACTGCTTATCCCACTTCCTGTGGATCTGTGTGCACCTAACATACCTAGGAAATGCCTCCAGGTGGATGACATTCTGGGACTTTTATCTTAAAAGGGAATTCACAAGAAAGTATGAGAGAGGTGAAAGTAGGCATGAAAAATTATAATAGTATATTATGAATATTTTTTGGCTATAATATATTTGACAACATAAGTAAAATGAACATATTCTAGACAGACGTCTCTTCCAAAACTGAAGCAAGACAAAAATAAAGAATTAAATATTCTGTAACTATTAAGTTAATTGAATCCATAATTAAATACGCTCTTTTTGGGAAAGAATAAAACAAAACAACAACAGAAACAACAAAAACCCCATGTCTAGATGGTTTTATGTTCTAAAATAACGAACATTTAAAAAAGAAATAGCAAATTACAATTTATTTGAAAGACTATAAGATCAGATCAAGAAAACACTGCAATCAAAACTTGACCTATTCTTACTTATAAGAACAGATGGCAAACAAATTAAAAATAAATTTAAAAAATTGTACTCAGCAATATATAAAAAATAATACACCACAGCAAAACTTGGTTTATTGCAGGAATCTAATGTTGATTTCTCATTTGAAAACCAATCAACACAACTTGCCACATTGACAAATTAAGAGGAAATGATACCTCAGAAGATAAATAATATTTTATAACTTTAATCATGAATCAATAATAAAAGTCTATAGCACACTAAGAATCAATGAACTGCATTACTCTATAGGTTATAGATTATAGAAAAGGGTATCCATAAAATACATCATACTTAATGATGACCAATTGAGAATGCTTCTTGTGAAATCAGAAATGAGATTAGATGCCCAGTATCCCCATTTTAAAGATAATATTTCTTGATGTAACATGCAGTAAAGTTAAATAAATAAATAAAAAAAATATATAATGATTGGGGAGAAGGGTCGAAATATTTTTTACTTATTGTTTTTAAAATTTTGAAATAATTATAGATTCACATAAAGCTCCCTTTAGGCTTTTAAGCTTTTTTTTGTTTTTTTTTTTGTTTTTTTTTTTTGAGACGGAGTCTCGCTCTGTCGCCCAGGCTGGAGTGCAGTGGCAAGATCCTTGCTCACTGCAATATCTGCCTCCCGGGTTCAAGCGATTCTCCTGCTTCAGCCTCCAGAGTAGCTGGGATTGCAGGTTACTGTCACTATGCCCAGCTAATTTTCTATTTTTGGTGGATATGAGGTTTCAGCATGTTGGCCAGGCTGGTCTTGAACTCCTGACCTCAAATGATCCGCCCTCCTCGACCTCCCAAAGTGCTGGGATTACAGGCGTGAGCCACTGCACTAGGCCCCTTTAAGCTTTCATCCACTTCTCTCAATACCAACATCTTACAAAACTAAGGTGCAATATCACAACCAGGATATTGACGCTGACACAGTTAAGATACAGAATAAATCCATCACCACATGAATCTTTCTGTTGTCCTTTAGAGTTAAACCCATTTCCCATTTCCCTCCACAAGCCCTGGTTTATTAAGAAATTGCCCAGCTCTGTTCCAGAGTGGCTGTTCCTTTTTACAGTGCCATCAACAATACACGAGTGATTCAGTTTCTCCGCATCTTTGCCAGCATTTGATGTCGCCACTCTGTTTTTAAAATTTCAGCCATTCTGATAGGTGTGCAGTGATATCTCCCTGTGGTTTTCATTTGCATTTCCCTAATGGCTAATGATGTTGAATATCTTTTTGTGTGCTTAGTTGCTGCTTGTATGTCCTCTAGTGAAATATCTGTATCTTTTGCCTGTTCTAATTGATTTGTTTGTGGTTTTACTGCTGTTTTTGAAACAATCAATATGAAATTTGAACCCATATTTTCAACTGTTGTTTCACATACAGCTTGTGCCTGTGGATGTCATCGTTGCCATATTTCTATATAAGATTCTGCCCCCACACTAAAATAAAATAAACTAGAATTGTATTATGCAGGACTACTAACAGAAACACTGTAATAGATTTTTAATTAATCTCTAATAAAATCAAGAATATTTTAAAAACTCTAATGTTTAAAGTTAATATATAAAGTGTGAATAATTTTTGAAAGGTCTCACATAAACACAATTCACTAGTTAGAACAGAAGTGAACTGTACTTACAGGGAATTTTTAATTACGTGACATCAAAACAGCTAACAATCTCTGCTATGGTCTCTGCTATTGTATTAAGACAAATACAATGAAGACAGTTAAATAAAAGAGGCAAAGCCAATCAAATGTGAGTTGCATTAATGCAGGTGAAACCTTTTGTTCTTCCTTTAATCTTCTCAACATTAAAAGCTCTTCTGGAACTAAAAACCCAATGATAAAGTTATAGGGTTCTTTGTACAGCTTAAGAAAAAAGCATATTCACTTCTGTAAGTAAAATAATTGTCCAGTACTAATAGAACAAGTACAGCAGAAGCTCTACTCTAGAGAATTGGACTGTGCACAGTTGTTTTTATCTACATAAACTTATGGCACTGGGAAATTTATTCTGGGTAATTCAACTATATAGAATTATCCCCTATCTGTAGTGAACAGTGCTTCAATCGTCTTAAACACTAATATGCCATTAATTAATCAGTAAGTAGGTACACTGCACAATTTTTTTATTGCTTACAAGATTCTGAACAGTGTAGTGGATGCACTGTAGAGGACAAAGAGAAATGTATGACCTGGTTCTATTCCTCAAAGTCCTAACAACCTAGATAGAATAAATAAGCCCACAAAGTTAAATACAATAGAAATCAAAATAATACATAGGACAATGATAAAAATATATGATATTGTCATACTGGATTGTTGCCAAATGAAAAGTTTAGGTTAAAAAATCTATAGGAAGAAAATAAATTTGTTCAGGCTGCAGTGGCAGGAGACATTTCCCAGAAGAGTAAGAGGAAATGGGTAGAAACTGAAGACAGAAATAAGTTAATACATTATATCATAGCAGTATTCTAAATGTGAGACAATTAATTGAATATAAAGAAGAATGTGTATGTGCAAAACACTGAAAAGAGCTAGTGAAATGATTCTGATAACAGAAAATGTGAAGGTGATAAAGAGGAAATAGCTAAAGATGACTGAAGTACTCAGAGTAAAAAAAAAAAAAGTATTCCTTAACTAGCTAATATTTTCATAGGTTGTATTAACCAAAATAAATTTATGCTTTCCAGTTTTTCCAAATGTGATACATAAATTATTCCCAAGCATAGATGCAACTACATCTTCATCATCCTTTAACAGGTATACAATTTATGCACCTATTATTTTATTTTCCATGCCAATACCGTATATTCTCTTCTGATCAGCTGTCAAAATACTGCCCCACCTGTTGCACATGTTAATTAAATGCTTATTTTTTTCTATTAAAAGGATTCTACTTATATGCTTCCTCACAATCTTCTCTCTTACTAATATTCATCAGAAATCTTCATTGAAAAATAATGAAGTGTTTGGCTGGTCTTATAAAATGAATTTGTCGGTGTTTCCATACCTACTATTTTTCTGAAAAGGTTTGTATGTGTTTGTTATTATTATTGCTCTGAATGTTTAAAAGAGGTGACTTGTGAAATCATCTGGACCTGGAGGTACTTTTCGTTGTTTATTTTGCTTTTTAAAAAAGTTTTTTTTTTTTTTTAATGGCAACTTCGGTTTTTTAATAGATGTGAGGCTGTTTTCTGTTTCTCCTTGTGACAGTATTATTGAGTAGTACTTCCAAGTGTTTGGTTGTGTAAGTTGTTAAATTTATTGGTTTATTGTCTGCTTTCATTATCCTTTTAATGTCTACACAATAGGTAGTAACAGTTCCTCTTTCATTTCTGATATTGAGAATTTGTAGTCTCTCTATTTCAATCTCTTTCTTCTATTAGCCTAGCTTGGAAATCGTCCAGTATTTTTAAAGAAATAGTCTTTTAATTTGTTACTTTTCTCTCTGCTTTCAGTTTTTTCGTTTTTGTGCTCTTATCTTTATTATTAGCTTATTTCTACTTTCTTAGGATTAAATTTGTATTTTTTTAGTTTTTAAGGGTAACTTTAGGTTATTGATTATAGAATTATTTTCTTTTATAATTAATTATATGCAAAGCAGAGATTAGCAAACTATGGCCTATGGGCCAAATTCCTCCTGTTACTTCTTTTAGTAAATAAAATTTTATTGGAATACAGCCATGCCCACTTGCTTTCATATTGTCTATTGCTGTTTTGGGGCTAGAAGATCAAAAAGGAGTTTTGTGATAAAGGTTTTATGTTCTGCAAAACCTAAAATATTTACTCTCCCGCTCTTTACTATACACACAAAAAAAATGTATGGATGGCTGATTTAAAGCCAGAACATTCACTCCAAAACTGTTATAAACCTCTTCCCCTAATTTTGGTTGTTACGTTTTTATTATTGTTCAAGTGAGAATATTTTCTAATTTCCTTATAATTTCACACTTGCATTATCTAGAAAAGACTTGCTTAATTTGCAAATAAGTGTTTTTTCCATTTTGGTCAGAGAACACACTGAGGTTTATTTATAGCTAAGTACATGGTTTATCTCAAATGCATGTGCCATGCACATTCAGAAAAAAAGGGGCAGTCTGAAGTTGTTGGGTGTATTGCTCTGTAAACATAAATTAGACCAAGATGATTGATGGTGTTGTTCAAACCTTCTATATCTTTACTGATATTTTGGTCTGGTTATTCTATAAATTATTCATAGAGGAATGTTAAAATACCCTTTGGTTATAGAATTGTCTATTTCTTCATTAAAATCTGTCAAAAATTCTTTAATAGATTTTGAGGCTATGTTATTAAACATATTCATATTTAAAATGTTTCTGACTGATGCATTGCCCTTTTAGATTCTGCAATATTTTCTGAATATATATTCAAAATATATTGATATTTTTGTTTTAGCGCCCAATGACCCATTAAACTCACACTAGAGCTCTCTTAACTTCTGTGGATGGTGGTTGTGATGGTTAATCTTATGGGTCAACATGACTGCATCATGCAGTGCCCAGATATTTGGCCAAACATTATTTGTGGGTGTGTCTGCAAGGGTGTTTCTAGACGAAATTAACCTGTAAATCTGGATTTGGTAAAGTTGTTTGCCTCCCCAGTGTGAATGGGCATTATTTAATCTACTGAGGGCCTGAATAGAAAAAAAAAAAGGTTAAGGAAGGCAGAATTCAGGCCTTCCTGCCTGATTGCTTGAACTAGAATATTAATCTTCTGTTTCCCTTAGCTTCCCTGGTTCTTGGGCCTTCAGATTTGAACTGAATTACACCATTGGCTTTCCTGCGTCTTCAGAAAATGGCATGTAAGTATAAATTTATTAGTTTGCATTCTTTCCACTAATGGTCAGAAAATGGTGGTGTCTGTTCCAAGAATCACATGCAGACACAAGAGCAACCAGAGAGGGAGCAGTAAATAACTGTATATAACAGAACCAATAAGATTATGTATCTATCTATCTATCTTCTATCTAAGATAGATATATATAAGATATGTGTATATATTTTAGTAAATGAAGTTTTATCATATATATATAACTTCATTTACTAAAAGAGGTGACGGGAGGAATTTGGCCCACAGTTTAAAATTTAAACTATGCTTAAGAACAGCTTATATAAATACATACATATATATATATATATATATATGTAATATATAGTGAACCCTGACCAATACAGTGGTACATATCTCATTTCATTTTTTTAGCTTTTGTTGCATTGCAGGGAGACTGTCCCCTGTCCTGCACATGCCTGTTTCAGGGGCCAGCCTGGATATTTTACAACATTTGAACCCATTCTCTGGCTCTTTTCTTTCTGGGATTCTTATCTCTTTCTGTGGTAACTACTATATTAGTCAGGGTTCTCCAAAGAAACAGAACCAATAGGATAGATAGATAGATAGATAGATAGATAGATAGATAGATAGATAGAATTTATATTTATCTTTTATGACACATAAAATTAACCATCACACTACCATTTTCTTTATTCTTTTGTGTTATCTTTTATGAAAATGTTTTTTTCAAATCTTCACCCCAGATTTTGCCCATTGAACTTCCTTACCAAATGTATACTAAAGCCAATCTTTTCACATGTATCTCCCAGGCAGTGAATTAGCTTGGAAGGACACTGAGGTAGCTCTGTTCCTAGATGTGGAATTCCTCTGGCAGGCAACCTTGATGTGATGATTCCCTACCAGTCTTGACAAACATTTTTAGAACTGCACTACATTCTAAGGCTTGTACACTCAACCTCTTTTCCTTCCTTCTTTTCCTCACATGGTATAATATGAAAGCTCTACCATCCTTTTCTGGAGTCTTCTCAATTTTTGTCAACTGTATTTTCTCTAACAAATATGTTGCATGTCTAATTCTTTATTGAAGTCTGCTTCTCAGGGGACCCAAAGTAACACACTTTGTCTGGTACGTATAGTTAGAAAAATTGTAGAGTTTTTATCGGAAATTGATCACTCATAACCAAACATCTTGCAGTATGCCTGGAGGCAGAGCCGTAATATCACTGGGAAACTCATCTTCATGCTGATAATTTCTCCAAGGTGTGATTATTTTCCACATACAACTATTCTAATTGCTCTTATAGGTCTTTAGATTACTTGGGTTCTTTTTTTTTTTTGTATTTTGTCTGGATGACATATTTCTAATCAGTAATTGTGTGGGTCCGTGTGTGTGTTTGTTGGGGCAAAGGGGAATATAGGTAACACTACCACATGGAGGCAGAAATTTACTCATCGTTTCTTAATGTTCAACTTGTTACTTCTTAGACACTAAGATTCCTCTTTAGGCTGGTTCCATATCTTTTCACTCATCATCTTTAATATCTTTACTTTTCTTTGCATTTGAATAATAAGAATGACTTCAGCTGTAAAAACCAAATACTTCTGTGTCAGTTGACTAAAACAATAAAGAATCACAATCACTTAAAACAAGAAAGTCAGAAGGGGTCTCTACAATTATGATGCACGTGGATGTGCATACCAGATAATTGACTCAACGTGATTTAAACGTTATTATCTCGTTGCAGGTTGAGAGGTGGTGATTTCAGCAGTTCAAGAACCCAGGAGTTATCTTTCTATTTTGCTATTCTTATTAGTTGGCATCATTTCTCCTAACGATTACAAAATGGCTGTGTCTGTTCTAAGAATCACAGGCAGACACAAGAACAACCAGTAAGGAAGACATAAATAACTGTATATAACTCATCTTCTAATTGTTAGAGTATTTTCCTTCAGGTTCTTCACACATGAACCAGAACCTTTAGCAATCTCAATGTCCTAGCCTAGATACAGCACGTCTCCAAGAAAGCTTGTTCCAGAGAATCTATCCAATTCCTCTTTATCAAGGGCTGTCAAGTATAGAATAATCAAATTCAAATTCTCTTAATTATTCAATTTTTTCAATCGTAAAATGAGACAACATGTGTACTTTCACATAAAATTGTTGCAAAAACTTAATGAGCTCACACTTCAAAAACACTTAATGTAATATATGGTTGAAAGTTGGTGCTCAGCCAACATTAGCTACAAATGCTAGCCTTACTGGCCTTTTATAACCCAGTTGCTAGCATAGAATTGATATCACCATGGTTATCTGGACCAGTTAGGATTCGTCTTCTGAGTTACAGGATGGAATCTACTGCTCTTGAAACACCAGGACCACATGAAAAATGATGAGCATCTAAATAGTCTCCATTTTCCAGTAGGAAAGGTGAAAGAAATAATAGCATGCTGGCTATGAAATCAACACAGTCTGCAACAATTATGGCAAAATATTTGCCAAAAAGAAATCTTTGTTACCGATCTTCATATTCAAGCTCTGGAACTTTATGTCCCTAACTCACATTTGTCTTAATCTCCTAACAGGAAATTTTAAAACCACATCAGATAACTTGAAACTTAAAAAAAAAAAAAAAAAAAAAAGTGCTATTGTCCAAACACCATAGACAGGTTTTCTATGAAGTAAAGTTTAGAGAAGTGGGTGGGGAATAGCAGAATCAGATAAAAAGGAAACAAAATAGAACCAGCACACATCAGTAGCAACAGCTTCAAATGGAGAAGGCCTAAGAGATATATATTCTGGTTGCAAGTTGTAGAGACCCAGGCTAGAAATCATAAAGGAATGTGATTTGAAAATTGACTGCTACTAATGCATAAAATTAGATAAGTAATTGCATTTCACTGAATTGCACCAATTCATTCAATATTCAACCAATATTTAATGCACACTTACGTTGTTCCAAACACTGAAATAAGTATGTGCTAAAGATCCAGTATTGAGCAAAACAATTATAGCCATTTTTTTAGGGAGTGTGCCGTCTAGCAAAGAGGACACACAATGAGTAATTCAGTCTTCTCTCCTTTTTTTCTTGGTCATTCTAGTCAAAGTTTTATCCATTTTGTTAATCTTTAAAAGTAGTAACTTCTGATATCACTGATTCTTTTTATTGCTTTTCTATTCTGTATTTTGCTTATTTTCTCTTAAATTTTCATTACTTTCTTTCCTCTTGCTTTTGGTTTAGTTTGCTCTTCTTTTTTCAGTTTTCTTAAGGTGGAAGTTTAGATTATTGATTTTGTTACTGGTGGTGAATCTCTACAGGTTTGCAGCAACCTCAGTTTTTGCCTCCTCAGAAGAAAGAATTTGACCAAGGGGCATAAGGCAGAAGGAGAGACCAGGACAAATTTTAGAGCAGGAGTGAAAGTTTATTAAAAAGTTTTAGGACAGGAATGAAAAGAAGTAAAGTACACTTGGAAAAGGGCCCAGCAGGCAACTGGAGAGATCAAGCGAACTGTTTGACTTTGACTTAGGGTTTTATACATTGTTTGACTTTGACTTAGGGCTTTATACATTGGCATACTTCCAGGGTCTTGTGTCCCTTCTCCCCTGATTCTTCCCTTGGGCTGGGCTGTCCGCATGTGTACTGGCCTGCTAGCACTTGGGAGGGGAGCATACGCAGTGTGTTTACTGGAGTTGTATGCATGCACCTTGAGGCATTCTTCCTTTACCAGTTGAATGCCCCTAGAAGCCCATATACCAGTTAAGCTCTGCCATTTTGCCACTTAGTGTGCATGTTTGAGCCCACTCGCCCAACACCTGAGATCTTATTGGGACGCTAATCAGCAGTTTCAGGTTTTTCTATCTATTGGGAGACTGCCTTTCCCTAGGGCCAACTGCAACCAATTATTATTTTGGAACGAGAGCGTAACAACTAGCTGACCATCACCTGACATTCCTGGTGGGTGGAGGACCTCTCCCACCCTTCTCATGTCTGCTTGATCACCTACCGTAACAATCTGAGATCTTTCTTTAAATGTAGGTGTTTATTGCAGTATGTTTTCTTCTGAGCACTGTTTTCACTGCATCCTATAAATTTTGATATGTTTTGTTTATTGTCATACAATCCAAAGTCTAATTTCCCAGGTGATTCCTTCTGTGACCCATTGGTTATTTAGAAGTTTGCTGTTTAATTTTCACATATATATGAATTTGCCAAATTTGTTTCTCTTACTGATTTCTATTTTCATTTTCATTGTGATCAGAGAACATACTCTGCATGATCTCCATCATTTTAAATTAAGACATTTTTAAACTTGTTGTGAGCTAACATACGGTTAACCTGGAAGATTTTCCATATCCACTTAAAAGAAATGTGTTTTTGCCTGTTAAGTGTCCTATAGATGTCTGTTAAGTAATTGATTTGTAGCGTTATTCAGGTCTTCTATTTCCTTGTTGATCTTGTGAAAAGAAAGTCTCAAGACTCCAAACCCACTATGCCAAAGGGAAAATTAAGTACAGGAACTGAGTCATGCAAAAACTGCCTTCCTTTTGTTACCAAACCAATAGCTGTAATTTCCCATGCTTACTTTATCTTATGTGAAATGTAGATTTACTGAGTGTAAAAGGAATGCATAATTGATTGTTCCTCTATTACCTCTCTTACTTATAAAATGTGGATCGAATGAGTGCTAACCAAGGCCTCACAAGAATGTAACCACTTGCTTCATTGCTTCATTGCTTACCCTCCTCTGCTTTTTTTTTTTTTTTTTTGGAGACAGAGTCTCGCTCTGTCACCCAGGCGGGAGTGCAGTTGCGTGATCTCGGCTCACTGCAAGCTCCGCCTCCCAGGTTCACGCCATTCTCCTGCTCAGCTTCCCAAGTAGCTGGGACTACAGGCGCCCGCCATCACGCCCGGCTAATTTTTTGTATTTTTAATAGAAACGGGGTTTCACCGTGTTAGCCAGGATGGTCTCGATCTCCTGACCTCGTGATCCCCCCGCCTCAGCCTCCCAAAGTGCTGGGATTACAGGCGTGAGCCACTGCACCTGGCCTTTTTTTTTTTTTTTTAAACTCTCCTCTTTCCCCTCCTGCTCTCTTTTCCTCCTTTAAATATTGAAGTCCTCCAAACCTTCTTTGGAAGAAGCACATGTCACAGATCTTACTGTAACTTGTGTTTCTTTTTCCCAGAAGCATCCTCGACCTTGGCAAAATAAACCTCAAAACTGATTGAGACTTGCCTCAGTCATTTAAAAAAATTTTTTTGCTTTACATTTTCATAAACATGAGGGGATTCTGAGTGGAGTTTGGCCCTCGACCTGTGGCAACTCTCTTATTGGTGCCTGGTACTGGGGTGGGCTATCTTCATTGCTTTGATAGGAAAATATGCTGAAGTCTGGGGGCTTCTCCCTCTAGAGATCCCTGGTCTCCCAAAGGTTTTCGTTGCAATCTGAGGTTTATTTCTGCTGTAGGACTCCTTTTGGGATTTTTTCTGCTTCTGTGGTGACAGAAAGCAGTCTTCAGCATGGGTTCCATCTGCAGGTAAAGAGATGGTTTGGGGTTTCGTTTTGGGATTTGGTAGCTGAAGGACAAGATCTATTGTCAGCTAGTGATAACTTTTCCTTATGCTGAGAGATATTGACTATATGTAAATTGTGTGATCATTTTTTTTTTAATTTCTCTGGACCTTTTTTTATGGGGGGGGCGGTGGTTGATTCATCTTCTGTTAGATTTGACCAACTCCTGGCCATCTCTAATGTTGACTGAAACTCCCACAGCTGCAGAAAGTCAAATTTCCACCTCTAAAAAACCTGGTTGGTTAAGAAAGATAAAAAATTTGACTACCTGAGAATTTCATCTACGTAACAAAGTCTCTGTTGCTAGCCAAGCTCCTGCCTTTCTTTCCCTCATAACCTGTGTTGTCACTAAATCTGACTTAGCAACATAACCTGGTTTTGGCCACGCCCTGATTCTGCATTCTTTACTGTGGCTTTTTAATCTTATTGTTGGGACCGTCTTCATTCTGAAGTCTCTTTATATACAGATTAAATAAATTTGTATGCCTTTTCTCCTATTAATTAATGTGCCTCATGCCACTGATTTTTAAGCAAAACTTTAGTGGGCCAATGGCCATGGCCCCCGTGATAGTGCAGTAAAAAGGACTCAAAGCTGTTCTTCGCTTCTAGAAGCTGCTGAGAAGAGAACCCAGTAACCTGATCTGTTGGCAAAGGGGTAAAAGTTTCTTACCCACCAGGCTCCTGGACTCTGTGCACTCTGGTGGGCAGATGGTAAAAATCACTGTCTCCTCTGGAAGGTTTTGTTTAATGAGAAAAAAGGATTTGTGTGACGGCTCTTGGGTTGTAGTGACCCTGGTGCACTTTTGGTACTTTTTGTAGCATCTGAACTTTAAAGAGGCATTTGGATTGAGGCATTTGGATTGAGTCACTGTTGGACCTGAGTATGCCACTGAAAATAAAACAAGATTTCAGAGATCTCTTATTCTAAACAATTAATGAAAAGGTTAAATTGAAATAGGATACAAAGTGATGTCATGGCTAGCCTTGAGACTTCTGTGACCTAAAAGTTAAAATCCTTTGCAAGCTCAGAACTCTGCTTGATCTGGTATTCTTCTGGGAAGAACAACAAAGACCACCGCATGCTGTAGTCCAACAGCTAAGGCTCTGTGCTTCCACCACAGTGGCTTGGCTTCAATTCCCAGCCAGAGTATGAGTCTTCTTTGGTTTGATATATGTGTGACTTTTGTAATTTTTTTTTTTAGAAAAATTTCCATTTTAGGTTCAGCAGTACATGTGCAAGTTTTTTATATAGGTAAATTGTGTGTCATGGGGGTTTGGTGTACAGATTATGTTGTCACCCGAGTAATAAGTATAGTACCCAATAGGTAGTTTTTTGATCCTCACCCCTTCCCACACTCCACCCTCAAGTAGCCCTGGTATCTATCATTTCCTTCTTTGTGTTGTCCATGTATAATCGATATTTTAGCTCCCACTTATAATTGAGAATGTGCAGTATTTGATTTCTGTTATTGTGTTAATTTGCATAGGATAATAGCCTCCAGTTCCATCCATATTGCTGCAAAGAACATGATCTCATTCTCTTTTATGGTTGCGTAGTATTCCATGGTGTATATGTACCACATTTTATTTATTCAGCCTACCATTGATGGGCATTTAGGTTGATTCCATGTCTTTGCTATTGTGAATTGTGCTGTGATGAACATATGTGTGCATGTGTCTCTATGATAGAATGATTTATATTCCTTTGGTTATATAGCCAGTGTGATGGCTAATATTGAGTGTCAACTTGATTGGATTGAAGGATGCAAAGTATTGTTACTGGGTGTGTCTGTGAGGGTGTTGCAAAATGAGATTAACATTTGAGTCAGTGGACTGAGAGAGGCAGACCCACTCTCAATCTGGGCGGGCACCATCTAATGAGCAGCCAGCACAGCTAAAATAAAGCAGGCAGAAGAAGATGGAAGGACTTGACTTGCTGAGTCTTCCGGCCTTCATCTTCCTCCTGTGCTGGATGCTTCCTGCCCTCAACATCAGACTCCAAGTTCTTCAGCTTTTGCACTCTTGGACTTAAACCAATGGTTTGCCAGGTGCTCTCAGGCCTTCAGCCACAGACTGAAGGCTGCACTGTCAGCTTCTCTACTTTTGAGGTTTTGAGACTCCATCCACGTTGGCCTCCAAAAATGCTGGGATTACAGGCATGAGCCACCATGCCTGGCCGTTGTTGAGCCTTTGTTGGCCTGAAGTTTTCCTTTGTTACGTCTCTGCCAGATTTTGGTATCAGAATGATACTGGCCTCATAAAATGAGTAAGGGAGGAGCTCCTCCTTTTAAATTTTTTGGCATACTTTCAGTAGGAATGGTAGCAGCTCTTCTTTATATATCTGATAGAGTTCGGCTGTGAATCCGTATAGTCCTGGGCTTTTTCTCGTTGATAGGCTTTTTATTACTGGATCAGTTTTGGAACTCATTATTGTTCTGTTCAGGGACTCAGTTTCTTTCTGGTTCAGTCTTGTGAGATTGTATGTTTCCTGGAATTTATTCATTTCCTCTAGGTTTTCTAGTTTGTATGCATGGATGTGTTCATAGTAGTCTCTGAGTTTTTTTTTTTTTTTTTAATTTCAGTGGAGTCACTGGTAATGTCCCCTAAGTCATTTGATTATTTAGATCTTCTCTCTTGGTTGTTTATTAGTCTAGCTAGTGGTCTATTAATCTTATTTATTCTTTAAAAGAAACAACTCGTGGATTTGTTGATTTTTGTATGCTGTTTCAGGTTTCAATTTCCTTCAGTTTCACTTCCAGATTTTCTTTGATTTTTGGTTATTTCTTGTCTACTGCTAACTTTGGGGATGGTTTGCTATTGTTTATCTAGTTCCTCCAGTTGTGTTGGTACGTTGTTAATTTGAGATCTTTCTAACTTTTTCATGGTGTTTAGTGCTACAACCTTCTCTTTTAAAACTGCCTTAGCTGTGTCCCAGAGATTATGGTATGTCGTATCGTTGTTCTCATTAATTTCATAGAATTTCTTGATGTTTACCTTAATTTCATTATTTACCCAAAAGTTATCCAGGAGTAAGTTGTTTAATTTTCACGTAATTAGGTGGTTTTGAGCCATATTTTCTTGAGATTGATTTACATGTCTATTGTAGTGTGTTCCGAGAGCACGGTTTATATGATTTTGCTCTTTGGAGTTTATTGAGAATTGTTTTATGTTCAACTGTGTGGTTGATTTTAGAATATGCATGATGTGCAGATGAGAAGACTGTAAATTCTGTTGTTTTAGGAAGAGTGTTCTGTAGATATCTGTTAGGATCATTTGGTCAAGTGTTGAGTTTAGGTTCTAAATATCTTTGTTAGGTGTCTGCCTTAATGATTGGTCTAATACTGCCAGTAGGGTGTTGAAATCTTCCACTGTTATTGTATGGTAATCTAAGTCTCTTCATAGGTGTCTAAAAAGTTGCTGTATAAATCTGGGTGCTCCTGTTTGTGTGCGTATATATTTAGGATACTTAAGACTTCTCACTGAATCAAGCCCGTTAATATTATGTAATGCACTTCTTTGTTTTCGTGCTTTTTAACAAAAATCTTTGTTACAAGATTTTTAACAAAAATTCTGGTTTAAAGTCTGTTTTGTCTGAAATTAGAAGAACAATCCTTTCTTTTTGCTATTTTCCAGTTGCTTGGTAGATTTTTCTCCATGCCTTTACTGTGACTATGGATGTCATTGTATGTGAGCTGGGCTTCTTGAAGACAGCATACTGTTGGGTCATGCTTCTTTATCCAACTTGCCATGCTGTGCCTTTTTAATTGGAGCATTTAGCCCATTTACACTTAGAGTTAGTATTGATTTGTTCAGATTTGTTCCTGTCATCATATTGTTAGCTGGTTGTTATGCAGACGTATTTGTGTGATTGCTTTATAGTGTCACTGGTCTATGTCCATAAGTGTGTTTTTTTAATGGCTGGTAAAAGTCTTTCTTTCCCATGTTTAGCACTCCCTTCAGGACCTCTTGTAAGGCAGGTCTGGTGATAATGAAATCCCTTAGCATATGTTTGTCTGAAAAGGCTCTTATTTCTCCTTTGCTTATGAGGCTTGGTTAAATATGAAAATCTTGGTTGGAAATTGTTTTCTTCAAGATTGCTGAATATAGTGCCCCATTCTCTTCTGACTTGTAGGGTTTATGCTGAAAGATCTACTGTTAGGCTGATGGGGTTCCCTTTCTAGGTGACCTGCCCCTTCTCTCTAGCTGGCTTTAATATTTTTTCTTTCATTTCAACCTTGGAGAATCTAATGACTATGTGTTGAGGGGACGGAATTCTTGTATATTATTTTACAGGGGTTCTCTACATCTCCTGAATTTGAATGTTGGGCTGTTTAGCAGGGTTCTGAAAATTTTCATAGGTGGTATCCTGAAACATATTTTCCAAGTTACTTGCTTTCTCTCCCTGTCTCTCAGGGTCACCAGTGAGTTGTAGATCTGGTCTCTTTACACAATCCCAGATTTCTTGGAGACATTGTTTACTCTTTTTATTGTTTTTCCTGTATTTTGTCTGACTGAGTTATTCCAGACAGCTGGTCCTCAAGCTCTGAAATTCTTTCCTCAGTTTGGTCAATTCTGCTATTAATACTTGCAATTTTATTTTAAAATTCTTGAAATGAGTTTTTCAGCACTATTAGCTCAGTTTGATGCTTTCTTATAATGGCCATTTCATCTTTCATCTCTTGTATTATTTTATTGTGTTCTTTTGAATCCTTGGATTGGGTTTTGACTTTCTCTTGATTGTCGATGACATTTGTTCCTATCCATATTCTAAATTATATGTCTGTCATTTTAGCCATTTCAGCCTAGTTAAAAACAATTGCTGGGGAACTAGTGCAGTCATTAGGAGGTAAGAAGACACTCTGGCTTTTTGAGTTGTTAGAGTTCTGGCACTGGCTCTTTCTCATCTGTGTGGGCTGAAGTTCCTTTGATATTTGAAGTTACTGTCGTTTGGATGGGTTTTTATTTTTTGTTTTGATCTTGTTTGATGTCATTGGAGGTTTGCTATGGTATAAAATGGGTGCAGTTGACTGACTTTGTTTCTGATAGATTTTTGGGGGGCCAAGATTCAGCTCAGCACTCCTGGGCTGTGCACTCTGGGAGGCTGGTATAGGGCTCCCAGCTTTGTTCTCTGGACCATCAAGGTTGGCAACCTGCTTCACTGAAGGGGATGAAGTGTTCTCAGACCACTGGCAACAAAATTTCAAAGGGTGGCCCCAGCCAATGGACTTTGTCAGGCAGTGGCAGCAGGATCCATGCTTGTTCACTCATGCCAGAAGCAATGGCATCACAGCATGGTGCATAATTTGGTGGCTGGGTAGGAGTGCTGGCAGGCCCAGGGCTGTCATCCTCCATGCAGGCATTGGCAGCAGCAGCAGTCTTGGTTTAGGGTGGGCGGGTGGGGACTCCGGCCTTCTTCTGTGCATTCATACCTGTGGTGGTGTTGGCACTGGGGGGGGGTGGGCACTGGTGGGCATATATATATACATATATACACACACACATATACACACACACACATATTATTTTAAATATATATGAGCTATATATATATTTAAAATATATATATTTAAAAATATTTTATGTTTTTTCTCTTTTTGAATCCTGTTTGGGGAATTTTTTTTTTTTTTTTAGTTGACTGTAACCTTTTTTTTTTGAGATGGACTCTTGCTCTGTCACCCAGGCTGGAGTGCAGTGGCGTGATCTCAGCTCACTGCAAGCTCCACCTCCCGGGTTCACGCCATTCTCCTGCCTCAGCCTCCCGAGTAGCTGGGACTACAGGTGCCTGCCACCGCACCCAGCTAATTTTTTGTATTTTTAGTAGAGGCAGGTTTTCACCATGTTAGCCAGGATGGTCTCGATCTCCTGACCTCATGATCGCCTGCCTTGGCCTCCCAAAGTGCTGGGATTACAGGCGTGAGCCACCATGCCTGGCCAACTGAAACCTTTTAAAATAAATGCTTGTGCATGGTTTCTCCATTCACTTCCTTTTCTTAAAAATTGTTCTTTTATTTACTTTTATTCCACAGTATTCGTCCTTCCCCTTGCTATAATAAACACCAAGTGAAAAGATGTACACAAGACTTCTAATGACTCAGACCCCTTAAAGAACTCAGAATAAAGGTGACACTTACCCCTTTTCTGGGGTTTTCTGGTTTCTTTGTGGAGTTTCAAGAGTCACAGTGATATGGCTCCAATGAGTGGAGGAACACCAGGGGTCTTATCTCATGTGACATGGACACACATGGAGTGGTTTTAAGGAGCAGAGAGTTTAAGAGGCAAGAAAGAAGGTAGAAGAAAGAAAGAAGAACCTCCCTTGTACAGAGACAGAGGGAGGGGGCTCCAAAGCCGAGAGAGGAGACCCTCATATGTAGTGGAAACTTGGCTGCTTATAGGAGGAGGTTGGAGGAGGTGGTGTCTGATTTCCATAGGGCTCAAGGGATTGGTTTGACTCAGTATGTCACTCATGTAACCCACGAAAAAACTGGCCCCCCTACCCTAGTCTTTTAATATGCAAATACAGGGCGCCATGATGTTCTACACACATGGGGAATATGTGGGGGGTGGCCAGGTTGCCAGGAACATGTGGGGCAAAGGCAAGAAGAAGGTGGTGGGAATCTCCACGTTTGGGTGGACCCAGTTTCTAATGGCCTGCATTTGCATATCAAAGGTTACCGCAGGGCTCTAAGAGTGGCCTTTCCTGCTCCACAAGAAACATTTCTGGAGGTGCTTTAAAAGAAACGAAAATTTTCCAAGGACCCCTTTTCCTTTCTCTCTGCCTGCAATAATTTCTTAGTAACTCCTAACACAATAGGTAGACATTTCTCAGGTCTAAAGCTCTGCATTTTTTTGCATTGTGGTACTTGATCTTTTCAGCTTTTGGGGGTACCAGAAATTGCTTTGCATTATAAGATAATTTGACCTTTGGTATTTATAATGGCTAAGAAATGGGCTGATTACAGAGTAGGCTGATTGGCTTTGGGTTGCCCCGAAGCCCTGGGGAAATATCCTTACAATGAGGTACATTGGGGGCATTACACTGTCTCATCCCTTAATGTTTCCTTCTTTTTCTGGTCCCAGGGTTCAATGTAAAAATGAGATTTTTTATTTTGCTGGATCTGTGTTTTGCCTTCCAGCTATAGCTGCTTCTCACGTTTTTTGTTTGTTTGTTTTGTTTTGTTTTTTGAGACAGCATCTTGCTCTGTCGCCAGGCTGGAGAGCAGTGGCGCGATCTCAGCTCACTGCAACCTCTGCCTCCCAGTTCAAGTGATTCTCCTGCCTCAGCCTCCCGAGCAGCTGGGATTACAGGCGCACGCCACCACGCCTGGCTAATTTTTTGTATTTTTTAGTAGAGACGGGGTTTCACCGTGTTAGCCAGGATGGTCTTGATCTCCTGACCTCGTGACACACCCGCCTCAGCCTCCCAAAGTGCTGGGATTACAGGCGTGAGCCACCGCGCCCGGCCTCACATATTTAAATATTAGGTCCTAAAGACTGCATGCTCTCTTTCCCATGTTTACTGAAGGGCTCCACCCTGAAACCAATAATCTAACTAAGAAACAAGACTAAGTTAAAAAGCCAAAATACAACTTTGTAGCATTAGCTGGCTATCCTAAAAAGAAATTTATGTCTTTAAGGAAATCTCTTGTAAGGGTGCTTACCTGTGTACATTAGGAACTTTTACCATTGTTTTAAATTTACAAATATGCTTTTGTTTAAGGTACCTTTTTTGGTTGTCTTAATTGAACTTTTACTTACAGCATTTTTTCCCTTTGGTTTGAACAAATGATGATGCAGTACTTAGGCTTAATTTCTTAGCCTTGTGATTTTAAAATACAAATTCTCTATCTTGTTTTACCAAAGTTGTGCCTTTAGAAATGCAAATTTAAGGTTGCCTAGCCAACAATTGCCTAAGGCAATAAGGCAGGTAATTGAAAGAAATTGACAGTCTAAAATGGGAGAAGCGAACTTAAAAAACTGGCGAATAATGAACTTATAAATCTACAAGATCTGCTTCTATGTCTGTATGTCTATGTGTTTATACATGTCATTTGAATGTGATGTTTTACTACCAAAATATATAAAAGAGCTCTAGTTAATTGGCTTTAAAATAATAAGCACTTAAATTAAATATTTTAACAGAAAGATAAAAATTTTAACTCAAAGACTTTTAGTTCACGTGACTTTACTAAACTTTAGTAAATAGAGATAATTTGCAAATTTTTGATAAAATAATCAGAATGTCTTCCATTGAATTTAGACGTTTCATTTGAATTATTCCAGCAGGTCAGATATTGTCTCTGCTAGATGCTTTAAGGGATAAAACTTTGCTTCTATTTCCCTGTAAATTTAGGTGTTTACATATAAGCCATTAGGGGCCATGGGGAAGTCTACCTTCAGGCATTGTCTTTTGTCCTGAGCTTTGCTCCTCGTACGTAATTAAAATTTCTAAACTTCTAGGTTTTTCACTAAAAATAAGAATTACTATGAGTTAACTGTATAATGTATGTACACAAAGCTAATGGATATAAAACATCTCTGTATATAAAGAGTATAAGGAAAGCAGGATGTGTTTGGTAAATAGAAGGGTTATAAGAAGGCATGGAAATACAGTTTTTGCTAAAGTGAAAGTAATTTTGTCTAATTTAGAAGTTTTAAGGATGTATTTCTTTATAAGATTTTATTAAAATTAGCTTTAGTGTTAATAATACACTATACATAGGTTTTCTCTTTTAAACAAGATTTCTGTGTAATATTTAGAGATAATAAAATATTTTTGTTTACCTTTTGAGTAAACTGCAAAAAAAATAAGAGTAAGGGGAGAGAAGACACAGATTCAGATGACTTCATGCCATCTTTATTAGCCTTTATTGTTTGGGAAAGATATTCTTCTATTACAGAGTAAGGGTTTTTGCTTTTTAAAATCTTTGAATTATCATTTTGGCTAAATGGATGACTTACTTTACAGAGATCTGTGCTCTTATTTTGTCATATCAAGCGTTTTAATGTTTGCTATTTGACAAACTTTCCAAAATCAAAATTTCAAGTTCTAAATTCAGTCTTTTTGACTTTATTAAGTTTTTTAGATACTAGGTTCCCTGAAGTCTGAAAAAAAGACATATTCGGATTATTTGATATGTTAAAAATCATAAAGAAAGCATTGTCAAATACGAAACAATGTTTTCCTTTCTTTGGGTTCTATTTATATAAATGTTACTAATATGTGTTCTATTATTGTATGAAGTTCCTATAATTCTGATACGTCTTAATATATAAGTAATAATTATTATTATGTTAAATTATTGTATGCCACAGAAATAACAAAATTTTCTTACCAGTTATGTCTTTAACTGTTACTCTCCTAAGACTGTCATCCACAGATATTGTTTTATTTCGATTCTTCTCAAAAAAACAGTTTATAATCTGCCATAGTCCAAAATTTCCTTCTTTAATAAAATTAATTGAAAGGAGTTCACCAGTACTCCTGAATACAGGTTTCTGATAACTTTGGAAATCATACCATTGGACTAAACAAATGAACAAACAAACAAAAAACATCTTCCAAGATTCTAAAAGGCTGATAGTGTTCATGAGAATTGCTAACTGAATATCAAGCAGAACAAGAGCTCTGGAGCCTGGTACCTTGTCTACACAGTTCCTTCACAGGATTCCTGACCTGTGATAAGTGAAAAAATGTTACTTTCTGACAGGCCCAGGAACCCCAAGTTATCTTGAGACTTCATGAAAAGAGAAATTCACTCAATCCCTACAGGCATCTTGCAGATATTCAAATCCTTGGCTAGGCTCAAAAGGCTTTAAAAAGTGTAACCTGAGATTTCTTATGTTAAAAAACGTTTCAGCAAAGCCATTTTAAAAGGATCCTATAGGATAAATAATTATTCTTGGAGCAGCTTTTGCAAATAATCAGGCAAAGTAAAGTGAGACTAAAATTTATTTTGCAAATAAATTGGTCCTACTATGATGTTGTCTTTGATAACAATGTGGGACTGGAGAGAGAAAAATTGTGTTTCAAAAGAAACTATAGTACACCTGTTACTAGATTCTAGCGCTGTCCATTGTTTTTCAGTTTTTATCATTTGTGTACAATTTAACTAGACTGGATCCTGAATACTACCTACAAGGCTGCAAAGTAGTGTTTCCAAAAATTTTCTTCTCCCATTTTTCTGTCTTGGAATCACTAGAAATTATAACTGCTTTTCTTAAAGCCCTGTAAGCTGAAGTTAGGCAACTTATTTATATGTATAAATGCACACACACACACACTCACACACACACACACACACACTCCCCACATTCTTGCCTGCCTCCTGATGTGTGGACATCTCGGTAATATAGCCTGAATCAGTTATCCAAGATTGTTTTCCCTTTTGTTGCTATAATCTGGCTTTGGTCCCCCTCTTTTTCCCTCCTTTTCCCCCAGTCTTTCTTTGCCTACATTTCCCCCCCTTCTTTCTTCCTCCCCTTATTTTACTCTGTGGGACATAAGACTCTGTGATCTCCTAGAATGAGCCTTCCTAACAATGTGGGACCTATCCTTCTAGGAATAAAGCATTGTAGTGGCAAGGGATCAGATCAAGTCTGTGACAAGAGACTCATTTTCTTTTACAATACTTTCCCCAAAATATTTTGAACAATAGGAGGGATATATAAAAGAAAAATAAAATCTCAGGACCCGAAACACTGTGCAAAAAGGAAAGTTAGGCTTGGGAACTAGGTCATGCAAAAACTGATTTTTTTGTTGTTGTTGTTACCAAAGAGATGCAATTTCACATGCTGACTTTATATTATGTAAAATGTAAATTTACGGAGTACAATCCGAATGCATAATCGGCCGTTTCTCCACTCCTTCTTTTTACATGTAAAATGTAGATTCAGTGAGTGTGAATCAAAGCCTCATAAGAATGTAACCACTTGCCTTGTGGTTACACAAGAATGTAACCACTTTCCAAAGAAGGTTTTGAGAATATTAATATTTAAAGACAAAAGAGTGAGCAGGGCTTTTCTTTTCTTTCTTCTTTCTCTTCCTGCTCACTCTCTTGTCTTTAAATATTGAAGTCCTCAAAACCTTCTTTGGATAAAGTGTAAGTCTCAGATTGTACTGTAACTTACTTGTTTGTTTTTTTTTTTTCCCCCCCCATGTGCATCCTCAACCTTGGCAAAATAAACCGTAAAACTATTGAGAATTTCCTCAGTCATTTTTGGTTTTGGTTTACAATTTACAATCTTCTGTTTCGTTCAGTTCATTATTGAAAGTGGATACAAAAATCTCCAACTACTATTGCTTAATTGTCTTTTTTTCCCCTTTAATTCTGTTTTTGCTTTATAAATTTTGGGGTATATTTTTAGGTGCATATAGGTTTAAGATTGTCATGTCTTTATGACAGATTAGCCTTTTCATAATTGTAAAATGCCCTTTTTTGTTTCTAGAAATAATTTTTATCTCGAAGCCTATTTTGTCTTTTCATAACTGTATTCATGGTATACCTTTTTTATTCTTTTATTTTCTAACTATTTGTGTGTTTTAAACCTTGATGTGTCTCATGTATACAGCACTTAGTTGGATCCCATTTTGTGTCAATTTTTCTAATATCTGCCTTTTTTTTTTTTCCGGAAGCAGTGTCTCACTCTGTCTCCCATGCTGGGGTGCAGTGGCATGATCATAGCTCACTGTGGCCTTGAACTTGTGGGCTCAAGTGATCCTCCTGCCTAATCCTACAGGTGTGCACCACCACCCCTGGCTAATTTTTCAACAAAGGGTTTCGTAGAGATGGGTTTCACTATGTTGCCCAGACTGGTCTCCTGGCCTCATGTGATTCTTTCACCTCAACCTTCCAAGTGCTAAGATTACAGGCATGAGCCAGTGCTCCCAGCCTCCACCAATATCTACCTTTAGATCACGATGTTGAATCCATCTAAATTTAATGTAATAACTGATTTGTTAGAGTTTAAATCCGACTTTTGTTGTTTTCTATATGTCTTATGTCTTCTTATTTCTTTATCATTCCATTACTATATTCTTTTGTGTTAAATAGATATTTTCTCCAATTTAACTATATTGTTTTATTTTAATACATTTTCTCAGCTATTTCTTTAGTGGTTTTTCTGGGGGATTACCATTAACATTCTAATTCATAACAATCTAGGTAAGATTAATACAATCTTAATTTTAACAGTATCTCCAAACTTTACTCTTGGATAGCTCTGGACCCTCCCACTGTCTTTATTGTTGCCATATAAATTACAGCTTTATACATTAAATATCTATGCAAGTCTATAAAGTATGCATCTATACACATTTACAATTATTGCTTTATGCAATTTTATTTTAATAAGTTAGCAAAAAAATATAATTATTAAACAAAAATACATTAATATTGTCTTTTATATTTACTCATATAGTTACCTTTACCAATGATCTCTATGTTTTCATGTGGATTCAAGTTACTTCCTAGTTGTCCTTTTATTTCAGTCTGACGGACTCTCTGTAGCATTTATTGTAAGACAAATCTGCTAATAACAAATTCTTTTAATTTATATTTAACTTGGATTGTTAATTCTGGTAATAGGATTGCTAGATCAAATGGCAGGTCTACTTTAGTTCTTCGAGAAATCTCTGTACTATTCTCCATAGGGTTTTTATTAATTTACATTTTCACAAGGAGTGTATAAGTGTTTCCTTTGTAGCATATCTATGTCAACATCCAGAGTTTTCCAGTTTTGTAATTACAGCCATTCTTGCAGGAGTTAGATTGTATCTCATTGTGATTGTAATTTGCATTTCCCTGATTATTAGTGATATTGAGCATTTTTCATGTTTGTTGGCCATTTGTATATCTTCTTTTGAGAAGTGTCTATTTATACAATTTGCTCACTTTTTGATGGAATTATTTGTTTTCTTGCTGATTTGTTTGAGTTCTTTATAAACTCTGGATATTAGTCTTTTGTTAGATGCTTAGTTTGCAAATATTTTCTCCAATTCTGTGGGTTATCTGTTTACTCTGATTATGTCTTTTGGTGTGCAGAAGCTTTTTCATTTAATTAGGTCCCATTTATTTATTTTTGTTTTGTTACCTTTTCTTTTGGAGTATTAATCATAAGCTCTTTGCCTAACCCAATGTTCAGAAGAGTTTTTCTTTAGGTTTTCTTCTAGAATTTTTATGGTATCAAGCCTCAGATTTAAGTCTTTAATCCATCTTGAGTTGATTTTTGTATATAGTGAGGCATAGGGATACAGTTTCTTTCTTCTACATGTGGCTGTCCAGTTTTTCCAGCACCATTTATTGAATTATTTCCCCAATCTACGTACATTTTGTCAAAGATCAGTTGGTTATAAGTATTTGGCTTAATTTCTGGGTTATCTATCTATCCTGTTCCATTGGCTTACGTATTTAATTTTATACCAGTACCATGCTGTTTTGTTTATGATAGCCTTGTAGTATAATTTGAAGTCAGGTAATGTGATGCCTCCAGATTTGTTCTTTTTACTTAGGATTGCTTTGGCTATTCAGGCTCTTTTTTTGGTTCCATATGAATTTTAGAATTGTTTTCTGTAGTTCTGTGAAAAATGATGTTGATATTTTCATGGGAATTGCATTGAATCAGTAGATTGCTTTGGGCAGTGTGGTCATTTTCATGATATTGATGATCATATTATTATAGAAATTATTAAGAAATTATTTCAGGCAGATAGGATAAGTGGTCCTTGGTAAGGTTTTTTTCTTTAAATAAAAGCAGCTCCAGAAACATTTCTTTTTTAGCAAAAAAATGGCTTGAAGGGCCAAGCCAGCAAGCTTTGATATGCAAATGCTGGCTATTAGAAGCTGGGTCCATCCAATATGGCAAGTCCCACCTTCTTCTCCTTGTCACCACATGTGCCAAGCATCATGGCACCCCCAGAGGTCTCCACTGTGCAGAAAATCATGGCGGCCTGCATTTGCATATTAAAAGACTAGGGTGGGAGAGCCAGTTTTTTTGCAGGCTATGTGAATGACATACTAAGTCAAACCAATCCCCTGGGCCTATAAAAATCAGACACCACCTCCTCCAGCCTTCTAATATAACAGATTGTTTCCACCATACTTGGGGTTTCCTCTCTCTGCTTGGAGCCACCCCCACCCCTCACCGACCCCCCGTCTCTGTAGCTGGGAGCTTCTTCTTTCTTTCTTGCCTATTAAACTCTCTGTTCCTTAAAACCACTCCATGTGTGTCCATGTTGTCTTATCTAAATTGGCGTGAGACAAAGGACTCTGGTGTTCCTCCATTCATTGAAGCTGTATCAATATTTTGTATCATTTCAATGAACTACTATAGGCAGCCCATCCCTTAAGTTTCCCTCTTAAGTTTTTTGGTCAGCTTTTCCTTTGCCCCAGCTGTTATTCCATATTAAGCAGCTGCAATGTACAGCAATAGGTGCTGATTGTTTTTGTCAAATACCCCTAGGGAAAAAGTCATTTGCACTGAGCGAGCTCTGTTTGAGATCAACTAAAGTCGTAGGTGGGAATTTCCAAGATCATGTTTGATAGTTTGAATAATGACAGTACTCTAAGAATAATTTTTGGGACTTCTAAACCCTTTATGGCCCCTCTGAGACCTGTTGGGCTACAGTTCACTACTGCTACTATAGTTGTAAGACCTACTATAGTTTTTCAAGGCTACTGTGAAGCTGAGGAATACGGAATAGGAATAGAGCAAGTTAAATCTCCACAAAGGTCACTGTTTTCAATTAAATTCACCTATTTTCTTGAGTAAATGCTTGCCAGATTTTTGCAAGTCTTTGGTTAATTCACAGTATTCTGAGGAAGTTTGTTTTGACAGTTTTTGTCAATGTTCTTGTTGATTTTATGAAGGAATAGCTTTTTGTAGGTCTTTATTCCACTGTTTCTGCTCATGTCTGGCAAGACAATTAAGCAGGTAATTATGAGGGCATGTAGAACACATCTTGGAGAATTTATTCTCAAGGTGGCATTCTATAAAATTATGTAAATATTTAATCTGAGAAGTGAAAGATGAGACAGTTTTCCAGGTGAATAAGGCAGAGGAAAAACAACAACAACAACAACTTTGTAGACAAGGGTAAAATGTACAAGTCTTAGAGATGGGAGAAAGAATGGTCCACTACAGTGAGACTGAAGAATGGAACAAGAGACAAAGCCAGATTACAGGGTGAAATCAATGCTGTTAAATAGTCTGGAATTATTCTAAGTGCAGAAAGAAAGTAATAAATTCTTATAAATTTGGGACAAATTGCAATTAGATATTAATTTTTGGAAGTTAACAGGTGCAATTTTTGGAAGTTACTCAGTCTAACAGGTGCAAGATGAACTGGAATAAAGGGATACCATAGAGAGATGACTGCCTTTAAGACCAATGCAGTGGAAGTAGAGATGATGGAAAGTTGTTGAATTAAAGACATTACTAGTCATTACAGTCTATGATTTATTAGGTAGGGTCATTTAATCAGAAAAAAATGCAGACAGAGAGTCAAGGATGGCCTTCATGCTTTGATTCCTAAAACTGTGGGCAGTATTCTTTCAAATGAGTCAGAAATTAGGGGGTAAAATTAGATTTAGAAAAGAATCAAAATGATCACTTTTGTTTCTGGAATATGTGGGAGATTGAGTTGGATATTTTAATGGACTTTTGGATATATGCTGCTAGCCCTAAGCAAAGGAGTCTGATCAGGAAAATTTATCTATCTATCTATCTATCTATCTATCTATCTATCTATCTATCCATCTATCTATCTATCTATCTGCATATATGTGTGTATATATGTATATATATGTGTGTGTGTGTGTGTATATATATATATATGTCTTCCTTATCTTTTGATTTAAAAACTGGTTTTCCATTTACAATGGGTGCAATGGTGTGTCTCCACTTTGGACTGAAGCCTCATTGTCTCAGCACCTGGGAGTCAGAAGCTTTCAACTGAATCTTCCTTGTATGGCTCTCAGCTAAACAGAAGTGCCTTCTCAAAGTCACACTTTCTCCCAGTGCCAGATGTATCAAACGGCTGGTTCGTGTGGGAGTATAAAAGCTTGGACTTGTTGCCTTATATCAAGATAAACTTGAAAGGGCACTCACCTCCAGAGCTCCCTATACTGTTAGCTGAAGCCTTTGTGTTACTGCATCACAATTCAATATCTGCCTTTGCCCAATCCTTTCTTTCTCATCCACAGGTACTTAACATCCTTTATGTAATCCTTCATCTGAGAGTCTGTTTTTGAGGAACCTGACCTGTAACACAGCCTGAAGAAATTTGGGGACAAATCCTAGCAAAAAATTGGGATATCATTCTTGATGTATTTATTTTTTGGATGATACATATCATTTTACTCCCTAAGAGCCATACCAATCAATACTACAAAAGAATGAGCAAACGGAATTTCTCTGCAGCCTGTATCTCAACAAGATCTGCTCCTCCAACTCCTTGCATCTGGCATTTTTTGGGGGATAATCATAAGGAATGTTTTGACTCTCTGATAAACACACAGAAATGAACATTTTGTAGGAAACCATAAACATGAGTCATACAGATAAAAAGCAAACATAGTTCTATTTACTGTCATCAGAGTATGTAGATCAATATTTTATTGCATTGGAAGCTTCATCTGCCATTTTTAAAGTAATCATTTCAACCAGGAGGATGGTATATTCTGACTGAAAACCTCCCAGGACCATATTATGTAGGCAAATGATTTTTTCCAAAGAAATAGACAGGAAAGTGGCTGTAAAGACAAAATGTATACCTTTGACTATAGTGGCTAAGGCCGTATCTCTGTGTTTTTTCCATTGACCACATGGTTGGTTTGAGTCATAGGTGTACTGAGTCAAATGGAATTGAATGATAAAATCAAGGAGCACTTTGTATCCAGAAGTACAGCAGAACATATCAAATATTAAATTGATGCATAAAATAGGAAATATCTTTGTTTACCTACATGTTAATACTAAAAAGTACTATTGCCCCATGCTTCACGATGAATATCAGGAAAGTAAGAACCATGGGAGATAAAAAATGAATTAACATAGTCTCCGACCTGTGTGTCTACAGTTGAATTTTATACATATAAGCCTTATAAATAAAGCATTTTACCTGCAAAAAAAGTGATCATAAAATAATATGATTACACAATTACACAAGGTGATAAAAGGAAAAGTTCTAATAAAGGGGCTAAGGAGCCGTGTGATAAACCAGTTGTAGGAAATATACTTCTCAGTCTTGCTTTGGATGTTGGAACGGTTTTTGAATGTCCTGGTTTTAGGAAAACTCACCTTCTACCTTTCTTCGAAACTTCAGAATTCATTTGCAACCAAATAAGGAAGTAACTCCTACGCATCTGTTTCCTATACACGTTTCTCTTCATTTCACCACAAAACTATGTAATTTATAGGAAGTCAATTTAACTTCTTTTCTTAGAAACAAGAAGTTACAAATTTCAAGGGTATTTTTGGAGGTATTGGCGGTTTACAATTTCATTCAAGGTTATTGTCATAGTTTGTTACACTTTTTAGTATAAGAAAAGCCTAATACAAAATATGTCAAACTAGCAAATAATTGAATTAATTTAAAAGAAGATAAAATGAGAACATTAATAAGAAGAATAAATATAGAACCCAACGTACCTTGAATTTCAGTGAAGCAACAAATTGTTTTTCTTAAAATATCTGTGTTTATATGAGCACTAAGTGGGCTGGGATTGTAAAATCCTGTTAGTAACAGCGGAATCACCTTTGTATCATGACAATGATGAAATTACTGTCTCTTGTCACAGCTGTGTGATTTGACTAATATAATTTGGCTTATATAATTCCCCAGCAATTAAATCTACTTTTCTGATTACACTACACCTGCACCTTAATAGGTGTATTTAGCTGGGGAAATAAAAAATCATGCTGAAATGTCTCATTTAAAAAACATAACCCACTTGAAACAGGCTTTTGTAGTTAGTACTGCACCCTAAACTATTCCTGTCAAGACCACCAATGACCTTCATTTTACAAAACTAATGACTGGTTCTCTGTTTTCATCTTGATTTCCATTTCTTTCTCTTTCTGTTTCTCTCTCTCAGTTTGGCTTGCATGAAACTTTTCTTCTATGTCACTAGTCATTTCTCTGAAGAAGCCCTTTTCACCCCTTTGTTTTCTTCTACTTTATCTGCACAAGCTTCCTAGATTATCTCATCCAGCCCATAGCATTAATGCCTTCCATATTCTTACGACCTGTTTTTCAGCTTTGACCTCCTTTTTGCATTCCATATTTGTCTGGCAACCGCTTAGTCACACTCTCTACTTCAGTGTCAAATTGACATTTTGAATTTAAAATGTTAAAAGCTCATCTTCTCATTTTGCCTTTCATACCAGCTTATTCTCCAGCTTTTCATATCTCAATGGTAGTTTTATCACATTCACACATATCAAAAACTCCTGAGACAACTTTGTCCTCTCTCTCCTAAACACAACATCTAACCCTCAGTGAGCAATGCACACAGAATCATACGTCCACTGCGACCACTGTATTTCACATTTCACGCTAACACCAACAATTGCCTGCTATCGTTAACAGTGTTTTAATTGTGATCTTTCTGCTTCTGTCTTGAAGCAATGGTAAAGAACTCCCTGGACCCCCATATTTATGCCTGGACCCTGCTTTGTTTCTTCAAGGCACTTTTCCTCCAGCCGAATTATTAGTATAAGATTGTTCTGTTTGCTGCCTATCTCCCTTCATTTGAATGTAAGCAGCATAAGGGCATCAGTTTTCTTGTACTAATTGCTATATACCTAGTGCCGAGAACATTGCCAGGTGATAGCAGATGTTCAATAAGTATTTGTTTAATTAATACAGACATCGATGTGTACATATGATAGTGAGCGAGAGTGGGTAGATCGAGGATGATTATATTAAAAGATGTGATCAGAGAGGACTTCTCTGAATAATCCAGATTTCTTCTAGATTTCTCATTTGTAAGTATGGTAGTGCTCCTGAGAGAAAAAGGCACTGCAGACGTGATATGCAGATAGCAAGTCCAAGAAGTAAGAAGCAGAAGCCTTCTTACCTTCGTGTACCATATATTCTCTTTGGTTTTACCCTGCTTTGAAAGGTACCGTGACTCTGTACCTCTCAAAATTTCATTTCCAGTGGTCCAATATATACTCAGCCTGAGCTCGCTGAAAAATCTCCAGCTCTTTTTTTCTGGGCAGGTGATATTGGCAGCATCCTGGCCAGGAGGTCTAGCCTGAGAAATAGAACTTTTTCAAATAGCGTGTCTTGTATTGATTCCTCTTGTTGCATCAGTTAACCACCAAACATTTATCATGATTTAAGTTTACATCCTCAACACTTTTCATATATTTTCTACAGGAGAATGGTGGAAATCAAGGAGGGGGAGTATGTCAACCACTGGAATACTGTGAGGACGAACGCATTGGCTTTTACATGGGTTTTAGGAAGAACCACATGATTGACAGTGTCAGTCCACATCCCTTCTGATTATCCACAAATTAAAAATTGAGCTGAGATCTGAATGGTGATTGAATTTGTCTGGGAAGACACTACCATTGTTGTTTTGATTGTCATTATTTAATATCTGTCATTTAAAGACCCCACCATTTTCTTCCTTTAGGAGGAAAAACCATCTTGGCTTTTCTGCTGTAATTATTCTTCTGGATAACTCTCAGAATAATTTTTGTTCTGATTTTGTCAAGGTATTAAATAATTACTGATATGTTGCTATATTATATATTTAATTTTCGGTTTTCTTCTTACCGGGCTTCTCAGAAAAATTTGACGTAATTGATCTTTACTTTTCCTTTATACACTTCCTTCCTTTGGTTGCTAGAGAAGTAGTATCGATAATACTAGTGATATCAACATCACCATCTTTACCACTTCTAATGCTGCCGCTGACTCTACCACTATCAATCTCTTCATGTGAATTACACATAAGGGTTGTTTTGTGTTTCATATTAACTTTCTTAGGTGTTTTCTTTAAAGTACTCATAATTGTAACTATAATATGCAGTTTCCTATGTAATCATTTGATAGTGGAGGATTTATGGTGAATTATTTTCATGAGACTGCCTGAAATTTTATACTCTCTGGTTAGAGATCTTTTGTTAATTTCTTCCCATAAGTGTGTGTGTGTGTGTGAATTTCATTTTAAAGAAAAAATGAGAAAAAATTTATTTCCAGGACACAGAATAAATTGGAAACAGACATACTTCTGTCTGTTTTTTTTCACTGCTCATTTTATTCAATTCAAAACAATATAAACATTCAGATACTCTTTGAGCTGGTTTCAGGATTTTAGACCTCTGTGAATAATTTTTTTTCTTCTTTTTTACGAGTATTCCAACCACATTTTTGGGGGGAGCAGGCATATTCATTTTGCTGTTGAAATTATGGCAAAAACTGCAATGACTTTTGCACCAATCTAATACATGCTGTCGTTTACAATTAGGTAGCTTTCAAAAGGCAGGGGCCGGCGATCAGCCTTTTATGCATCTAATCTTGGGTAACAAGGACTGGCTGTAATGAACTGTAATGATAACTCCATTATAACTTCAGCTAAAGTATGTGTTGCATATTGTTTTCTTCGTAAATGTTAAACAGGAAGTAAGCATCATTTAGGACAAGGAATTCTCAGAAAAAAAAAATAAACACCACATTGAACGTTTACACAAATTTTAGTGGAACTTACTTTGGCGCAATGCCTAACAGAGTAAGTTACTAACTCTCTTTTTTATTCCTTAAAGAAAGAAAGAAAATAAATGAATTTACAGTAATGTTGGAGTTTTCAGGCCTATTGAAGATTTGGGATAGATTGTGCTAGAACAGATTGACATTGACAGATTTCAAGTTCCTTTTGCAAGTTATTTTACTTTGTATTTTAAAGAGGCAATATGTTTATAAAGCAATCAAATTAGCCTATTTGTGGCATATAAACTTTTTATATAATAAAGCTGGGAAAAAGAAACTCTAATTTCTTTACCAGCTTGAGGGCAATTGACTCTAATACAAGAGGGTTCCTAATCATTAACATATATGTTTATTTGCATTCATAAACTTGAAATGCATATTCAGTTGTCTTATTTGGTATTTAATAGTAGGGGGATATCCTAAATCAAAATTACTTTAATTTATATAATTGTAATCATTTCAATGTTTTTGGAGGGGGAGATAATCCTAAAAACTAAAATTTAAAAGATGAAACTATTCATTATTCCTGCTGTATAACAGATGGTGAATGCAGGCACATAATAATAGGCAGTGTGGCAATACTGAGCACAATGACCAGATCAGGACAGATGCTTAAAAATATTTTAAAAAAATAATTAGAGTAATTGTTTTGTATGACTCGAAGAAAGAATCGGGTTAAATAATAGAGGGCACAGGGCCAGCGAATTAAAGCACATCACTTGATTTTGTGTTTCAAATAACTGCCTTGGAGTAAATGAGCTCCTCAGACCAATTTCTGACACAAGGCCTACACCTCACAGCCTTCCTGTTCTTCTGCATTCCTGCAAGGGCTCTTGCACGTAGACCTTCAGTTCGCTTGTGAACTGTTGCTCTCTAGTGGTGGTGTGAGGCCTTAAGGAAACACCTGCTACTGTGTGGTCAGGAGGTAAAGTGCTGGGCTCTCATATTGTCCTCCCTGTAAACACCTTCCTTTCTGCGTTTGGACACCTTCACCAGATTCTATTTTCCATTTGATCATTAGTCAAACACTTATTAGACAAACAAGTGGGCCAGAAACTGACAGATGTTAGAAATACACAAATAAAAGTTATAGACTCTTCTATTTCATGTGTTTCATAAAGTATTAATGGTATATAAATTAAAAAATAGAAATTAGGTAAGAATAACCTCCATCACCGATATTTGACATTTCCTTTCTCAATTATAAATCATTGATCTTAAGTTATTGTTCTTTCAATATCTGAAACATTCTAGGTATTAAATTGATATTGAGTGAGTGAATGAGTGAAAGAATGAATGCGTGTATGGTAGAAGCTATTTTGGGGAAAACGGTCTTCAATGCTCAGGTATTATTAAGAGCAAAGCTGCTTTCTCTATCTATGTAGTGTTTATGACCAAGAGAAAAGGCTTAGATATATGAGCAGAAACAGAGGATTTTGCAGTTTATTTTCTAAACTTTGGTCTTTTGTACTTTATGTGAATGTTCAATCACATGGTTTTAATATATTTTTCATATATGTTTCAACTTTGTATGATGTGAAATCACAGAAATTATATCATCTGTTGTATTTTATTATATAATATCTATTTTTTGATCCCATAGAAGTACCAGGGTGTTTTTTTTTTTCCTTTCAGGGGTCATTGTTTGCATAAAAAGAAAAAAAAAACTAATTTAACTAGATATTTAAGTGATTTGCAAAGCAGTGTGTTTCCAGCTGTTGAAGGACTAAGGTTTTAAGAGAGTATAGAACCGATTGTACTACTCATTAGTCTAGGTAAAGCTTGTGTGGAGAAACAGCTCCATGAAGTCAGATTTGAGGCCTCTAAGTCCTAGCCCCAGAATTTTACTATCTCTAGGTAACTTTGGAGAATAATATGATTCTTCTTATGTTTCTATTCTTCGTTTTCAAACAAGGTTAACAATCTAAGCTGCAACTAAAGTGTGATAAGAGGTTCTAATGATATAATGCATGTAGAATACATGTAGAAATCACTTCATGTTTGAATTACCACTACCAATGCTCAATCAGAAAAAGTATCTTAATATCCACCTTTGTCTTGTCAATTTGTTCCCTTTCTGTTCTATCAGATGTAGTTCTAGAGATTTCTAAGCCTTGCCATCATACACTTTTTCTCTATATTTGAGCTTAGCCTGTATTGTAAATATAAAATCCTTTGAGGCAGTTGAAGCTTTTACTAATATCTTTATTCTCCAGTATCTAGCACATTAGCTGACAAGCAATAAGTTCTTGATTTATTAATTTATAATGTATAGGCATTTAATATTAACTTTTAAAATAATTAGACAATGAATATATAAATTCAGAGCACATATCCATTAAAGGCATGTAAGCAAACACATTACAAACATCTATAAGAAAAGGGCCCCATAATTATTTAAAAAAGTGATTATGTGATATTTTATAGTTTTGTGCCTCAAGAATATATTTTTTGCAGCTCATGTATTTTTAATATGCACACTTTTTATTTAAATCTTGTATTTTATTTAAATCTTTTATTTATTTAATTATTTAAACTACGCATTTTAAGGGTCTTCCATGCCTTTTCATAGCTTGATAGCCCATTTCATTTTAGTGATGAAGAATGTTCCATTGTCTGAATGTACCACAGTTTATCCATTCACCTACTGAAAGACATCTTGGTTTCTTCCAAGGTTTGGCAATTATGAATAAAGCTGCTGTAAACATTCATGAGCAGGCTTTTGTGTGGACATAAGTTGTCGACTCATTTGGATAAAGACCAAGAAGTGGGATTACTGGATTATATGGTAAGAATGTGTTTAGTTTTCTAAGAAACTGTCAACATGTTTTCCAAGTGGCTGTGCCATTTTGCATTTCAATCAGCAAAGAATGAAAGTCCTATTGCTCCACATCTTTATCAGCATTTGGTGTTGTTCATATTTTGGATTTTGACATTTCTAATTGGTGTGTAAATGTTTTCAAAGAAAATTTTAAATTTCAATAGCTTTTGGAGTACAAGTGATTTTTGGTCACATGGATGAATTTATATAGTGGTGAATTCTGAGATTTTATTACACTCATCAATCACCCAAGTAGTGCACTCTTTACCCAATATGTAGTTTTTTATTCCAAAACCCCTCCTATTCTTCCCCTTCTGAGTCTCCAAAGTCCATTATATCACTCTGTGCGCCTTTGTATACTCATAACTTAACTCCCACTTATAAGTGAGAACATATAGTAATTGGTTTTTCTGTAATAGCATGTTTTAATGTGAAATTACCTAATGACATATGATATTGATCATATTTTAATAAGGTTATTTTCCATTTGTATATCTTCTTAACAAGGTATCTGTTCAGATCTTTGGCCCATTTTTTAATCAGGTAATTCATTTTCTTATTGTTGAGCTTTAAGAGTTATTTATCTATTTTGGATTACAGTCCTTTATCTGATATGTCTTTTGTTAAGTATTTTCTTTTGGTCTGTGGCTTATCTTTTCATTTTTTAAAAAATTTTATTCATTTATTTTTAAGTTCCAGGATACAAGTGCAGAACATGTAGGTTTGTTACATAGGTATACGTGTGCCATGGTGGATTGCTGCACCTATCAACCCACTATCTAGGTTTTAAGCCCCACATGCATTAGCTATTTGTCCTAATGCTCTCCCTCCCCTTCCCCCCATCCCCTGACTGGCACTAGTGTGTGTTGTTCCCCTCCCTGTGTCCATGTGTTCTCATTGTTTAACTCCCACTGATGAGTGAGAGCATGCGGTGTTTGGTTTTCTGTTCCTGTGTTAGTTTGCTGAGGATGATGGCTTCCAGCTTCATTCATGTCCCTGAAAAGGACATGATCTCATTCTTTTTTATGGCTGCATAGTATTCCATGGTGTATATGTACCACATTTTCTTTATCCAGTCTATCATTGATGGGCATTTGGGTTGGTTCCATATCTTTGCTATTGTGAATGGTGCTGCAATAGACATATGTCTGCATGTGTCTTTATAGTAGAATGATTTATGCTCCTTTGGGTATATACCCAGTAATGGGATTGCTGGGTCAAATGGTATTTCTGGTACTAGATCCTTGAGGAATCACCACACTGTCTTCTACAATGGTAGAACAAATTTACATTCCCACCAAGAGTGTAAAAGCATTCCACTATCTCCACAGCCTCACCAGCATCTATAGTTTCTTGACTTTTTAATAATCGCCATTCTGAATGGTGTGAGATGGTATCTCATTGTGGTTTTGATTTGCATTTCTCTAATGACAAGTGATGTTGAGCTTTTTTTCATATGTTTGTTGGCCACATAATGTCTTCTTTTGAGAAGTGTCTGTTCATATCCTTTGCCCACTTTTTGAATGGGATTGTTTGTTTCGTTCTTGTAAATTTGTTTAAGTTCCTTTTAGATTATGGATATTAGACCTTTATCAGATGGGTAGATTGCAAATATTGTCTCCCATTCTGTAGGTTGCCTGTTCACTCTGAGGATAGTTTACTTTGCTGTGCAGAAGCTCTTTAGTTTAATTAGATCCCATTTGTCAATTTTGGCTTTTGTTGCAATTGCTTTTAGCATTTTCATCATGAAGTCTTTGCCCATACCTATGCTCTGAATGGTATTGCTTAGGTTTTCTTTTAGGATTTTTATGGTTTGTGTTTTCTGAGGCCAGAATCATCCCGATACCAAAATCTGGCAGAGACACAACAAAAAAAGAAAACCTCAGGTCAATATCCCTGATGAACATCAATGCAAAAATCCTCAATATCATACTGGCAAACTGAATCCAGCAGCACATCAAAAAGCTTATCCATCACAATCAAGTTGGCTTCATCCCTGGGATACAAGGCTAGTTCAACATATACAAATCAATAAATGTAATCCGTCACATAAACAGAACCAATGACAAAAATCATATGATTATCTCAATAGATGCAGAAAAGGCCTTTGATAAAATTCAACATCCCTTCATGTTAAAAACTCTCAATAAACTAGGTATTGATGGATGTGTCTCAAAATAATAAGAGTTATTTATGACAAACCCACAGCCAATATCATACTGAATGGGCAAAAGCTGGAAGCATTCACTTTGAAAACCGGCACAAGACAAGTATTTCCTCTCTCACCACTCCTATTCAACTAAGTATTGGAAGTTTTGGCCAGGGCAATCAGGCAAGAGAAAGAAATAAAGGATATTCAAATAGGAATAGAGGAAATAAAATTGTCTCTGTTTGCAGACAACATGATTCTATATTTAGAAAACCCCATTGTCTCAGCCTAAAAACTCCTTAATGAGCCCAAAAATCAATGTGCAAAAATCACAAGCATTCATATACACCAATAACAGACAAGCAGAGAACAAAATCATGAATAAATTCCCATTCACAATTGCTATGAAGAGAATAAAATACCTAGGAATACAGCCTACAAGGGATGTGAAGGACTTCTTCAAGGAGAACTACAAAGCACTGCTCAAGGAAATAAGAGAGGACACAAACAAATGAAAAACATTCCATGCTCGTGGATAGGAAGAGTCAGTATTATAAAAATGGCCATACTGCCCAAGGTAATTTATAGATTCAATGATATTCCCACCAAACTACCACAGACATTCTTCACAGAATTAGAAAAAACTACTTTAAATTTTATATGGAACCAAAAAAGAGCCCGTAAAGCCAAGACAATTCTAAGCAAAAAGAACAAAGCTGGAGGCAGCATGCTACCTGACTTCAAAATATACTGCAAGGCTACAGTAACCAAAGCAGCATGGTACTGGTACCAAAGCAGACACATAGACCAATGGAACAAAACAGAGACCTTGGAAATAACATCACACATCTACAACCATTTGATCTTCGACAAACCTGACAAAAATAAGCAATGGGGAAAGGATTCCCTATTTAATAAATGGTGCTGGGAGAACTAGCTAGCCATATGCAGAAAACAGAATCTGGACCTCTTCGTTGCACCTTATACAAAAATTAACTCAAGATGGATTAGAGACTTAAGTGTGAAACCCAAAACCATAAAAACCCTGGAAGAAAACCTTTTCATTGTTTTGACAGTATCTTGGGCAGAGTAGAAGTCTTTAAGTCTTTAGTTTGAAAAAAGTTCAGTTTATTAATCCTTTCTTTCATAAATCATATCTTTGGTGTTGTATCTAAAAAATTCTCATACCCAACATCATCTAGATTTTATTTTAAGTTTTATTCTATGAGTTTTATGGTTTTGTGTTTTACATTTTTTCATAAAATTTATTTTGAGTTAATTTTTGAGAAGAGTACAAATTCTGTCTGTTTTTATTTAAAAATTTTTCTCTTCTTCTTATTTTTTGCTTGTGGATGTCCAGTTCCAGCATCACTGTTATAAAGAAGATCCTTTGCTCCTTTGTACTCTCTTGCTGCCTTGTCAAAGATCAGTTTACTGCATTTATGTGAGTCTACATCTGGGCTGTCCATTCTGTTCCCTTGATCTGTTTGTCTTTTCTTTAGTTAACAACACACTCTTGATTACTGCAGCTTTATACTAAGTCTTGAAGTCAAGTAATGTCAGTCCAAATTTGTTCTTCTCTTTCAATATTGTGTTGGCTTTTCTGTTTCTTTTCCCTCTCCATATAAACCTTAGAATAACTTTGTTGATATCCTGGAAATAACTTGCTGGGATTTAACATTTTGAGGCATTGCCAAACTGTTTACCAAAGTGGCTACACCATTTTACATTCTCATTAGCAAGGTAGCTAGGTCTGATTTTTCTCCATCCTTATCAATACTTGTTATTGTCTGTCTTTTTTATTATAGCTATCCTAGTGGGCATGAAATGATATCTTATTATGGTTTTCATTTGTGTTTCTTTAATAACTATGTTCTTGATAATCATTCATGGCCTTTTTTCAATTTGTGTCTTTTATGTCTTCTTGGGAGAAATGTCTTTTCAGATCTTTTGCCCATATTTTAATGGGGTAATGTATCTTTTAAATAATGAATTGTAGGAGTTCTTTATATATTCTTCTTTCAAGTCCTCCATCAGATATATGATATGCAAAAATTTTCTCACATTATGGGTTATCCTTTCACTTTTTTGATAGTATTATGTTAAGCAAAAATGTTTTTAATTTTGAGGAAGTTCAATTTATCTGTTTTTTCTTTGATTATTTGTGCGATTAGTGTAATATCTAAAGAAACTATTTCTAAAACAGATTATGAAGATTTATGGTCATTTTTCACTTAAAAGTTTTATTGTTTTTCTGTTACTTTAGGTTGTTGATTTTTTTGATTTAAATTGTATATGGTGTAGCAAGAGGTTTAACTTTATGTTTTGTATATGAATATCCAGTTGTTCAAGAATCATTTGTTCAAATACTTCTCTGAGAGTAGATATCCTTGTCTTGTTCCTGATCTTATAGGGAAAGCCTCAAGTCTGTTATACCAAGTATAACACCAAATGTGTTTTTTTGTAGATGTTCTGTATCAGATTGAAAAAGTTCCCTTACCTTAATCATTTGTTGACTGTTTTCAGCATAGAAGAGTGTTTTTATATGTCAGTTGGGAAGATCATATTGTTTTGATGTTTTATTTTATTGATATGGTATATTAAATTAATATATTTTTGGATGTTCAACCAATTTTGCATTTCTGAGATACATTCTATTTGATCATTGTGTAATACTTTTTGTGTATTGTTTGATTCAATTTGCTAATATTTTATTGACAATTTTTATATCTATAGTAATAAGAGCCTGTAGTTTTCTTTTCTTGTAATTTTTTAACATAGTATTATATTATTATCAGTGTGTTGTTGGCTTCAAGAAATGAGTTGGGAAATTGTGATTATCTATTCCTGCTGCTGTAACAAAATACCTTAGACTGGGCAATTTATAAATAATAGAAATTTATTTCTTACAATTCTGGAGGCTCAGAAGCCCAAAATCAAGCTGCTAGCAGGCTCAATGTCCAGTAAAGGCCTGGTCTCTGCTTCCAAGATGACACATTGACATCTTGTGTGTCCCTTCTGTCTCACGTGACAGAAGGGACAAAAGGGCAAGAGGGATGGAAGGGCCCAAAGGACCCAAGCTAATTCCCTCCAGCCCTTTTAATAAGGTCACCAATCATGAGAGCAGAGCCCTTTTGGACTAATCACCTCCAAAAGGTCCCACCTTTTAATACTATTGCGTTGATGATTATATTTCAACATGAATTTTGAAGGGAGCACAGACATTCAAACCATAGCAGAATGTTCTCTCTTGTTATAGTTTTTTGGAAGAGTTTGTGCAAGATTTGTATTAATTTTTTTAATAATTGGTAGAATTCACCAGATAAGTAATCTGGATCTGGACTTTTCCTTAGGAAGTTTTAAAACCACTGATTTAATTTCTTTACTTTTATATTTCTATGTGGTTTTTCTATTTCTTTGAGACTTTTCATCAGTTGAATCTCTCAAAAAAATTTTTTTGTTTCATTTAAGTAATCTAATTTGTAATACTTGATTGTTTGTATTACTCCTTTACAATTCTTTTTTTGTCTTTTTAAAGTTGCTGTAAAGTCAGTAGTTATGTTCCCCTCTTTCATTCCTGATTTTGGTGGTATTTTCCGTATTTTCTTGGTCAGTCTACCTAAAGTTTAGTTGAGTTTGTTGATATCTTCAAAGAATTAACTTTTGTTTTGTTGATTTTATCTATTGATTTCTATTCTCTATTTCATTTATTTATACTGTAATCTTTCTTTTTCCCTTCTTTCTGCTTGCTTTAGGCTTATTTCGTTGTACATTTTACTTTAATATTATTATTCCTTAAGGTGGTAGCTTAGGTTATTATTTGAGATTTCTTCTATTTTAATAGTATAGCATTGTAGGTGTAAATATTACTGTAAGAACTGCTTTGTTTGCATCCTATAATTTTTATATGTTTGCTTTATTTTTCATTTATCTCAAAGTATTTTCTAATTTTCCTTGTGATTTTTGTCTTTGATCCATTGACAAACCTAGCTGTAAGTTGTTTAAGTTCCACATATTTGTAAATGTCAAAAATTCTATCTTTTTTGATATCTAATTTTATTGCATTGTTGTAGGAAGACATAATTTATATGATTTCAATTTTTTAAAATGTGTTGAGGCTAGCCCAGGTCGCTTAATACTGGCTCTGCATTTGGTATCATTTTACAGACTTTTACTTTCAACTTATTTTTATCTGAATCTGAAGTTTCTTATGTAGATGGCATATAGTTGGATTGTGTTCATTTAATCCAGTTTGACAATCTGAGCCTTTTGATTGGCTAATCCATTTCTGTTTACTAGAACTATTAACATGGCTGGTTTTATGTCTGCCATTTTCAGTTTTCTGTGTGTCTCAAGTCATTTTTGTTTCATTTTTCTATTTTTTTTAGAGACAGGGTCTGATTCTGTTGCCCAGACTGGAGTACAGTGGTGTAATCACGGCTCATTGCAACCTTAACCTCTTGGGCTCAAGCAATCCTTCGCTTTAGCCTTCTTAGTAGCTGAGACGACAGGCACATGCCACTATGCCTGGCTAACTTTTAAAAGCATTTTGTAGAGACAGGGCCTTGACCTGTTGCCCAGGCTGGTCTCAAACTCCTGACCTCAAATGACCCTTCTGCCCAGCTTCTCAAAGTGCTCAGATTACAAGTATGAGCTACCATGCCTGGCCTATGTCTTCTGTTTTCTATTTACTTAATTTTTTTTGGCGTTAATGTAATACCTCCTAGTTTAACTTTAATTTCTTTAAAGATTTTTTTAGTACACTTTTCAGGTTTCCTTTTAATGTTTACTGTAGGGCTTATGATGTACAATTAACTTATAAGAATCTATTTGAGATATATACTACCTTAATTTCAGTAGGATCTAGAAAATCACTCATGATTTTAATCCTTTTGCCTTTTTTGGTGCTGTTTATACATATTATGTCTTTATATGTTACAGACCAAAGAATAAATTATTGTGTTATTACTTTATATAATTTTATGTCTTTTAAAAAAGAAAACAAGTAAACATTTTTAGATTTTGCTATATTAACCTTCTTACTTACTATTCTGAGTTTTCCTTATTTCTTCTTTAAGATATTATCTTCATTTCTTTGTTTCTCAGGTATCTGATACAGTTGACTTACTCCAATATAAGTGTTTCTCTCATCTTCCTCCATTGTGCAGCTATCGTCAAACACATCATATTTCTATTTGTTATACACTCAACATTACAATTGTTTGCACATTGTTTTATACAACTGACTTCTAATAAGTTAAAAGAAGAAAGGAAAGAAATATACAATTATACTATCTTATATACTTAGCTACATATTTACTAATATTTGTTTATTCCTGTTGATTCAAGTTACTGTTGAGTGTCATTTGCTTTCACTCTTAAGAATATTTTTTAGTATTTCTTACAAAGTAAGTCTGCTATCAATGGCTTTTCTCAGTTTACTTTTTTGCGGGGAGGGGTGTTCATTTCACTGTCATGTTTGAAAGATAATACAGATAGTGTAACCAGACATAAGACTCTTAGTTGACAGAGTTTTTAAATTTTTAAAATGTAATTTAACTTTTATTTTTACTCAGCACACTGAATATGTCATTCCTATGTTAACTATTATTAACTAATAAAAACAACCATCAAGCAAAAAGTAAAGGTGGGTTGGGACATTTCAACTTACAGTACCAATTTCTTATTAGGAACTGGATTGTATTTATAGGAACTAAAAGGGATAATTATATTTCCCCTCTAATAATGATGCTTCTGTTTTGATATGTTGGTTTATTTTGTATGTGAGTACTTCTTTTTTTTAACTAAAGTAAAACTTGCCTACAGCTCAGTGAATAAAATGCACCAATTTAAATTGTGCAGTTTAATACATTTGACATATGTGTGAATCCATGTAATCACCATTCTGATACATTTGTGGGATAGTTCCAGTACCATAGAAAATTCCTTTGTGCTCCTTCCTGATTAATGCTTTTCCCCCAATGTGTTTGTAAAAGTAAGAAGAAATAATTGGTCTAAAATAAATCTCACTCCACTTGCTTCTTTGAGTCAAATTTACTTGCTTTTTGATTTTTTTTTCAGAATAACAGTGATTTCAAATAATTAGAACTTATGCCCTAGTTGTAATAACAGGTAACTAGGTTCATGGTAATCATCTATATATCCTAATATGTTAGAAAATATATTCACTTAAAGTTAACTAGCTTAAAGATCAATGACAGGATGGTAAGAAAACAGTAGGCTCAAAAAAGACCCGCATCCTCCCCAAAAGCAGGAGTGAATGCTAACAGTAGTTTCTCCATGTACCACAGAATGCTGCAATCATGCAGCCTTGGTTTGGTAGACGTTTGAATCAAAGAGCTTTAGGCAAGAGTTGGCAGAGTGCAATATTAAAAATATAGTTAGCTAAGTCTTAGTAAATATCCATATGTGTAATATGAGTAAGCAGGCAAGTCATGCTAGAATGACCTCGTATTCTTGGTGTTAAAAGACTTATCACATTAATGGTTTTGGAAAACAATGAATGTATCATGTATATGATTTTCACTGAGATGTATGCCACAGAATGCTATAATATCTACATGAAAGCAGTGCTACCTCAGGTTAGGTGCCATTAGTTAGGAGAGAGATCATTTTCTATATGCCAGAATGTTTTGCATTTCATTCTCTCTTACTCCACATTTTATAAATGCTTAGGTTAATATATTCAATGTATAGATGACATACAACTTGGATATCTAATACACTGAGTAATAGAATCATAAACTCCAAACATTCTGCATTTCGGAGAAAATTGAGAGTTTAGCGAGATGAATTTTTTAAGTGTATTAAAATCTAAACTGAAGAAGTTAACAAGATGGGAAGAATTGCCTTTATTTGTAGATGTATGCAAGAGCACTAGGGGAAATTCAATGACCAACAAGCTCAAAATAAGATTGTGTGAAGTAATGAATTTTAGGTAAAATCAATACAAATATATCTAAAAAGAAAGGGTGGGACTTTTTTCCTCCATTCCTGGCCCAATTCTTTGAAATAATTTTTATGTGATTGTTTCAAACCATCTTAACTTTCTCTTAGTTTTCCTCTGCATACATGCACATATGTAAATGCCTACTTTTAAGAGTACAGATGAGAAAAAACAGGGATTTGAATTAGTTGAAACCGTAACTTAAGTATTATTTCCAGGAACTAAAGCTACTTAGCCAGAATCAGGAAAAGGGCTGCTGGGAATAAGTTTGTTAACGTAAATTGTTCCAACAGCTGTCATATTGATGTTACGCTTAGTTTACTGGCTCCAGAAGGCAGAATTGATACCAATTCTTGAAAGAAGCATCCATATACCCCAGTTAATTTTGATTATGTCATGAGATTTTGTGTAGTATTCAAAGATAAATTGTTATTATTGTTGGAAAAAGCGGGTTACTTAGATTTAAACTTAGGTTAAGAAAATTGATTTAAAAAAATAAGTTCCACTTTCAAAAGTTGTTATTCTATTGATAAATCTGTTTTTTTTAATGCTGCTTTATTTGATGTAAAACTACTGTTTTGAAAATATTGACTGTGCCTATGGATTAATGTATCAAACAAAATCACCCCATGAATAAATCAAATATTTATTTATTTACCTGAAGTATACAAAAGGAGAATGACATAAAGATCAATTAGCAAGGTTGATAAATCTGCAAGAAACAAGCTTCTCAGTCCTAAATTTCATCATTAAATCACTGAAACTCAGAGTTGTGAATGACAACATCTGAATAGTGAGTGTCAACATAGATTTTCTACAAGCTTGAGGGTTTTTATCTAGGAACAATTCTGTTTGTAGGTCATCCTGGATATATTCAAGGGACCATTATTTTTGGTATTATACAATATAACTTGATGTTCTCATAGTCAAATGTGAATGCATTTCTCATACTTTATCTGAATCCTCCCAAATTAACAATGTGGTCCAAGTATATTCCCAAAATTAGAGTTTCTGAGCCTGAACGGAAGTTAAGCTCCCAGAAATCGCAGGTAGCTGTGTTAATAAGTGGTTAGAATAACTAGGGCTTATCTTTTGTGTGTCCTTTGATAAATTTAAACAAATTAAATTCCTCTCCAAGATAGGTCTGATTCACAAACTTAATGACTATATGCTTAAATTTTCACCTATAGTTTAATGAAATGTTTGTTTTTAAAAGATGTTTGAAGTCTAAAATAGACTCCCCAAACAGTGTCTGACATGTAATAAGTCCTCAGAAAATAATTCATAAATATTGAATGACTAGTAGGATATTAAAATGTGGTCATTCCTGCTGTTTACTTTTATCTGAGGGCACAAATGTCAAGAACAATTCTATAGGTGCTAGACCTCCTATATAGGACATGCTAACAAGCTTGCAAAAGTGTTTATTTCAAATTTCGATCTATCATCTACTTTCAGAGCACATTAAGAGTTTATGAGTGTTCAGAGATTAGGAAGTGAGAATTTTTTTTATGAAGTGACTTGCCAGTGTACTTCCCATTTCCCAATATCTTTCTGTGTCAATAAGCAAAAGAACTTCTCTTTTACCTTAAGCCAAGTTTGGATTCTGTCATATATTGGCAAGTGTCCTCTGGGAGTTGGAGGTTGCAGAGGTGAACACTTTCAGTATGTGAGTTTGTTAGAACTACACATAACCACAGAGTAAAAGCAGATGTGTAGATTAAGCCACACTTCCAGCAATGGTGAGGCTGAAGGGAGTGTTTCCTGTGGGCCGGATGAAGATCTCATACAAAGCAGCCATTTGGGAACCATCCTAAAATAAAATTCACCTAAGACTGCTTCTTACCACAGGCAAGTCAGCCTCAATGAAAAGAAGCTGGAAGTATAGAGTAGAAAGCAAAAAAAAAAAAGGTACCTGGGGAGTTGTGAGGGGTGAGGTACAGTGATTTGCAAGCAGGATTGCCAAAGGAGACATCACACATCAGACAACTGCAGAGTACCCCAGGAGCAGAATTTCTGAAAAACCCATAGAAGTAGTCCAAAAAAAAAAAAAAAAAGAGAGAAAACATTTGGAGTGTCAGCATACAGATTAAAACTGTCCAGGCTGGTAACATCTTTATTCCGTGTTTATTTCTATTCCCTTTGTTTCACCTTCACTCATTCTGGGGATCAGGGTTGGGGAATGGAAAGAGATACTAGAGAGGGAAGAAGCTCATGCAGAGCCCGTTATACTCACTTGCCCCCTTAATGGTCCCAAACTAAGCAGATCCAATCCAAGCTGAGAGAGAGGAAAAGTGTTAAATTAGATAAAAGTTGGACTTAAGATATTAGGCGGAATTGGATCTTTTATTATCTTCATTATCAAAAGACCATGAGATCCACAAAGGAAGGAAAGGAGAAGACTTTATTTTCAGAGGGAAAAATAACCCTAGAATTAGGGAAATGCAGCTTTCGGGAAAATCCGAAAGTTCACTCTCTGAAGAAGTGAGAGGGGGCTGGTATACATGTCTTATACAGTCAGTTTTACATACATACTGAGCAGGGTTGGGAAAATTCTGTGAATACTTATGAATATTCATGAAGGAAGTCAAGCACTAGTGCATTGGGTAAGCAGATGTAACATGCACCCCACGGTCACTTTGGGATGGTGTTTTAACATTAAATCGGGTGGAATTTGGCTCTTTACCTCAAAAGGTGAACTATAGCGTACAAAAATAGTTTGTACATAATCTCCACAAGCTGTCTGTAACTGGTTTAAGGTCTGTGGCCATTCATCAATAAAGAATGTTTATAAGATTGGGTCTGGCCGGGCGCGGTGGCTCACGCCTGTAATCCCAGCACGTTGGGAGGCCGAGGCGGGCGGATCATGAGGTCAGGAGATCACGACAATCCTGGCTAACATGGTGAAACCCCGTCTCTACTAAAAATACATAAAATTAGCCAGACGTGGTGGCGGGCGCCTGTAGTCCCAGCTACTCGGGAGGCTGAGGCAGGAGAATGGTGTGAATCCGGGAGTCAGAGCTTGCAGTGAGCCCAGATTGCACCACTGCACTCCAGCCTGGGCGACAGAGCGAGACGCCGTCTCAGGAAAAAAAAAAAAAAAAAAAAAAAGATTGGGTTCTTTTTCCAATCTGAGTTATGGTAGGACAGTCTGACTTATGGCAGGACAGCAAGGCTGGGGAGAAGGTTGTCCGCTGGCATCAGGCAATCTGTCAAGATATTTTGGAAATTTCCCAGCTATGGTTGTTTTGGCAATGCTTTTCAGTATTTCCTTCCTGTTTAATTATGGGAAGGAAAACTTATGGCAATTAATAACCCTGGGATACCTGACTAGTCCCTCATCCTGCTATCTATCAGATTCTGGTTTCTCATTTGTTTGTCTGTTTCTGTTATTTTACCCACAGGGAGTCTGTTTCATGTTCCTTGGGGTATATTTTATCACCTGAAATACAGAGGATAATATTTATTACCTTAGAGAGAATGGAAAACTTATGGGAATTGCCTATGATGTGGGAAGAAATCAGTCTGACTTCCTAATAAGCAGGGGCAGTTTTGAGACAGAATATTGTTGTTGCTTTCTCTTTTAATGCAGTTTGACCGTATTTGTCAAATCAGTTACTTATTCATTTAATTTTGTAGTGTTGTTTAAGCATTTCAAATGCTTGTACACTTGGAGGATATGAGAGCATTCATCATCAAGAGGTAAAACTTCCATGGGGGATGGGCCGATCACAGAGTGGGTGGTCAGCCATTGGGTTGCCCTCCAGGCTTGGGGGAATATCCTTGCAGCAAAGTGCACTGTGGAAACCTGCTGCCAGTCTCATGGCATTCCCTCTTTTATGTCTTTTTATTTTTTTATTTTTTTAATTAATTAATTTATTATTATTATACTTTAAGTTTTAGGGTACATGTGCACAATGTGCAGGTTAGTTACATATGTATACATGTGCCATGCTGGTTCTTTTATGTCTTAACTGACATATAAATCTAACCAAAAATTCCTTCCTAAAAACCTTGTAGGATTTTAAAATTAATTAATTATTTTCGAGACGGGGACTCTTTCTGTAGCCAGGCTGGAGTGCGGTGGTATGATCAGGGCTCACTGCAGCTTTTAACTTCTGTGCATGTGATCCTCCCACCTCAGCCTCCCCAGTAGCTGGGAGTACAAGCGCAGGCCCCCACGCCCAGCTGGAATTTTAAAAAATAGAATAACAAATTTACAAGGTCGCAATTTCGACTCTTTTCACACATTTCATGATACGGAGGAAGAAAACATTTTTCCCCCGAGAGAGGCTTCAGGATGGCTGTCTACAGGCCCTCAGTACTTTCCTCCACAAAGAAGAACCAAAACACCCAGTAGAAAATCAGACTTGGAATACAGCATCTAAAAGAACACATTCGAATTAAGCAGAGAAGCGACAGGAAAGCTCTGAGGCAGGAAAGAGACAGAGGGGAGGCAGGTAGCTCAGCTGAAACTGTCTGGGAGCCCAGAGACTTCTTAGTGCAGGGAAAGTGTGTCCACATTCCCACCGCAGACTCCTGCAGTCGTAGCCATGGGAGAGCCCTGGGGGCCCCGAGACTAGGATGGGGAGCTGCCTGGAGCCTGCACCGCGCAACAGCACTGTTCCAGGACGGAGCTCAGGCGAGGTCCCACACACCTCCTGGACCAGGCTATTTGGAGCCCAGCCCCAACAAGACTTCATCCTGCCTCGGGTCTCAACAGCTTCCGCATCTCCACATCCCTGGAGCCCCGCAGACATCCTTCACTTCCCCCACAACACCCCACACACCGGGAGGGCTGTAGTGGCACAAGGCTGATTGGTGCCAGCCGTGTGGCTGGGTCCCTGGCACTCTAGCCCCAAAGGTGTTCTACACCCCGGGGGAATCGGCAGTGCAGTGCACTGGGGAGGCTGCCTCCAGTCAAAGGGAGCCAAAACGCAAGCTCCCCAGAGCCTGACAGCCACTTGAGTGAGGTCGCTGCCACTGACAGCCACCCCGACTCCCAATAGCAAAGCAGCTGCGCACCGACAGGCTTTCTCCACCCACTGCCATCTCCACAGCCGGGACTGCCACCACCCAAGCACGCCGCTGGGAGGCGCCTGGGGATTGCCCACTCTGCCAACCACAGCCTGAGCCCTGAGCACAACATAGGGGATTGGGTTGTCTGAGGGTAGGACCACACCACCAAGCAAAGCCTCTCCCAGTGCCTGAGCACACTGCCCAGGGGCCTGGGGATCCATGGCCCTGTCCCACCCGTAGCTCCGCGTATGCTCCTGCACCATCAGGAGGCCTGACTGAAGACCCAGCCTGGCTGCTCGCAAGCCCCACCTACCACAGCCTGTGTGCACCATCAGGAGGCCTGAGGTTGGACCCGCAAAGCCTGGTACGGCCCACAAGTGCCCAAGTGCATCATTCAGTGGCCTGGGGACCGCCTTTCCACCACCGCTGACATCTGCACTCCTTTGGGGGCCCGAGGGCTGCCCGCCCAGCCCACCCTTTGCTGCCACCATAAAAGGTTATTGTAATGGAGGTAAAGAGTAGAATGATAGTTACTAGCAGCTGTGAAGGATGTGTGTGTGTGTGTGTGGGAGGGGGGAGGTATGCAAACATACAATTAGAAGGAATAAGTTCTAGTGTTCAACAGAATAGTAGAGTGACTATAGTTAACGACGATGTATTTTATATTTCAAAATAGTTATGAGAAGATTTGAAGTGTTCCCAACACAAAGAAATAATAAATGCTTGAGGTGATGGATATCCTAAACACCCTGACTTGATAATTACACAACCGATGCATGTATCAAAATATGACATGTACCTTAGAGATACATGAAAATATTATGTACCAATAAGAATATAAAAAAGAAATAAAATGAAACAAGAATACTTTTCTTATAAATCATGATGATAACAAGAACTATAGAAATTGCACCTTCAAATTAACTTGACAAGGCAAATCCTACCTATTTTCTAATATACTACTTTCTAGCTTAAATGTAAAAAGCCAGTTATTTCAATGAATTCAAAATTTATTTGTGGAAGTAACAGAAATGTCTCAACATGCTATGGTTTGATTAATCATTTCTACACTAACTTCTGAGAGAAGATTTGACAAGAGGACTCTGGGATAGGAGCTATCTATATCCAGGATGATTCTATCTGAGCCGCAGATGGACTTCTGTGGATTTTTTGTGTGGTTGAGGTCTATTTCTCTGTCAGCAGATACCACTTGAGTAGCAGGAGACAAGGTATAGCTTGCTACGCACTCCATCTTTCTTTTCTTTGACTCTGTCCAGCTAATTGTACAAAGTGTGTGGATCAAGCAATGACCTAGATTATCATTATATTGGATCCAAGTTATTGGTGTGTTTCTTGGGTTGGCCTAGCATTGTATTTACCAAGACTATGAGGAAAGTGGTGCTAAAATACGCTCCTGTAAATCTCCTGGCTTCCAGGCATAGTCCTTACCACAATGTGTAAGAGCAACCCAATTTCTGCCTGTATGGCTGCTGCGGCTGCTGCTGCTTCTTATTCCTCTTCTTATTCTTCTTCTTTTGAGATGGAGTTTCACTCTTGTTGCCCAGGCTGGAGTGCAATGGCGTGATCTCAGCTCACTGAAACCTCCGCCTCCTGGATTCAAGTGATTCTCCTGCTTCAGCCTCCTGAATAGCTGGGATTACAGGCACACGCCACCACGCCTAGCTGATTTTGTATTTTTAGTAGAGATGGGGTTTCTCCAGGTTGGTCAGGCTGGTCTCGAACTCCTGATCTCAGGTGATCTGCCCGCCTCGGCCTCCCAAAGTGCTGAGATTAAACTGTGAGCCACTGCGCCTGGCCACAGCAATCTTCTTCTCTGCCAGCTGCTTCAATGACTGCGGAGCCCAACGTGCAACAAGGAAGTCTCATCTTCCTGTTCATCAGGATAATGGTCATATTCCTTATTAGAATAATCTTGCCATAGGCATTAGAACCTCTAAACCCAGCACAAACAAGATCTTGGGAAAAGGAGACAATTTTCAAGTGAATTATTAGGTGTACTAGTACAAGGCTACTCCAAATCTGAATCCTAACTCTATGCTTTTGTTCCCATACCTGTACATTCTGGCTATGGCAGAGACAGCAACATATATTGGTAAGGCAAATACCCCCTCTTAAAAAACTGAATCCCACACTTGCAAGCTGTTTTATTCCAACTGGTGTCATTAGTGTGCTTTCAGGAAGTCATTTCAATACCCTGGTTAGCCAGTTACTTAGGGGCAAGTAACTTCTTTTTTTTTTTTTGAGATGCAGAAAACATTCTATTTTTTGATTACATGGCTCAGATAGTTTCATTCAGTGTCATCAGCAATGAACTTCATGAAACATGTTCATCTTTCCTGTCTAGGTAGATGTCACAGTAGCCCTGGTTTTTAAGTGTTGCCTCTAAAACTTGTCCTCTTTCCAGCATTCTCTTCTTTTTTTTTTTTTTTTTTGAGACGGAGTCTCACTCTGTCTCCCAGGCTGGAGTGCAGTGGCGCGATCTCGGCTCACTGCAATCTCCGCCTCTCAGGTTCACGCCATTCTCCTGCCTCAGCCTTCCAAGTAGCTGGGCCCAACACCATGCCCGGCTAATATTTTTTTTTCTTTTGTATTTTTATTAGAGATGGGGTTTCACCGTGTTAGCCAGGGTGGTCTCGATCTGCTGACCTCGTGATCCGCCCGCCTCAGCCTCCCATCCAGCATTCTCTTCTTTCTCTCAACCTGCCACTATTGAAAACTCACTTTTCTTTTGCATTTTGTCCTACGTGTGAAAACTATTGAGCTGAAGTAAGACCCAAGGTAGATCCCAAGGGCTTCAGATCTACCCTGTCAAGGGCACAGAATGGTTAGCAATAGAGCCCCTTGTTAAGGTCAATCATGGTTAATAACATGAATGTTAAATTCTAATATTACTTAACAGTATCTAAATTCTAATATCCTTAATTTCACAAAAACAAACTTTTCTAACACTTCTTACCAGTAAAGGATTTAGCTCACACGAATATACTCTCAGATAACCTTAAGAATTCTGCCTTGCTTTGTAATTCCTGCCAGTGCTGCATAAGCCAGCAGTTCTCAGCATCTTTTTATTCTAGCTGATCTCTAGTTTCTCTGGTAGCTTTTTATCACAGACGGAGCTGTTAAACAGGTCGTAGATTCTCTGAACCAGTTCATCCTTATTTCGCTTGAGATTTTTTTCCAGAGTACTGTTTTGACTTTTCAAGGTCAAGCAAGAAACATCCAGGGACTTTGCGCTTATGAGTCCTAGTCTTGCATTTTTCAACTTTGGCCACACCGGGTTTCTTCTTTGAAGGTCCACGGTTTTTCTGTCCCTTACCAGCAGGTGTTACAGATACATTTTTGGTCTTTGCCTTCCTCTTCCTCAGTGGCTCCACTATATTTTTGGTCTTTGCCTGTCTTTTCCTCAGTCACCCCATGATATTTTTTGGTCTTTGCCTTCCTTTTCCTTGATTATTCCACCACAGGTGCAGGCACTTCCTCAGTTGGCAGCTTCCTCTCTGAAACCTCAAGTTTAGTCTCAGGATCACCTGGTGGTTCACTAAGATTCTCACCAAGATCATGCTCAACCAGCATCATCAGATGAATCATGCTGGCAGACAGCAGCCTCATCCAGCTCTTCTTCATCTGAGGCAGTTTGGTCCTCATCATACGAATCTTCTGCTGGCACAGAAACTTCCAAATCATTACTGTCATCATTGTCATCATCACCATCACTAATAACTATTGGAGGGTTCCTGGATGGTGGGCTGCACATAACAACACTCCAGACTCTCATCGTCACTGCTTATTTAGAATATCTTAGCTTTCTTCTCCTCATAGGAGTAGCATTCATCATCAGAGTCAGAGTTGATCACTACCATAGAGCTGGACTGTCTCTTCTGAGCTCTTCTGGCCATAGAAGACCCGTGGTTCTCATCACTGCTTGAATCAACGTTAAGGATGTATCAATTCTCCTCTGGGTTGTGCAAGTGGCACAGCTCTTCTTTGTACCTGTCCATGTCTGGTCTTGCAGCCTCTGGTGTGGCCAGCGGCAGCTCACCTCCAACTGCCCATGGAATGTGTGTGAGATCCTGAGCAACTGGGCAAGTAACTTCTATAGGCATGAACTGATTGTCAATCTTTCTTTGTTGTAAAATGTCAAATACAATATTGTGTGAGGAACCATGACAATGGATAAGACATTCTGTAACTCTTAAGTATTGATGTTAGTAGAAGCACTGTAGGCATAGAAGGCAAATCTGTTCCTAAAATATGTGATTGTTCCTATGAAGACCAAGCAGCATCTAGTCCAAGATTAAAGAGACTTAAGTAATAAATCTGCCCTTAGGTGACTGGCTGGTAAATCTCCTGGTTCCAGGCATAGTCCATGCCAAAATGAAAATGTTTTCCCCCTAAATTTTGCTTTTATTTATTTATTTTTGTATTTAGAATTAGTCTTAGAATGCCAAAAAAATTGTCAGTATTTTTTTGTCTTCTTCAAGTTATAATATTGAGCAAGTGCAGGTAGCCAACTAGAAGCAGCTAGTGTGTGCTGTTCTCACAGGAGAAATAGAAGGGGCTAGTAAATACAGCACCTTCAACTGAAGCATCCAGTTACACACATTGGGATTCATCAAGAAAACAACTCAATCCGTGGAGGATGAAGTAAAGCAAGGCAGGACGACTGCCCACCCGGGAGCAACATGGAGCCAGGGGAGCCTTCCCCACCCAGGGAAGCAGTGAGTGACTGAGCACCTGGGGGAGCACAATTCTCCCATGGATCTTTGCAACCCTTGGGTCAGGAGATCCCCTTGTGAACCCATCCCACAAAGGCCTGCAGTCTGACACACAGAGCTACAGGGAGTCCTGGAAGAGTAGCCTCTCAGGCACACGCAGAGCCCTGGGAGCCTTAGATACCAGGGCTTCCCAGCAAAAGTGGCTGGGAATTTAGACATCTCTACATCCCTAGGAAAGGGGCTGAATCCAAGGGGCTGAGCAGGGATTGTCCGCAGGCCCTGCTTCCATGGCACCTCACAGGATAAGACCCTCTGGCTTGGAACTCCAGCCAGCCACTGGTAGCAAGGTTATACCTCCCCTGAGATGAATCTCTCAGAAGGAGGGGCTGGACATCATTTTTGCTGTTTTGCAGCCTTAGCCATTGTTGCCAAAATCCAAGGTGACTAAGGATTGGAGAAGCCCCCAAAATAGCACAGCTGCTCTACAGGGAGGCTGCCAGACTGTTTTTTTCACGTGGGTCTTGGATCCCATTTCTCTTCACTGAGCAAAATCTCCTCACTGAGGTCCACAACCACCTCCACAAGTGTTTTTGAGCTGGCAACAGGTCTGTACCCCTCTGGGATGGGGTTTCCAGAGGCAAGGATAGCCCACCATCCTTGCTGTCTTACAGCCTTAGCCATTGTTGCCTTCAGGGAGTCTGAGGCGACTAGGGACTGGAGTGGTCCCCTGGCAGAGCACAGCAGCTCTACAGAAAAGTGGCCAGATTGCCTTTCCATGTGAATCCCAGACCCTGTTTCTCTTTACTGGCTGGAATCTCAAAACCAAGATTTACAACCACCGGGTGTTTTCCAGTTGACAACACGTCTGTACCTCCCTAGGATGGAGCTCCCAGAGGGAAAGGCAGGCTGCCATTTGTGCTGCTTCACAGCCTTCACTGTTGTCACTTTTGGGCGTTGGAGAGTCTGAGGTTATGAGGGGGCTGGTTGGACCCTCAACACAGCACAGCTGCTTTACAAGAAAGTGGCCAGAGTGCTTTTTTATAGCAGTCACTGATCCTGTTTCTCCTCACTGGGTGTGACCACCCAACTGGGATCACCAGCCACCCTCACCAGTGTGTTTGGGCCAGCAACATGTTGGAACCTCCCTGGGATGGAGCTCCCAGTGGGAGAGGCAGGCTGCCATCTTTGCTGTTTCACAGCCTTCACTGTTGATACCTTCAGGTACTGGAAAATCCGAGGTAACTAGGGACTGGAGTGGACTCCCAGAATACTGCAACAGCCCTGCAAGAATGGTGGCCAGATTGTTACATGACCAGACTGTTACCTTGATCCCGTATCTCCTCGCTGGGCGGGTCTTCTCAGCCTGGGCCTCCAGCCACCCCCTGCTGTGGCTCTCGAGCCAGTAGCAGCTCTGCCACTTCCTGGACAGAGTTCCCAGTGGGAGGGGAAGGTTGCCATCTTTGCCGTCTTGCATCCCTCGCTCTGTCTCCAGGCTCTGGAGAGTCTGTGGGGACCAGGGGCTGATCTGGCCCTCAGCACAGAGCACCCACCTCATGAATAAGTGGCTGGACTGTTCTCCACACACATGCTGGACCTCACTTCTCCTCCCTGGGCACAGCCGCTGGACATGGTACTGCAGCACAACCACCCTGCCCCCAACTTACCACTTCAATCAAAGGCAGCCCAGCATTTCTCTGAGGAGGAAATCACAGAGTCAACCCACAACCCCTCCACCACTGCAGTTGCAGCGGTGCTGCCTAATGGCCGTTGGGCTGGGGAAAGAACAAAGGGCCTAGTGACCACACTGGCCCCTCCAGCACACCACAGTCAACATACAGAAAGAGTCCAGCCCCTTTTCCCTGAGAACTTACACCCCCTAACTCTTCACCAGGCAGGGCCCCTGGCTCATGACCACAGAATGGTTGCCCCATACATGGCTGACCATACCCACTGGTAGTGGCTCAGAGTTCCCCTGGGGAGAGGCTTCCAGAGGCATCCAACAGCTCCTCTGCCACAGGGATAGAAACAGTTCTATCCCTGCTACCCTCAGTCTGGGGAAGAAACAAAGATCCTGAGGGCTACACTCAAGCTTACAGCATGCCACAGACACCATAGGGAGAGGAGACCATTCTCTCCTCCTGATTACTCTTAATCCTCTGCTCCCCAAAAAGTGGAATACCAAGCTCATGCCAGCAATGCAGCTGCCCCACCCCCATGGCTGAACACTTCCAGTAACAGCAGCTCTGCATTCCTCAGACATGAGACCCCCAGGGGCAACCAAAAGCCCATCTGCCACTGCCTCTGCAGCGGTACTACTCCTGCTACCCTCAGACTAATGAAGGAGCAAAGACCCTAACTACCTTATCCATACCCCCATCAAGCAACAGTCGACCCAAGGAGAGGAGCAAAGTTCATCTCCCACAGGTCCTGCACACTTCCCCTGCTCATCACCAAGCAGAGAAACCCTGGTTTGGGCCCATAGCACAGATACCCCCATCCTGGGCAGACTGCACTGAGCAATTGCTGACCCACACCTCTCTGGGGTAGAGCCCCTAGGAGGTAAATAAAAGACCTTCAGCCACAACCACTCCTAAGGTCCCTTCTGCTGCTGCCTCCAAGTTGGAGAGGAAACATAAACACTGAGATCACCCCAGAGCTGTGGGGGAAAGCCCAGGAATGACAAGCCATAATCTACAGCCAACACTCAAGTGGGAGAGGATCCCAAACTTTCAGAGCATTGAGAGGCAGCATGGCTGCAACTGTGAAGAAATATAAGGGAGCCACACAACTGATCAAGAGCCAACCAACTGAACACTCTGCCTAAGCACAACCTACTGCATCACATCCCAAAGCTTTAATACCAAACTACTTCACTAACATACCACCCACTCCACTATGAGACCAAAGACAAGTCAGTTGCAAGTAAAGACCCTGCACAAAGCCTCAACCCTGTGAATACATCCAGAAAAGAAGTCTACTGACTATATGCAATCTACATCATGGCTAAAGAAACACTCAAATGCAGAGAAGAGAAAGAAGCAACACAAGAACTCCAGCAACTCAAATGGCCAGAGTTTCTTATGTCCTCCAAATGACTGCGCTAGTTATCCAACAAGGGTTTTAAACCAGCAGAGCTGACTGAAATGACAGAAATAGAATTCCGAATATGGATAGAAATGAAGATCATCAGCATTCAGGAAAATGGTAAAACCCAATCCAAGAAAACTAAGAATCACACTAAAACAATACAAAAGCTGACAGACAGAATAACCACTATAGAAAAGAACCTAACTGATCTGCTAGAGCTGGAAAACACATTACAAGAATTTCACAATACAATTCCAAGTATTGACAGTGGAATTGACCAAGCTGAAGAACTTGAAGACTAGCCCTCTAAAATAAGACAGTCAGACAAAAACAAAGGAAAAAGAATGAAAAGGAAGGAACAAAATCTTTGAGAAATATAGGATTATGTAAAGGCGCCAAATCTACAAATCATCGACATCCCTGAAAGGGATGGGGAGATACAAGCTGGCATAATAACCAACTAACAATACAATGACAGGATCAAATCCACACATATGAATACTAACCTTGAATGTAAACAGACTAGCTGCCCCATTTAAAAGGTGCAGAGTGGCAAGCTGGATAAAAAATCAAAGCTCAATGGTATGCTATCTTCAGTAGAACCATCTCACACACAATGACACACAGGCTTGAAATAAAGGGATGGAGGAAAATCTAACAAGCAAATGAAAATCAGTAAAAAAAAACAGGGTTTGCAATCCTAATTTCAGACAAAACAGACTTTAAACCAATAAAGATGAAAAAAGACAAAGAAGGACATTACATAATAATAAATTCAATTCAGCGAGAAGACTTAACTATCCCAAATATATATGTACCTAGTACAGGAGCACCCAAATTCATAAAGCAAGTTCTTAGCTACAAAGAGTCTTAAATATTTACAAAATAATAGTGGGAGACTTTAACACTCCAGACAGGTCATCAAGGGAGCAAATTAACAAAGATATTCAGAACCTGAACTTGACATTGGACCAAATGGATTTGATAGACCTTTACAGTACTCCGAACCCAGAAAACCAGTATATACATTCTTCTCATTGCCACATGCCACATAATCTAAAATTGACCGCACAATTGAATGTAAAACAATTCTTAGCAAATGCAAAAAAAAAAAACAAAAACTCAAAAACCAAAAAACAAAAAAAGCAAAATCATGCCAAACACATTCTTGGACCACAACGCAATAAAAATAGAAATCAAGACAAAACAAATCACTCAAAACCATGCAATTACATGGGAATTAAACAACATGCTCCTGAATGACTTTGGGGATAAATAATGAAATTAAGGCAGACATCGAAACATTCTTTGAAACTCATGAGAACAAAGATACGACATACCAGAATCTCTGAGACACAGCTAAGGCAGTATTAAGAGAAAAACTTATAGCGCTAAACGCCTACACAAAAAAGTTAGAAAGATCTCAAATTTAACACTCTAACATATAACTAAAAGAACTGGAGAAGTAAGAGCCAACCAACCTCAAAGGTAGCAGAAGACTAAATATAACCAAAATCAGAGCTGAACGGAAAGAGATTGAGATACAAAAGAAACATCAAAAAGATCAACAAATCCAGGGGTTGGTTTTTTGGAAAAAAAAAAAAGTCTCTCATTGGACTAATAATGAAGACAAGAGAGAAGACTCAAATAAATACAATTAGAAACTACAATGGGGATGGTACCACTGACCCCCATGAAATATAAATAACCATCAAAGACTACTACAAACACCTCTATGTATACCAAACTAGAAAACTTCGAAGATATAGATAAATTCCTGGACACATACAGCCTCCCAACACCGAACCAGGGGGAAATTGATTTCCTTAACAGACCAATAATGAGCTCTGAAATTGAATTAGTAATAAATAGCCTACCAACCAAAAAAAGCTCAGATGGATTCACAGCCAAATTCTGCCAGATGTACAGAGCTGGTACCATTCCCATGGAAACTATTCCAAAAATTTGAGTTGAAAGGACTCCTCCCTAACTCATTCTATGAGGCCAACATCATCCTGATACCAAAACTGGCAGAAGCACAACAAAAAAAAGAAAACTCGAGGCCGGCATCCTTGAAAAACATAGATGCAAAAATTCTCAACAAAATACTGACAAACTGAATCCAGCACCACTCAAAGAGCTAATTCACCATGATCAAGTGGACATTATCTCTGGGATGCAAGGTTGGTTCAACATACACAACTCAATAAATATGACTCATTTCATAAACAGAACTAAACACAAAAATCACATGATTATTTCAATAGAAACAGTAAGAGGTTTCAATAAAACCAACACGCTTTCATGTTAAAATCACTCAATAAACTATGTATTGCAGAAACATCTCAAAATAATAAGAGCCAGCTGTAATAAGCCCACAGCCAACATTATCCTGAACAGGTGAAAGCTGGAAGCATTCCCCTTGAAAAGCACAAGACACGAATGCCCACTCTCAACATTCCTATTCAACATAGTATTGGAAATCCTTGCCAGAGCAATCAGGTGAGAGAAAGAAATGAAGGGCATCCAAATAGGAAGAGAGGACGTAAAACTATTCCTGTTTTCAGACCATATGATTATATACCTAGAAAACCCCATACTCTTGGCCAAAAAGCTCCTTCAACTGATAAACAACATCAGCAAAGTTTCAGGATACAAAATCAACATACAAAAATCACCAACATTCCTGTACACCTATACACAACACCCAAGCTGACAGCCAAATCAGGAATGCAATTCCATTTATGATAGCCACAAAAACAATAAAATACATAGGAATACAGTCAACCAGGGAGGTGAAAGAGCTCTACAAGGATAATTACAAAACATTGCTTAAAGAAATCAGAGATGACACAAACAAATGAAAAACATTCCATGCTCATGGATCAGAATAATAAATATCATTAAAATGGTCATATTGCCCAAAGCAATTTACAGATTTAATGCTATTCCTATCATACTACCAATGACATTCTTCACAGAACTAGAAGAAAACTATTTTAAAATTCATCTGGAACAGAAAAATTAGCCCAAATAGCCAAGGCAATCCTAAGCAAAAAGAACAACACTGGAGGCATCACATTGCCCAACTTCAAATTATACTACAGTACTACAATATCCAAAATAACAAGGTACTGGTAAAAAAAAAAAAAAAAGCAGACACATAGACCATTGGAACACAATGGTCTAATGCAGACACATAGACCACTGGACAGAAAGCCCAGAAATAGTGCTGCACAACTACACCCATCTGATCTTCAGCAAAGCTGACAAAAACAAGCCATGGGAAAAGGATTCCCTTTTTAATAAATGGTGCTGAGATAACTGGCTAGCCACATGCTGAAGATTGAAAGTGGACCCCTTCCTTATACCATATACAAAGCTCAACTCAAGATGGATAAAATACTTATGTCTAAAACCCCAAAATATAAAAAACCCTGGAAGATAACCTAGGAATTACCATCCTGGACACAGGAATGGGCAAATATTTCATGACAAAGATGCCAAAAGCAATTGCAACAAAAGTGAAACAAAACAAAACAAACAAACAAAATAATTAACTGTAAGAGCTTCTGCACAGCAAGAGAAACTATCAACAGAGTGAACAGATAATCTACAGAATGGGAGAAAATTTTTGCAGACTATGCATTTGACAAAGGTCTAATATCCAGCATCTGTAAGAAACTTAAACCAATCAACAAGCAAAAAATAAACAACCCCATTAAAAAGTGGACTAAGGACATGAACAGATACTTTTCGTGTTTTATTTATCAATCTTAATTTACTTCTTATCCATTTGGAGTGTCAAATAATGGCCAAAGAAATTGTAATTATAAATTAAAGAACAAAATTTAGCAAGTAAAAATAAACAAAAATAACACAAAAATGTATTATCCTTTTACTTTTGTCATTAAGCAACAAATATATTTCTGATAATTTGTCAAATATTTTCTCCTTGAATTAATAGTTTATCTTATTTAAAAGGGTATATTGTGTTTTTAAAATTTTATTTTAAATTTGGGAGTACATGTGCAAATTTGTTACATAGGTAAACTTGTGTAATGGGGGTTTGCTGTAAAGATTATTTCTTCACCCAGGTATTAACCCTAGTACCCATTAGTTATTTTTCCTGATCCTTTCCCTCTTCCCACCCTCTATCCTCCAGTAGGCACTAATCATTAGGGAAATGCAAATTAAAACCACAGTAAGATACCATCTCATACCAGTCGAATGGCTATTATTAAAAAGTCAAAAAATAACAGATGCTGATGAGGTAGTGGAGAAAAGGGTTCACTTATACACCTTTGATGGGAGTGTAAATTAGTTCAACCATTATGAAAGATAGCATGGTGATTCCTTAAAGACCTAAAACCAGAAATTTGACCCAGCAATCCCATTACTGGTATATACCCAAAGGAATATAAATCTATCATAAAGACACATGCATGCATCTGTTCATGGCAGCACTGTTGACAATAGCAAAGACATGCAATCAACCTAAATGCCCATCAATGGTAGACTGGATAAAGAAAATGTGATACACATATACAAAGGAATACTATGCAGCTATAAAAAAGAATGAGATGATGTCCATTGCAGGAACATAGATGAAGCTAGAGGCCGTTACCCTTAACAAACTAATGGAGGAACAGAAAACCAAATACCACATGTTCTCACTAATAATTGGGATCTAAATGATGAGAACACATGTACACATAGAGGAGAATGACAGACACCGGAGCCTACTTGAAGGTGGAGGGTGAGAGGAGGGGCAGGATCAGAAAAACATAACTATGTAGTACTAGTCTGAATACCTGGGTGATGAAATAATATGTACAACAAACCCCTGTGACATGATTTTACCTATATAACAAACCTACACATGTAGCCCTGAACCTAAAAGTTAAAAAAAATCAAATTATACTGTTAAATTATTAGCATGATTTATAAACAATATTGTTTTAGGATAAAGAATTTAATTGCTTGGCAATTGCAAATTATTAAATTAAATATCAATATGTTAGGGAGGCTAATTCAAATGATATAAATATTTAGGCTATAACAAAAGGCAGCTATATATTATTAACCTCACCTCAAAAAGGGGCATAATTTCCATTCCCTTGACTTTAAGGGTAAATTAAGAGAAATTTGTAAAGCACTCAAAAGAATATTCAATTCAATATGTGGTGGACAGTTGAGAAATTATGTGTTATCTATGTCATGGGAAAGCAACTTTTAAAAAGAAAACATTTCCTCTGAGGTTTTCACAAATAAGTGAAACTGTGAACCCTCATATGTACTGTGAAAGGACAATTTGAGGAGCATCTCTGATTAGCAGCAGATTTATTATTCTTTCCTCATTTCATGTTATACTTAATAAAACAAAACATACCTGTATACACACACATTCACTCACATTGAAGATGCAAGATGAAGAAAGATACATGACATTGAATGTACAGTCAAAGAAAAGGAGTTCTGCCCAAACATCTCAACTTACATTTAAAGGTATGGAATTTAATTTCATTTTTTCAATTGGTGTGAATTAACATGGTAGTTTCCCGTATCCTGTTCCATTGTGTTATTGGACTGTTTCAGTATTTGGGTGCTTTTCTTTCTCCGTCTCTGTATCTCTCTCACCTGTCCTCTCTTTCAATATTAATAATGATTTAAAAATAACAACCTCTCTTACCATTTAAGAAACACCAGTTTCCGGCACTATACAGAATGTTTTATCTATGTTCCTTCATTTAATCTTACAAATTTACTATGAGATAATCTCTCTCTCTCCCATTTATCAATGTGGAACTAACACTTACTTGTAATATTTTGTCTGATATAATTTCTTAAGGACATTCTCTGAGGAAATATGCATACTCAATTAAAATTAATAATTTCAAATTAGTGAATATTTGCTGCCATTCACCTCCTTATCATTCATAGAATATGGTGTTTTAATGCTATTTTTTTTTTTTGAGACGGAGTTTCACTGTTGTTGCCCAGGCTGGAGTGCAATGGCATGATCTCGGCTCACTGCAACCTCTGCCTCCCAGGTTCAAGCAATTCTCCTGCCTCAGCCTCCTGAGTAGCTGAGATTATAGGTGCCCGCCACCATGCCTGGCTAATTTTTTGCGTTTTTAGTAGAGATGGGGTTTTACCATGTTGGCCAGGCTGGTCTTGAACTCCTGACCTCAGGTGATCCACCCACCTGAGTCTTCCAAAGTGTTGGGATTATAGGCATGAGCCACCGCGCCCAGCCTTTAATACTAATTTTTAATTCAACTTCTCAAAAACTTTATGCTTTTCACCAAGTTGACTCAAAATAAAGTTTATACACCAGCAATCAACATTTTAATTTGCTACTTCAAGCATACCCTCCATACACAATGCAATTCCATCATGCCACCTTAATGTGATTTGGCAAAAGAGATAAGCAGAAATTAAAGACACAAATAATCACAGTTATAGAGACTGTCTGTTCTGTTCTGTTGCTTTCTAAATATTTCTCTTTTAATAACTTCACCCATGAAAATTTTACTTATCTCTTGAGTCCTTCCACAAGTATCATCCATCAGTGATTCATCTTAGAGTTACATACGTGCTATGTATAAGAAATTTATTGCCTCTTCCATGTGAATTTTTAGATTCCCATATTTTCAAGTCTTTACTTCCTACACTCAATTTTTATTTCATTTTTGGAAATTAGAGATATTAAACCTGAAAGACTACAACATGTAGTGACTTCTCTGCAGACTTTTTTCCACACTCTGTTCATAAATGTCTCTCTGAAGCAAAAATGTGCAGATTTTCGGCTCCCAGATATTTAAGTGACACATACTAATATTTATGTCTTGTACCTTTAGCTAATATTTATTAAAGCTTGAGGTAAGACGTATTTTATGTGAATTAGATTGACAATGTGAGCCTTGGGGTTATGATGTTCATTCATTTAACTTAATTTTGTGATGACATATTTGTAAATCTTTTCTCATATATTGAAAAACCTTTGTTGCCAGTGATAGTAAGAAATTACATAATTGCTCTATCCCACTATACATATGTAGTAGTTTCAGAATCACTATAGAAATAATATTATAATAATAGTTACTTAAAACAGATTAAAATGTTTTGCGGTTTTAAAAAATCCTTAAGATATATTCCATTGAGCATGCACAGTTAAATGTTTTAAAATCACTTTAAGTAATTCCTCTCTCTATAGTGAAGACACTAACAATACCTAGTTAGATTCCTTTTCTTCATTTTTTATGGATTTTTTTTCATTTTTGTTTAACTTACTTTATAGTAGCATAAAACATTTACATATTTTCAGTCAAACTTATATAATGAGGGGCCAAGTGTGGTGGCTCATGCCATTAATCCCAGCACTTTGGAAGGCCGAGGCAGGATGATCGCTTGAGGCCAGGAGTTCAAGACCTGCCTGGGCAACAAATCAAGACCCCCATCTCTACAAACAATAGAGATAAAAAAATTAATCAGTCATGGTGGCACATGCCTGTAGTCCTAGCTACACAGGGTGCTCAGGAGGGAGGATCTCTGAGCCCAGGAGCTCAAGGTTACAAAGAGCTCTAATGGTGCCACTGCACTCCAACCTGAGCAACAGAGCGAGACCCTGTCTCAAATAAATAAATAAGAATTTAAAAAGTTTAAAAAATTACTTTCAGAGAAATCCACCTTGCATAAATCCAGCACCCTTCATAAAATTTACCATTTTGTATTTCTATATTTCCAGTGTTTACTTAGCTATTCTCACTCTTTTGTTCTTTCAGATAACTTTATAAAAAATTATTCAGGCTCACTCACCACAAACAACAACAAATAAAACAACCCGATGTAGCTTTTACGTCTAAATTACTTCCTAGTCTGTCATTAAGCTTAGGGAGAATTTATATTTTTGACACATAGTTTTCTTATCCAAGCACATGATCAAATTAATGTTACTCAGTTTTCGGTTAGTTTTGTTTTGTTTTGTTTGTATTGGGTTGGGACACTTGTCGAGTTTCTGTCTAGTTTTCTTTTTGTTTGTTTTTTTTGGTTAACTATCCGTGAGTAATGAATTTCTTTCATCTATGTTTTCACAGTGGTTACTGGATTATACAGGGCACTGATTTTAGTATGTTATTTTTATAAATGCAGCTACTATTTTTTGTTTCTGGAATTAACGGTAGTTTTTCAATTGATTCTTTTATTTTACCAAATCTGCACTCACATTACCTTCAAATAATTTTACCTTCTTTTTCTAATATTTCTACCTGTAATTAGAATATTTTTCTTCATTGAATTATATATTACCTCTTCGTATTAAAAAGTAGTGGAGATTTGAGCTATCTTTCTTTTTCTGGACTTAAGCAGAAAACCTTCTTTCAGTTTTCTCAATTGAATAAGATGTTAGCTTCATTAGACATAAAACTATTATGTTGAACAAGTATCTATTAATTTCTGTTTTTTAACATAAAGATATAAGATTTTATCAATTTCATTTTTTACATCTATTGAGATGATGATAGATTTTTTTCCTTAGCTTTATTAATATAATATTAATATGGATTTCCTCCTATTGAATAATCTTTATATTCCTAGAATAAACCAATCATGGTTATAATATATTTTGGTTGCTGATAATGTATTTACCATTTTTGTACAGACATTCATAAGACTGATTTTGGTTTTCCATTTTATTATTTCTGGTTTTGGGTGGTTAAAAGGCTTGTGTTTTAACCTTTATAAGTTAAATTAAACCATTTCCTTATAGGAGAAAACACAGGATAATGAAAGTTTTACTTTCTCCATTATTCAGCATCTTTTAAAATTTTTTTTTACTTTTATTTTTATTTTATTATTATTTTTTTGAGATGGAGTCTCGCTCTGTCGCCCAGGCTGGAGTGCAGTGGCGCGATCTCAGCTCACTACAACCTGTAGTGCTTAGGAGAAATAATTCAGTCTGAGTTGAATTTCAACCACCTTCCACAACTTTTTTTCCTAATGTTTTCTGATAATTATTTTTTAAGTTTTAAAATAAATATATGACTTTTTTAAGACACATGCTTGATTTCTTGGAATTTATTGCTTATCAATATTAATATATCAAAAATTCAAAAATAATCTCAGAAATGTGGAGTATTCATTAAATGAATTCTGATAAAATTATTTTAATATCTTTGACAATGTTATGATAAGAGAAACCCTGCGAACTATTTATCTAAAATATCATTCTATAGGGTTCATCATGTGCTTTCTTGACAGGGCTTGACAGCGTCAAATGTAGTTTCTCTATTTTCTCAGGTTTAAAGAGTATTTAGAATATAAATTTCAGCATTAATAATTCAATTTATTGACTGAACAATAAGAATAATTTCGGTTACAATAGAGGATTCTTATCAATTATTATGATAGATTTACATAAATTATCTTTGATAAGGACAAAATGTTTCACAAAGTATAGATATTCACTTATTCAGTATAACATAATTATTCATGTAATTTCGTAAGTCAGTGCCCAGCAGACCTAAATCCTCTGGATGAGACTCTCTACTGTCTGTCCAATGATAGCAGTTTCTTGAATAATAATCATTGAACAAGCACTCTTATCTTAAACCTGACAGTGTAAGTCTATGAAAAATAAAACAGTTCTTAAAAGTTTAGCATTTAATAAGAAGATGAAATATTATTCATGACTTACAAAGGATTTTAGGGTTTTTTTGATTAAAATAGCAGGATACCTAAAGCCATATTTAGTTCTGATTCATCCTTAGTAAATAAAAAAGGCTCAAAGGACTTGTAAATGTTATATTAATGATTAATCAGAAAGTGTTTATGTGGATACACATGTATTATCTGTAAATGCATGTGCATGTTCATGAGTGCGTGTGTCTCCGCAATGGTTGGAAAATTATTCAGTGCATAGAGTAAAATTCTTTCTACAAATTAATAATGTTAAATATTAGCAATTTCTTCAGATTTGATATGACACGTATCATAGCTTCTGACCATCCAGAGTGTTATCATTGTTAAATAAATGTATATATTTTTCTATTTACTTAGCCTTCATGCTTTTGATTGCCTAATATCTTTTGAAACCAAAACTAATATTTTATACAATCCTATTATTACAATTGCTATTGTATTACTTCCTGGAAGCATACTTTTCTAAACTAATTCATGTGATTAATGTCTCAGATTATTCAGTGACGTTGCACTGGTATAAAATCTTACTGGGAATATCTGGAACCGTGAATGGTATTCTCACTTTGACTTTGATCTCCTTGATCCTGTTGGGTAAGTTTAGAAGATCTTAATTAAATAAAAATATGAAAGATGTTTACTTGTCTCTTATAAATCTTTTTATAATTATTCATTCATTCTTCACTACATTAACCAAGATTGAATTAGAAGCTACTGCATGTAAAGCTCTATTAGTACACTCCACAGTGCTATATTTAATATGCAGTCAAATCAGGTAAGTATCTTGCCCTCAAGTGGCATACAGTCTAATACGGAGAAAGGAGTGTATGTGTAGAGTGTGTGTGTGTGTGTGTGTGTGTGTGTGTGTATGTGTGTGTATGTGTGGTATTTGAAACAGTTTTTCTGTGTTTCTTGGATACTTTAATAGATAAAATTTTACTGTTTTGCTTAAATATTTTAATACATTTTATCTAAGGTTGCATTTAGTTTGCTTTTCCTTTTGTCCAGCAAATATTCACCGAGCAGCTACAATACTCCAAATATTACAAATTCCCCAAAATTTTTAAGAAAAGAATAGTCAGGGTGAGGAATGTGATATTCTAGTGGGAGAAGCAGGTACTAAGTAATTATGGTACAATGTTCTGACTACAGTGTTGGAGGCTGCAGAAAAACATTAAGAAAGGATGAAAAGAGCCTATATACTTCCCAGAGCAGAAACTTGGCTTTATTTATTATTGTATTACCAGTTCGTAGGAATGCCTGGCATAGAATAGATTCTCACCAAATATGTGTTGTATAAATGAATTGATTGTATAATATTTTGAATTCTTTCCATCAGTAGACATGAAAATTTTAAAAAGATCCTAGTGACCGTTTCAATTATTTCTTGTTCCAATCATCGGAATCATTCCATTGAATGTGTCCCTGAAACATTCCATAGAGAAGATATTTACCTAACCTTAAAATAGTCCTGTATTCAAGTTTCTCAGGGAGTATTGCTAAAATGCCAAAAAGGAAGTTGTTCAAATGCCACTCAGTATGAGGACACTGGAGATCTAAAAGTGAATAATGGCACAAGAAGAAATATAAGTAATAAGGACCTTTGTGCTTCGAGATCTGCAGACCAGACAGGTATGTCTCAAGGCTTTGGCTTATCCTAGTTTTAATCTTTTGGACTCTCTAAATGTGAAGTATTTTTGAACAGGTATGCAATAGATTAAAGTAACAAGTAAAAGTTTGGTATAAGTCTACTTTTCATTCAAAACTCGATTTAGGTATCTTTAAACTTGTTGCAGTGGGAGAAAATGGTAAAACAACACAAGAAATAGGCTCTGCCCTCCAGGAATTTAAAATCCAGTTGATACATATAAATATGGAAAGTTAGTTGTTATTAAAAAGCAGTATGTAAATAGCCATTCTTGTTTGTCACTTATTTATTCTTCTTTTTCTGAAATACAGACTGGATAAAAGTCAATATTTTAAAAATTATTCATTATGATTTTAAGCTTAGACTTTTAAGCTTAGAAATTCCAGTCATACAGAATTTTGAAAACATTACCTTCTATTTTTAAATGTTTAACTTTTTTTTTTTTTTTTTTTTTTTTTGAGCAACAAGGCTGTTTATTTCACCTGGGTGCAGGCGGGCTGAGTCCGAAAAGAAGAGTCAGCGAAGGGGAGATAGGGGTGAGGCCGTTTTATAGGATTTGGGTAGGTAAAGGAAAATTACAGTCGAAGAGGGTAATTCTCTGGCAGGCAGGAGTGGGGGTCACAAGGTGCTCAGTGGGGGAGCTTTTTGAGCCACGATGAGCCAGGAGAAGGACTTTCACAAGGTAATGCCATCAGTTAAGGCAAGGACTGGCCATTTTCACTTCTTTTATGGTGGAATGTCATCAGTTAAGACAGGAACAAGCCATTTTCACTTCTTTTGTGATTCTTCAGTTACTTCAGGCCATCTGGGCGTATATACGTTCAGGTCACAGGGGATGCGATGGCTTAGCTTGGGCTCAGAGGCCTGACAGTCCTGCCTTCTTACAGTAATAAGAAAAATAACATAAAATAGTATTGAAGTGTTGGGGCAGCGAAAAAAAAATTTGGGTGCGGGGGGTAGCATGGAGAGATAATGGGCGATGTTTCTCAGGGCTTCTTCGAGCGGGATTAGGTGTGGCGTGGGAACCTAGAGTGGGAGAGGTCAACTTGCAGGAGGATTTTGTGGTAAGGGGTGATATTGTGGGGTTGTTGGAAGGAGCATTTGTTGTATAGAATGATTGGTGATGGCCTGGATACGGTTTTGGATGAATTGAGAAACTAAACGGCAGATACAAGGTCCGAATAAAAGAAGGAGAAAAATAGGTATTAAAGGACTAAGAATTGGGAGGACCCAGTACATCCAATTAGAGAGTGTCCAAGGGCGTTCAGCATAATTACTTGCTTGGTTGGCAAGTTTTTGGACCCTATCCTTGAGTTTTCTTATGTTGTCATACACCAGGCCAGATTGATTTAGGTAAAAACAACACTCTTCATTTAAGAATATACAGAGTCCTCCTTTTTCAGCAGTGAGTAAGTCAAGGCCTCGGTGGTTTTGGAGGATAACTGCAGCTAAAGAGTCAACTTGGGCCTGGAGGACTGATAAAGTTTGTGATATGTCTGTGATGCTAGCAGAGAAGACACTAGAGAGGCTATGGAAGGTCGTGACAGAGGTTGAAATGCCTCCTATTCCAGTACCGAGAGCAATAGTGGAGGCAGAAAGTCCTAAACCAACAAGCAAGGGAATTAGTGGAATAACTCTTTTTTGTCGTGTTGGTGTCATGAGGGGAACAGGGAGCTCTTCGGTCCTATTTGCAAATTGAATTTTGGGAGTAAGGAAAACTAGTGTGCATGTACCTGTCCAATTAGCAGGTAGACACATGGAGGTAGAGGATCCACAGAGGAAGAAGAGACCTTGTGCGAGGCAAAACTGGAGATGCAAAGTAAAAAGATGAGGAGTGCTGAAAGGGGTGTCTTGTACCCAGACTCCTGGGGATCCAGCTAGGGCGGCAGCCACCAGAGGTTGTAATGGGGACTGGTGGGGTAACTGCGTAGAGGGGGAGGTTCGATTTTCATGGTATATGAGAAAATGTTGAGTGTCTATGAGCTACCTTTCACTGTTATTTTCGGGGCTGGGTATAAGTAAACAAGAAGAGGGCCTGGGAGGAGGGTCTGATGAGCAAGGGGAAGGTAGCCGAGGATGGAGTGAAATACAGGGTAAGTGTCTTCCTAAGCAATAATTACTGCTAATATTTTTAAGTTTGCCAGTATTGATAGAGGGCTTTTCTGTAATACGGAGCTGGAAGGCTCCAATTGTTTCGGTGACATGCATAGCTGGACTTTGGAGATGAAGAGTAAAGGAACATGGAGAAGGTGAAGGGTTACTAGGGGAATTCCAGTGGGTCTTTGCCGAGAGATACATAAAGGAGTGGCCACAGGAATAGGAATAGTAGTTTGTGTTGTGAGAGGTCCAAATATGGGGGGAGTAGAGTTGATATAAGGAGAAAGGTTTTTTAAGTAAGTGTGGAGGAGGGCGGCAGCTTGCTGATATGAAATGTCTGGGGAGGTCTTGCTGGACCTGTCTAGAAAGTAAATGAGTTCTTCAGGAGGGTAAAGGTGAGGGCTGTTAAAGGAAGTTCAGAGGTATAGGGAGACAGATGTTGCCCAGTCTACATGTAAGGTGGGGGCAGCTGTGTAGGCGCTGGAAGAAAGGGAAATGCAAAGCCAGCAGTTGTTCAATAAGGAGAGATTAGAAATGGCTAGGAGAGAATAAGTAACGTTGGTAGTGTGGTGGAGATAGCTGGGGAGAGGTAGAGGGTGACATAAGAATGGGAATGATCCCTTCATTCTATTAGGTCTGTTTGTCCTTACCCTACTTTTTGCAACAGGGCTTTACGAAGTTACCCCCACTACTTGGACCGAGCCCCAAAAACTAGTCATCCCTACTATCTTCTGTCTAGTCATACTCCTATTCACCATTCTCAACTACTTATAAATGCCCTACTCTTGTTTACACTGCCGGTTTACACTGTTTTTCCAAGCCATCACAGCTGATATCTCTTGGTGCTATCCCCAAACCGCCAGTCTTAACTCCCTCTTAGAGTGGATAGGTGATCTTTGCTGGCAGGGGACCCTCCAATACTTCCACCCTGATGAAGTTCTATTCTTTACTTTTAAGTTTAACTTTTTGATACTTAACTGATCATTTTGACATTTGTTTTATTGTATGAGATGATATATTATGACTTTCCAGATAAATGTATAATTATTATAAAAGGATTTTTTTCTAATCTACTAGTTCGTATTTCCTCCTTTATCATACGTGAAAATTTTATATATTTTATGTTCTACTTATTGACACTGTCTTCATTTGGCTTATCTGTCTGTTTTACAGGTATATTTCCCAAACTAATAGATATTGTAGCTTTACCTCATATTTTATTGTCTCCCTATCTGTAATGTCTGTCACTGTGTTGGGTATCATTGCAATGACACCTTAGAAAAATTAAGGCGGCTTTGGTAGGTAAACATGGAATCATGTACATGGCAGTAAACATTAATTAAAGTAGGTATAAATACTGTATATTGAGCTACAATATATTTATTTCCTATTCCTTTTCTTAGCTGAGGTACAATTCAAAATTTGAACCTTTAAAAGTAAACAATTTCATGATGTTTAGAACCTTCAAACGTTGTGAACTACCATGTTTATCTAGTTGAAAAACTTTTCCCAAAAATAAATCCCTTACATACCCAACAAGCAAATCACTCTCCATTCTCTCTCCCCTTAGCCTCTGACAACTACAAATCTTCTTTCGGTCTATATGGATTTACCTATTCTGGATTTTCATGGAATAGAATCACACAATATTTGGCCTTGGGCTTCTTTCACTTAGCATAATGTTTTTAAAGTTCATCCACATTTTATTCCTTTTTATGGGTGAATAATAGTCCATTGTGCATGTATATCTATAAATATAGATACATATATACTTATATGTATCTCTATATCTATAAATACATATATATTTATATGTATCTCTATATCTATAAATATTTATAGTTTTATGTATATCTGTAAATATAGATATGCACAATGTTTGTGTGTGCAGAGCTTAAAGGTCAGCCAAAGGTGAGATCTTAGGACCTTTTCAGGTAATTTCTGAGCATGCATCCAGCTCAGGGCTTGTGCCTGGCCTTCCAGATTTTCAGGATTATGTGGGAGCTTTCCAAAGTCCTTATTCATGAAACAGCTCATTCCCCGGCTTTTCCTCTCAAGCTTTTCAGTCAGTCCTATTGTTTGTTCCAACTGTTATACCTTGCCTCATGTGACAAAAGCTAACACATTCAACTTAACTTTTACAAACATCGTTTGGTAGCCTCAAGGCAGATATCTAAGTCTTCTTTACTGGCAGTGATATCTACTGCTAAAACAATTCAAGAGTCCATAGGTGCTCTGGATTTCATAGAAACTCATGAAAAACAAACTCAGTTACATGTTGTCTGCTAATTCTACAAATAACACCTCACCTGACTTGAATCAAAATTACTACTGATAGCAAGGCCACCTCTTTGCTAGGCCAAACAAACCACCTACAGCCAGGCCCCTGCTTCAGGGTGAGCCCTGAGAACAAGAGAGTTTATATCGGACCCCAAAAGACAAGTGGGTCCCAGGTTGGATAATCTCCGGTAAATTGGTGAAACAATTACAATACTTACTAGGGTTACATGACAACAGTGCCAGTCTACTCCTTAGCTTCTGGAGGCAATCTTTCCTTCTGCACCTCCCTCTGTATCCATGAACGGCAGGATCCTGCTCCCACATAGGGATATGGTGAGCATGCAAGCAGGCCTCTTCTAGTAGACATCCACTCTTTTACCATATTAATTGAGGTTGAGTCTTCAAAAAATAAACAACTTTGACTGGCTCTGACTGACTTTTAGACATGAATGCCCAAATTCCTCTTATTCCAGGAAGCACTCATAAGTTAAAGTGATTTTTCTGGGGGGGTGAATAGCTTTGAGGAAGGGTAAATTAAAGAGGCAATTCCCTGCTCAACTATTAAAATTGGCCCCATTTTGCTAAAAGATGCTTTCATCCCGGTTGTCCCCCAAGACTATTCCTTTGTTCATCCTTGAAATGGACCTTCTCAGTCAGCACGTGATCTCATGGAAAGCTTTTACACTATTGGCGGGCACCACGTAGTGGAAAACAGTCAATCTTCCCTGCCAGTGTGAGTGGTAAATGCTCCAAGATACCAACCAAGGCAAAGAACTGCAGGATTGTGGTCTGTTATAGCTGACTTTGTCAAAGGAATTCTATTTTTTACCATGTTGCCTTTTAACTTCCTGGTGTGGCCTATGTTTAAAGCCACTACTAGAGAGTGAAGGCTAACTATAGACTACAGGGAGTTAAGAAAAATTATTCCTTTTATTAGAGCACCTCTATTGGATAATTGCTTTAATGAATGACCTTCAAAACATGGGTAAATAGTTTGGGTACAGACTTAGCTAACATGTTTTATTTAGTACACATTTTTCAGGAGAATCAATCACAATTTGCCTTCACATTTACTTGGTTGCTGCTATGAACTGAATTGTGCCCTCCCCCTAATTTATATATTAAAACTTTAATTCCCAAATGTGATGGGATTTGGAGACGGGGTCTTTAGAAAGTAATTAGATTTAGATGAGGCCATGTGGATGGGCCTTACTCAGTTTGGGGTGCCACAGCTAATTACCATAAACTAGGTTGCTTATGAACAACAGATATTTATTCCTCACAGTTCTAAAGACTGGAAGACTGAGATCATGGTGCCAGCGTGGTTGGGTTCTGGTGAGGGCCCTCTTCTCTGTTGCAGACTGCCAGCTTCTCATTGTAATCTCTCATGGCAGATCGCAGAATGACTCAAGTTATCTCAGGACTCTTACGAGTACTAATCCCATTCTGATCATCTGTTCTTAGCTCCCAAATGCCCACCTCCTAATACCATCATATTGGGAGGCAGGATTTCAGCATATGTATTTTGGGGTATGCAAACATTCAGTTCATAAAGTTTTACCTCTGAATTCCCAAAATTCATGTCGTTCTAACATGTCAAATGGAAAAGACAACACACCAAAAGAGAAAGATATCAGATAGGAGTATTATATTCAGAACATAGAAAGAACACTTATAACTCAAAAACACAACCCAGTTTAAAAATGAACATTTAAAAATGGATAGACATTTCTCCAAAAAACACTATACAAAAGGCCAATAAGCACTTGAAGAGATGTTTAATATGATCATTCATTAGGGAAATATGAAATCAAAACCAGGGTGGAAAGCCACTGCACACCCTCCAGGATGGCTATAATCACACAAAAAGAGCAAGTGTTGGTGAGGATGTGGAGAAATTGCTCACATATTTCTGGTAGAAATGTAAAATTTTATAGTACTGTGGAAAACAGTTTGACAGTTCCTCAAATTATCACATGACCCAACATTCAACTTTTAGGTATATATTTAATAAAATGGAAGACATATGTCCTTACAAAAATTTGTACATGAATGTTCATTGTAACAATATTCATAATAGCCAAAGAATGGAAGCAGCTCAGATGTCCATCAGCTGATGAAGAGATAAACAAAATGCACTACATACATGTTATGAAATATTCTTACAACCATAAAATAGAATGTAGTACTGATACATGCTACAACTTTTATGAACCTTGAAAACATTGTGCTGAATGAATGAAAAAGCCAGATACAAAAGGCCACATATTGTATGATTCCATTTATATGAAAGGTCCATCATAGTTAAATCCACAGTGACATAAAGCAGGCTAGTGGTTGCCAGCGCTGGGGGAGTAGAAGATGAATAGTGACTACTTAGTGTTTATATGTAATGAAAATGTTCTAGAATGAGATAGTAGTGATAGTTGTACAACATTGTGGGTGTATTAAAAGCCACAGCACTTGCACTTTAAAATGGCTAAAATGGTGAATTTTATGTTACGTGAAGAAAAATAATCACGATAAAAAATAAATAAAAAGAGACAGATTGTAATGGGCCATAAGTTAAAATAGTTATATTGGCCTTTACATATATTTTTATATATATCTCACTTTTTCTCAATACTATGCCAAAAATCTCGATATTTTCCATTTAATTTAATTTACCTTAATATTAAGCTAGGAAAATCAAAGAACTTCATAATATTTCAGTTATTAAGAGGTTGAAAATAAAGAAGTTGAAAATAAATTGTTATTCTTGACATAATTTAATCATTTAATCATTAATTAATATTAAGAGGGAGAAAGGGATACACATACAAAACTACAAGGAGAGCGATTTTAAAACTTTGTGTGGTTTTTACTTGCATTTCCTGTAATGATCAGTGATGTTAACGACGATGAGGTACTAACTCACACCAGTCAGAATGGCTATTATTAAAAAGTCAAAGAATAACGTGCTGGTGAGGGTGTGGAGAAAAAGGAATGCTTATACACTGGTGGTGGAAGCGTAAATTTGTTCAGCCGTTATGGGAGACTGTGTGGCAATTCCTCAAAGACCTAAAGGCAGAAATACCCTTCAACCCCGCAATCCCATTACTGGGTATATACCCAAAGGAACGTAAATCATTCTATTATAAAGACACATGCATGTGTATGTTCATTGCAGCACTATTCGCTATAGAAAAACATGGAATCAACCTAAATGCACATCAATAGTAGACTGGATAAAGAAAATGTGGTACATATACCATACCATTCCATACCATGGAATACTATGAAGCCATAAAAATGAATGAGATCATGTTCTTTGCAGAAACATGGATGGAGCTGGAGGCTATTATCCTTAGCAAACTAATGCAGGAACAGAAAGCCAAACATTGCATGTTCTCACTTACAAGTGGGAGCTAAATGATGAGAACACATGGACACATAGAGGGAAAAAACACACACTGGGGCCTACTTGAGGGTGGAGGGTGGGAGGAGGGAGAGGATCAGAACAAATAACTAATGGGTACTGGGTGCTACTTGGATGTTGAAATAATCTCTACATCAAACCCCCATGACACAAATTTACCTATGTAACAAACCTGCACGTATACCCCTGAACTTAAAAGTTAAAAAAAACCTTTGTGTGGATAAATTCTAAGTGATACAAATTATATTTTATCTAATCTCTCAAATAGCTATTTTATTTTGTTCATGCTATTTTAGTCAATATAATAGATCTTGCATCAAAAATCCCATTATGTCTAGGTTTTGCTTCATCTCATTAAATTAATTGTCTTAATTCCCAAGGACCATTATTTGTGTTTTGGCCATCTTTTGTGTCTGGACAATTTGCTATAAGTGATTTTATTGTAGCTCAACTCTTATTTATACAACATGTAAGTATTGTTCTTATGGCCAATTTTCAGAGATGCATATGTAATTTAATTTCATTTTGTTTTCTACATTTCTCTGTAGTACTATGCCAATCAGAATGGCTCAAATACCAAGGGAAGTGTTATTGGTTCTCTAATGAGATGAAAAGCTGGAGTGACAGTTATGTGTATTGTTTGGAAAGAAAATCTCATCTACTAATCATACATGACCAACTTGAAATGGTAATTGGTCTAGTATCAGGGTTATGGCATCTTTGCAGTAAAAAATGGCTTTCCTCAAATATCTTTCCATCTTTGCATTAAATCATCATTTACCTTGATTATCGAGTTTTGGGCACCCTCTTAAATTTTGTATTCCAAGTGAGTGCCTCACTTCTCATGCTAGATCTGGCCCAAATTCATATATTCAACTTGCAATTGTGTGTGTGTGTGTGTAACATATATATGATATAATGTGTGTATAAGTAAGATATGAATTGATTACCATAAGAATCCCTATGCAGAGTGCTTTTTTGCAATAACATTTAAAATATTCAGTGTGTCTGAATTGCTAAAATATTTTGTTCATTTAGTCCCTCGTCCACATTTTAGGCTTTTATACAGAAAAACCTAAGACAATTAAACTACGTATGGATTGGGCTTAACTTTACCTCCTTGAAAATGACATGGACTTGGGTGGATGGTTCTCCAATAGATTCAAAGATGTGAGTCTTTCTTAAAAGGCAATCTGATTTATTGTTTATTGTAGAATATGTCTCCTCCAGGTTCACCAAATTCAACTCTGAAATAGTTACTGGTACTACAGAATTCAAAAGAATGAAAATTAATTTAGTATTTACAGGAGTAATGATGGATAGTTTGATTTGACTTTTAAAGAAAAAGGATTTGAAAATGGTGGTTTATGATTTTAAAATTTCTCACACTTTATATAGAAAAGTAGATTGAATGAATGCAGTCTCTTATTTTTAAAGGTCTCAATGTTTTCTTTAGCCATCTTCAGTAATAAAATAAAACCAATGTGCATTTTTTGTGTTATGTGATTATCATAGTGTCAAAATACAAATGGTATATACAACATAGAACAAGATTATCCAAAAGTCTCTGAACAAATGCATGGAATTATTGATTTTAAAAGTTCTGTCAACATTTTTGTGCGCATTATTTTATAATAAAATATTTAATTAAAAATATAAACAGTAAAACAGATAAATTCAAAATCCTATTCCTATGTTAGCAGGCAAGATAATGGTCCCCAAAGATGTCCACATTCTAATTCCAAAATGCTGTGAATGTGTTATTTTATATGGCAAAAGAGCCTTTGCAGGTATGATTAAATGAGGAATCTCGAGATAGGGATATTATCCTGGATTATCTGGGTGGCCCCAATTAAATCACAAGGGTCCTTAGAAGAGGGAGGAAGCAGAATTAGAGTCATATTGGGAGATATGAAGTGGAACACAGAGATTCATATGATGTGAAATCACGTCTGTGAGCCAAGGCACGCAGGTGGCCTCGGATTCCTGCCTAGTACATCCAGAAGGTGACTCTGCAGACGTTTTGATCTTAGCCCTGTAGGGCAATCTTGGGCTTCTGATACTCATAGGTGTAAGATAATAAATTAGCCTTGTTTTAGGCCACTACATTTGTGATAATTTGTCATAGTAGTGATAGAAAAATAGTACATTATAGTAACCAACTTAATGGTGTTATTGTATTATTTTCCCCTTATTTCTATTCATCATTAAATATTACATATTTTCTATCTGACTGCACTAAATCAATATAAAAAGTGAATAAAAAACATTATTTGGAATGCAGTGTAAAATTATGGATGTGTGTCATCTGAGAGCAGAGTTGTGTCACTGAACGTCATGAAGTTGCCCAACTTGGTTTTGTCTTCATTCCAAATCCATTCATCACTACCCGTTAGGGTTGAGTTTTAAGTCTAGATCATGCTTGGAGATTTTTGTCCATAATATGTTCAATACAAAATTTAAAACTAAACTCGGACAAAGTGTATTTTCTAATATGAAAATTCAGTACTTACTTGCCCTTATCAATTTGGAAGCTTTGAAGATCATGTGCACCTTTTCCAAGATTCTTTCTTGAACTTTTTCCACAGGTCAAACAAATTTATCAGAATGTATCACTAACACTACATTATTTTATACATAAATTTGTTAATATTTTTAATATGTTACATTATAAGTAAATAATGCAATAAATATGCAATTTATTATTTAGGTCATGCACAGTTCGTTTTGTGTATTGAGTTCTTTACAAACCTCAATTCATATAACTGCTAAACAATATCATGAAGTATTATTATCGTTCTTATACAATTAGATATAAGAAGGCAAGAGAGGTTGTTAAGTGAGGTGTCCACATGGAGTTAATCTTATTTTTAATCTAACTGAACTACATGGGGCAAGAGGAGGAATACTAGAATGGGAATGTGGAGGGAAATTTATTCTTACTTCTGTTAGTTGCAGACTCTCTGGCAACTCTTGACCAACCACAGCTAACAAGGCTAAGTTACAGTTACTGTAATCGTTAGTGAATCCAAGTATGTAAAAATGCTTTGAGATTTTGAATTACTTTTTTATTTAAAAGAGGATATTAGCAGAAGACACAAATGGATGTCTTCAGCTACAGTGATTAACAAAGTATTTATTCTCTCTTCCCTAGATTCTTCATAAAGGGACCAGCTAAAGAAAACAGCTGTGCTGCCATTAAGGAAAGCAAAATTTTCTCTGAAACCTGCAGCAGTGTTTTCAAATGGATTTGTCAGTATTAGAGTTTGACAAAATTCACAGTGAAATAATCAATGATCACTATTTTTGGCCTATTAGTTTCTAATATTAATCTCCAGGTGTAAGATTTTAAAGTGCAATTAAATGCCAAAATCTCTTCTCCCTTCTCCCTCCATCATCGACACTGGTCTAGCCTCAGAGTAACCCCTGTTAACAAACTAAAATGTACACTTCAAAATTTTTACGTGATAGTATAAACCAATGTGACTTCATGTGATCATATCCAGGATTTTTATTCGTCGCTTATTTTATGCCAAATGTGATCAAATTATGCCTGTTTTTCTGTATCTTGCGTTTTAAATTCTTAATAAGGTCCTAAACAAAATTTCTTATATTTCTAATGGTTGAATTATAATGTGGGTTTATACATTTTTTACCCTTTTGTCAAAGAGAATTAACTTTGTTTCCAGGCTTTTGCTACTCTTCACTCAGCTACAATAAACATCCTGAATGTTTTCTTAAATAGTAGCACCTTTATTTCTATGATAGAAGCCCTAAAAGTAGTATTTCTAGGTAAAAGTGTTAAATGTGTTGTTTTATATTTTATACAATTTTTATATGTTGCACTTTTCTTTCCAAATTTAGAAGCTTTCAAACTTATAAGAAGATATTAGGTGCAGAAAAAGAATATACTTATTTCCTTGAGCAGTGGTTTGTAATTCTCCTTGAAGAGGTCCTTCACATCCCTTGTAAGTTGGATTCCTAGGTATTTTATTCTCTTCGTAGCAATTGTGAATGGGAGTTCACTCATGATTTGGCTCTCTGTTTGTCTGTTATTGGTGTATAGGAATGCTTGTGATTTTTGCACCCTGATTTTTTACCCTGAGACTTTGCTGAAGTTGCTTATCAGCTTAAGGAGATTTTGGGCTGAGATGATAGTGTTTTCTAAATATACAATCATGTCATCTGCAAACAGGGACAATTTGACTTACTATCTTACTATTTGAATATCCTTTTATTGCTTTCTCTTGCCTGATTGCCCTGGCCAGAACTTCCAATACTTAGTTGAATAGGAGTGGTGAGAGAGGGCATCCTTGTCTTGTGCCGGTTTTCAAACGGAATGCTTCCAGTTTTTGCCCATTCAGTATGATATTGGCTGTGGGTTTATCATACATAGCTCTTACTATTTTGAGATACGTTCCATCAATACCTAGTTTATTGAGAGTTTTTAGCATGAAGTGGTGTTGAATTTTGTTGAGGGCCTTTTCTGCATCTATTGAGATAATCATGTGGTTTTTGTCATTGGTTCTGTTTATGTGACGGATTACATTTATTGACTTGCCTATGTTGAACCAACCTTGCATCCCAGGGATGAAGCTGTCTTGATTGTGACGGATAAGCTTTTTGATGTGCTGCTGGATTCTGTCTGACAGTATTTTATTGAAGATTTTCACTTCGATGTTCTTCAGGGATATTGGCCTGAAATTTCGTTTTTTGTTGTGTCTCTGTCAGGTCTTGGTATCAGGATGATGCTGGCCTCATAAAAGGAGTTAGGGAGGATTCCCTCTTTTTCTATTGTTTGGAATAGTTTCAGAAGGAATAGTACCAGCTCCTCTTTGTACCTCTGGTAGAATTCAGCTGTGAATCCATCTGGTCCTGGGCTTTTTTCAGTTGTTAGGCTATTAAATACTGCCTTAATTTCAGAACTTGTTATTGGTCTATTCAGGGATTTGACTTCTTCCTAGTTTAGTCTTGGGAGGGTGTATGTGTCTAGGAATTTATCCATTTCTTCTAGATTTTCTAGTTTATTTGCATAGAGGTGTTTATAGCATTCTCTGATGGTAGTTTGTATTACTGAGGGATCAGTGGTGGTATCCCCTTTACCATTTTTTATTGCATCTATTTGATTCTTCTCTCTTTTCTTCTTTATTAGTCTTGCTAGCGGTCTATCTGTTCTGTTGATCTTTTCAAAAACCAGCGGCTGGATTCATTGATTTTTTGAAGGGTTTTTCGTGTCTCCATCTCCTTCAGTTCTGCTCTGATCTTAGTTATTTCTTGCCTTCTGCTAGCTTTTGAATGTGTTTGCTCTTGCTTCTCTAGTTCTTTTAATTGTGATGTTAGGCTGTCGATTTTAGATCTTTCCTGCTTTCCCTTGTGGGCATTTAGTGCTATAAATTTCCCTCTACACACTGCTTTAAATGTGTCCCAGACATTCTGGTATGTTGTATCTTTGTTCTCATTGGTTTCAAGGAACATCTTTATTTCTGCCTTCATTTTGTCATGTACCCGGTAGTCATTCAGGAGCAGGTTGGTCAGTTTCCGTGTAGTTGTGCAGTTTTGAGTGGGTTTCTTGTTCCTGAGTTCTAATTTGATTGCACTGTGGTCTGAGTGACTGTTTGTTATGATTTCAGTTCTTTTGCATTTGTTGAGGGGTGTTTTACTTCCAATTATGTTGTCAATTTTAGAATAAGTGCCATGTGGAGCTGAGAAGAATGTATATTCTGTTGATTTGAGGTGGAGAGTTCTGTAGATGTCTGTTAGGTTCGCTTGGTCTAGAGCTGAGTTCAAGTCCTGGATATCCTTGTTAATTTTCTGTCTTGTTGATCTTTCTAATATTGACAGTGGGGTGTTAAAGTCTCCTGCTATTATTGTGTGGGAGTCTCTTTGTAGGTCTCTAAGGACTTGCTTTATGAATCTGGGTGCTCCTGTATTGGGTGCATATATATTTAGGATAGTTAGCTCTTCCTGTTGCATTGATCCCTTTACCATTATGTAATGCCCTTCTTTGTCTCTTTCTATCTTTGTTGGTTTAAAGTCTGTTTTATCAGAGACTAGGTTTGCAACCCCTGCTTTATTTTATTTTATTTTATTTACTTATTTATTTATTTTTGCTTTCCATTTGCTTGGGAAATATTTCTCCATCACTTTATTTTGAGTCTATGTGTGTCTTTGCACATTCAATGGGTCTCCTGAATACAGCACACCAATGGTTCTTGACTCTTTATCCAATTTGCCAGTCTGTGTCTTTTAATTGGGGCATTTTGCCCATTTACATTTAAGATTAATATCATTATATGTGAATTTGATCCAGCCATTATGATGCTAACTGGTTATTTTGCCCATTAGTTGGTGCAATATCTTCATAGCGATGATGGTTTTTGCAATTTGGCATGTTTTTGCAGTGGTTGGTATGGGTTGTTCCTTTTCATGTTTAGTGCTTCCCTCAGGAGCTCTTGTAAGGCAGGCCTGGTGGTGACAAAATCTCTCAGCATTTGCTTGTCTGTAAAGGATTTTATTTCTCTTTCACTTATGAAGCTTAGTTTGGCTGGCTATGAAATTCTGGGTTGAAAATTCTTTTCTTTAAAAATGTTGCATATTGGCCCCCACTACTCTTCTGGTTTGTAGGGTTTCTGCTGAGGGATCCACTGTTAGTCTGATGAGCTTTTCTTTGTGGGTAACCTGACCTTCCTCTCTGGCTTCCCGTAACATTTTGTCCTTCGTTTCAACCTTGGTGAATCTTATGATTATGTGTCTTGGGGTTGCTCTTCTCGAGGAGTATCTTTGTGGTGTTCTCTGTATTTCCTGAATTTGAATGTTGGCCTGCCTTGATAGGTTGGGGAAATTCTCCTGGACAATATCCTGAAGAGTGTTTTCCAATTAGGTTCCGTTCTCCTCGTCACTTTCAGGTACATAAATCAAACATAGGTTCGGTCTTTTCATGTAGTCCCATATTTCTTGGATGCTTTGTTAGTTTCTTTTCACTCTTTTTTCTCTAATCTTGTCTTCTCACTTTATTTCATTGAGTTGATCTTCAATGTCCGATATCCTTTCTTCCACTTGATCGATTTGGCTATTGATACTTGTGTATGCTTCACGAAGTTCTCGTGCTGTGTTTTTCAGCTCCGTCAGTCATTTATATTCTTCTTTAAACTGGTTATTCTAGTTAGCAATTCGTTTAACCTTTTTTCAAGATTCTTAGCTTCCTCGCATTGGGTTAGAACATGCTTCTTTAGCTCGGAGGAATTTGTTATTACCCGCCTTCTGAAGCCTACTTCTGTCAATCTGCTCCTTTAGCTCAGAGGAGTTTGTTATTACCCACCTTCTGAAGCCTACTTCTGTCAATTCGTCAAACTCATTCTCCATCCAGTTTTGTTCCCTTGCTGGTGAGGAGTTGTGATCCTTTGGAGGAGGAGAGGCATTCTGGTTTTTGGAATTTTCAGCCTTTTTGCAGTGGTTTCTCCCTATCTTCGTGGATTTATCTACCTTTGGTCTTTGAAGTTGGTGACCATCAGAGGGGGTCTCTGAGTAGATGTCCTTTTTGTTGATGTTGATGCTATTCCTTTCTGTTTGTTAGTTTTCCTTCTGACAGTCAGGCCCTCTGCTGCAGGTTTGCTGGAGTTTGCTGGAGATCCTGTTTGCCTGAGTATCACTGGCAGAAGCTGCAGAACAGCAAAGATTGCTGCCTCTTTTTCCTCTGGAAGCTTTGTCCCAGAGGGGCACCCGCCATATGCCAGCCAGAGCTCTCCTGTCTGAGGTGTCTGTCGGCCCCTACTGGGAGGTATCTCCCAGTCAGGATACATGGGGGTCAGGGATCATGAGGAGGCATTCTGTCCCTTATCAGGGCTTGAACGCTGTGCTGGGAGATCTGCTGCCCTCTTCAGAGCTGCCAGACAGGGACGTTTAAGTCTGCTGAAGCTTGGCCCACAACCGCCCCATCCCTCAGGTGCTCTGTCCCAGGGAGCTGGGGGTTTTAACTATAAGTTCCTAACTGGGGCTGCTGCCATTTTTTCAGAGATGCCCTGCCCAGAGAAGAGGGAATCTAGAGGGGCAGTCTGGCTGCAGAGGCCTTGCTGAACTGCAGTAGGATCCACCCAGTTTGAACTTCCCGGTGGCATTGTTTACACCGTGAAGGTAAAACCACCTACCCAAGCCTCAGCAATGGCAGACACTCCTTCCCCCACCAAGCTCGAGCATCCCAGATCGAGCACAGACTGCTGTGCTGGCCGGGGAGAATTTCAAGCCAGTGGATCTTAGCTTGCTGGGCTCTGTGGTGGTGGGACCCACTGAGCCAGTCCACTTGGCTCCCTTGCTTCAGTCCCCTTTCCAGGGGAGTGAATAGTTCTGTTTCGCTGGTGTTCCAGGCACCACTGGGGTATGAAAGAAAACACTCCTGCAGCTAGCTTGGTGTCTGCCCAAATGGCCGCCCAGCTTTGTGCTGGAAACCCAGGGCCCTGGTGCGTGTAGGCACTGGAGGGAATCTCCTGGTCTGCAGGTTGCGAAGACTGTGGGAAAAGCTCAGTATCTGGGCCAGAGTGCATGGTACAGTCCCTAATGGCTTCCCTTGGCTAGGAGAGAGAGTTCCCTGACCCCTTACACTTGCTGGTTGAGGTGATGCCCCACCCTGCTTCGGCTCAGCCTCCTTGGGCTGTACCCACTGTCCAACCAGTCCCAGTGAGATGAACTGGGTACCTCAGATGGAAATGCAGAAATCACCCACCTTCTGTGTCGATCTCTCTGGGAGGTGCAGACTGGACCTGTTCCTATTTGGCCACCTTGCCAGTGTTCTAATTCTTCTTTTTTTTTGAGACAGGGTCTCACTCTGTCACCTAGGCTGGAGTGCAATGGCATGATCTCAGCTCATTGCAACCTCTGCATCCTGGGCTCAAATGATCCTCCTGCCTCAGCTTCCCAAGTAGCTGGAATTGCAGGCATGCACCAGTATGCCTGGCTAAGTTTTGTATTTTTTGTAGAGATGGGGTTTTGCCATGTTGCCCAAACTGGACTCAAGCAATCTGGATGCCTCGGCCTCCCAAAGTGCTGGGATTACAAGTGTGAGCCACTGCGCCTGGCCTTGAGGTTACATTCTAAACAGGTTTCTTCTCAATTATAGGTCCCTAACCTCCCTTTTCTTAGAGCATCTACTTTAGCAAACTTATAATTGTAAATTCTTACTCTGCCCTTTTGACATATCAATCTTTTAAAAATCCTCTGACAGATTTTATAACCCAGGAATGTCTTCCTAAAGGACCTGGGACCATCTCTGAAATGTAGTCCTCAAGCATGATAGAGCCTCTATTTCCCAGTCTCTGTGGGAGGGTAGGAGCCTAAAACTTCAGTGTGATAACTTGCTTCACTTTATAAAACTATCACCTGTCACGGGATTTGTCTTTTTTTTTTATTATTATACTTTAAGTTTTAGGGTACATGTGCACAATGTGCAGGTTAGTTACATATGTATACATGTGCCATGCTGGTGCGCTGCACCCACTAACTCGTCATCTAGCATTAGGTATATCTCCCAATGCTATCCCTCCCCACTCCACCCACCCCACCACAGTCCCCAGAGTGTGATATTCCCCTTCCTGTGTCCATGTGATCTCATTGTTCAGTTCCCACCTATGAGTGAAGGATTATGTGAGGGGGCCCCCAAAAGATTTTAACAAGGTTCATACAGTATTTTCTTGGTCTCAAATACTTATCTTTGGTCATAATAATGTTGCTATTCCTTTTAGTATAGGAAAAGTGTCTTTCACGTGGGAATTTCACCTTTTGCTTTTAAGAAACAGCATAAAAGTAAAAATGATTTTCTTTTATATTTTCTGACTTTCCAGTGTTTTTACTTAAATAACCAGTATGCCAGAATGTTTGAGGAGTTTGGAAAGAATTTAGCTTAGAGAAAGATAAAGAGGAAGAATTAGAAGAGGAAAGCCCTGGAGAGGAAAGAGTCTCAGCTAGCTTTGAGGTAGTATTTTGTGGTGACGCAATCAATTGAGATTAAGATATAGGAGGCTTATTTGGAGTGCATAATTTTATAGCTGTGTTCTTTTAGTTTAGATTTAAGAATAGAGGTTTTTTTGTTTTGTTTTGTTTTTTCTGAGACAGAGTCTCTGTCGGGTTCACACCATTCTCCTGCCTCAGCCTCTCCGAGTAGCTGGGACTACAGGTGCCCGCCACCATGCCCGGCTAATTTTTTTTTTTTTGTATTTTTAGTAGAGACGGGGTTTCATCGTGGTCTCTATCGCCTGACCTCGTGATCCGCCCGCCTCGGCCTCCCAAAGTGCTGGGATTATAAGCGTGAGCCACCGCGCCTGGCCTAAGAATAGAGTGTTGAATGATCTCTATAATATTTGAACATGCTACCAGCTAGAGTCACAAAAAATATCTTGGCATGCCTTTAAACTTTGAGAATCCATTTGTAACTACATTTATCTAGGTGATTAATTTATCTAGGTGATTTTGTTTAATGCCAAATACACAAAAGCCAATTAAATGCAAGCACTGATTATGAAAAAGCCGAATAAATCCAAGAAGGAAGATCAGCTGCCTTCTCCAACTGAAGGAAAAAATAAAAATGCTTTTGATGAGGCTTCAGCCTGAAAAGAGAAATCCCATCACCCAGACCTCACAGCTGAGCTCTGCCAGGAAGAAAATAGTCCTTCCTAACAGAAGATCTTCCAAGCAGAGGGAGAAAGAGGTCTCTGAAACAAGAAGAGGAAAGATTCCTCCTCATCCAAAATCCAGATAACACAGAAGCAAACTAAAATTTGGAGTTCAGTCCAAGAGATTCACCAGGGAGAAATGAGGCAACCTGCAGAAAAAGTGACCCCACTGTGTGAGTCAGTGAGCCCCAGTGTGAGTACATCATGCCCTAGCTCTGTGGGCCAGTGATTCTCCCCAAGCTGAGTCAGCTTTGGAACCCAGCTTGACACCAAGTAGGTCAAAATCAAAATAAAATATTGGGACAGATCTCTACACTTAAAATATTTTATTAGAGAGGTGAGAATTGTAATTTGGCATAAATGCGAGGACCAGGGGGTCTTTGGTTTGTCTAAAGCACAAAACGAAGGTTGGAGATGTTATTAAAAAAAAACAACAACAAAGTTACGTATTGTTTTGAAAGAAAGTTTATTGGCCCTAGTAAAGTTTTGAGGAGCTGGCAAGTTCTGATTGGTGTGTGACAGTGGTGGGTAAAACCAGTTTTGCAGTCACAGTAGGTTGTTTTAATAGCTGTTAGATAAAACTGGTTTTAGGTTACAACAGGTAGTTTTAGCAACTAGGTTTGTAGAGAATTATATTTTGAAGCAATGCTGTGTGCCCTGAGTGCCTTTTTCCCCTGGCCTGTCTACCCTGTTTTAGTTGCATATGACAAGAATGACCCCATTTGTTTGATCAACTTGTACAGATCAAAGAAAGTTTAATTTTCTTTTGGGTAAAGCCAGTTAGCAAACACATACGGTGTGTGATCTCCTCCTCACCTTCACTCTTAAAGCCCCACCCCCCTTTGTTTTGACAGATTTCAGTTCAGACTGAGTCCTAGTCTCTTTTCCCTATTGTAATAGTCTTGAATAAAATAGCCATTGTCCATATAACATTGTTCAGTGCCATTCTTGCTCTGTCAGGAGGTACTTCATCTTTCCATTTATGTCTTTGTGGACTCCCAGTTTCACATTTTGTTCAATAGGCCATAATCTCCTATTCTGGTACTCAAATTGTTCCATATTGGGTCATGAAAGTCCTGTCTAAGTGCTATGTCTGTCCTTGATCCCCACAATTGTTTTCTGGTTTACAGTTAAAAAAAGAAAGAAAGAAAGAAAGAAAGAAAGAGAGAGAGAGAAAGAAAGAAAGAAAAAAACTCAGCAGAATACCTGTAACCATTTTTTGCCAATCTTTGAAGTGGCTTTTATGTGTAGCCTGACACGTAAGCAGAATTAACCAGACAGGTACAAAACTCGAACTTTGTTTAATTAAAAAAGTACTTTGCTGGTTTTACACTTAATAATGTTATTTTCTATTTTCCCCATTATCTTAGACATTAACTTAGTGTATTCTTTTCCTGCAAATCCATTTTCTTTCGGTGTAACATCTAGCTGTTGCTGCACCATCATCGCTGAGGTAGGCACATCCTTCACTCCCTCTCATGCCAAACCTGCAACAAAGGGATTAACCATTATGTAGTCATGTGATTTCTTCCTTGCCCATGGACACCTTTAAACAAAAATTCTACTTGTCTAAAGTGCTGCAAGGTGTACTATGGCACAGTTCTCTCTTGCTAGTGTTGAGATACCTATACCAATTTGGATCAAAAGAGTTTCTTTTCCAAGAATTTGTACATGTTAAACTGGCATTAGGTTGGTTACATGTAATCAGTGGAGCTATCAGTTCGTATAAACCAATGGTTTTCAATTAGGGGTGATTTTGCTTCCAAACCAAGGGACACTTGACAGTATTTGGATTTTTTTTATTGTCTCAAGCGGAGGCAGAGGTGAGTAGGGTGGATAGTTTATCCAGGGGTGCTGCCAATGCCCTACAATGCACAAAGAAAAGTGCCCCTTTTCCACGACAGAGAGGTATTCAGTACAAAATATCAGTAGTGTTTCTATTGAGAAACTAACATAAACTAAGTGGCTAAGTGACTGAGAGTCACCATTTGGGATGTGTACACACATTTTCCAAATTATAATGCTAAAGATATGAAGTCCAGGACAAACTGCATAACAGTGAAATTGCAAATAAAATCAGATGAAAATGAACGTCAAATTGAAATTGAACTGTAAAAGACATCAGAAAATAGTCAACAAAAAGTTTAAAGAAGAGTCATATAATTGGACAGGATAGTTTATAATCAGAGAAAAGTTTAAATTGGGGTGGGGGGAGTTGTGTATATGAATCTCAGGTCTTTATTTTCAAAATAGCCAACTAGGAGATCTGTTCCCTTACATCTTAATTTCCAACCTTCATGGTTGCCTCCTTACATGAATCTCAATATATATTCAATCCCCCCTCCATCTTTCTAACATGTGCAAAACTCTTGGGCTCTAGAGAAATTTAGCTAAAGCATAAGTCCTAGAGAAGGCTGCACTATCTAAATTTAAGTGATCCCAGAAAAAAATAAACTCACGATTTGGTAAATGTAGCTCCATCTACCCATTGTCCTGTTCGATTTTTTGCCATCTTCAGTCCAATCCAGTGATCAGAACTGCATTTATACCGCCTAAGAAAATTCTTTAGAGACAAAATTAATTTCAAAATCATACATGCCAATTTTTATGACAACCTACTGTGTACCTCTTGTTTCGTAGGTTGTGAAGTGCAAGGCAACAATTGTTCAACTCCTGGCCTCACTAGAAAATAGCTATGGAGTTTTGAAAAAGTACTTTATTTTTCCTCTGACCTTCAGTTTTTTTTGTGAAACAAATATGTTAGATACATTTTCTTTAGATATGATTCCAAATTGATAAATGTTCAATTTGAATATCTATTCCTTCACAATTTTCAAACTGTAAGCTCCTAGAAAGACAAGTTTGAAATTGAGCTCTCGCACAGCATTTCCAATTACCACATATTTATTACACTATTTGTCCACTTCCCAGTAAATAGTAGTAGCTTCATTTTAGTGTTATGTTTTACTTCAGTTTATCTTCCCAAACTACATAGGTAAATACACACACATACACATCCTCATATATCCAGTTTCTTTAGAACCTAATTATCAAATTTTATTTTTCTGCTGAACATTTAAATTTCCAAATACATCATTCAGAAATAAATACAATGCTTTTTTTCCTGACATTTCTTCTTCTGATGCATTGTTTAACTTACCTCGACCTTGCTTAACCCTCGACCTTTTTCTTTAATCATAGAATTACATGAGAAAGTCCTTGAGGCTACTCTGCTACTAAATAGCTTGGAAACTATATTCACACTGTATCACTCTACTTTTCAATTTAAGAGAAATATAAAGGAGGTAGGCCAGATCACACCACTATGGTCAAATCCTATCTACCCCAACAGTGACACCTGTGACTTTTGACATTTCAATACACTATCTTCACAGCATTGCATAAACTAATTTGAAAAAAATAATTAGTTGGGCTAAGTTTTGGCTTTACAAATAAACAGATTAATAAAAACATTGTCCTACATTCAAAGGCCTTCATTTACAGTGAGGAAAATAATGTAAACATAATGTTAGAAAATATTCTACTAGACATGGAAAAGTTATCAGTGTGATCAATACAATGTGAAATTGGAATTTACGGAAAAAAATATGAGTTTTTAAGGGAAACTTTGACACAGTATGTGCTCTAAGGGAAGAGTAGAATATTCCGTGTAAATGCAGACGGCCAAGGAGAAGAGGGTAATTCATAGTCTAGACTCAGGAAAGGCTTCAGGAGAGAGCTTGACTGGTCTTGGTGACAGAGAACTGGGAGATGTGTTTCCTAGTCCTGCTCTATGAAAAATGTTAACATTATTTGCTCAATAAAAGCTTGCCCCATTTTAGCCCCTTGTTAGAAGTGCAATAATTCTAAATAGGTGGAAATAGATATAAAAATATTTTGTAAGACAAACTTTATCTCATATTATTTTGTAATTAAAATGCACATTTAAATTAAACTATTTTAAATAATCGATTACAATTCTTATGTAAATTTCTTCTCCACTCCACAGACAGCTTTACTTCATTCTGTTTGTCACTTAAATTTTGCCAGTGTATGTAGTATATAATAGTCATCCATGGTCTTCAAAATATATCAGGATATTTTATGATCAGTATTTTTTCTTCATCCAAACAGTACAAGCATTCTTCCCTGATACATTTGAAGATTTCTCTTAAGTTCAAAACTAATTATTTTTATGTACTTCTGGTCTTCACATTCCATGATCCTCACTATTTATTTAGTCAATCTTTGCTGACAATATTCCTATAGTGGACACATTTATTTTAATATTGATTGTCTTTACATTTCTTCATCTTTCATTTTATTAACACTCATTATTTTTCCATCTCACTGCTAGTTTAGCTTTCTTTCCCCCAAGAGGAACTGTAAGGAACAGTCAGAGTGTTTCTCAGAATGTTCATTTTCAAAAGTCTTGCAAAATTCAGCAGTGACGTTATTGACTACAGAAGCCCTTCCTATGATATTAAACTTGCACCTTAATTCTTGATTTGCAGTATCTACTCCTAATCCATCTAGCTTTCAACATTTTACTACCTTTTTTTCTTGCAAAATAGTTTTGTTTCCTTTCACTGACCTATAAATTGGCTCTGCCTGATTCACATGCATTTAAATTGGAACCAATCTTCAGGCAGATTGAGTAAATAAACTTTGTTCACCACACGGGTAACACACAATTGTCTTTTAACAGTGTTGACTCTTGTGCTATTCTGCTTTTCATTGAAACACTTCTCAACAGCAAATTATTTGCAAAAAATATTTTTAATCAAGTTATATTACCTCTTATAATTTCTTTTCATTCTTAAAGAGACCAAACAAAGGTAAGTATGTTTACAATATAAATGACTAGGGGAAAGAACAAATTTCATGAATGTAGAGGTGCAGTTTTTCAATCCCTTGTTAAAGTTCTTGGAGAGCCTCTTTACTCATAGAGATTTTGTCATGTAAATCAAAATTTATTCAACAAGGATCCATTAGACTTTTCATTTGTACCTGCTTTGTGCATAATGCTAAGGATAAAATTTCACAGAAGACATGGTATCTGCTCACTGAAAACTTACACTCCGGTCTAGGAGGAAATTTTGATTTTCCTCTCTATTGCATTACTGGTAGAGAGTGTTCTAATGGAAGCTGCCACGGGACCTCAGAGACAGGCAGCAAAACAAAATGGAGAAGTCAGAGCAAAGTTTCTCTCAGGAAGTAGAATGCAGAATCCCCTCCTTCCTCAGACAATTCTCCTTTCTTGGTGGAGTATTGGCTCTTAAAACGTTTTCAAACATTATCAAGCTCTTCTGTGTACACTCTTTAAAATATAAAGATAGGTATTAAGTCTACTACTTGATGTTAGTCTTACATTCTTCAAACAAAGCATCACTAGGTGTTTCACCTTTATGTCACATGGCATACTCTGAACATCTTCAATTTTCTGCATAGATAGGCATGAGTGAAAAGACTTCAAGATTATAATGGTGTTTGAATATTTCTAATGCTCCGACTCAAGAAAATTCACAAAGAATGTATATTAAATTACTTACCATTTCTTCTATGTTGTCAATTATAGTTAGGTCGGCATGTTGAGTGGAACAGTTGTATTTACTTGAATTCCAATCTCCTTCTTCTTTAGAGAAATAATAGCATTTGTTTTGGAAACCAATCCAATCATAGGGGCATAAACTCTGAGAATCTCGAGTTAGTTTAACTGGAAATGAGACAAATATATATCTTAAGTACCATATAGAATAATATGCTACTGTGTTTTGAGATCACTGGACACAGGTTTTTGATGTAAAAGATTATGGTCACTATGAAAGTTGTATATCTATTATATGATAAGTTGAAAAAATTTTATGTCTTTGTCATGTTAGGTCAAATGACAGTAGTTTAAGATTTATCAGGGCATTTCTTTCAACTTCAACTTCAGTGATACGTAGGCCTTCCAGGAGCCAACAGAATTATTCTACTTGTGTAGGTTACCGTTACCATTTCTAGGTAAATGAATTAAAAGGAAATCCTAGCATTACCTAAGAGTAATACAAGTAATAATTTGTATTAGTCACTAATGAATCTAAACACATGATTTAATCTACAAAGAAGCAACAAAAATAATAAAGCAAAATACAAAATAAGTTGGACTGCTTATTGTCAGCTAGGAATCACCATCACTGTATAGCTCCGGTTTAGCCAATGAATGGAACTAACATGAGATTTGGAAGGTGGAAGTAAAGCAGAAGATATAATTCCTGGAGACCATGAGCATAGGAACTTCACAGGTCTTTCCATGTGTTCCCCTGTTGCAGTCTTGGCAGCTAGATATCTTAGCTTCTTAGACTTTCCTCCAAATGCATGAGTGCATTATGCCAATATTATTAGTGACCATTTCTCCTCCAGCTTGTAGCACAGCCCCAGCCTTGAGCTATGCATCACTTCCAGATCTTCCCACATTCATGTTATCCCTAATTTCTACATAAAAGCCTTATTCTCATAATATGTGTTTGTATTTTGGAACACACCCAGACTGAATCAGTTTTTGGCACCAAACATGATTCTAAGGAAACAGAACCTTGAGGATGAGATATGGTGTTAGTTTTTCAATATCATTCACTTTAAAGGCATTGATCCAACTACCAGTTATAAATAGAATGCTGATGGCAGTGGAGCATAGTAGCAAAATAATCAGTTAAATTATCACCTATAGTCATCTGCTGCCAAGAGTCTATAGAAGATAAAATTTTATATACATACACAGTGTGTATATATATATGTATATAGGTATGTGTACATATAAGGGTGTATATATACATATACACACATATGTGTATATATCTCTCTCATGTACTGTCTAATATAAATTAGTGTTTGTGTTACTCTTAGATAATGCTAGGATTTCATTATAGTTCATTTACCCAGAAATGGTAAGGATGACCTTTACAAATAGAATAATTCTGGTGCCTTCAGGAAGATATATCACTGAAGTTGAAGTTGAAAGGAATATAAATGCCCTAATAAATCCTAAACTACTGTCATCTGACCTAACATGACAAGACATAAATTTTTTTCAACCTGTTATATGATATACAAATTTTGCTGTGACCATAATCTTTTACATCAAAATCCTGTGTGTCTTCAATGTTCTTTCTCAAAACACAGTAGCATCCAAACTTATGGGATTCAACTAAACTTGTGGGACACAGCAACTCCCTTAAAGCTTACAGGAAAATTTATTGGCTTAAGATTATGTTTTAGAAATGATGAAAGACTTTTTGAAAAGATAATTATCCTACCTTACAAAGTTAATAATAGTGATAAATTAAAACCAAAGTAGAAAGACACAATTTAGAAAACAAAAAGAACAGAAATCAATTGAATAAAAAATTAATGCCAAATAGAAGAAAAGTTTAAAGTCATAAGATGACTTTTGTTGAATACTCTAAAACAGGATTGACCACTAGGAAAACTGATTTTAAAAAATGTAACTGTGAGAGATAAAAACACAAATTAGCAACACAAAGAATGAAAAAGTAGAGAAATTTCTAGAAGAACACAATTTAACACAACTGACAAGATAAAAGCAGCATATCTAAATAACACTATATCTAGTTAAAAAATTAAATCTTTAACTTAAAAAATTGCACAAAAAGAAATCTCCCTGTCCAGATGGCTTCAATTAGAAATACTTCTAATCGTTTAGGAAAGGCATAACACCAACGTTATACACACTCTTTCAGAAAATAGGATAGGAGGGAATACTTTCCAACCAAATTTTAGAAGCCATCATAATCACATCAATACCTGATAATAGTATTGAAAGAAAGAGAAACTATAGGTAGATCTTTTATGAAGACGTAGGATATATGTGCATATATCTTAAAATACTATTCAGCTTAATTGAAGAATGTTAAAAGGTTAATAGGTTATGATCAAGTTGAATCTATCACAGAAATTGAAGATTATCTTATCTCAATATTACAAAATCTGTGTAGTTCTACATATTAGCAGAGAAAAGAAAGTATCTCAATAGATCAAGATAAAGCATTTGATATTTTAAATTAAATTAAAGGGAAGTAAATAAAACACCTTTAATCTGATTAAGAATATCTGCAAATACTACTACTAAATTGGGAAATATTAAAAAAATTTTACTGATTTAAGAATGAGACAAACATGTAAGCTGTTACTACTTATACTCAACCTTATACTGGAAGTTATAGCCAGTAAAATAAGAGAATACAATGAATAAAAAAGGCATAAGGTTTCCAACAGAATAGGTAAAACAATTATTATTTTCAGATAATGTAAATTTTTACATAGAACTTGCAAAAGAAACTGAAGAAAATTTATGAAAATGAATAGTTAACTATAGCAAATTTGTTATATGAGGCTTATATAGGTATATATTAAATTTATATAGATAATTTTTATAGGCCAGCAAGAGACTAAATAGGACAATAGTGTTAATGAAAATACTTCTATGCTAGTTACAATTGCATTATAGCGCATTGAGTCTTTAAAAAATTCTTAAAAGGATGTGTGTGAAATCTATTCTGAAAACTAAAAAATTGCTGGCAGAAATTACGGAACACCGAATCAATATTTTAAATGTATGATTCAATATTAAGATAATGATTCCATGAAAATTGACTATGGTTTAATGCAATCTCAATCAAAATTACAGATAATTTATATGGCAGCTTAAAGGATCTAAAATGCTCCAGGTAAACTTGAAGAATAAAAATAAAACTTTTAAAACATTTAAACAACCAGACATCAAGACTTAATTATAAACCAACAGTATTGAGACAGAATGATATAGATACAAAGATAGATAAAATAGAGTAAATTAATGTAATAAAATTTTAGCAAAAATGACCTTCACCTACACAGTTGATTGATGACAAAGACCAACTGCAGTTGAGTAGGGAAAGTATAGTCTTTTTAATAAGTTATTTCAGGTTGAAAGATTAACTAAATGGGAAATAATGCATCCTAATATCTATCTCCTAAAATTTATAAAAATCAACTTCAAGAGGACTATATTTTGGAAAGTGAAAGGAAAATAGAAACCCTACAAAAATATTTTTATGTCTTTGAAGTAAAGTGAATTTCTTAGAATGAAAAATATAGTGACAATAGAGAAAGACACAATTACACTACTTTAAAATTCAGAAGCTCTGTCGATTGAAAGACATGACACAGAGGGTAAACTTCAGCTTCATAGTTAAAGAAGATATTTGCAATACCTATAAACTACAAAGAGTCTCATCTAGAATATTAAACAACTCTTATGAACCAAGCAGAAAAAGAGAGCTAACTTACTAAAATATGGGGAAAGTATTGAAACATTCCCATCACAAAATATTACACCTAAATAAACAACAATTATGAAGGTACTGAACAGTATTGATCATCAGAAAAACGTCAATTAAAGCCCAAATCGGGTAACAACATGCACTCACTGGAATGGCAAAAATTGATAAAACCAACAATAAAGTATTGACATGGCATGGAGCAATTGGAATTCTCATATACTTCTGCTGAGATTATCTACATTTTTGGTAAAATACACTTAAGCTAATCTATGCGTATTCTGTGCTTAATAATTCTTCTTATATCTCAAGTTATTTCCAGTATTCATTAAAAGACAAAAATATAAAATTATACAGTTGTTCACAACCACCCAATTTGCAATAGTCAAAATGTAACACGATCCAAATGTTCATCAAAAGTGATACATAGCAGTGAATGCACTATACTAAACATCCGCTAATACAGCCTGAGGCCAACTCAGCTCACCTTCTGTTTTTGTACAACCACCAGGTAAAAATAATTTTTACATTTTAAAAAGAAATAAAGTAATCAAAATAATTAAAAATGAACAATATTTTGTGACATATAAAATTTTATAATATTTACATTTCCATGTTCAATTTTATTGACACACAGCCATGGTCAATGTCTATGCATTTTCTATGACTGTGTTTCTATGAAAAATTAAGTAGTTGCAGCAGAGACTGTATGGCTAACAAAGCATAAAATATTTACTATCTGGGTCTTTTTATAAAAAAAATTTCAACCTTTTTCCATAATAGTGAGTTAATGAACTTCTGCTACCTATGATGACATTGAAAAATCACACAAGCATAATGTTGAATAAAAGGGAAAAGATACAAAGATACATGCAAATTGCATGACTGTATTTATGATACATGCAAATTGTATATTGTATTTTATATGTATTTAAATTTGATTATATTTATATAAAATTTTTTAGTAGGCAAAACTAAGCTATAGCAATAGAAGTCAAGATAGTGATTAACATAGGCAAGAAAGTGTTGAATAGAAGTGAGATTATCAGGGTGAATAATTTTACCACAATAATTTTGGTATCTCTGATGCCTTACATAGGTCATGTAATTAATAAAATTTATTCATTTGTACCAATTAAATGTTATCATGTATAATGGGAAGATAATGAGATACTGAGAAAAGATCATGACTGAGACAGAAAGGAATAGGATCACACATAGAAAGCCATGAAAAATAAAATGAAGGATGTAACTTACCTATCAGAGTAATAATATTAGTTGTTATTAAAACACCAACAATTATAAAACACTTTTTATGTTTGGTCATCATACCTGAAAAATAAAAATAAAGACATTTAGGAGACTTCTGGCTCCAAAATGATGGCATAAAAGTAAGTTGGCTTTAATGTCCCCCACAGAAAACAACAACAAAATATTAGTGCTGTGATTATCCCCAGCAATATCCTAGAATTCAAATATGAGAAGAAGACAATTCCTGGAGCCACAGGAAAGTGAAAAACCAACAAAAAACTCCATACAGATAATAAGAGAATTAGACTTCCATATCCATGAGGACTCTCCCTGCAATCTTTCCGGTACCCAAGGGCATGGAAACATCATTTCTATACTGGAAAAAGTGAGATCAAGATGGATAACCAGCTTCCCCACCAGCTTGAGTTTCCTGGCAGGAAACTTGCCCCTGCCTTAACACTTGGGAAGCATCGGGGTGCCTGAACGAGGACAGGCAGAGACAAAGTGGGGAGGCAGGACTACCATCCCCAATACCAGAAACTGTGCTCTGTTACTTGGCCAAAGGAGATGTCAACTTAGAGTGGCTGTCGAGCAGCATCATGGTATAGGAGGTTTGTTGCACAGGTCCCCTGGGCTGGAACACCTCGTCAGTCTTCCCACACTACTGGGATATCCCCTTTGGAAGCACCCTCATTTGGTATGAGTGGCACTCTAATTGTTTACTAGAACCAAGGCAAACCTGGGTTAAGGCACCATGTAGTCATAACAAGGAGGCCGAAACCTAGCTGCCGCCCCCCACCCCCAAAAAAATCGACAGGTAAATTACAAGGAATATTTAAACAAACATATTCAATGTAAACCAAAACAAGCCATATAAAATCCTTCAACACAAAGACATAGATGCATATCCATAAGAAACAACAGCAAACAGGGAACTGCGATACCCCTAAATGGACAAAGTCGGAATCAGAGACAGATCTTAATGAAATGGCAATATGTGAGCACTTGTACCAAGAATTCAAAATAGTAGTTTTAAGAAAACTCACTGGTCTCTAAAATAACACAAAAAACAATTCAGAAATATATCAGAGGAATTTAACAAAGGGATTGAAATAATTTTTAAAAATCAAAAAGTGATATTGGAACTGAAAAATACATTTGCTGAACCGAAAATTTTATTAGCGGCTCTCAAAAGAGAATGGATCAAGAAGAAGAAATAATCGGTGAGCATGAGGATGGGCTTTTGAAAATACACAAGGAAAGGAGAAAAAAAGAATAAAAAGGAAGGAAGAATGCCAACATCTTGTAGAAAATTACTGCAAAAGACCATATCTAAGAATTATTGGTGTTTAAGAGAGAGTCAAACCAGAGCAAGAGGTAGAAAGCTTATTCAAAGAAATAATAACAGAAAGTATTACAAAGCTTGAGAAAGAGATAAAGATTCAGGCAGATAAAGGTCAGAGAACACCAAACAGATTCCGACCCCAACAAGACTACCCCTAGGCATAGAATAATCAAACTCTCAAAGGTCAAGGAAAAAGAGAGGATCCTAAAATCAGCAAGAGAAGAGAAGCAAATAATATTTAAAGGAGCTCCAATTTATCTGATGATAGACGTCTCAGTGGAAACCATACAGACCAAGAGAAAAGTGATGACATTTTTTAAGTGCTGAAAAAAAAAAAAAACCCTGCCATCTAAGAATACCATATCCTGCAAAGCTGACCTTCAAATATGAAGAAGAGACAATGTTTCCCAGACAAACAAAAACTGAGAGAATTCACCACCACCAGACATATCTTATAAGAAATGCTAAAGGGAGTTCTTCAACCAAAAAGAAAAAAACACACGAACAGAAAACAGCTGAATATCTAAAATACACTGATAAAATTAAGTGTATGCACAAACCCAGAATACTCTAATACTGTAATTGTGGTGCACAATCTTCTCATATCCCTAGTAATGAAGACTGGAAGATAAATCTATCAAGAACAATGATAACTGCAGAAACCAGTTAAGAGGTAAGCAATAAAAATATGTGAATTGGGAAAACTAAATTAAAAATGTGTGAGGGTGGAGTAAAAGTGTTTTTTTCCTTTGTTGCTATTCTTTGTGATATAAGTTGTTATCTCTTTAAAATAACTTGTTATATCTATAAGATTTTTTATAAGCCTCATAGTAATCACAATGCAAAACCTATAGTAGAGTCATTAAAAATAAAAAGCAACTAATTAATATATACCACCAGAGAAAATTATATAACCCCAAAGAATGACAGTAAGAAAAGAAAAAAGAGAGAAATTTAAAAACAACCATAAAACAAGCAACAAAACAGCCCCAGAAAATCCTTACTTAACAATAACATGGAATTTAAATGAACTCAACTCTCCAATTAAAAGACATAAAGTGCAGGCCGGGTGCAGTGGCTCACGCCTGTAATCCCAGAATTTTGGGAGGCCAAGGCAGGCAGATCATTTGAGGTCAGGAGCTCAAGACTAGCCTGTCCAACATAACGAAACCACATTTCTACTAAAAATACAAAACTTAGCTTGGTGTGGTGGTGTATGCCTGTGATCCTGGCTACTCAGGAGGCTGAGGCAGGAGAGTCGCTTGAATCCAGGAGTTGGAGGCTGCAGTGATCTGAGATCATGCCACTCCACTCCAGCCTGGGCAATAAAGCAAGACTCTCTCAAAAAAAAAAAAAAAAAAAAAGCATAAAGTTAAAGTGGCTGACTTGGTAAAGAGAAAACCCTAACTGTATGCAGCCTACAGGAAATCTGCTTCACCTATAAAGACACACAGAGAATGAAAGTGAAGGGGATGAACAAAGATATTCCATGCAAATAGAAACCAAAAAAGCCGGAGCAGCTATACTTATATCAGATAAAATAGATTACAAAACTTTAAAAGACTACTTTAAAAAGAGACAAAGGTTACTATATAATGCTAAAGAGGTCAATTCAGCAAGAGGATATGACAGTTCTAAAAATCTATGGACCCAACACCAGATCTCCCAAGTATATAAAGCAAACATTCATTGATCTAAAGGGAGAGATAGACTGCAATGCAATAATATTGGGGGACTTTAACTCCTCACCCTGAGTAATGGACAGATAATCTAAACAGGAAATCAACAAGGAATATTGGAGTTATACTGCACACTTTACCAAATATATCCAACTGACACGTACAGAAGCACTGCTGCAGAATACTCATTATTTTTATCAGTACATGGAGCATTCTCCAGAACAGACCACATTGTAGGCCAAAAAACAAGTCTCAATAAATTAAAAAAAGTAGAAATCTAATCAAGTATCTTTTCTGACCACAATGGGATGAAACTAGAAGTCAATAACTTGAGAAACCTCAGAAACTGCACAAACATGAAAATTAAATAATGTGCTCCTTAACGACCAAAGAGTCAATGTTGAAATTAAGAAAATTTTAAAAATTTCTTGAAACAAATGAAAATGGAAGCACAATAAACTAAAATCTGTGGAATGCAGAAAAGCAGTACAAAGAAGGAAGTTTATAGTAATAAATGCCTTTAAAAAAAGGTAAAAAGACTTCAGATAAATAACCTAATGATGAACTTAAAGGATTTGTAAGAGCAAGAACAAACCAAACCCCAAATTAGTAGAAAAAAGAAGTGTTAAAAAATCAAGCTCTTTCTGATGAGGTTTCTTATCTTTCATATATAACCTTATTAATATCATGAATTATTTATTAATTTTCTTTAAACCTCAGGTATCGAAAAGACAGGAAGTTTTTTCTCTGTTTTCAATGCCATGAATCAAGTAAATATGTCAGTATGTCATTCCGTTTTTCTCCCCATGAATTGGCATAATGTAAAAATATAGATGTTAGAGATATCATGATTTCAAAATCTTGATCAAACCTTTGTGGCATGTAATTGTATTTTCTTACCCCCATTTGATCCTATACTCTTCATCCATTAACTAGTACCACTTCTATTTTTTTTTAAAGAGCATATGTGTGTTGTGTTTTTAGAAAGTATAGTTACAACAGGAAGTAAATAAAAGGTAACTTTTGCTATTATTTTTTTCTTGTGTTATAGTTGTCCTGTTTTTAAATATTTTAATTATTTTGTGTGTGTTAAGAGTGTAAAGATTATTTACATTTGCAGCAAGTGGAAGTATTTTTTGAGTCAATTTCATATCTGTTATTTGAAGGAGGTAGTCAGACCATTTTGATATTCTTTCTTCCAGAATGACTGTTGAAAAGAAAACCCTAAGCTGCTTAAATCAATGGCCTTTTCAATTAAAAAAAAATCTAGCTTATTGAAGTAATGTTTCTGAAAATTGTGAAGGGATTTTAAAAAGAGGAAATAACTTCGAGCTAACAGGTAGAGAGAAGGGCAATGCACATCCTGACAATATGAGAAATGACAATTTGCAGATACAGCGGAAAATAGGAGCCCTTTCCATTGCAAAGTTGGCAAGGTATTAGAGTATAAGGACTTGGTGGTGTATACAGAGTTGGTAGATTTTACGTACAGATGACCCCAGCTTCAAAAAAGATGATCGTACTTTAAATGTGGCAAAGAAACAGTGTGGCTTTTGTTATGAGTTCAGCACAAAATAGCAGAGCTAGACCCGAAGAGGTCATTTATATTGGAACATGGTCTTCTCAGGTGTAATCAGTGGAAACTGATGAATGGAGACCATTATAACACTTTGGTGTCTTATACAACCTGGGAAACTTCATATAACCTTGGAAGAAATCTCTCACTCTCAATACCACCAAATGACAGAAAGTAAGTAAACTGTCCTGTCCATTCAGTGGGATGGAGACTTGAAGTAACATTTAATTTTATTTAAATAACTAATGAATTCAACATTTATTGCATGTCTGAATATGTAGGTACAAATTTAAACCTATTATGTGTTCATTCTCTACTTAATCTATATCGTGAACCCTGAAATCTAGCTTTTTACACTCAGCATAAGTTGTTTTCAGTTGTTTTTAATTTCCCAGAATCTTTTCATTGTTACTGAATTCTCAATACTTATTTAGGAGGCTGTAATTATTTACATGAGTTATCAGAAAAATTAGTGGCATTGGTAGAATGTGGTTAGCATAGCTGCCTTTCAAACAAATTAAAAAATTGTGATCTCCCACGATGAAGCTGATATCGAAACATGAATTTCAAAGTTGTTGAGCCTTCTTAACGTTTGATGAGGCTATGCTTAAAAGGACACTTCCCCAGACAGTTCGAGAACAATGGATTTAATTAACAGTGTAACTAAAATAGTTCTATATTTAAATGTATAATCTAAACAGTTAAGGACTGCAATTGTTTTCCCCATAGAAAAGTTTCAGTGACTCAACTGTTTTCTGTTTGATTCTGCTCTCTAAGGAAAGATAAGAAAGATGCAGAGTGACCAATGCATTTAAAATCAAACAGAATATTATTTTTCTTGGCTAATAGCTATAGAAAAAAATCATAAAATACTGATAAGCAGAGCAAATAAAATATTTGTTAAAATGTATATAAAAACTGACTGAATTATATCACACTGCCCTAAATTACCGCTATTAAAACGATGTTCATAATTTCAGATATATATGTATCTATAATATATACAATATTATACTGAATATATTATTCAGTAACTTTTAAAATATATTCATATGTAATATGATATATAATATTGTATTATATAATGTATTTATATACAAATGTATAAATTTATACAATTGATTGAAAGTAGAAAATAACACTGGTTTTACTAGTGGCTGGAAGGCCTTCTTAAAACTTTTGATTAAAATGATATTTTATGCTACCATCAAATATTGATCTCATTCCCCGCAAACCTGTTTTATCTAACTTTAGGCAGAATTATAAAACCGGTTAAAATACGGGAGGAAGGATAAAGTGTGCATTCTATTGTACCACAGCAATAATTTTTTTGACCGTAGCATACGCTGGTAGGTTGACATTTAGTTAAACGGGAAATGCTTAAAGCTCATCACAGTCCCTAAATCTCTAAATCATAGATCGTTGTATTGAATGCATTTAGTTTCAGCCTTTTCTCTTTCAAATATTTTGACATAAATAAACCCTGTTGAAATCTCAAAGATGTAGCTTGGATCTTATATATTCCGAACTTGCTATTTAATAAATCCAATGTTACCAGGTTGTTTCATAGTGTATTTTTTAGAACATTTTCTTTCCTTATCCTTCTTAGGGTTGGTAAAGACATCTCCATGGATATCGGAGTACTAGCAATTCCTTAGTAAGAGTAGGAAAGGGATATATTCTTTCCGTTAAGTACTCCTAAAGCCCGGAGTATCTTTACACCATCCAATAAAGCAATCTTTAAAAATATTAGAACTATTGGCTAAATTTATCATATTATGTATGCATTCTGAGAACTGTATGAGTATCTGGATCATATCTATCATCTTCTCAAGTATTTGTTTTATAAAATACTTAGTAAAAATGAAACTAAATCTTGAGCAGTTTTAAGTCATGGTTAATCCTTCTCCATTGTAATTCAAATAATGTAAAGTAAGTCTGAATTTATTAGGACAAAACAGTCATATGCAAATCTCAATCTTGTTATAAGAAGGAATTTTCTAGTTTCACAAAAGAAACCACAAAATTTAATTCTTTTCTCGAAGGCTTTAACATTCTGCATCACAATTTCAATAAATAACGGTCATTCTAAACAAACAAAAATGTTCTTACCGTGCTTCTTTTAATCAGCGTTTTGATTTTCTGCTAGCAGCTTTGTGTCATGTCTTGCAGAAACTCTCTTCAAAGTTGTAACTTTATTTAACTTTAATATAAAAATGTTACTCTTGTTTTTACAGCACAGCTCCAAACTAGAGGTATACCACTTTTGAAGAGTAACTCAAAGTATAAATAGCATTTTGCAAACTGGAAGTAACCATGTGACTATCTATTAGTCATACTGTTGTTTATTACAATTTTCTTCTCGTCAAAAAAGAAAGCTTGCCAAGGAGGAAGGAAGTTTGTGATATAACAATTTAAAGCTGAAGAATAAACACATATTTTCTTACTTTCTCAACTGGGATTCTCATCTGAACCACAGAACACGAAATTGCTCAAGTGGCTGTTTTTCTGATTCATCCAGGAGTGGTACTTAACCACGTATCCTTCCAGAACTGTAGGAGAGGCTGATACTAATTAATTCAACAGCATTCTTTAGGACATTACTGCTTTCTTATCCTGTGTTAAGAAAGATCACCTTAAAAGCGATAGAATCAAAGAAAAAGCAATGGTTTAAACTTTGGCTACTGAAAGAAAAACAAAAACTATTATCTCTCTCTCAAAGACAAATGCGTGCAAAGTCACACGTGTGGGTGTGAGCACACACACAAACACACACAAAGACACACAGAGGGAAAAAAGAAAACGAAAGTAACAAAGTGCCCAGAACGTTATCATCAGCATACAAGATGACACCATTATGCTTTTGCTAAGTTACCAGGCCACAATTTTGTCTTCAAATCTGCTCTAATCAGTTTCCCAGTGATTTTGTATTACCCCTCAACAAATATATTAGGGAGGAAACTGAGGAGAAGAAGCCAGTGTCCCGCAAGCGGCTTCGGGATTAACACTGCATTTGTTCTGAGAGAGAAACTTGAAGAGGAAAAGCAAATGAGAATAGAGAAGAAACTGTAGTACAAAGGAATTAAAACAAAGAAAATATGAAGAGAATAAGAAATACAGGTTTAATCATTTCTGGGCAGAAGGAAAGGACAGATAACAAAATTGCTCTTTTCATTTTTGGACAGAAAAAAAAGACAGAAAATTCATGAGGAAATGAATATATTCTACCTTTGTTGTTAACAAAAGATTGTATCCAAAGAACTATTAGAAAAGCATGTATAGAAAAATATAGAGATTACTCAAGTATGGTTGAGTGAAATTTAGTTTTGTTCCAAAAAGGAAAACAGTCAAGATACAACAGTTAAGATATAAAACATTTTCAACACAGGGAAATGTTCCCCGCTGTTGCTTTGCAGTTCATCCTCACCCCTGAAGCCAGGCAGCAGCCAACTTACTGTCAATAAACATGAGCTTTGCTGGTTTTAGAAATTCCTGTTAAGCAGAATGATACAGTTGGCAATTCTTGTAAGTCTGATGTCTTTCACTGAGCATAATGTTTTTGAGTTTTATCCATGTTTTTGCACAGATCAGCAGTTAATTTCTTTTTATTACTGAGTAGTATTTCATTGTACAGACATAAAATATTTTTATCTATTTTATAATAAAATGTATCCATTATGACATTGAGCTTTTTCCACTTCTTGGATATCATAAGGTCAAAATAAACATTTATGCAAAAGTTTTTCTATTGACACGTTTTTTAATCTTTTGAAGAAATACCTGGATGTGAAACTGCTAGGTTACATAGAAAATGTATGTTTTATTTTATAAATGTATTTTTTTCCAAAAAGTTGTGCCATTCCCAACATGAATATTGGATGGTTCTATTTGCTCCACATAAATAGCAATATTAGATATGCCCAATCTTTTTCAATTTAACCATTCTAGTAGGCGTGTAGTAGAATCTAAATGTGATTTTAATTTGTACATCTCTGATGTTATATTGAGCATTTACTCACGTGCGTATTGGTAACTCATATATCTTTTTTCAATGACCTATTTAAATATTTTTCCCATTTTTATGGATTTATTTGTTTCCTTATGGTGATTTTTAAGATTTTATATATATGTAAATATATATGTAGAGAAACATACACATAAAAATGTGTATATAAATAAGTAAAATGGGTTGCAACATAATATAGAAAAATTCCATTTTTAGATAAATGTATTAAAAATACTTTCCATCATTTGTATAGTGACTTTTCACAATTTTTTTTCTCAAAAATTTTAAAAATCTAGAAGCTTCTAAACGTTGGACTCTCTAATCCTAACAAAGTTACATGTTCTCCCTTGTCGAGGTCATGCCTTTTTCCTTAAAGAAAATATTGTGCCCTTCACACCCTCCTTACAGGAATCCCTCCCTTACTTGCCTTTCTTAGTTATTGGTCATAAGGCCAATAACTAAGGTTATGTGCTAAGCTTATAAGGGAGAGAAAGGGCTATACTCAGAATGAATTTGGACCTAACCAATATATAATAACAACAGCTTGGAGTGTACACAATGGGATTGGATTCTGAGGGTGCTAGATCATGAGAGAAACATAAAGCTGGATAAGGGAGATTTTATCAACATTAGGGCATTCAGTTGCAATACAGAATTTAATAACTTGGAAAAATACTGTGAACAGTGCTGACATACTGCTGAAATAACTCCAAGAAGATTGGAGAAAGCAATGGCTCACGCTGAGTAGAGTAACATTCCAGAATTCCCATGGCAGGTAGCTGAAGAAAAGATAAAAATGCTTAGAGAAGTGGGCATGCTACAGTGGATAAACTAGATAAGGACAGGAAACCCACCAACTGACTATGTTCTATGGGATGATATAATGGGCACCTTATTTACCAAAGCAGTAAGGAAGGCGCTGGTGGAAGAACTTAAGTCCTACATAAACATCACTGAGAAGCTTAGCATAGTTCTTCTCTACATGCCAAAGATTACAGTGGGAGATGTTCCCACAGAACTGAATTCAGAGAGAGTATTGGGACAGGGTTTGAAGTAGGAAACGCCAAGTGTCAGAGTGCCACTCTGAAACAAGCTGGGGCCAATTATAGTAATGAGGGTCAAATTGCAATAGCAGCCAGGATTACTGACATATAGAGCCATAGCAATGTCAGATAGAGCTCAATGTTCACAGAAGTAATATAGAGAGCCAAAAAGGGTGCTTCCACTTCTGTGCTGTCCTTTAACAACTGGTGGAACAGAGAAAAACACACACATAACAAGCTCTGGTTTGTAACACCAGCTGATTTCCGTGATGTAATTATTCCCACCATTGCTGATTTCAAGGTACCCAGGTGACATCACTGAACACACAGAGTTGGAAATAAATATGCAGTAGTACAGCATTACGTATTATTTTCACTATACGGATGTAACAGATGTTAATAATTTCATGCATGGATAATAGCAAAATCTTCTAAAAATCATCACAAATTGATGAGTTCTAAGTATTTATTTTATTAGCTTGGCATTAGGGCCACAATGACTCCAAATGTCATGACCCAGGTTAGGTTCCAGCCCATGCTGAGGTCTGAGGGGAGTGGGTGGATGGGCGATAGCTGAAAGAACACTTGGGGGCCCTAAGCAGGTGAAATGTAGTTTTATTTACCAACAGCGACTCTCTCACACTGTCTGCCTTTATCTCCGCTGTCTGCTCTGGCTCTGGGACTCCTGCCGCCGCCACGCCTGCAGCAGCACGCCCTGGCCTGCAAGGCCAGCTCTGTCAGGATTAGCAGCTTAACTCTTTCCCTCTGGGCACAAGCTCGTTCCTGGTTCCCCTCTGCCTGCCTTCAAGGCGACTGGCTCTCCCTTACAAGGGTCAATAGTGCTACTCTCTTTCTGGGCACCAGTGCGAGCCATGTCATGCCATGCCACGCCATGCTGAGCCAAGGCAAGCCCAAGAGCGCCTGTACAGCATCAGCAGGGCAGTTATACCTTTTCCAAACAATAGTGGATTTGAGCCAAGTATGAGCTTACACAAACAGGTTATATAACAAGTGGAGTTATATGCCTGCACTCCAAACTCATTAAGTCACTATGGCCTGGATGTCTGCCTCAGCCTACTTCTTGACCAAAGCACATTTATGCACCTTACTGTTGGTGCAAAAGTTACTTTAGATAATTTTTAAAAATAATGATGTTTAACAATTGGCTCGAGAACCCTTGAAAATTTAACAGTCAGCTGTATACCACTGACTTTGCTGGACATGTACAACGGGAAAGAAATCAAGGGTGGATTACTAGTAGGCTAAGGGCAACCATGTACTCAAAACGTATAAACTATTACCCTAATCTAGTTTGGCCCAAGCCAGTTTTCTGACAGAGGACCCAATAATGGGAGAACTCATCCTTAAAAAGAAGCCCTCTTCAACACCAAGACTAGAGTAAATGGTAAGTATTTCTCCAGTCCATCCCCAGTGCGACTTATATTAGGCTTCTCAAGCTACCATAATGAAATAACATAGGCTGGGTGGCTTAAACAACAGAAATTTATTTTTCATCATTCTGGAGGCTCAAAGCCTAAGATCAAGGTGCTAGCCAGGTTAGTGTTCAATGAGGTCTCTCTTCCTGGAGCCGACTACTGCCTTCTCACTGTGTCCTCACATGACATTTTCTCTGTGTATGTGCAGAGAGGGTATCTTTCCCTCTTTTTATATGTATACCAGTCTTATGAGATTAAGGCCTTACCCTTATGACCTTATTTAACCTTAGGTTCCTCCTAAAGACACTCTCTTAAAATATAGTCACACTGGGGGTTATGTCTTCAGCATATGTGTTTGGATAGGAGCACAAATCAGTTCACAACAGGATTCATGGCCATTTATTTGAATAACTGGGAAAAAATCCAGGACATACATTTCTAGGATTACAGAATGCAGATGTAAGTTGACATTGATTCCCAAGAAAGGATCATGACCCTCCTGTTAGAGTAGAAGCTTATGGAGTCCCAGTAATAGAGTATTTGCTTATGTCTGGTTCACAGTAGGCCCAAGGACTCACCCAGTAGACATTCTTTGGTCTTTGAATACATAATGGGACACCACATACTTAAGAATTGGTACAAAGTTCACATTGGTTCCTTGGCCAGCTTGGTATGTACTGCGGTGAGAAAGACCAAGGCTCCTGAAACTGCTCCCCTCCTCTCCACTGGACATGATAGTCAACCCAAAATAATTCTGCATTATAGAGCGAATGACAAAGGTTATTGCCACCCATAAATACCTCAAAGACACAAGGATGCTGGTATCCATTTACCTCTATTTTATTCACCAGTGCAGCTCTGACAAAACTATATGGATTCTGGATGATGACAATTGATTATTGCAAGCTCAATCAAACAATAATTCCAAGTGTAGCTGCTGATTTAAATACAGAATACTTGTTAAAGCAAATTACCCTATGCTCAGGTACAGAAAATATGGCCATTAATTTGGCAAAAGAATTATTTTTTTATCTCTTTTAACAAATGAGTACCAAAAATATTTGGTAGTTATTTAGGGCTGACATGAGTAGACACTTACATTCTTGCCCCAGGTCTGTTAACTGTCCCACTGTCTATCATAATATAGTGAAGAGACCTGGACTGCTTGGACAGCCTACAAAATTTAACTCTTGTTCACTGTGCTAATGACAGTATACAAATTGAACTAGATGAGAAAGAAGGAGCAAGTACATTGGAGACATTGGTAAGATGCATACACTTCAGTGAGTTGTGAATACAGCAAAGATTGAATGGCCACTGCATCACATCAGTGAATTTTTTTTTTTTGGACAGAGTCTCATTCTGTCGCCCAGGCTGGAGTGCAATGGCGCAGTCTCGGCTCACTGCAAACTCCGCCTCTCGGGTTCATGCCATTCTCCTGCCTCAGCCTCCAGAGTAACTGGGACTACAGGCACCCGCCAATTTTTTTATATTTTTAGTAGAGACGGGGTTTCGCCATGTTAGCCAGGATGGTCTCAATCTCCTGACCTCGTGATCCACCCGCCTCGGCCTCCCAAAGTGCATCAGTGAAATTTTTATGTTTACATGGGTTTGGTGCACGCCAGGGCATCTCTTTAAAAAAATAGAGGACACAATGTCTGGTAGTCTTCATTGGATACTGAAGGGCCATTGTTCGTACTTGGAAATAGAGTTCTAACATACATATTGGTGTGTCTGGAATTGGTGGGTTCTTGGTCTCACTGACTTCAAGAATGAAGCGGCGGACCCTCGTGGTGAGTGTTAACAGTTCTTAAAGGCGGCGTGTCCGGAGTTTGTTCCTTCCGATGTTCGGATGTGTTCAGAATTTCTTCTTTCTGGTGGGTTCGTGGTCTCGCTGGCTCAGGAGTGAAGCTGCAGACCTTCGCGGTGAGTGTTACAGCTCTTAAGGCTGCGCGTCTGGAGTTGTTCCTTCCTCTCGGTGGGCTCCTGGTCTCGCTGGCTTCAGGAGTGAAGCTACAGATCTTCGCTGTGAGTGTTACAGCTCATAAAGGCAGTGTGGACCCAAAGAGTGAGCAGTAGCAAGATTTACTGCAAAGAGCAAAGAACAAAGCTTCCACAGTGTGGAAGGGGACCCCAGCCAGTTGCCACTCCCGGCCAGGGCAGCCTGCTTTTATTCTCTATCTGGCCCCACCCACATCCTGCTGATTGGTAGAGCCCAGTGGTCTGTTTTGACAGGGCGCTGATTGGTGCGTTTACAATCCCTGAGCTAGACACAAAGGTTCTCCACATCCCCACCAGATTAGCTAGATACACAGTGTCCACACAAAGGTTCTCCAAGGCCCCACCAGAGTAGCCAGATACAGAGTGTCGATTGGTGCATTCACAAACCCTGAGCTAGACACAGGGTGCTGATTGGTGTGTTCACAAACCTTGAGCTAGATACAGAGTGCCGATTGGTGTATTTACAATCCCTAAGCTAGACATAAAGGTTCTCCTTGTCCCCACCAGACTCAGGAGCCCAGCTGGCTTCACCCAGTGGATCCCGCACCTGGGCTGCAGGTGGAGCTGCCTGCCAGTCCCGCGCCCTGCGCCTGCACTCCTCAGCCCTTGGGTGGTCGATGGGACTGGGTGCCGTGGAGCAGGGGGTGGGCCGGCACTGCTGGGGGACCCAGGGACCCAGCACACCCTCTGCAGCCGCTAGCCCGGGTGCTAAGCCCCTCATTGCCAGGGGCCGGCAGGGCCGGCCGGCTGCTCCGAGTGCGGGGCCTGCCAAGCCCACACCCACAGGGAACTCGCGCTGGCCCGCAAGCACTGCGCGCAGCCCCGGTTCCCACCCGCGCCGCTCCCTCCACACCTCCCCGCAAGCTGAGGGAGCCGGCTCCGGCCTTGGCCAGCCCAGAAAGGGGCTCTCACAGTGCAGTGGTGGGCTGAAGGGCTCCTCAAGTGCCGCCAAAGTGGGAGCCCAGGCAGAGGAGGTGCCCAGAGCGAACGAGGGCTGTGAGGACTGCCAGCACGCTGTCACCTCTCATTAGGGGACACAAAAGGCTGCAAGGCTCCCATCGTGGCCCAGAGAGTAAACATGGACTCCTCCGCAAATCTGGCTGCAGCAGAAGCATCTCTACCACTGGAGCCATGTAACTTACCGCACTGTGTAATACCAGAGGTATCAACGGTGAGAAAAAATTTTGTGGAATTTATGGCCAAGTCCTAACGGGTGAAACATAATTTCTACTGATCCTTTGAGTCCTAGAGCAATACCAGGTCAATTATAGCTAAGCATTTATAGAGCTTTTGTGAAATAGCTCCTGGCATGCTACTGGACCTTGCAGAAATAGATTACTTGGATGTGAGTCAGCAGGCATCCGTATGTTCTGAACTGCCATTAATAAAATGAAACCCACCCAGGCGCAGTGGCTCATGCCTGTAATTCCAGCACTTTGGGAGGCCAAGGCGCGTGGATCACTTGAGGTCAGGAGTTCAAGGCCAGCCTGGCCAACATGGTGAAACCCCGTCTCTACTAAAAATACAAAAAATAGCCTGGCGTGGTAGTGGGTGCATGTAATCCCAGCTACTCAGGAAGCTAAGGCAGGAGAATCACTTGAACCTGGGAGGCAGAGGTTGAGTGAGCCAGGATTCCACCATGGCACTCCAGCCTGGGTGACAGAGCGAGACTCCCTCTCAAGAAAAAAAGGAAAGAGAAACCTGTAAGACTCACCAAATATAAGTTCAGGCACTCCCAGCAGCAATTCATTATATGATGAGATTGGTATATCCAGAATCAGCACAGGCAGATTCTCAGTGAAAAGGCAAGCTGAAGACCCCTATGCCAACCAGAGAGCACAGGCAAGCTTCAGAAATGATACTAATGATACTATCCAACTGTTTCACTGGCACCTCTCCCTCGGCTCATGTCTATGGCTGTTTAAGATATTTCCTATTACCTGCTGATAAACAAGGAATAAAGTTTAGTTGGTTCTCAGAAAGGTCTGTTTTGGATGTAGATGAAAGCTCTAATTGGACGATGGTTACACGACAGCACCACTAACTGAGCTTCATAAGACAATAAAAATAACTCACATTTAAAACATATATGAACTCCTGGGCAATGGGTAACATGTGTCTCTGTCTCTGCCACTGGAGTGAAAGCTCCACGAAGTCATGAAATCAGAGGGGTTTATCTGTTTTACTTGTTGATGTATTCTCAGTGGTTAGAACTGTGGCTGTAGCATAACATATATTCAAAAAGTCTTATTGAATGAATCAATATACGAATGAATATATACAGAGGAATAGTCATAAATACATTAGTAACAGAAAATGAACAAGGCACAAATAGTTAACCCATAACAATGCATATACAGTCAGTGTATCCAAAGTTGTCTAAACACAATGAAAATCCAAGAAATCTAAAGTGAAACAATGCAGCAGCCTATCAGATTAAAAATGTGTCTATAATCACTTGAGCTCAGGAGTTTGAGGGTACAGTGAGTTATGATGACACCTCTACATCCAGCCTGGGTAACAGAACAAGACCCTGTCTGAAAAAAAAAATGCCCATTTAAGATTAAAATGATAATCTGGTATGGGTGTGGGAAATTCTAAATTTCAGAAGCGTAGAAGTTGTAACGTTTCTGGAGAGAATGGAGACTTCCTTTTATTAACTAATTCATACATGAGGATATGAATTTTGTAAAAGATGCACATTTTCTATGTCTATTTTGGATTTGTGGGGCATCAGATTTATTGAGTATCTCAACCCTTAAAGATACTCTTTTGTTTTATATGGGCCAAGGGGAGAGGGCAAAAGGAGACTAAATGCCATGAAGGAATAATGTCAGCCCACACGGAGTTTGAGCCAAGATGATGGCTTTTAAAATGGGAAGTAATGAATTTACTAGGGAAATACGCAGGGGGTTAAACTGACAGAACTTAATTACTAACTATATAGAGAACACTGAATAAATCTATAGTTTGGGAAAAACATTAAGATACAAATTTTAGACATCTTCAAGTTTTGATACTCTAAAATATTTCAGCATTCAATCCCACCAAATCTGTTAGACCCATACTGAGAGAATTGGCCCAGGCATAGAAGGTAAAGGGAAGAGAAGTTTCTGAAGGTACTTGATGGCCCTTGGGTAGAACTGAGGGGTCTGGCGCCCAGGATGGAGGGTGGGGGAACAGTTTTAAAGTTGCTACCTTTTATACAGTGAGGAGGCTAGGCAGTCATTGACCACCTTCTCTCTCCTTTCTACAGCCTCCTCCAGGCTTTGATTTCCTCTCTTCAAGGTCAGTTTTGTGAACCGATTTTTTAGGAGGATGGGGGGATGGAGAATGCTTTTGTGAGGGAACCTGGTGACGACCTGCTGTGGCAACTGTTCACTGTTGACTATAGATGTATTGGGAGATGCTACAGCGGAATCAGGCTTTCTGATATCAACGGCAATAATTTGATTCTAGAGGTCAAGGGGTTGCAGTTGCCACAATAAGCCAGAGGGAATGATTAGTAATCAGAGTTTTCATCCACAGAAATCTGTGACAATGATTAGCTGATTTTAAGTTTTGGGAAATGAAAAAAAAAGAAAAGAAAAGAAAAACAAACAAAAAAGGATATTTCACTAAGGAGCTGCTTGATATGCTAAGGAAAATTACATGTATGTTGCCCAGAAACTTAGCCCGTATTTTCAGAGAGGAGATTCATTGTGTCTTACCCAATCCCCAGACTTCCATATAGTTAGTAGGCAAAGCTCTTCGCAGACCAGGAACCACTCAACTGGGGAGGAGGTAGGTTTGGTCTCTTGGTGAAGGACATTGTAACATGGCCACAGGTGTAATTATGATATTTATTCCCCAACACCTAAACCGGAGGAAACTTCAGTCATTTTCTTGAATGACTATACACTGGGAAAAAGCTGAGAACCTGTGATGGTTTCCGGCTTGTATTTACAAACAGAAATAACAAGTATTTCTTTGCTGCCTTGCCCAGGTGTATGTCAGCTCTCCTGATCTCTGTTATAAGATGGCCCAGAGGGAACTAAATCATCTTGATATAGCTCCCAATATGTTATACCTCAGAACTGGTTGCACACAATAGATTCATTACATTGATGCTATCATGCCAACTGTTCCTGGTGAAAAGTAGGCAGTAAACCTACTACATATTTTTATAAGACATATGTTCACCACCATTAACTTGATCCAACTTGACCACTTTGACCCAATGAACCCTATGTTTAGAAGTGCACAGAAGCATTTTATCACAAACATAATTGTGCCATTTTGGAGGCAAGGCCTGAACAGTTCCAAAGAAGCACAGTAAACTGCATGAGCAGATGGCTCAGACTCCGATGGCACATGTTCGCATTCCTTTGCTATCTCCACCTCAACCATACCTATGACCCGGGTTGGGGATGGAAAAGAGGGTTCTGTACGATCTTACACTGAAGTAGTTGAAAAAAATAAGTTTATCAGTGGTTATGTAAAATACGGCAGCTGGAATAGATGCCACACTACAGTCCCATTCAGGAGAAGACTGTGAAAGACAGAAGTGAAGGTAAGTCTTCCCACTGAACAGAAGTTTGGACAATATGTCTGGTTGTGAACCTAACAGGAAGGATAAGCACTCAGAGAAATACATCTAAATCATCTTATCAGAAACTAATAGGTGAGATGACTTGTCGGAAACTCAAAAAGAACAAAATAGAAAAATGAATGAGAAGCTAAGAGGTACATATAGAGATCATGCAGAATGGACGCGGCGTGTGTAAATATTCATTCCCATGTAAATACTCACAAGTGACATCCAGTGTTGAGGAGGAGACTCAATAATCAGGTGAACACAACATGTGCTGTGGGAAACAGTCAGCCACCTTCCCCAGACACTCGGTGTTAAATCAATGGATTGATATTGAGTGGCCACGTAGCAGAAACAGAACCATTAGCATGTGTGTGTGTGTGTGTGTGTGTGTGCGTGTTAAGTGAAATATATATAAAATAAGGAATGTGATTATGGAGGCTGGTAAGTCAAAATTCTGCAAATGAGCATGGACAGACTGGGTACCTAGGAAGGCTCAATTCAAATGCAAAGTCCACCGTCTGTAGAATCAGGAGGAGCTAATGCTGCAGATAGTCTGAAGGCCATTGCTGGAGAATTCTCTCTCACTCAGGGAAGACAAGTCTTTTTGTTCTATTCAAGGCTCCAACTGACTCAATAAGGCCCAGTCACATTACAGAGGAGGCAAATCTGCCTTACTCAAAGGTCACCTATTTAAATATGAATCCCATCCAAAAACACCCTCACAGAAATAAGCAGAATGATGTCTGATCAACTATCTGGACTCTCTGTGACTCAGCCAAGTTGACACAAAATAAACTGCCACACCTACTGAAGGAAAATCTGCCTGGCGTTTTCTGAAAAACAAACAAACAAACAAAAAAGTTTAAAAAGTTAAATTCTTTGCAAGTGATTCCGATTTTCACTAACTTGAGACTTGCTGATCTTTTATTTTCCTATTTTTGTCCCATCTAACCATCGTTATTTGGACTCTACTAGTCAAATATGTCCCAAATAACAAAATTGCTATTTTAACTTTTTTAATTTGAATTTTTATTTACCTAGACATTTGTTCTGTTTGTTTAGAGATTATTTGTTTTATTTTATTTTTTCTCTTACTTTATTATAAAAGACATGAAGGAAGGAATTATGTTTCTAATACACCGCACACAAGTGGCAGGAACACACAAGTCCATTTGTTGAAAACAGTGGAACACACTAGCTACCTTTACCTTGAAATTCACAGAATTGTAGCCAGATATTAACAAGCTTATATCCATTTTCATTTACCAACACATCCTGTGTGGTTTTAGACATCTGTGTCTGAGTAAATTTTGACTATTTTTGGCCTTCCTTTTAGTTTTCTTTTAGTACCTTGTGCCAAAGAGACATATCCAAGGTTGAGATTAGTTTCCATTTTCTTTGTACTATTTTCTGGATAATAAGACATTAGACATTTGAAGAGATGGAGAATGAAGATGGGTATATGACGCTGAGTTTCAAGAATCGTTGTAAATCGAAGCAGAAATCTAAAGGTAGGAATACTGCTCCCCATCACCGCATTTAAAATTTCATTATTCTTCTAGGAAGAGAATTATCTTAGAATATTTTTAACATCTTAACATTGATCATAATAAGGAATATAAAAATGGTCATAAATTGTCTGTTAGATTATTTAGATTCATGAAAGCATCAACAATAAAAAGTCTGCATTTTCAGAGCCATGAGGTAAGAGAAATGCGAATATGACGATGTGTAATCCTGTGTGTTGTAGCATAAGAACATCACTTTCGAAGAAAAGGCTGAAAAATTGTGTTTTTACAGAAACTTCCTCCTACAAAACTTAAAGTTTATATAAACTTAAAGCGTATATATATGCTTATATATATATTTATGCTTATACATATATAATATTTTTAATCTTCGTAAAAGCCCTATAGGATTGGTAGAACAATCTACTGGGAATGCGAGAAGAGAGAAAAAAAAACAAAAAAACATTAATCTTTGCTCCTTAGGGCTGCTCTGTGGTTGGCTTTGTTTGCTTTTTCAGGAATTTTGAAAACAATCTTGTTGAAATAGCCAAGACCTAAGTTAAGATGACATAGGCCAGAAATTCAGAATTACCAGTCGCAGTGGCAGTTCTGCCATATGTATTGAACATTCTCGTGTACAATCTCATTTTATATCTAGCAAATGCAAACTTCCCCTGCACCCCCTGCCCCCACAAAATGACACTTTTGTTATTATCTGAAGACTCAGATCTTTTTTGTGTTTCAATATCATGAAACAAATGTTTACTTTTTCAATAGTAACTTACTTCCATGCAGCAAAAACTAGTACCATTGGTGTTAAATTGACTGAGGCAGACCAGGCACGGTGGCTCATGCCTGTAATCCCAGCACTTTGGGATGCAGAGGTGGGCGGGTCACCTGAGGTCAGGAATTCGAGACCAGCCTGGCCAACATGGTGAAACCCCGTCTCTACTAAAAATACAAAAAAAATTAGCTGGGTATGGTGGCGTGTGCCTGTAATCCCAACTACTTGGGAGGCTGAGGCAGGAGAATCGCTTGAACCCGGGAGACGGAGGTTGCAGTCAGCTGAGATCATGCCACTGCACTCCAGCCTGAGTGACAGAGCAAGACTCCATATATAAAAAAACAAAAAAAATTATTCAGACCCTAAAGCCCACAGACTAAATGTATGGCTCTGGGCAGAAGCTTTTAGCCTTCTTAAATCTCAATACTTTGATATATAATAAGAAAAATCTACCTGATGATGCTTTTATGTGGATGTTAAACTAAATTTACTATTTTTTAATCTATAAACTACTTTTTAATATACAAATGTGTACAGAGACTTAAAATCTGAGTATTGATACATAAAATATAAGATAATATCCATTTAAATTATGAATGAAGGAAGGATAGGGCTGGGAAAATAAATTGGGCCAGAAAAATTACTGTAGGCATGTTTGTGCTTGCTATACATTTGCTTCCAAGCTTCCTTGTTATTACTGACCTAAGGGAATTCTTACCAGTTGTTCAGTTCACATTGTGTATAAGATAAAGTTACACCTATTCCTTAAGATTGATATAATTAATCTTGATCCTAAATCAGAAAAAATATTTTCCTGAGTTCTCATGAAGCACATAAAATAATACAATTAGTGTTCTTGCAATAGTAGCACCAGCAGATTTTGTAAGACAATTTCTTCATATAGCCCTGTGTAAGCCAATGGCATCTAGCCAAGCAGTGCTAGGATAGGCCAGCATACTGCACTTCATGTACTCAGCTCTCTGTTCACCTGGCTTGATATAGTATGTAAATCATGGCTTACATGAAAATATTAATTTTTGGTCTATTGTTCAGTTTTTTATAAATCTTATTTGGCAAGAAGTTTAAAGTCTCCCTCCCTGGCATGTATGGAAAGAGCACTTGTTAACTACAGATCCATATACCCTTGATTGATATTTTCTCATAAAATTGCAGAAATGTATTTTGACGATTTTCAATTAAGTAGAAGTCTTTCCATATTTGCTTGAACAGCAGAAATATCTACAGGGAAGAAAAAGAAAGAAAATTATTTTGGACTTAGTAATACAGACAATTGAGTAGCAAATTTCAAAAGGTACACTACATACAGTAAATTCTCTAAGTATATACTATAGATCTAATCAAATGCAGTAAATCCATAAAACCTATTGAAGTAAAGCATCCACACAGAAATTAGATTTGAGAAACAGCACTTTTATTATGACTTAGAAGACAAATTATTTGTGAAATGTACAACCAAGGTGATGAAATTAAATGTTTGTTTATAGATAAAAGAATAAAAAATAGGGAATAATTATCAGAGTATCTCAAATTACTTTGCTTTCTCTTTGGCCACTAGCCTGGCAAACTGACTAAAATGATTGTAGATTGAGATATTAATTATATGATGTCTGCATATAAAAGGAACCTGTCATAGTTTTGTGAAAAAAGTGTATACATCCAATTTATTCAAAAGTGCTAATATGTGGAAAAAAGTAGATAAAATTGAAAGAGGATTATTATACATGCCCCTGTTTAACCTCTCTAGAGATTACTTGTTTATTCCTTTATAAGGAAGCTATTCTTGCCAACTCTAATGCGATGAAATACTATAGCATAGATGTCATATAAGCATCATTAATTGGAGATCTAATACTACCTAAGCTGAAACTGACTCCTGTCTAAAGAGTCAAACCCAGAAAAATATAATATATTACAGGTGTAAGGTGAAATAAAATGTGGATATTTCCAGTACAGTGACTGGTATATAATAGAATTTTAATAAATATTTCTTTCCCTCTTTTATTTCTTAGCAGTGAGTCACTAAATTGAATAACACACGTAATTGTGCCTGACATAGATATATACATTTTATATATTATTCTTTCTATATAATTTACATGTATAGAATAATATATATGTTTACATTGTATATATTTATATTTTATATAATATGTTATAACAAATATTTATATCATATATAATATGTATTTGTATGTATAATTTATATGGAATTTAAGACATCATTTTTAGGTCCTCAAAAACACCACCAAATAATTAACAAGTCTATGTCAGTACAATCCAAAACGTTTAATAATAGTAGTATCTCCTTGGTTTGGGATTCTAGACTTTTTATTTTTAGATTTTCATTTAATCATAAATTCTAATGACATATCTAAAATGAACATGAGTTGTCTCTGTAATAAAAATGAAACAGAAAAATATTTATAAAGTGAATAATCACAAGAATTCTAAAATTCAACATTTCAGATTTCTCCCTATATCCACAATATTATTGTCTTCTGCTCATATTTGGATGCATTGTGATCCTTATATTCATTATGACAGGGATTGACCTGAAGTTCTGGCGTGAGTAGTAAATTTTTATTTATTTGAACATTTTCAGAAGATAAATGTTGATCCTTCATTCCTCTTAATGCCAAGATAAACTCTACACTGTAGTCCAAAACTGGCATATGTCATATTATAAAATTATATTAAATTTAAAAAATTAAATGCTCAAATGCAAGCTTGGTATTTATTCTGCATCTTTTCTTATAAAGAACCCCCAATAGAGGTTGACTTTATTATCTTATAATTAAAAAAGTAATGTATCTTTACTAAAAGAGTATGTGCTCATTGGTATCACTTTGTGAGATCATTATTTAAGTATATATATATATATATTAAGACCCATCTGAAAACCATTTTAGGTAGACTTCCAGACTTTTTTCTTCCTGAAGTGGTACTTATATGTGTATACTGTAGCTATTCTATTTGAACAACCAAAGAAATTCATTATCTTTGATTTTTCTGTCTTGCTTTTAAGGCTGTGAGCTCAAATGAGTAGTGTTTTACATATAACATGACAGGAAATAGATTTTGGGGGCTTTTGAGATGAGATTTCTAAAAATAGGTGAGTCCTAAAGCAACTTCTGTAGCGTAGAAGATCCTTTACTTCTTAATAAAGGATCCATATTTGTATTGGGCAATTGGGCAATTTTGTGTTTTTCCCAATACAACAAGGGAAAATATCAGACTTTTCTCAGACCAAAGATATATCCTACTTAATGTATTTTTTCTCTAAATATCAATCATATACCTCAAAATTGTTCAATGCAACATTGAAATCAATTACTAATTACCTGAAAATGTCCACTTATTTAACATTCAATGTTAAACGACTATTTTTAGTCGTTATGAATCTATCTAAGTAGGTATTGCTTTCTGTTAACCAGTAATTCTAAGAAGTTGAATCCACTGTAGTAATTACTATGGCTTTAAAAATGTTCCTAAAATTCAGGAGATAATTTCTTGTTAGACACTGAGTATGACCTTTACAGGCCACTCTGCTCTCTTGTAAATCAGTTTTCTCTTCAAATAAAATATAAATGGTAAAATGACATAAATAATGCAATAATTATTCTTTTAAAGAAAAACGCTATTGAGAAGAAATCAATGAAATTTGACATGTTGATGAATTACTAGTAGTAAAAATATTTTTTTCTAGCCATATTTTTTATTCTAATAAATTAGTAACAATTACAATATGTGTGTTTCTATAAAATTTGTCCTTGGGTTTTGACCAGTTTAAAATATTCTTCATGGCTTCCAGTCAAAATGGAGTATTGACCATAAATATTTATATCTCCTCTCTCCCAATAATCTATCCATAGAAGAAGAAAAGATAACAAAATAGAGTAAATTAATCAAAGCACATAGAATGGAAAGGGGAGAAAATTTTAAAGAAAATGAAAAGTGGATAGCATAATGCTATTGGATAAATCAATGGGGAGAACCTTAGTTCAAATAAAGCATAAAAGACAGCTGCAGTGTAGATGAAAGCTGTTCATCATGGTTAAGCTAAGGCAGGGCTCCATTTCAGAGAGGAGAGTCAGAGGGTAAATGGAGGTCTAAAACAAGGTAATTCTTTAATACATACAATGCTTATTACCAATTAAATTTAAAAATAACTTTTGAAAGCCAAAAATATGAAGCAAACTAATTAAGTGAAAGACTTTCTAAGCCATGCTCTTTTTGATTGGTGTCTTGTCAATCTGTCGGTCTATTTACACAGTGGATTTTGCCCCTATATCATGCAAAAAAAAAAAAAAAAAAAGAGAGAAGAACTCTCTAAAACAGTGAGATATATAGATAGAGCCAGGTAGAGCTCCTGATTTATGGACTGGTGGTCGGTGCAATAAGGTGTATACCCACTTGTTTTGGTTTTGGAGTGAGAGAGGGGAGTAGTGTGTAGGTCTACTACATAGCTTGGCTATTTCTTGTGCCATTTCTTCTGAAAAGTCATGGTAGCTAACCAAATATCCCGGAGCACAGAGCAAAATGTCAGAAAAAAAACATAAATAAATATAAGAGGATATCTGAGATGGAAAATCAAAAAATGCCTATTTATCCAGAAAGGTCAATAGCTCTTTTAACAAGCTTCCAGAAGAAGAAAATAGGTGAAAAAAAGTAGATATAAAATAATGAAAAAAGTAATATAAACCATTTCTCAAGAGTAAAAGCAAAACCAAAAAACATGAGTTTTCAGCTTACAAGAACCCACTAAGTTCGGAACAGAATACAAAAACAGATAATACATAGAAAGAGATGATAGATTAGATAGATAAAGATAGATAGATAGATAGATAATTTCAGAACACCATGAGTAAAAATATAATCCTAAAGGGTTTACATAAATAATTAGTTTTCCCCCAAAGCAAATTAGCATCAGATTTTTAAACGCACCTAAAAAGATTCTACTGGAGCAATGCCTTCAAAGTTATGAGCAATCTTGATTTTAACTTAGATTTGAAACAAGAGTAATCAAGTAAATATTTTTTCCATTCATTGTTTTGGAATAACAACAGCAAAAAAGAATGTGGGAGGTGGGTGGCTAACTTTGGATAGAATGAAGCTAGCCCAAGAATATAATTAAAAGACTTTTCAAATTAACAACTGTTCTGTTTTCCTAGCTAGCAATTAATTCTGTCTATATGAAAACAAACTATAAATAATGCAACTAGGAAGCTGAAGGAACTTGATGATATGGTCAAAAGAGTTTTTTTTTTTTTTTTTGGTCTGCAACAAGGGAAAATAAGATCAAGACTAGGCGTTGGAGCTCATGCCTGTAATCCCAGCACTTTGGGAGGCCAAGGCAGGTGGAGCGCTTGAGCCCAGGAGTTCCAGACCAGTTTGGGCAACATGGTGAAACCCCGTCCCTAATAAAAAAATACACAAAAATTAGCTGGGTGTGGAAGTGTGCGCCTGTACTCCCAACTACTTGGGAAGCTGAGGCAAGAGGATGGCTTGAGCTCAGGAGCCAGATGTTGCAGTGAGCCATGATGGCCCACTGCACTTCAGCTTAGGTGACAAAGCCAGACCCTGTGTCAAAAAAAAAAAAAAAAAAAAGTTAAGAATAGTAATAAAAATGAAAAAAAAAAAGAAAACAGAATGTCAATTAAAAAGTCCAGTGAAAAAAATAATATACAAAAATGTAACATCATACATGAAGTCTAAGATCTCACATAATATTTAGAATTGCAGGCCGGGCATGGTGGCTCACACCTGTAATCTCAGCACTTTCGGAAGCCGAGGCGGGCGGATCACGAGGTCAGGAGATCGAGACCATCCTGGCTAATATCATGAAACCCCATCTCTACTAAAAATACAAAAAATTAGCTGGGCATGGTGGTGCGCGCCTGTAGTCCCATATGCTCGGGAGGCTGAGGTAGGAGAATGGCGAGAACCTGGGAGTCGGAGCTTGCAGTGAGCCGAGATTGCGCCACTGCACTGCAGCCTGGGCAACAGAGTGAGACTCTGTCTCAAAAAAAAAATAAAAATAATAAAAATTAAAAAATAGAATTGTGATTTGCACTTAAAGGAGTAAAAACAGATATGGCGAAACGTAGTTAAATCTGGGGAAGAAGAGGAGTGGATGCATAGGAGAAGAGAAACTCACAATTTTTATTAGTATGCCTTCATTTTCTGCTGGTACTTTATTCTCATGTACCTAGATTGCTATTGATTTTTAAATGTTTCTCATATCTTTTCTTTGCACTGAGTACAGATAAAAAAATGGATTTCTCCCAGAATGTAAACGTCAGCAGTCTATCAGGTAATACTCTTTTTGTTTGTTATGTGCTACTCTTAGGGGTAAATTTAGTTTTGGCTTCCCTCTTCCTGGCGTTCACCCATGTTACACAGTAAGCCAACAGCACTGGTGGAGAAAGGTATGGGGCTGAAAAGGACATCCTCTTCCTCAGTGCCATTGCTGTGTATCAAATGGTTGAAAGGCAGGACAATTGTGGTGATTTCTAGGAGGAAAAAAAATAGGGTTTTAGTGAGTCAACAACAGGATGATAGTGGATTTCCTGCCATACCTAACTTGCCAAATATTTATCGAGCATCCACTGATAGGTGTGACATGTAATGGCTGCAGGCTGTAGTGCGAAGAGTGTGGGCTTGAGATAGACCTATGTTTGAATCAAGAGATTTCAGCCAACTGTTCACATGAATTTAGGCAAATTAAACATAGTTTTTTAAACTTTCAAATGAGGATATTATAATAATAACTGTGTCACAGAATATTTCATGTAGATTAAACAAACTGTGATGATTAATTTTCTGTGTCAACTTGGCTAGGCCACCATACCTAGGCAGTTTGTCAAATACCAGTCTAGATGTCACTGGGAAGATATTTTTTAGATGAAATTGGATTTTGCATTTGTAGATTTTGAGTGAAATGGATTATCCTCCATAAAGTGGGTGGATCTTATCCAATCAATTGAAAGTCTTAGAAAAACTGCTGAGGTCCCCAAAGGAAGAGGAATTTTGACCTCCAGACTTCCTTCAGACTGAAGATATAATATTAATTTTTCCTGGGTTTTCATCCTGTTGGCCTATTCTGTGCGTTTTGGACTTGCCTGCCCCCACAATTATATGAGACAATACCTTAAATCTCTCTCTATATGTGTATATATATGTGTGTGTGTGTGTATATATATGTATATATATACATATATACACACATATATACATATATGTAAATGCCATTGGTTGTGGCTATGGAGAACTCCAATACGGTAATACAGTGTGGAGGCAGTATAGTGCAGTGGATAAGAACATAGGCTATAGAACTAAGCTAACAGAGTTAGAGTTTCAGTTCTGATATTTATATGCTATATCAATATATAAAGTTAAATAATCCCTATGTACCTCAATTTCTTCATCTGTAAATTGGGGGTGATAATGACACCTACTCAATAGGATTTTATTTTTTATTATATACTTAAATTTTTATTACATAAATATACATGAAAGTAGAGAGAATTGTATAATAAATCTTCTTGTACCTTTAAAACAGCACCAATAATTATCAATACATAATCAATATTTTCCATCTGTATCTCCACCATCATCACTCCCTCAAACTAGATTATATTAAAGTAGTGACTAGATATTATACCATTGAATATTTAAATACTTCAATATGTGAATCTTATAGCTAAAGGCTCGTTTTGCTTAACACAATCACAATCTCACTATAACTCCTGCATTTGTTTTTGATTGATATATAACAAATTACCACACAGTTGGCAGTTTTACAACATATACTTGTTACCTCACAGTTCCCACGAGTTGGGAGTCAGGGCACGTTTAATTAAGTCCTCTGCTCAGGGTCTCACAGGCAATGCAGTGTAGATGTTGGCCAGACCACCCATCTTTCGAGAGCTGAGGTTCCTCTTCCAAGCTCTCTCTTACGGTGTTGGCACAATTATTTGTGGTTGTAGGGTACAGGTTACTGCTTTCCTTCTGGCTTTCAGCTATGACTCCTCTAAGCTTCGGGAGGCCTCTGCATGCATTTACCACGTGTCACTCTTGTACACCCTCCCGAAACATGGAAGCTGAATTCTTTAAAGGCAACAGGAGTTATCTCTCTCTTCAGGAAAGGCCTCAACCCTCTTTCATGGACTTACATCTGATTAAGCCAGACCTACTTGGGATAATCTTTCTTTAGATTAACTCAAAATCAACAGATGGGGACTCTTCTTTTGTTTTCAAAATCCCGTCATCTTGCTGTCTAACATAACCTAATCATGCAAGTGATATTTCGTCATATTCACAGGTCTTACCCATAGTTATGAAGAAATTACACAGGTCATGTGCACCAGAGGCTGGACCTATGGGGTCATTTTGGAATTCTGTCTACCGCAATTCCTAACAAAGCTAGCAAAAACTTCTTAATATCCTCTAATAGTCAGCATTAAAATGTCTTTTTTTCTTTTCATTTGATTTCTTAGAATTATAATCAAAGACTTTAATTGCATTTGGTTAATATGCCTCTTGAGTCTTAATTTATAGACACTTGTCCCCTCCTTTTAATTTTTTTTTTTTTTGCCCTTTATTTGTCAAAAGGTAGGTCATGGTTGGGCACAATTTCTCATATTCTGAATTTTCCTTTTCATATCTTCCTGGTGTCATTTAACTCTACAAAGATATTTTAGAAACTAAGTGTATATAAGGTGCTTAGAAACCTGCCTGGCCCACGACAATGGCTATATGTGTATGTTGTTATTATTATCTAAAGCATCTAATAGAGCAGTTGATATAAAGAGTTGCTCAATAAATGTTTTTCTCAATTTTCATCCTGTATTTCTTCTTCTTTTAGAAGATGGGACTTAAATCTGAGTTACCTACAATAACTCTTTTGGACAGTAAGTGTCCACATCTTGCATCTTCTGGTGTTTTACAATGCTACACTCATCATTTGGAGTATTTCCATTGTGTCTGGCAGCACTCCAGTGGTACTTCATTGACCAGTCTGTCAATATCTACATAATAAAATTATTTCATCCAAGTGGCACATTCTCACTAGTAATAGTTAATAAATATCCCCTCTCAAATCATAACTTGGGAGGTATATGAGAGGTCATTTTATACCTTTTAGCAAACAACTATGTATTTGTACAACTGAAATTACAATTTAGTTATCCTGAATCTTTTCAATTTTTTTTAAATTACAATTTTTCAGCATTGGCCACTCTTGCCCGGATACAGCATGTATTAATGAGTTAAGAATATATATGAAGTTTCATGAATCTAAATTTAGGTCATAATAACCTTCTTCAAATTATACTTGCTCAGGTTACTTTTTTAATCTTAGCTGGACATATAGTTTAATTTCTAAAAGTAATTTTTAAATAAAATTTTAGGGTCATAGTTGACAGACTAAAATATTAATGAAAATATGACATGTTTTAACTTAAAAATATTTAATCCAGCCATTCAACATTCAACAATAAGCATTTATTATATACAAAATACTAAATGATAAGAGAGTCAAAGATGAATATGACAGTCCCACCTCACAAACCTTCCAATCAGGTGGAGGATATGGAGATTTTTACAAGTGAATAGGATGTAAACCATTTGTCCTTTGCTTTAGCAAATGTATCAATTATGATATCTATGTGTTGAGTCTTACAGATAGCAGAAATTGACGGTTCAAGGCTTCCTTTTTGAGGTGGAAATATAACTGTATATTAAAGAAAAAGTTAGCGGGTAAAGAAGGAAGAGGAGGCTATTCAAGACTAAGGGAACAGTATGAACGAAAAGCACAGGAGAATAAGTACCCAATGCATCAGTAATAGTAAGTAATCTCACAGACATGAAGTGCAGGTTGTAAAGACAATCTTGAAATGTCAAAGGAATTAGAACCAGATAGTGGAGGAAATTAAATAATAAGCTTTTACTTTTTCAGTTGGTAATTAACTGTCAAAAATGTTATAATTTGCTTCCTCTGATTATGGGGATCAGAATTCACAGGCTTTGTTCTCCCCTAATCCATCATCCAAAACCCTGCCCGACTCCTGGAAATACACAGGTTAGTAAATTATTCTCATTTTACAGAACTGCTTTTTTTTTTTTTTTTTTTTTGAGACAGAGTTTCGCTCTTGTTGCCCAGGCTGGAGTGTAATGGCTCGATCACGGCTCACCGCAACCTCCACCTCCCAGGTTCAAGCGATTCTCCTGCCTCAGCCTCCCAAGTAGCTGGGATTACAGGCATGGGCCACCATGCCTGGCTAATTTTGTATTTTTAGTAGAGACAGGGTTTCTCCATGTTGGTCAGGCTGGTCTTGAACTCCCGACCTCAGGTGATCCACCCACCTCAGCCTCCCAAAGTGCTGGGATTACAGGCGTGAGCCACCGCGCCTGGTCTGAACTCCTTTTTATTGACCAAAAAAAAAAAAATGAGTTGGAAAAATCTATTTTCCAAGTAGTCACATTTGATAATATTTCTATCTTCCCTGTTGGCTGTAAAGTTTAATTAATTTTCCCCTATGTTTTCCTTTAGGACACAATTACTTGTGCCCAAATGACTGGCTGTTGAACGAAGGGAAATGTTACTGGTTTTCAACTTCTTTTAAAACGTGGAAAGAGAGTCAACGTGATTGTACACAGCTACAGGCACATTTACTGGTGATTCAAAATTTGGATGAGCTGGTGAGAAATCAAAAACAGGATCTAACTGCACAAGGAAAAATGGCTTAGGTGCAAGTTCACTGCCTAAGAAGCTTGGGAGGTTTATTGTCGTTGCTTCTGAACATGTGTTAGCCACAATGTAGTCACTATTGTTCATGAAAAAAATGCTAATGTATATGAAAAAATATATTTTATTAATGCCGGCACAGAGACTTACACTATAGAAGGCATCAAAATTTTTTTAAACAAATGAATGAATAAATGCACTATTTCTTCTGCAGGAGTTCATACAGAACAGTTTAAAACCTGGACATTTTGGTTGGATTGGACTATATGTTACATTCCAAGGGAACCTATGGATGTGGATAGATGAACACTTTTTAGTTCCAGAATTGTGAGTAGTTATTTGTAAGGGAGGGGTGCTAATGTTTATAGAATTATTTTTATATTAAACTTCTTCACTTTCCATTCTTTTTTCCTTCTTTCTCTGTTTTCCCTTATCTTTACATTTTTTTCTACTTTTTCCCTTTTAGCTCTCTCTTTTCTTTCCTTCCTCCCTCCCTTTTTTTTCTTTGCTTCCTCTCTTCTTTAACATTCACTAATTTTGAAAAATGGGATGGAAAGTATTCATTTTGTCACCTGGCAGTTTAATTGTCCAAAATTCATAATAATTTTTAAATTTCTAAGCTGATTTAAATCTCATTTGAAATAATTTTATGCAAATACTTCTCATGTGGTAAAAGCAAAGACAAAATTCACCTATAAATAAAAGCTGGAATGTGTAGAAAGGTCTGGAGTTGAAATCAGAAAACATGAATTTAAAAACTTTGCCCTTCAGAAATTCAACTAAACTTGTTGATATCCATTTCTTTTTCTTTTCTTCTCTTTCTTTTTCTTTCTTTCTTTCTCTTTCTCTTTTTTCTTTCTCTTTCTCTCTTCTTCTTTCTCTTTCTCTCTTTTTCTTTTTCTTTCTTTTCTTTCTCTCTCTCTCTCTCTCTCTCTCTCTCCCTCCCTTCCTTCTTTGTTTCTTTCTTTCTTTCTTTCTTTTTTTTTCAGCAGAGCCTTGCTCTGTGGCTCAGGCTGGAGTGCAGTGGCATGATCGTGGCTTACTGCAGATTTGACCTTCTGGGCTCAAGCAACTCTCCCACTTCAGCCTCAGAGTAGCTAGGACTACAGGTGTGGTGCCATCACACCTGGCTAATTTTTTGTATGCTTTGTAGAGACGGGGTTTTGCCATGTTGCCCATGCTGGTCTCCAACTCCTGAGCTCAAACTATCACCCACCTCAGCCTCCCAAACTGCTGAGATTACAGGTGTGAGCCACCACTCCCAGCCTGATACCTGCTTCTTTATCTGTATAAAAAGATCCACGATACTTTCTTCACATTGTTCTTATGTGAACAACATGAGGTGTTGCATGTAAGAGTGCTTTCAAATTCTGAAGGGTCACGTTTAGACATTTTCTTCTGTGCTTTCAGTTACTAGTCATACTACCAAAACACTTGAGATGTGGTAAGTCTGGAGCAAAGGCCATGGAGTCATAGTTCATTTCAGTTCAGATATTTATCTACTCCTGGATACATCTATTCTACATTTATTATCATCCTTCATGAGCATAAAACTAAAGGATGAAGTAGTATCCATTTCCTGGACCTGCTTTTAATGCAATATTTGAAAAAAAGTAAGATTTATTACTAATTTTTATTATAATTAATATTATTTTTTACTTTTTTGGAAACCAGCATTACTATAAAGGTAAAATATCACTTTTAAAAGCTTTTATCTTATCATTTAAGGAAAACAACACACATGCAGGTGGTTATAACAGTGTTCAGTCTGTATTTTCTTAAATAATCATTAGTAACTAGAAAGAATAGTTTACAAAATAGCTCTCTTCAAAGGCATTCCATTTATACATTGCGCATCATCCTAACCTTATACTGTGGAAGTTATATGAGGAATTTAAGAGTCATCTAATAGGTTTTACTTTGACTTAAACAAAATCTTGGGCGACTGCCTCCCAACTCACATCATTATAGCATACCTATCACTATGTAGTTTCTATTGAAAACGTTCATTTTGGCATCTACTTACCTACAAAAAATTATTTATGCTGCTATGTGGAGAATTAATAGATAGGAAACAAAACTGAAATTATGGAGGTCAGTTCGAAGGCTATGGCTAGAGATAAGGGAGAGATAATGGTAGCTTGAGTCTAAATTGAGAAGCTGGGAGAAGTGAATGGTTAGAAGAGATAATCTGGAAATAGAATACTCAGGTCTTGCAGGCGTAGATAATGAGAGGTTTGAGAGGTAAGGAAGAAGCTGGGATGTCTTCTAGTGTAGCTCAAGCTTGCATGGTGTTGTTACCAAGATAGGAAAGAGGAGAAGAGGCTGCATTAGCAATGAAAATTCCATTCTAAAACCTCTGCAAAACTTTGGCTGCTGAAGAATTACCTATAAAAGTTTGGCTGGAGAAAACTTTAAAAGATACTATTATCATTTTAAGATAAATGCTGAAAAATCTGTCCTTTGTCTCTTAGGTTTTCAGTGATTGGACCAACTGATGACAGGAGCTGTGCCGTTATCACAGGAAACTGGGTGTATTCTGAAGACTGTAGCTCCACATTTAAGGGCATTTGCCAGAGAGATGCGATCTTGACGCACAATGGAACCAGTGGTGTGTAAATGTACAACCAAACATAGAAATACTTTGCATGTTAAAGCAGAGCTAGATTTTAAAGACTTAAGATTTTTAGATAAAGTTTCTAACAGAAAGTTTCTGCTAACAGACATCATCTAAATAGGAGAAAAGTATTTTATCCTGAATTGACTATAAAGACAACTTCTGAACAGAACTTTTACTCTATACTTGGATTTCTGGTTTGTCTTTTCCATGGCATTGACAAGAAAAGCTAAATAAAAAATTAGTAATTATTTTAATAGTTATTTAATAGTTTGATTTTTTTGCATTTAAAATAGCATAGAATAAAACAACTTTAAAGGAATGTTATTTAGCTATATGTGCTATGTGGTAGATTGGAAGGAAAGAAGCAGTATATGTACAAATATAATATTTGAAGCATGGAATTCTGAATTTTTCATCTGTGTATTATAGCCTGAAGTGTTTGGTGGGGAGTGGGTAATGAGAAATTACCTACTGGGTATAATGTACAATATTTAGGTGATGGATAAACTAAAAGCTCAGACTTCTCCACTTTGTGATATATCCATGTAACAAAATTATGCTTGTACCCTTTAAATGTATTCAAATAAAATAAAATAAAGTCATGTGGCCAAATATTCAAAACAAAAAAAAAAAGCAAATCCGTGCATGTAAATTAAGAATTGAAAGAAATATGTACGGATGTTAACACTGCCTATTCTTTTTCTTTAGTGAAATACAAATTTATTTCTTTTCCTATCCAAATATAAAATTTTAATGTAATGCTTCTAAATGAAAAAACTACAATAACTTGTTTTTATTTTTAATACATGTCTTTATTCTTTAAAGCTTTATTGAGGTCAAACTGATATACAAAATATTGCACATACTTAATTTTTACTTTCTGGTGAGTTTGTGTACACTTGAGATGCCATCACCACAGCTAAGGTACTAAATGTATCCATCACCTCCAAATATGTCCTTATGTTCTTTTGTGTCTATCTGCTTTTATTTTTATCAGAACACAACACGAGATACAGTCTCTTAATTTTTTTTTTTTTTTTTTTGAGACGGAGTCTCACTCTGTTGCCCAGGTTGGAGTGCAGTGGTGCAATCTTGGCTCACTGCAACCTCCGCCTCCCAGGTTTAAGTGATTCTTGTGACTCAGCCTCTTGAGTAGCTGGGATTACAGGCATGCACCACCATGCCCAGCTAATTTTTGTATTTTTAGTAGAGACGAGGTTTCACCATGTTGGCCAGGCTGGTCTCGAACTCCTGACCTCAAGTGATCCACCCGCCTCAGCCTCCCAAAGTGCTGGGATTACAGGCATGAGCCACCGTGTCTAGCCTCTCAATTATTTTAAAGTGTGCATTACTAAATTGTTAATAGTAGGTACTATGTTGTAGAAGAGATCTCTAGAACTTATTCACCTTGCGTAAATGAAACTTTCTGTGCTTTCAGCAGCAATTTCCCATTTCCCTTTCCCTCTACCCCCTGGAAACTAGCATGCTATTCTCTGTTTCTGTGGGTTTTATTTTTAACAGAAAAACACAAAACCCTATTTTTTCAGTATATTAAAGATTAAATTTAATCTAATTCTGCCTCTTTTTCTGCGTATGTGATGCAGGATCTTTTGCTCCTTAGTTCAGCTGAAATCCAGGTTCTTGTCACACGACCAGGAAAAATTAGGCACGTGGACACATTGAAAAGTGAGGAGAGCAGAATTTATCAAAAGAAAACGCTCAGTATAAAAAAAAAAAAAGCCAGGGGAGACATCCTGCCAACAGTGCCACCTCACAGATTGAATACCAGGCGATCACACACACAAGCTGAAGAGGCCAGGCTCCTCCTGCCCGCATAAGCTTTGAATTCTCGGTGGCTCTACCCCATTCTCCCAATGTGCAAGCAGGCCCCCGGTCCATTGTGGGCATGACCAGACAAGGCCTTGGGTAGTTTCCCTCATCTGCACAAAAGCATCTGATGTAAACACTTTTGGGGTGGGTCAGAGATTCTCTGGGGATCTGCCCTTATCTGCCTACTGCATCTATCATACACGTTTTCTATTCCTTGGATTTTAACTCTTTCTAAGCATTTGGTGGAAAATAGACCAGGCACATGGCTATAGTTATGGCATTTCTTTCATGGCATTTCCTCCAAATTAAGTGTTCTCAATTTTCATTAAAAAGAAATCAAACTTACAGCTGGCAATAAAGTACTAAAATGCTGTAAGCATAAAATGAGTATTTGAAGGAATTTGCCATGTGGCTTGTTTTTCATGTGATGCCATAGTTCATTCCCTTTTTATCAAACATAGTTAATCCAACTACTTTATTTTTCTAAATGAAATTCTATATAAAGTTTACTTTTCCTCTCATTTTGAAACCAGCCCAATTTCCTCATAGAACTGATATTCATGACTTTTTTGAATAAACATAGAAATTGACCCTCCTGGTCCTCAAAAGTGAAACTCACATTTGTCTTATCTGAGATCCTTCCTCGGGAAACTGACCCTCAAGTGAGGAACAGAAACTCATCAGATCACCACATCCAATCATATGCCAGACCCCTCATCCATTGCTTTCTTACTTCTTCCTAGTATTTTTTTCCTGCCTTCCCTGGTATGTAAACCCCAATTTTAGTTTGTCAAGGAGACAGGTGTGAAACTTTACCTCCCACTCTCCTTGACTACTGCACCCAATTGCCTTCTTTCCTGGCAAAACTCATCTCAGTGATTGGCATTCTGTGTGGTGAGCAGCAGGACCTAGACCAAACCCCTGGCATGTTGGTAAGAATTTATTTAAAACATTTCATAATAAATGGAACAGCTATGTCCACTATGTAAATGAGGCAATTAACTCCTTCAAGAAGTTTTCTGTAGTTTATTCTACATTATCAAAATTTATAGCCTATTAACTGTGAATCAAAGATGGAAAGAGGAGGATGAATTGCTCTGAATTGATAAATTTACTCCCTCTAAAGAAGTACATCTAACTGCCGTTATATTAAGGATAAGGATGAAGACAGATTTAACTGCTTCCTGCTGACAGGGGACATTGTTTTGGGGAAACGGCAGTCAGAGCTCCCTCAGAGGCCTATCTAAGGGGTCCCAGCAGAAGAAGCCATTGTCGGAGGCTCCAGTTGCAAGACCATTTGGAGTTTGATGGCCTGAAAGCAAGAACAGACAAACCGGATTATTAGAAAACATATATCAAAACGAAACAAAACAAGGGGAGGAGTAAGAATGGCTCGAAAATTCCAAGGCCTTTTATCAGTTTGCACAGGGAGAGGCAGGCGAAAAGCCCTACTAGTAAAAAAAAAAAAAAATTACCCTTTTGCAGGCATGTTGGGCTCCTGGGTTCCCTTCCCCTGAGCCCAATCCTAAAACTACTAGTTTAACGTTTGGGAAATTAACCTTTTCCACTTTAAAGGATGTATCTGAGGGGAGTGTCCCATAGTACAGAGATACAATTACCTAACTGAGAGGAGTATCTCATAGTATGGAGACACAATTACCTAACTGTGAGGAGTATCCCGTAGTATGGAGACACAATTACCTGACTGTGAAGAGAGAACAGAGGAGAAGAAAGGAAAAAGAAGGCATTTTTAAAGGAGTCCCAGGGGTCCAGGATGCATTTGAAAGGGGCACAGACTGAAGTTGAATGGCTTGCCATTGAGAAAGAGGGGAGCAGGTGTCCCTGACTCCCTTCTCTTCCTAGCAGATACCCAGGGTATGTGAGGGAGAGAGGGAAGAGCAACCTTTTTCCCTCTTCCATCTTTGCATCCCTGAGTCCCGGTGACATTGGCAGGTCCTGCCAAGAGTGCCAAAGCGGCTTTCACCCCTGAAGCAGGGGAGGCTAGAGAATAGGAAATGTCCACTCTAACCTATGTCTCTTTCCCACCTACTGTCAGTAGCCTTGGAGTTCCCTAGACCTCATTTATGCCATGGATATCAATGTGGCCTTTATCCATGAACCAGGAAGCTTGGGGTTGCCTTAATCAGCAGGAACCAGCCACACTCACCTGCATTCTGCCTCTTAACTTCCACTATCATCTGCCTCTGGATCCCTCAGATCCAGTTTTCTTTCCTAGGGCTTTGACCTGAAGCTTGGAATTGAGTCTAGGACAAAAACATGTCTCAGAGGAGTTGCATGGACTCCTTATCATAAGTTAAATGCTAAGGTGAAAGTGTGGAACTGAGTCCTCCTCCAATAAGGGAGAGGAAAGAATGTCTTGTGACATACCCAGCTAACTGGTGGCTACAGTTATGTTGCTAGGATTTGGGTGCATGCTGCTTGGCTTTGGTTAGCTCCCTTTGTCTTACTTTCCCACAAAAGAAACCTTCCGTTGATGGGCACCCTATTTATTCCCATCACTTGGCAGGATTTGCAGGATAATTGCTCAAAACTATAACATTGATCCAGATTTTCACGTTACCCATCCCTCTTGTTCTTTCTGACCTGAAGCCAGACATTGCTGGTTGCTTCACAAGAACATGCAGGATTAGTCTAAGATGTAAGCAAAAACTTCAAAACAACGAGTGATCTTAGAATTTAATAACAAATGTATAAGCTTTGAAATCTAGTTCTCTCTCTGCAGTCCTCATTTTTGTTAAAAAAAAAATCATCCTAAGACTGAGTTTTTTCCAAAATAGACTTTAGTTTTATGCTTGGCCTGATTGTTTGCATAAAGTGCAGCAAGAATAACTATTTCTACATAGGCTTTTTGGGTTGGCTTTGATGGAAATTTGTTCCACAAGGACTCTCAGATAAGACCTTTTAAAGCCCAGCCCAGTCATGGGTTTGCATCCTCAAAACCCTGTGAGTTGGGTGATCCTCCCTTCTTAAGGTCCCAGGATAAACTTGGAGCTTCTAGACCTGTTAGAAAGTGACATTCTTTACTGACCACAGGTCAGGAACCCTGTACAGGGACTGAATAAACAAGGGTATGAGGCCAGTTTCCCCACTGGACTTTTATTGGCTCTGCAAGTCGAGATTGACTCCTTAAAGGCAAGCTTACCCTTCCAGTCAAAGTGTTGGTAAAATAAACACTTTCTCCAATTGTGTCCTGTTGCAAAAGAAAAATGGATTCTTATTGCACTGATGCAAACAACCATATTGCCATAAGTTAAGAACACTCACAGATAGTTTCCAAATTCTAGAGGAACCAGGCAGAGAGAAAAAAAAACATGCTCCAGGTCTTGATTACAGGAGTATACACCTTATTTAATTATTAAAGGCCGTAAATAATTCAAAATAATGTTGACTCTGCAAAACAAAACAAGGATCAATAATATTCCAAGCAAAGGTTAAAAAGGTTGCTTCAGCTTTCTGAGTTCAGTTTATTTAGTTAACTCATGTTTTGCTTGACATTCGTGAACATTTCAGCTCTTCATGACCCCTGTACAGTTTTCTTTATTCCAATGTCACAATCTCTAAAGTTATCAGAGATCTGTATTTAAGAGCACTTGTCAAAGTTCTATAGCTTATTATAAACCATCTTTGAAAAGGATTAAAACAAGACAACAATTGTCTGTGAATAGCAAAATGTCCAGGGTAGTTACACTTAGAAACACAATTGACAAAGAAGTTTGGTTATTTCCGTGGTTTACATTAACCTAACATAACAACTTTAATTATGAGTGATAGCATACACTCAGACATTAGAATTATAGAAATCCCATACAATTTTAGAGCATACATTAGCTTTATTCACCAAGATATAACCTAAAAAAGATTGAACAACATTTTGGCAATCCCATGTACCTAAACATGTCAAATAATCCTGTTTACTTCATTTTTCTGGACACTGTAGGGGCCCTCTGAAGTATTAGAAAAGCCAGGTGCCAGGGAAGCCTACTTGGAAACTGAATTTTGATTTTGGGAAGGCTGTCAAATATGTTCAAGATTTAAAACACTGATAATATGAAATAGAATTCCAGATTACCATAAATTATTTATTTTGCCAAAATGATGACTCAGAAATTTTAAAGAAGCAAAAACCTTTTATAACCCTTTACAAATTTTGCCAAAGAGCAGATTAGCACCATAGGAAAACCTTGTTATGATTTTATTTCAATGCTCAATTTACAGAAAAATCATATAATATCCTTCTTGAATGTGGCCAATATGTTCACAAAGAGAACCTCTTCTGCAAAATTAATTTTCACAATTCTTCCACCACTTCCTTGAACCTTCAGCTTTTTCCTATTTTATCTCAAAACAATCCTTTATCCCGAGGCCAAAGTTTACATTTCCATGCCTTCTTATAACCTTTTGCAAACAAAAACACATTTTACTGTTCTTACATACCTTGCTTGTAAATCTATTTTCAGTAGTTTCCACTAATGCCTAGCAATTTTTAACTTTAAGGTAAAACCTGGTAAGTTACTTTAATTGAGTGCTAAGTGTAGCCAAGGTTTGCCATTTTTTTTTTTTTTTTTTGAGATTTAGTCTTACTCTGTCGCCCAGGCTGGAGTGTAGTCACACAATCTCGGCTGACTGCAACCTCTGCCTCCTGGGTTCAAGCAATTCTCCTGCCTCAGCCCCCAAGTAGCTGGAATTACAGGTGTGCACCATTGCGCCTGGTTAATTTTTGAATTTGTAGTAGAAACGAGGTTTCATCATGTTGGCCAGGCTGGTCTTGAACTCCTAACCTCAAGTGAGCCACCCACCTCGGCCTCCCAAAGTGCTGGGATTATAGATGTGAGCCACTGCGCCCAGCTGGTTTGCCTTTTTAATGTTAGAAACAAGTGCTCAGTGCCGGGCAACCCGCTCGGGTCCCCTTCCACACTGTGGAAGCTTTGTTCTTTCGCTCTTTGCAATAAATCTTGAAAGAAAAAAAAAAAAAGAAAGAAACAAGTGCTCAGTGCCACAAAGAAGAACCAGCATTGAGACAAAGGATTTCTCAGCAAGGCAATTTACTTCTGTAGAAAGGTGTTGCCTGCATCAGCCACCATCGCAAGAGCACACTGAACAAAGGAGAGTAAGGGTTTTTATTCCTAATGCAGTCCCTGCTTCTGTATCATTCCCCATTGGCTGGAGTTAGACCACACAACCTAAATTAGTCCCAGTTGGCTAAACACTTAAACTTTCTATATAAGGTAGACACGTGTTGGGGGAGAAGGAGGGAAGGGAAGAGGTCTGCCTGTGGAGCACGAGAAGGCTAAACTTTTTCTGAATAAGGAAAGGAATGTAGAGTGAGGCTGAGACATGTCTGGGTGTGTCAGGGCACAGCAAGAACAGGAGGGCTGTTTGCAGGATAGAAGCAAGAGAGTACAAGAAGTTTTGGCCTCTGAACAAAGAACAAGGACATTACACAATTAAACCCTTTGAAGAGGAATTTATAATCTCTGGCAATTTCCCTCTTTGTTTTTTTTTTTAATAATTCCTCCTCTTCAAATTTTTCTAACATAATTTGGCTTTGCTGTTCTTCTTGATCACCTAGGAATAAGAATATGGAGAAGGAGATGTAGGGGAGGTTTTTGTGAGAGCTGTTTCTATAAGCCTTTGTACTAGGCCTCGGGCACAGAATACAATATAATATCCTACAAGAATAAGCACACCTATTATAACAGCAAAAGAAGTAAGGATTGAGGACATAAGTCCTTCCCATCTGCTGAAACATTTTTCCATTAAATTAGTGAAGGGATCATTTATTCCTGAATTCTTAGCTAGTTCATTGGATAAAACAGGAAGACATTGTGATGCTTTTGTTATGGTTCCACTGGAAGCAGTATTATTAGGTATAAAAGTAGAATATTGAGTTCCAATCATGACACAGACCTCACCCTTATCTGCTAGTATCATATCTAATGTTATTCTATTTTCCCAAGCCATTTGGCTGGTGGGTCCTAACTGTTTAGCTGTTCATTTAATAGCATCTTTAGTATAGTTAACAAATTGTTGCTGGTTGTAATAGATGTAATTTATCCAATTTACATTTTTATTTATAGTTAACCACCAGAATAGTAGGGACTCAAACCCAGCAATTATTTGATTTTGGGACTTAAATTCATCTGGGACTCCTCTCGGGACTCCAATGGCATCTATATAAACATGAGGGTCAAAGGACCCATGAGGGACATCTCTTGTTTTATGATGCTTTGTTTTTATCCTTTTTGGTTAATGAAATGCCAGGGTGAAAGGGATGGCCAGTTGGATCAGAGTGCAAGTGCTGCTCTGCTCCAGCTACTTGGCAAAGTGTTCAGCAATGGTCCGTCACAATACTACCATACATCCACTTGGCAATGGATCAGGGCAGACTGATTGGTTAGCTCTTGGAATGACTTAAGCTCACTGCATCCCTTTAGGTCTCCCAGAAATGCTAAGTTTTCTCTCTGTCATGAGAGACACAAGGTAAAACTGGCATCAGGAGATGGAAGCTGGATGGACCTCGGGGACTGACCCACAGGGTGCTGGACTTTGGGGAATAGCAGAGAGAGAGCTCCGCATGATTCATGACCCCAGGCTGTGGGGTGTTGGGAGAGAGCTACCTTACAATTTGTGCCTGGTCGGCTGGAGGACCATACGAGTGGAAACGGGATGATTTAGGCCTCTGGCCTGCAGTGCACGCAAGTGTAACAATCGTTTTTGTTTAGACTGCAGATGGAATATTTAATCCTTTCCAGCCAGGCATTTGCATCTTTGTACCCCATCTCTAGAGCTATGGTCTGCCTTAAATCTTTTACCTCTACAACCATTACCTTAGTTGGGTGGTTCTAGAGATGGGAGGAGAGCGCTGAGCCTGATATGTTTGGGCACAGTGTTGGGTCCCACATGTTCTCCAGACTCTGGGTCTGGATTTCTTTATTGTTCTTAGCTGATGCTCTAGCTAACCTCAGAGAGAAGATTCCTATGGGGTCTCGTCCTGTAACATTTGCTCCTAACCAATACCATTCAAATATGGAGGGTTCTTGGGCCATTGTTTGGAGATTATCTATAATTAGCAATAAGGGGTTACACTGCAATGACTTACAATTTGGTGGGGTGGGACCATGAATAAGTTGGAGTTTCTGTTTTAGTCCTTGCAACTACTTTGAAAAAGGGGGCCTGGCTGTCCACCGTCCATGTTGGGTGGTCTGCCAAACATCTGTCCAGTCACCACAGGGACTTTTTAAGGCTCCATACTTATACTTGGTTGACTCAATACGGTATGGACATAAATACTTATCTACATTTGATAGCTGCCTTTGAGCTTGTTCATCTCCACATGAGATAACTGAACAAGCATCAAACTCGAGGGTTAAGGGATGATTAGTTTGAGTCACATTGATGACGAGGTGACTTTCTGCTGGAAAGAAAAGGGAAAATAAACAAGTGATTATTAAGCCCTTTTTAGAGTTAGTTTGGTGAGGGTAGGCCGTAGGATAACGGCCCATTTTTCTCTGATTGTGGAAGTGTCTCCTTTCACTCACATGTGGTGTGTCCATCTCCTTTCAGCTGTGCGGTGCTTTCTATAATCAGGAGCACTAGGTAGGGTCCTTCCTAAGCTGGTTCAAGTTTTCCTTCTTTCCAGCTTTTGATGAGAACGTGATCCCTAGGCTGGTGCTGATGTGCAGGGAACACCAAGGGTGGCGTCTGTGCTAATAGGCCTTTAGTTCAGAGACAAGAGAAAGTGGAAGACAGTCCACGTACATAGCTTTTGAGGAATTGGTCTTTAGTTTCAAACATAGGAATATCAGCAGTGGAGTGTAAATAAGGCAACCCATATAGTATTTCATAAGGAGATAAGCCAATATATTTTTGATGGGCAGTTCAGTTTCATAACAAGGCAATGGGGAGGCATTTAGTCCATGGGAACCAAGTCTCTAGGACTAATTTGGTTAGGTGGTTCTTCGGAGTCTGGTTCATTCTTTCTACTCTTCCTGATAAAGATGGGTGCCAGGGGGTATGGTATTCCCATTTTATTTCTAATACTTGGGCTTTTTCAAAACATGTACAGTGAAATGAGTCCCATTATCTGACTCAACATTTTCTATTAATCCAAGCTTAGGTATAATATTTTCAGTTAATGCCTTAACTACATTATTAGCAGTCACATTTGAAAAGGGAATAGCTTCTACCCGGTAAATGAGGTGATCCACTATTACTAATAGGTATTTCAGGCAACCGATTGGAGACATTTCTGTGTGATCAACTTGAACACTTTGAAATGGTGTTAGTCCTGGATTTCTTCCCCCAAGTGGTGATTTTCTTGGAGCCCACTTATTAGTTTTGTTTTTTTTTTTTTTACATATTAGACAGCTATCTCTAACTTGTTTGGCTAGGGTATAAATTCCTATACACCCATAAACTGCTGTGTCACACATAGTTTGGGGTCCCCAGTGGGCCCCTTGATGCAGCTGAGACAAGATTTCCCTCATGAGGGGTTTCGATAATATTTCCCTTTGATCTGGTAATACCCATTTTCCTTCTTGGTTTTCTGTAGCTCATATTTTGATTAATTTTTCCTTTTCATTGGGAGAGATAATGGGGACTGCAATAGGGGGAGGAAGACAAGGGGTTAAGTGAAAAACAAGCACTTCAGAGGAAATAGCAGCCTGTTTGGCTACCTGATCTGCAAGGTTATTTTTCTGACTTTCAAAGGAAAAGCCTTTTTGCTGTCCTGGAACATGGACAATAGCTATCTCTTTGGGTAACTGGAGAGTATTTAGTACTTGGGTGATTAACTCTTTGTGGATGAGATCTTGGCCTTTGCGGTTAATAAGACCTCGTTCAGTCCAAATCTTCCCGAAGGTATGAGCTACCTCAAAGGAGTACTTAGAATCAGTATAAATGGTCCCTTCCTGGTTTTGCAAGCATTTTAAAGCCTGGCTTAATGCAAGCAGTTCACAAGTTTGGGCAGACCAATTATTAGCCAATCTTCCTGACCCGATTTCTACTAAAGCTTCTCCATCTATTATTGAATACCCATTATGTCTTTTTCCCTCAATTACCTGGGAGGAGCCATCTATAAACAAATACCACCCAGTTTTGAAAGGTGTGTCTTCTAAATCTGGTCTGACTTTTGTGTGGTAGTTCATTAAATCTAAACATATGTGTTCTCTTTTTAGGTTTGGATACCCTGTTAAGAAACCTGCTGGGTTGAGTGAGTTATCAGTGGTTAGTGTTAAATCATTTCTTTCTATTAGAATAGCTTCGCATTTTAAGATGCTTGAGTCAGTGAGTCACCTCCCTGCCTTTTGGTTTAAGATAGTTCTAACTTGATGGGGTAAGCTTACCACTAATTTTCCCCCAAAGGTTAACTTCCTGCTTTCTTCAGTCAGTAATGTGGTTGCTGTGATAGACTGAATGCATTCAGGCCACCCACTTGTACTAGGTTTAAAACCTTTGACAGGAAGGCTACAGGCTGCCTGTGGCTTCCGTGTTCCTGGGTAAGTACCCCTAAAGCCACCCCATTATTCATGTTAACAAAAAGGTGGAATGGTTTTTCTAGGGAGGGTAAAGCTAGAACAGGGGCAGTTATAAGCATATGTTTTAATTCTTCAATTTGATGAATTTCTTCAGAAGTCCACAGAAGATGGTCAGGTTTCCACTGGGTAAATTTTTGGTATAAAAGTTTAGTTTTTAGAGCATATGAATGAATCCATAAGCAGCAATATCCAACTAATCCTAAACATTTTTGGAGCTTCTGCTTAGTTTGAGGCAAAGGTAAGGATCTGATTCCTTCTACTTGTTCGGGTCCCATCCTTCATTTGCCTTTACTTATTAAGTGCCCTAAATATGTAACTTCACGTTCTACAAACTTGAGTTTTCCTTTTGAAACTCATAGTCCTTCCCCTTGTAAATGGTTAAGAAGGTGTGTAGAGAAGGCAGCTACTTTCTCTACATTTTCACCAGATATGAGAAGATCATCCACATATTGGAGCAGACATATGTGTTTTGGGGTATGAATTTATTCTGAAACCTGTTCTAAATTTGGCCAAAAAGGCTAGGGGAATCTGTGAACCCTTGGGGCAAAACTATCCATCAGTACTGTTGTTTCTGTCCAGAATAAGGATCTTCCCATTCGAAAGCAAATATGTCCCGACTGTCCTCAGCCAAAGGACAGGCCCAAAAGGTATCTTTTAAGTGTATTACTGTAAACCATTGATGGTCACGTGGGATTTTGCTGAGGATGGTGTAAGGGTTAGGGACAAAAGGATAAGTCATCTGGACTAATTGGTTGACAGCTCTGAGGTCTTGTGCTAGTCGGTATGACCTGTCTGATTTCTTTACAGGCAGTATTGGGGTGTTAAAAGAGGACATGCAGGGTTCAAGAAGCCCGTCTTGAATGACGCTTTAAATTACGGGCCTCAAGCTTATTCTGCCTTCTAGGGGAATGGGATATTGTTTTCTTCTTACTACCTCCCCAGCAGTTTTCAGCTTTATGTGTTTTGGAAGGACTTGAGGTCTTCCTTGATTTTCTTCTCTTGACCAGACATCAGGATGGATGTGTCTTTCACCCACACTGGTAAGTAGGTTTAGTGAGGTGAGGAATCCCTCTGGGCCAACATGTAAGCTGATGCTTAGTTCTAGCATTAAGTCCCTTCCTAACAGGTTAATTTCTGCTTCCAGGATTAATAGAAGCTTCATATGAGTTGATCGGTTTTTATACTGACTTCTGTTTCTTCTAAGATTTTAGCTTTAAATCCTTCTCCCTTTACCCCTGAGACAGAAAGTTCTGAGGAGCAGGTGATATCAGATGGAGGGAAACAGAGGAGCGGGCTGCTCCTGAATCTACTAAAAACGTTATGAGTTCATATTTGGGTCCCACCTCTAAGTTTATCAAGGGCTCTTGGTGGGACTTGAGATAAAAGAGACAGAGCCCCTGGCCCCCCCTATTCTTCCTCAAAAGTCATGAGTGGAAGGACTTCTTTTTATTTTTCCCATGCGGGACATTCCCTCTTAAAGAGACCTGTTCTTCCACATTTAAAACATCTATTCTGTCTTTTCTCTGTTTTGGGATTCTTTGGCTTGGCCCCCCTGTGTTCTTTATAGGGTCTGGCAAATGAGGTCCCGGATCCTTTAATAGGGGGCTTGAAGCCTCTAAATGGAGGTTTGGGTCATTTATAGATTTTGGCCCCCTGGGGGCTTTGTTTAGAAATGTATTGATTTGGAGCCCCCTGTTGATAGGTGGATAGCATGAATTTTGCTTTCACTTTTTGCTTTTCTTCGTATCTTCTCACATATACCTTTTGAGTTTCTCTGAGAAATTCACTTAGAGGATGATCTTTCCAATCCTCTATCTTTTGTAATTTCTTGGAAATGTCTGCCCAACTATTAGTAAAAAAATGAAGCTTTAACATTCCTTGTCCTAGGGGATCTTATAAATCTAGGCCTGCTTATTTTTTCATTTGCTCCTTTAATCTGTTTAAGAATTCTATAGGCTCTTCATCCTTCCCCTGTTGTGTGCTGAGTGTCTGAGACAGAGTCTGAGTCCAGGGTACTTATTCTTGAGTTCTTTTTATCATCATCTCCCTCAGGTCTTGCAGGTTTTTCCAGTGAGCTATGTTGTTATTGTCCCACCAGGGATCTTGGGCACGGAATTCCTCGTCTGCTGTAGAAACGTTTTAACTGGGGGGTGTTCATGTTCTCAAACTACCATAGTGGCCCTAAGGATCATGCCCCTTTCTCTCCCTGAAAACAGGATGCCCAGGATGGGCATTAACTCAGCCCAAGTATATAACTGGGGTCCTAGAAATTGATCACCGACCTGATCTGCCACTCGATGAGGGTCATCTCACAGCGGCTTGAGTTCTTTTTTAAAGCCTGGAACTTCTGAACTGGTTAGAGGAGCATTTATGAAGCTGATGGCACCCCCTCCCTGCAGCACCTCTTTTAAGGGGCAGAGAGTCAGAGCTGATTCCCCAGGGATAGGGGATAAAGGGAAGTTTTGAATATCCTTTTTACATTGCTCTACCTCACGTTGGAGTCCTTTTAGAGAAGAGTATTTAGGCTGGTAAGGAGCTGGCTCATGGGATGATAATTCCCAAGAATTGGGGTTGTAAGGGGTGGGGAACAATGTGAGCAGGGGAGGGATCTGGAGTGGGGTCTGAGGTGGCAACAGCTGCTTGAGGGGGAGAATTGGGGGTATTGAGTGGAGGAAGATGGTCTAGGGGATCCCATGTGTTGATGGGCTGTCTAGGAATAGGGACCTTTTCTCTTTCAGAGCAGTAAGATTCTAGCTTGCTCCCTCTGATTTTTAGAGGGTAAAGGAGGACAGGTCCTTGCCTCCAACAAAGAGCATACTCTATATCCTCCAGAGACACAGGGCTTTTGTCATTAATATGTTCCATTAAAAGTTAACAAATCCATTCTTCACTGGACCCAAATTTTGGCCAGAAAATTGAGGGTTTGAGGATTGGCTCTCGAGCCCAAATGAAGCAAAAATACTTTATCATTTGCTGCTTTCTTTTATGTTTGGTTCTTTTATTATCTTACCAATATTTTAGCATAATCCCTAGGCAACTATCAGGAGGAATTTCATCATCTGCCTGGCTCTTTATTTTCCCTGTCTTATTTGAAACATTTCCCATCTTGGAGGTTTGGTATGGTGTCTAACTGGAGCAGGCTTTTTCCCTGGAGTTTTCAACCTCCCCTCTATTGGAGGTTTCTAATGCTTCTGGGTGTGTGGGGGCTCAACCTCTCCTACTAGAGATTTCTTGCCCTCCCTTCTTCTAGAAGCTGTGTGTGAGTCTCAATCTCTCCTACTAGAGATTTCTTGCCTTTCTTCTCCTAGAAGCTTAGCTCCCCTTTTACTGGATGTTTCTTGCAATCTTCTCCTTTTGTTTTGTACTCACTCAGCACAGTAGTAGTGCTCGTTACCATTCACACACTTTCAACCTCCAAGATATCCCGACCTCCAAGGAAATACTTTATTGCCCCTGCAACATTTCTTACCTTGTCCTGTGCATAGAGTTACCTGGTTGCCGTGGTAGGTAGGTAAGAATCCTTTCCACCCACGTTGCTGAGAGTGTGGGTTTATTCGTCATGCTGGGGGAGGTCCTGATCCCTTTCCCTCTGAGGCCAACGCAACGAGAGAGTGTGACGCATCTCCTCATGGGAGATGATCTGGGACCCTTCCCCAGAGGAGAAAGGGTATCCCTGATGAGCCCCTATGATTGTTAGAAACAAGTGCTCTGTGCTGCAAAGAAGAACCAGCACTGAGACAAAGGATTTCTCAGCAAGGCAATTTACTTCTGCAGAAGGGTGCTGCCTGCATCAGCCATGCAGCACACTGAACAAAGGAGGGTAAGAGTTTTTATTCCTAACACGGTCCCTGCTTCTGTGTAGTTCCCCATTGGCTGGAGTCAAGACCACACAACCTAAACTAGTCCTGATTGGCTAAACACTTAAACCTTCTATGTAAGGTAGATGAGTGATGGGGGAGAAGGAGGGAAGAGAAGAGGGCCACCTGTGGAGAATAAGGCTAAACTTTTTCCAAATAAGGAAAGGAATGTAGAGTGAGGCTGACATGTCTAGGCATGTCAGGGCACAGCAAGAGCAGGAGGGCTGTTTGCAGGCTAGAAAGAAGAGAGTACAAGAAGGTTGAGCCTCTGAGCAAAGAACAAGGACATTGCACAATTAAGCCCTTTGAAGAGGAATTTATCCTCTCTGGCATGAATTAATGGTGTGATTAGTTCCATATGTTGCCAGACCTTACCAGTTGTGAAGCCAGCAAGTCCAAGAATTCTCAAAACCCCAAAAGTAGTTTATAACCTTAAAACATTTAGCAAACCTTGACTCCAACCTGCATAATTTAGCTCACCTATTTACATTTTAGTGACACCTGCATTTTACCAATAATTTTTAAGGCTGTTTTTATTTCTCAAAGATTAAAGTCATGTGAACTGAAAGTACCACAGCTTTTATCTTCCCCTTAAAAAAATACTTGATCCAAGCACTTTTCTTTAGGACAAATTAATTAGAGCTCTTTTTGTAAACATCACACACAGTATACACACAGACAGGCAGAAGAAAACCCAGTCCCTGGGCCCATTTTTTTTAAGAGACAGGGCTAGGAGAACATGTAGATATCTAACCTGATAGGGTTAGATATCTCATCACCTAAGGCAGGGCTGCTAAACAAAGCCTTGTCATGCAGTTACTGGCCATGCCCCCAGGATGTAAAGCAAGATGGAGGCCTGCAACACAAACCATACAGACATGCAAAGCACACCAGATTGGCTATAGCCCAAGACTAGCCCCACAAATCCTTTTTCACAACAAAAACTTTAGAGAGTACAAACAGTGATAGTTGGGGGGCCTGGCCTTGTAAAAATGTCCTCTAAAAGGAAAAAAAAATGTAAAGGTTAACTGCTGATGGGGTAGAAGAAGGGGATAAAAAAATCAGTTTAAAATGCCTGGGGAAGAACCTCTTATTCTTATGAAAGTGGATGCTCCACCAGGGGAAAAGCTTAATTTTCATCCAATAAAGCTGAAGCCCTTGGGTGGGGAAGGGGAAGGCTGTGGTGGCTTATGGCTGGGAGCCAGCCAGCTGGCTCTGCAGGACCCTTAGGCCGTGAGTCCCAACCCCTGCATGGAGGGGAGGCAGAGTGAGGAGACCCCACTTGCCTGTCCCTCTTGAAAAAGGAAGAAAATGGCCTTTCCCCTGACCCTTAGAGTGACAGGGTTTGGGGGCATGTTTCCCCCACCCTCAGAAGCTGGAGGATGAAAATAGGAGCGACAGTGAGAGGTTTCGAGTCCTCATTTCATTCGCCTCTTCTCGAGCACCCATGTTATGTGCCAAAATTGTTGCAGGACTTTTCCTTAGTTCAGCTAAAGATGGTGTTCTTGTCCTGCCCATGTCCATAAAAATCTATGCTCACAGATGTTTTAGAGGATGAGTAAATCTGGGTTTTATTGGGTGAAAAGCAAAAAAAAAAAAAAGGAAAACAGGATGCTCTGCTAGAGCACTTCCTGCTGACCATTCTAATCTCAGGTTCCACACAGGAAGAGGAGGGACCGTGCTCGCTCTTCTTTGCTGCAAAAGTTGTGAACTTCCCAAGGCTCCACCTCAGTGGGCAGACTGGTGGGAGTTTCTCCCGGGCACTGCTTCCCACCTGCCTGTCTCATTTTCACACTGTAATCAAGATACTTTTTTTTCTCTAGTTTTTCTTACTATCTATCCATTTATACTCACATTCCTACTTGTTCTGAAAGATCACAGTTACCCAGGCAGGTAATTAAAACTGCACTAATGCAACAAGGCAGCTTTGATACAACCTTTGAATGCCCTATAGAATTTAAATTTTATGAAGCATCCAAATATGTGCCCCAAATTAATTTTCTTTCCTTTTTCTTACTTGGGAGATTGCATTTTTTTTTTCACGAACCTACTATTTGGTCACTTTGATATTTATTACTCTAGTCTATATAGTATGTTATAATTTTTATGTATAACTCATAATTTATCAGTGTTTATTATTTGTAGATGCTATGTTCTGAGTATTTGGGTCCTCCCAAAACTCATAAATTGAAAGCTAATCACCAGTGTGATGGTATTAGGGGATGGAGCCATCCATCAGGAGGTGATTAGTTCATGAGGATGGAGCCATAGTAAATGTGATTGTGCCCTTATAAAAGGCTCCAGAGAACGGCCTTGTCTCTTTAACCATGGCAGGGCACAGCAAGAAGTTTCCATCTATAAACTAGAAAATGGGCCCTCACCAGAGGTTCCGTATTCTGTAACAGAATAAGTGAGAAAGCCACTTTTGCATAATTAGCTCTTCTTTCAATCTTGAAGTGTGATAATCATTTTCAAGTTTTTTCTGCTCTATAAAAAATATTTAGGTTTGCTGCAAATCCACTTGATATCAATAAATCCTCTGGAACTATGGACTCCATCAGCACTCAAGAAAGCAAAGGATCCGTTCCCTATAATTTCAAACCTGAAAAAGAACACTCTAAATCAGTCTGGGAACCACTTACGGCTGTAATCAAAAAGACAATTAATAATAGAGTGATTTTAAATATATTATACCAAACACTGAGCTCCCAGAAAATATACCCACCCATCACCATATGCTGCATTAAAATATCTGGTATATTAAGGGAAAAATAAGACTGAACATAAGTGTTGGAGTTAAAATCTGTAACCCTATTTAGAACAACTTGTAGATAGGCAGATAGACACATATAGGTATACAAAGACGGGGTAAAACCCTTCTTTCCTTCCATTCTTCCTTCCTTCCTTGGTTCTTTCCTTCCTTTCTTCTTTCTTTCCTTTCTATCTATATGCAAAGAGAGAGTGTTTGCCAAATTCAAAGATTCCTGAAATTAAAAAAATTCAGTTTTCTGGCATAATTTTAGGCAATGTACTTTTTCAAAAAGTAAAAATAAGATTTATATTTACTTGGTACTTTTGAAACATACTGCAATAGAAACCTAAGAGACTGCATACTGCAATAGAAACCTAAGAGACTGCTTATAGTCTTTTTTTTACATTTTATCCTCATGGATAGAAAGAATCAATATTGTGAAAATGGCCATATTGCCCAAAGTAATTTAAAGATCCAATGCAATACCCATCAAACTACCTTTGACATTCTCCACAGAATTAGAAGAAAACTACTTTAAATTTCATATGAAACCAAAAAAGAGCCCATATAGCCAAGACAATCCTAAACAAAAAGAGCAAAGCTGGAGGCATCATGCTACCTGACTTCAAACCATGCTACAAGGCTACAGTAACCAAAACAGCATGGTACTGGTACCAAAACAGACATACAGACCAATGGAACAGAATAGAGACCTCAGAAATAATGCCACACATCTACAACCATCTGAACTTTGACAAACCTGACAAAAACAAGCAATGGGGGAAGGATTCTCTATTTAATAAATGGCGCTGGGAAAACTGGCTATCCATACACAGAAAACTGAAACTGGACCCCTTCCTTACACCTTATACAAAAATTAACTCAAGATGGATTAAAGACTTAAATGTAAAACCCCAAACCATAAAACCCCTAGAAAAAAATCTAGGCAATATCATTCAGGACATAGGCATGGGCAAAGACTTCATGATGAAAACGTCAAAAGCAACAAAAGCCAAAACTGACATATGGGATCTAATTAAACTAAAGAGCTTCTGCACAGCAAAAGAAACTATCATCAGAGTAAACAAGCAACTAACAGAATGGGATAAAATTTTTGCAATCTACCCATCTGTCAAAGGTCTAATATCCAGGATCTACAAGGAACTTAAATAAATTTATAAGAAAAAAAACATCAAAAAGTAGGCAAAGGATATGAACAGACAACTCTCAAAAGAAGACATTTATGCAGCCAACAAACATTTGAAAAAAAAAGCTCAACGTCACTGATCTTTAGAGAAATGCAAATCAAAACAATAATGAGATACCATCTCATGCCAATCAGAATGGCAATTATTAAAAAGTCAAAAAACTAAAGATGCTGGTGAGGCTGTGGCGAGATAGGAATGCTTATACACTGCTGGTGGGAGTGTAAATTAGTTCAACCATCGTAGAAGACAGTGTGGTGATTCCTCAAGGATCTAGAACCAGAAATACCATTTAACCCAGCAATCCCATTACTGGATATATACCCAAAGGAATATAAGTAATTCTATTATAAAGACATATGCACACATATGTTTATTGCAGAACTATTTACAATAGCAAAAACATGGAATCAACCCAAAGGGCTATCAAAGATAGACTGGTTAAAAAAAAATGTGGTACATATACACCATGGAATACTGTTCAACCATAAAAAAGAATGAGTCCATGTTCTTTGCAGGGACATGGATGAATCTGGAAACTGTCATCCTCAGCAAACTAACACAGGAACAGAAAACCAAACACTGCATGTTCTCACTCATAAGTGAGAGTTGAACAGTGAGAACACATGGACACAGAAAGGGCAACAACACACACTGGGGGCAGTAGGGGGTGGGAGAAAGGGGAGGAAGAGCATTAGGACAAACAGCTAATGCATGTGGAGCTTCAAACCTAGATGATGGATTGGTAGGTGCAACAATCCACCATGGCACACACATACCTATGTAACAAACCTACACATTTTGCATTTGTATCCCAGAACTTACAGTAAAATAAAAATATATTTTTTAATTAATTTTCTTTGTTGATAAACAAATCTTTCCTTATTTATAAGTATAATTTGTCCTGTCTTGCATATTTCAATATTTGTTTTATTGGTTGCTTTTTTTAATCTAGCACGTTACTAAAATAATAAGGCAGAGATACATATGTATCCAAGAAACAATTATATAAATAAAAAAGTAAGCTAAATAAAAAATAAACAAAAATTAAAAAAATAAATATAATATTGCTTATGATGAACATTTGGAAAGCTAAAGACAACTATACAATCCTCAACCATTTTAACCCAAGAAACACTTTTAACAATTTTAACCCACCCAGGAAATGCTTACAGAAATAAAAATAAATAAAATAAGCAACAAATAAATAAAAACAAGTAGTATTCATTGTGGTGGGCATTTGGAATGTTAAAGACAACTATAAAGTCTTTAACCCTTTAAAGACAAAGAAATCTTATATACACTTTACTTGGAAAGAAGTACAAGTAATACGTGAGTTTTGGCTTAAAATTTGCAGAATGATTAAATTTGAATTAGCAAAAGAGAACTAATTGTCAAGCAAGAGCTTGATAATAAAGATAAAATAACAAATAAAAATAAAAATGGAAGATTTCACCATGTGTCATTTAACAAGGTGAGAAGAAAATGGGTTGCTCTAGGATATGCTTCAATGTGAAAGGGCATATGTCATCGATTGGAGACTGAAAAGTTAATTCCACATGGAAAACAGAAAGATTTGTTTATAATAATACAACTCAAAATGATTTAAAATTTTTCATATGACACACCAGAATAAGAACATTGCTAATACATTGGAAACTCACCAACCATTGAATGTGGTGCCATTTGTCCATTTCCAAGAATCTCCTTGTTTCCTGCTTAGTCCAATCCAGTGCATATCAGTTCCTGCGTACCTCTTCAAAAATTCCTTTCACAAAACAAAGGGAATCAGCGATTACTTAATATGTTACAGCACATTGCTGAACATGCTTCCCACCCCAATTATTCTATCTTTTAGGATTCACATTCTAATTTGTCTTCCCTGATGCTTCTATAACAACAAACAGCACAGATGTTGATGTTTGGGTTAGTTTTATCAGAAAGATTTTCATTTTGCTTTTTTGCATCTTAAGTATCTCCAGATAATTGGGCTACAACCAAGTCATTGATACCCTTTAGTATGAATGTCACTGATATTGTATGTTTTTTCATATAATCAGAGATAAAACTAACTTCTATATAAATATAATTTACTGCAATGAAATCTATTATGTGATGGCTTTAGTCACTGCTCTATTGGCTTTTTGCTATTAAGCCACAAACCTTTCATTAGCTTTTTGTTCTTTTAACTTTTATTTTAGGTTCTGTGATATATGTGAAGGTTTGTTACAGAGGTAGACTTGTGTCATGAAGGTTTGTTTTACAGATTATTTCATCACCCAAGTATTAAGCCCACTAACCAATAGTTATATCTGTCATATCTGCCATCACATAGTTCTGGGTTAATTATGGCAATATGCTAATTGAGATCAATAGGAGAGGACTGGAAAGTGTTTTATGTACATCATTTACATAGGCACTGAACAAACTTCTGTGTTAAACAGAACAATTAACTAATTAAAAGTGAGTCTTACCCAATCCAAATATACATGTCAGTACTAGATCAAAGATAAAAGTAGACAGACTCATTAGTTCACAAAAGTCATTTAAAAATTAACTCATCCATAACAAAAGAATCATAAGTCAATCACGTAAACACCACCGCAACCATTGTTGTTCTGGTTTTAGCTCTTTGAGGAATTGCCACACTGCTTTCCACAATGGTGGAACTATTTTCACTCCAACCAATAGTGTATAAGTGTTCTTTTCTCTACAACCTTGCTAGCATTTGTGGTTTTTTGACTTTTTAATAATATCCATTCTGACTGGTGTGAGATGATATCTCGTTGTGGTTTTAATGTGCACTTCTCTAATGATCAGTGATGTTGAGCTTTTTTTCATGTTTGTTGGTGAAATGTATGTCTTCTTTTAAAAAGGGTCTCTTTATGCCCTTTGCCCAATTTTAATAGGGTTGTTTTTCTCTTGTAAATTTGTTTTAAGTTCCTTAGAGATGCTGATGTTAGACTTTGACAGATGCATAGCTTGCAAAAGTTTTCTCCCATTCTGTAGTTTGTCTGTTTACTGTGTTAATAGTTTCTTTTGCTGTGCAGAAACTCTTAAGTTTAATTAGATAATATTTGTCAATTTTTGCATTTTTTTTTACTATTGCTTTTGTTGTCTTTGTCATGAAATTTGCCTGTTTCAATGTCCAGGATGGTATTGCCTAGGTTTTCTTCCAGTCTTTTTATAGTTTGGGGTTTTACATTTAGGTCTTTAATCCATCCTGAGTTGATTTTTGTATATGGTATAAGGAAGGAGTCTTGCTTCAATCCTTTGCATATGGCTAGCCAGTTATTCCAGCACAATTGATTAAATATGGAGTTCTTTTCCTATTGCTTGTTTTTGTCAGCTTTGTCAAAGATCAGATGGTCGTAGGTGTGTGTCCTTATTTCTGGGCTCTCTATTCTGTTCCACTGGTCTATGTGCCTGTTTTTGTACCAGTACCATGCTGTTTTGGTTACTGTAGCCCTGTAGTATAGTTTGCAGTCAGGTAACATGATGCTCCTAGCTTTATTCTTTTTGCTTAGGATTGCCTTGGCAATTTGGGCTCTTTTATGATTCCATATGAATTTTAAAATAGTTTTTTCTTTCTAATTTCATGAAGAATATCATTGGTAGTTTGACAGGAATAGCATTGAATTTCTGTCAGTTCAATGCCATTCCAGCCAGTTCAGCCTCGTTAAGAACTCTTGTTGGAGAACTGGTGCAGTTGTTTGGAAAACATATGACACTCTGACTATTTGAGTTACTGGAGTTCTTGCATTAATTCTGTCTCATCTCTGCAGTGGGTGTCAATTTAACTGCAGTGTATATTTAGTACAGTCGATAGATCTCTTTTCTGTTTGTTTTCATAGGGCTGAAGCTTTGTGCAGGGTCTTTATTTGAAGGTGACTTCTTTAATTTTAGAGGGGGTTATGTTAGTGAGATATTTTTGGTGTTGAAGATTTGAGGTGTGATCCAGTAGGTTGCGCTTGGACGTATTTGTCAGTTGGGAGACTCTTGATCCATTGTGTGACTCCCTTACTTTTCCTCACAGTTGCAGCCATGTTCTCTCTCAATGTTCTGAAAATGTGGGTTTCTCTCCCACTTGAGTGCTGGCTATAGATTGTGACTTGGCAATTCTAGGCTGCCCACTGCAGCTCTTGGGTGATCTCAGTGTTTATGTTTCTTCCCCAACTTGGAGGCAGCAATGGAAGAGACCTTAGTAGTGGTTAAAGCCAATGGTCTTTTGCTTTTCTCCTGGGAGCTTCACTCCAGAGAGATGCAAGTAAGCAATCATTCAGTGCAATCAGCCCAGGATGGAGGGTCTCTGCTGTGGGCCCAAGCTGGAGGTTCCATGTCTGGTGATGAGCAAGGTGGGTGAGCAGAGCCTGTGGAGATGGACTGGCCTCCTCTCCTGCAACTTGTTGGAGGTGTGGATGAGAGACTTAGGGTCTTTGCTCCTTCATTAGTCTGAGGGCAGCAAGGGCAGTTCCAGTGCAGAGGCAGTGGCAGAGAGGTTTCCTGTTGCCCCTGGAGGCTCTCTCTAAGACATTCCAGAGCTGCTACTGGCTCAATAGCGCTTGCGAGGGGGGCTGGAGGCCCAGGCCTGGAGGACCCTCCTGGTGAGGAGACAAGGAGATGGGCACTCATGTAACAGTCTGGCCACTTTATCATAGGGCTGCTGTGGTATGCTGGTGGCCATCTCCAGTCCCTATTTACCTCGGATTTTCTGATACCTGTAGGTACCAACAGTGAAGCCTACAAAACAGCAAAGAAGGTGGCCTGCCCCTCCCTCTGTGAGCTCTGTGCCAGGGAGGTACATAGCTATTACCGGCCCAAGAACACCTGTAGGAGGCAGCTAAAGACCCTGGTTAGAGATCCTGCCCAGTGAGGAGGAATGGGATTGGGTACCCACTTACAAGGGCAGTCTGGCCACTTTTTTGTAGAGCAGCTGTGCCGTGCTGGGGGACCACTTCCACCCCTGGTCAACTTGGACTCTCCAAAGCCTGAAGGCTGGATGGCTAAGTCACCCAAACAGCAAAGATGGCTGCCCACATCTCCCTCTGGGAGCTGTTTCAGGGAGGTGCAATGCTGTTATTGATGGCTGGCTAGAACTCCAAGCCAGTGGGTCCTATCCTGTGAGATGCCATGGAAGTGGGTCCTGCAGAATGTCGCTGCTCAGCCTCCTGGATTCAGCCCCTTTACTAGGGATGTGTAAGGGGGTCTAACCTCCCTCTTCGCTGGAGTTTCAACTACTTTTGCTGGGAAGCCTGGAACTCCTGGCTATCTGAGGCTCCCGGGTCACTGCACATGCCTGAGAGGCTGCTCTTTTGAAGCTCCACTTAGCTCTGTGTGTCAGACTGAAGGCCCCGGTGGAGTTGGTTTACAAGGGGATCTCCTGACCCGAGGGTTGCAAAGATCCATGGGAGCAGCATGGGTTCCAGGGGTTGCACATTCACTCACCACTTCCCTGGGCGAGGGGAGTTCCCCTGGCTCCATGTCGTTCCCAGGTTGGCCATCGACCTGCCTTGCTTTTCTTCATTGTCTATGGGTTGAGTTGTTTCCTTGATTAGTTCCATTGCGTGTACCCTGGATGTTTCAGTTCAAAGTGCTGTATTTACTCACCCCTTCAGTTCCTCTCTTTGAGAGCTGCGCACTCCAGCTACTTCTAGTCGGCCATCTTGGCCACTCTCCAACCCCCAGCTTTTCTTTAAAAACTAATCTATTTTCTTACTCTGTGTCCCTAGAGTCCACGTGTCTCCTTCTTTGCCCTCTTTACTTCCATTAATTCACTCGCGTCTTCGAAGTGCACATATTTCCTTCATTTCCTTGTCTCTAAATTCTAAGAGCTGTATTTTTAAAAATTTTTTCTGTCTATGCTTGGTAGAATGCAAATTGAAAAGGGTTTAAAAAATCTACTTAATAATCTAAGAACATTTAACGAAGACATTTAGATACATAAACAGTATGCATTGTGGTAAAGGACATGGCATCACTAGTCATCTTGCCTGGGTTCAAATCCCAGCCCAACAACTTATGGCTGTGTCATTGGCTGGGTTACATAACATTTCTGTGACTGACTTTCCTCATCTTTAAAGTAGGGAGAGTTATATAACTCCTTCATGGGTGTTAGTAGAAGATTACATGAGATTATATAGTTTCAGTGCTTAGAACACTGTTGAGCACACATTGTCATACACAGTTGACTCAAACAATGTGGCAGTTAGGGGCACTGACCGCCTGTGCAGTCAAAAGTCTGTATATAACTTTTGACTCCTCAAAAAGTTAACCATGCTGTTTATGGTATCTCATGCTAATTCTAGCACTTTGGGAGGCTGAGGCAGTAGAATTGCTTGATCTCAGTTTGAGACCAGCCTGGACAACATAGTGAGACCTCATCTCTACAAAAAATAAACAAAATTAGCCAGGAGTGGTGGTCTGCACCTGTAGTCCCAGCTACTCAGGAGGCTAAGGTGGGAGGATTGCTTGATCCCAGGAATTCAAGGCTACAGTGAGCTGAGATTGCACCACTGCACTCCAGCCTAGGTGCCAGAGTGAGACTCTGTCTTAAAAACAAACAAACAAACAAACAAAAAACAAAAACAGAAAACTTAGCCACTAGTAGCCTGCTGTTGACTGGAAGTCTTACTGGTAACATAAAAGTAAATTAACATATATTTTCATGTTATTTGAATTATATGCTGTATTATTACCATAAAGGAAGCTAGAGAAAAGAAGATGTTATTAAGAAAATCACAAGAAAGAGAAAATCTATTTACTATTCATTAAGTGGAAGTGAAGACATCGTAAAAGTCTTCATCCTCGTTGTTTTCATATTGAGTAGGCTGAGGAGGGGGAAGAAGAGGAGGGTTTGCTCTTGCTGTCTCAAGGGTGGCAGAGGAAAAATAATCCAGGTATAAGTGAACCCACACAGTTCAAACCCATGTTGTTCAAGGATCAATTGTATTATAGTATTAGCTATTATTGTTTTATTATGTTTTTATACAAACAATCTCTGAAATTACTGAAGACTTTTCTGTTTTCTTACCATGTCTTCTTGTGTATCAATCTGAGCAAGTTCTGCTTTCTGCAAACTACAAAATATTTTACTGGCTGTCCAATTTCTGGTATCATCAGAAAAATAGAAACACTTATCTCTCACTCCAAGCCAGTCCCCTGAACATGCCACAGGTTTAGCATGCTTGGACCATGTGGCTGAAAAAAAAAGAAAGAAATGATCAGATAAAGCATATGTTAAAAAGTGTTTCTACTCATTCAGGTGTATTAATTTTACTTTTTGCTTCCACAGTTTGAGGCCCGTAAGTTAGCTTCCCCCCTCCCCAGAATGAGGATGAATTAACTTCCCCTGTCTGTAAGGAAGATCATTTAGTGATCAAGCAGTGCATACTTTTTTCTATTTCCCTGGCTTCTATTTTGAGAAATGGAACCACTAGCTTCTCATAATCTATATTAATATCCTGCCAAAAACAATGCATAAAATGTAGCTATAAATTCTGCAATCAAGGTAGAGTGCTGGAGATCTGCATGTAATTTAGGTTTCGAGGTTAGGGTAAGAAATGGAGGCTTTCCTTTACCTATGAAAACACCCAAGCTAGGAAAGTGAAACTTGCCATAAAGGACAACACATAAGTGAAACATAAGAATTAGTGAAACCTTTGTTTCATTTCATTTACATCCAGTGCTGAAGAATATGGAATAATAATGAAAGCACATTGTTTGGAGATTTACTGTCTCAAGGTTTTATTTAGGTGCTAAGTATTCAGAATAAGACAAGTCCATGCATTCCACATGTTTGAATAAATTAATGCAAGTAATAAAGAGCCAACTATATGCTCAAATGTAGGGCAAACTCCAAAGGCTGCACCCCCTACTCCACCATGATTTATTATTATTATTATTATTTTGTAGTGCTCAGAAGTGGATACAGGCTACTACACAGGGTGTAAGATATAATGTGTTTCAACTCTGTCTCTGTGCTCTTTTTGTTGTGTTTTGTTTTGTTAAACTTTAAGTTCTGGGATAAATCTGCAGAGTGTGCAGGTTTGTGACGTTGGTATACATGTGCCATGGTGGCTTGCTGCACCTATCAACCCATCTTCTAGGTTTGAAGCCCCGCATGCATTAGGTATTTTGCAATCTATCCATTTGACAAAGGACTAATATCCAGAATCTACAAAGAACTTAAACAAATTTACAAGAAAAAAACAATCCCATCAAAAAGTGGGTGAAGGATATGAACAGACACTTCTCAAAGAAGACATTTACGCAGCCAACAGACACAGGAAAAAACGCTCATCATCACTGGCCATCAAAGAAATGCAAATCAAAACCACAATGAGATATCATCTCGCACCAGTTAGAATGGTGATCATTAAAAAGTCAGGAAACAACAGGTGCTGGAGAGGATGTGGAGAAATAGGAATACTTTTACACTGTTGGTGGGACTGTAAACTAGTTCAACCATTGTGGAAGACAGTGTGGCGATTCCTCAGGGATCTAGAACTAGAAATACCATTTGACCCAGCCATTCCATTACTGGGTATATACCCGAAGGATTATAAATCATGCTGCTATAAAGACACATACACACGTATGTTTATTGTGGCACTATTCACAATAGCAAAGACTTGGAACCAAACCAAGTGCCCATCAATGATAGACTGGATTAAGAAAATGTGGCACATATACACCATGGAATACTATGCAGCCTTAAAAAAGGATGAGTTCATGTCCTTTGTAGGGACATGGATGAAGCTGGAAACCATCATTCTCAGCAAACTATGGCAAGGACAGAAAACCAAACACCACATGTTCTCACTCATAGGTGGGAATTGAACAATGAGAACACATGGACACAGGGACGGGAATATCACACATTGGGGTGATGTTGGGGTTGGGGGAGTGGGGAGGGATAGCCCCCCTGTCGTGGGGTTGGGAGAGTGGGGAGGGATAGCATTAGGAGATATATCTAATGTAAATGACGAGTTAATGGGTGCAGCACACCAACATGGCACATGTATACATATGTAACACAAACCTGCACATTGTGCACATGTACCCTAGAACTTAAAGTATAATAATAAAAAAAAGAAAAAAAGAAAAAATAATAATCGCCATACTGACTGGCCTGAGATGGTATCTCATGTGGTTTTGATTTGCATTTCTCTACTGACCAGTGATGATGAGCTTTTCTTTATATGTTTACTGGCCACATAAATGTCTTCTTTTGTCTTTCTGCTCTTTTTAATCAATGAATAAATGAACATAAAAACTTACTGTAGAAACTCTTGTCTATATTTAACTTCCAGATGTTTAGACAGCAATAACATTAAGCTCTAAGACTACACTGACAGTAGAGACTATAAACAAGAAGACTATCAGTATTCTTGAGAATGACCGAAACCCAACCCAACCCAACCCAACCCAACCCAATCAAACCAAAACAAAACAAAGAGCAGTGCTACTTAGCCAAATATAAGTGCTAAATTAAGCAAACCATGCATATGGAAAATCAAGTGCTGGGGACTATTTGGCCATGGCTCAGGAATTAAATTCTACCTTTGGATCTTTTTCACAAAATAAACCCATAGAACCCAGAGGAAATTTAACAACTTCATTTTTACAAATATTGCAATTCCAATGAGACAGTCTTGCAAAAGGTCACATATGCCGTTATTTCTTTGTTTTTTTTCATTTAACTTAATATGATAGTGAAGGAGTTCAGAACATGATGCCCCGAAATATGTCACTCAGGCATATAGACTCTTTTGAGTTAAACGCACTTTTAAAACAGCAGATGCAAGAGAAAACACTCTGAGCTTCCTTATTTTTCTTATAAGCAGGAGATAAAATACCTTTGTGAAAGATATCTTCTCTATACCAGAAGGAAAGCAACATTCTTATAGTCAAGGATAGGTAGTTGAGGCCAAAGGAAATGTGTGCAAACAACATTTGTTAATTTAACATTTATCTTTCCGGTCACTTTTCTACCCAATTAATTACCCTAGATCAAACCTCTTTGCCTTGCCACATTTTCATAATTTATTACCCTTTGTTGAATTCAATATATAAGTGTTCAACTCTACCTGCATCTTTAGGCTTTCATAAGGAAGACGTGCATGTCACGTCAAACTTATATTAACTAAACGCATGTGCTTTGCTCAAGTTGATGTGTCTTGTGTCAATTTCATTCTCAGGCCCGCAGAAAAACCCTGAGCGGGTAGAGGTAAGATTTTGCATTCCAACTAATAGAAATAAATAAAGTTTTATAGAACAAACTATTAGTGACATAACTTACTCTTGATTAAAAAGAAATTAAAGGAATGCTACAATTATGAAGGTCAAGCTGCATGGTTTTTAAAATTTATCAAGCATTAGAGTTATACAGCCAAGGTGTTTGATCCTAGGTCTGGAATGTATTATTTGTGAGAGGCAACTTACTCATTCTGTCCTGTATATTTTTTATCTGTAAATGGATTTTCTTATACCTGTATCCTAGTCTAATGAGGATTAAATACAAATAGCAGAGCATAGTGTATTTAACATTAGCTCACTAATTCACAAACTCTAAAAAAGAAAATTATCTGTAACAAGCCCATAGAACTGATGTTTATGTGGGATTTTTTTTTATAAATATAGAAATTGATCCTCCTAGTTTTAAAACTTGAAACTTACATTTGTCTTATTTGAGTTCATTCTTTAGGAATCTGACCTTTAGTCCTCTCAGATAGTAACAGGAAACCGAAAGTCACCAGATCACCACTTCCAGACAAGGGACTCCTCACTGCCATGATTGTCTAACCGACCACCTGCTCCCTGTTGACCAACTCTTCTTCCCTACCCCTCCCTAATTCGGGAATAGTCATTGTCTCCGGGATTGGCTTTCTGTGCCCTGAGCAATGGGACCTAGACTGAACCCCTGGCATTTCAGTAACATCGCTATTGCTGTTGCCATCTGGTGGTCATCTAAGAATTTAAGATTATTTTTCTTAAGCATCAAGGACTATAAAGTCAAGAACATAATTCTATTGTAAAACTGAGAGTGTTTGGGGGAGAGGCAAGGATTATGGTAAAAACTGTTGAACTGGTAAAAATTTGAGGACAAGTGTCTATAAAACCCTTTAATCACTCTAGATGTGGGAGATTTGGAGTTAAACTTGAGATATACATGGACCCTTCAGGAGTGAAGAACCATAGAAAGTGTATGAATTAAACCACTCACCTATCATAATAATGCAAACTGTAGTAATAATAATACTCAGGAAGCACATAAGGCCAATCTTCCAGTTTTGTATCAACTTGGGAACTGCAAATTAAATCAACACATATTTTACAATTTCTGAATAAACACTGACTCGATATTATTACTGGTGTATTCCTCTCCTATAATTGTTAATCAGGAAACCCTCAATCAAGTACATACATCTCAAAATAACAAAGGATAGCAAACCATCAAAAAGTGCAAGGAAGATAAGTACCAAAAAATGATTGCTATAGCTGTTCGGCTCGAGAGAGTGGTGAGTGGAGAAATCACTGAGTTTTGGGGGAATGAGGAAGGAAAGGAAAGGAAAGTTTACTTAAAAGGTAGAAATAGTTTGAATGGGGGATTTTAAGCAAAAAGGCATAAAGATCATCAAAAGGTCCACGATTAGAGCAAATGTTTATAACAGATATATAAGGCAATAGGATTAAAGACAGGAAAGAAAGGAGTCATAAGGTCATGACAGAAGACCTTAAATGAGAGATATATTTTTCTTTATTCTTTAAGCCATGGAGGAAATAAACAATGTGTTTCAGCCAGAGAATATTCAAGATAAAAGCAGTAATTTATTTATTTGTGGTAAGCAAACAAAATTAGAGAAAACTCAGGATTTGACACTCGTGGAAATGCTATGAGGTTAAGAACAAATAATAATTCTATTAATGATAAAGTAATTGTAGCTGATATATCATTAGTAGATGTAGAAACAATCTAGGAAGAATGTGCGTGTATGTGTGTGTCTGTGTGTGTGTGTGTACAGTCATGCATAGCTTAGCAATGGGGAGATATTTTGAGAAATGTGCCTTTAGGTGATTGTGTCATTGTTGGAACATCATAGAATGTACTTACACAAACTTAGACAGTATAGCCTACTAACACCTAGGCTATATATTACAGACTGTTGCTCCTAGACTACAAAACTGGATAGCATGTTATCGTACTAATTACTGCAGGCAATTATAACACAATGCTAAATGCTTGCGTCTAAACATAGAAAAGGTACAGTGAAAATACCATATAAAAGATCAAAAATGGTACACCTTTACAAGGCAGCTTCATTGTAATCTTATGGGACCATTGTTGTTATGCAATCTGTCATTGACCAAAACATTGTTCTATGGTGCATGACTATATGTGTATATCGTGCATATATGCATAAACACAGATTATATATATGTATGCATGCCTATATGCATATATATGCTTTATATGTATGTATATATACATGTACATATACATACATATATTTAAATATCAGAAAAGAGGACTTGAAGAAAGAAAAATTTAAAAAGAAGTCATGTTTTCTCTCTTTCTTCAGAACTTAAAGCAGCCTTAGTGAATGAAAACTTGAAAAAGTTACTAGTTTTCATGATCACCAGACTACAGATAATGTGCAATAAAGTAATTTCAAGACTGGATTGAGAGAAGCCAGATTCTGAGATGTTTACAAAGAGAATGTTTGATAGGAAGAAGAGTTTGGTAATTTATCTTACATCTAGAGAAACAATAGCTAAAGATAGAAAACATAAAATGTGTTTTTTTTTTCAAGATTAGGGAGAAATGAAGAACAAGGAAGAAGAAAAGATAAAAACCACTGCACAAATTTCAGACACCCAAAATAGTAATTTGTGGGCAAAGCCATGTCTTACACAAAAGGTATTGAAACAATTGAGAAAAAAAGGCTTTACCATACGACAACATCAGCTTACAAAATTTATTTAAGACGTATTATTGACCTGAACATAAAACCTGAAACCATACAATTTCTAGAAAACATAAAATAGTTTGTGACCATGAGAATTAGTAAAGCTGTCTTAGAGAAAGAAGAGAAAGTACAGTGTAAAATTAAAAGAAAATGATAAATTGAATTTAATTGAAATTTAAGGGCTGGGCACAGTGGCTCATGCCTGTAATCCCAGCACTTTGGGAGGCCAAGGAGGGTGGATCACCTGAGGTCAGGAATTTGAGACCAGCCTGGCCAACATGGTGAGACCCCTTCTCTACTAAAAACACAAAAAATTAGCTGTGCATGATGGCAGGCACCTGTAATCCCAGCTACTCGGGAGGTTGAGGCAGGAGAATACTTGAACCCAGGAGGCGGAGGCTGCAGTGATCAGAATTATGCCACTGCACTCCAGCCTGGGTGACAGAGTGAGGCTCTGTCTTAAAAAAGAAAAAGAAAGAAAGAAAGAAGAAGGAAAGAAAGAAAGAAAGAAACCTCTGCCCATTTCAAGATACAAGACACTGTTGTGAATATAAATATGCAAGTTACAGACTGGGAGAAAATAGTCACAATATGTGTATGCAAAAAAGACTGGTATCGAAAATACTAAAAGGTCTGTAGTTTAGAGATATAGTACAAACAACTTGATAAAAAAAAGAACCAAAGTCTTGAACAAATACTTACAGAAGAATACACGCAAGTGAGCAATAAGCACATAAAAGATGTTCCATATTATTAGTCACAAGCAAAATGCAGAATAAAACCACAATGGAATATGACTACATGCCACTTGCACTGTTAAAATGAAAAAGACTGACAGCACCAAGTGTTAGCAGGATATAGGGGAACCGAAACACATACACAACTGGTTGAAGTACAAAAATGTATAAGTGTTTTGGAAAATTCTTTAGCAGTTTTTATTTTTAATTAAAATATATGTCCTTCATTCCTGTTCTGGCATGTGATATTTGCAATAGATTGGAAGTCATCCCTACTGTTCTCACAGTGACAACAAAAAAAAAGCTGAGAAAACTAAATAAAAACAACACTTCTAGTATACAGAAATAGTATTGATTTGTTAAATGTGCTCTTTTAAGTAACCCTCTTGAACTCTGGTATTATTTTTAATAGTTTTCTAGTTGATTCTATTGGTATTTATTTTTATATAATCAAATTATCTGAAAATATTGCAGATACAACTCTTCCATTGCAATCCTTGTCCTTTATAATTCCTTTTGTTTTCTTATATCACTGGTTACCTTTAGCATTGTACTACACTATTGCTAAACAGTAGTAGTTACAGTGAACATTTTTTTCTTGTTTTTAATCTTAAATGGAATGTTTAAATTTTCATTATTAAGCACTGTAAAAATGCTGTATAAATTTAACATACAACATTAGCAATTTAAAAAAGAATTTTTCTATTCCTAGTTTCTTAACAGGGACTTATCTCAGATAGACATTGAATGTTATCATGTTTCCTTGTTGTTATCAAATGCACTTACTGAATAATTGTGTGGACTTTCTTTCAAAAAATTTTAATATTTTTTGCACTGATATTCTGATATCTAAGCATTCCTAACATAAATCCACTTGTATATGAATTTTTAACTGCTTTGTTGTATATAGTAAATAAATATTTTCTTGGAATTTCTACTTCTAATTTCATAAGAAGATGAGTCTGTTTCTTTTTGTCTTGTTCTGACTTTGTTTGGAAATCAAAAAGTCTATTAAATCGGGGTAAATTTCTCATTTTGCTGTTTTTTGAAGCAAGATGTCCAATACAAAAATTAGCTATTTCTTGAAAGATCAGTAGATTACTCTATTTTAGTTGCCTTTTCAATGTATTTATTTTTAATTTCTATAATTCTATAATTATTTATTTCTTCTCATTACATTTTGGCATTTTATATTTTTTAGACCTCTACCTTCTTTTTTTAATATTTATAAGCGCATTAGTGTTTTAGTTTGCTAGGCCTGCCGTAACAAGTTGTCACAAACTGGGCGGCTAAAATTAACAGGAATGTATTGTCGTACAGTTCTGGAGACAAGAAGTCTGAAATTAAGATGTTGGTCGGATGGGTTCCTTGTGAGGCCTGTAAGGAAAGAATCTGTTCCAGGCCATTCTCCTTGGCTTGAAGATGGCATTCTCCCTGTATATGGATCCGTCTCTAAATTTTCCTTTTTTATGAGAACACCAGTAATATTAAATTAGGTCCCAACCTACCGACCTAATTTTAACGTGGTAAAGACACTATCTCCAAACCAGATCACATTCTGAGGTAGAGGGGGTTAGAGCCTCAATATATAAAATTTTAAGGGAACAGAGTTTGCCCCATAATAATTGATGAATTATTTCCATAATGTTTTATTAAATTTTAATATTTGTGGTTTTTGTGATTATTTGTACTTTTTTGATATTTTCTTTATTGTATCGTCTTCTGCAAACTTTTAGACATCTAGTTCTCTCGTCTTTTCTAATAGCCACCATTTGATTTGTTATCCCTCTCATTTCTTCTCTTTTTCACTAACGTCTCCTATTATCTCATTTTTTAATTTTGTATATTTTTCTTTCACTCTATTGTGCCAGATGCATGTTTTTTTCTTATCTATTTTGTTTGTACACTTTTGAAGTTTCAGTTTGAGGTATTTGGCTTTTATTAGTTTTAGAAGTTGGAATATTATTTCTTCAAATATTTCCTATCCGCTATTCTTTTTTTCTCTCTCTCTGTTTCAGATTCTTGTTATCTAGAAGGTGGCATTTCTACTTCTATTTTTCATATCTCTCAGCTTTTATTTTATATTTTCTAACTGTTTTCTTTTCTGTCATGTTTTTAATAGCATCTCCTAGGTCTTATTCATTCTTAATCAGCGTCCATTCTATTAATTAACTCCTCAAAGTGTTCTTTATTTCAAACACTATATTTCTATAATTATTATTTTCACTTGGTTTTTATTGTGTTCTTGGTGCTTCTTCATTTCATTAATATCTTTTCTTTTGGAGCATTTTTATTATGCTTTAATTAAATTCTCAGACTAGATGTTCTAATGATTCCTGCAGCCCGGCTTTCTCATAATCTTCCAGTACATGCTTCACAGTACTTCATATTTTGTCTTCTCGTTATGCAATGAGATAAATTTTCTTCCACTTTTTACTCTCTAAACTCTTAAATCTGTTACCCAGACAAGCCTGACTAATTTATTTGGCTAAAGGGATGGAATCTTATTTCTTTTTGTAATACTAATGTCCAATTGTGTAAAATGTAGACTAATTTTTAAAAATTTTCTTATGAAGTTTTCATAGATCAAGAGTTCGTAACTATGACCAATAGTTAGAATATACAACGAAGTAAATTTAACCTTACCCTAAAGAAACTTCTAAATAGAACATCCTTAAATTAAAATGGAAAGTCTTCTAAGACAGAGAGATATTATCACTGAAAACATTCTAGTATAGGCTGCTAGAAATGCTGTAGCTAGAAATCGTATGGTAGATGAAAAGTTTTACTAGGTAGCTACTGAGGTCTCTTCAACCTTTAAGAGTATCAGGCTTACTTATTATTAAAAGAATTATCCCAATTGCCCTGGGAATTCATATCAGTAAACTCTGATAGTGGTTTCAGCTGGAGTCCTTAACTCATTTCAAGATTTTACTTTTTATCTCTTCACTGTCTTTATCTTAAAGTTTTGGCAGGCTTCCTATTCCAGTCATTTGGCATACAATTCATTCGTTTTCTTTAACATAAACCCTCAGAACTATTGTGAATGGAGGGTGTTTGTATGTGTACCTTGTTTTTATTTATTGGTTTGTTTATGTTTCAATCCACTGAAAACAAACTTCATTGTTGGCCTTAGCTGAATCTTAAAATTTTTGAAAAGTTCTTTTCAGTCTTATGAAGTCACAATCATCAAGCCTCCTTCCAGAGTGAAGCATTTGCTTTTTATTCTGTATAAAAGTGTTAAGCAATTTTTTCCCTGTGAAAGTACATTTTAAAAATATTCTTATTGAGATATAATACACGTACCATAAAATTCTGCCCCAAAACCTTCTTACACACAAGCTTATACCCTCTCTTGCAGACATAAAACTCTACATGCTCTAACAGGCTTCCACAATTCTCCGGAAGTGCTTCCCCATCCCTCACTTACTTTAGTAGACTTTCACAGTAAGTAAAGAGTCCATATTTTTAAGCTGTCCTGTATTTTGTTTTATCTTTCCTTTACTTCCTTCTCATTCACTCTATAAAACTTACCTATCCGATGTATGAAGCCATCAGCTCTGCCATCCCGCAGCTCTGGATTAATCATGGCAAGGCGCTAACCGATGGAGATCAGTAGGAGAGGACTAGAAAGCTTTTCATGTACATCACTTATTTAGGCACTGAGCAAGCTTCAGTCAAAAGAGACTTAACCAATCCAAATGGAAAACATCAGTACTAATTTTAGATCAAAGATAAAAGTAGGCAGACTTGTTAGTTTAAGGAAGGAATTTAAAAATTAACTCATCCATAACAAAAGGATCGTAAAGTCAATCATGTAAACACCACAACAACCGTGCTATGGAACATTTCCATCATCTTTCTTTTTTTCCTTGTGTAATCACTATCTTTTCTGACCCTGGACCCTGGCAAGCATTACTTTGCTTTATATCAACATAGTTTTTCCTTTCATGGAATTTTTTTTTTTTGAGGCAGGGTCTCACTGTGTTGCCCAGGCTGGAGTGCAGTGGGGAAAACTTGGCCCATTGCAACTTTGACCTCCTTGGCTCAAGCAATCCTCCTGCCCTACCCACCCAAGTAGCTGGGACTACAGTCGCGCACCATCATGCCCTGCTAATTTTATTTTTTGTAGAGACTAGGTCTCATTATATTGCCCAGACTGGTCTTGAACTCCTGGGCTTAAGTGATCTTCTGGCTTCAGTCACCCAAAGTACTGGGATTACAGGCATGAGCCACCACGGCCAGCCCCTTTCATAGAATTTTATATAAATGGTATCATATAATATGTAGTGTCTTGTCTCTTGCTTATTTCATTTATAATACTTTTGAGATTCACTCAAGTTGTTGTGCAGGTAAGTAGTTCATTCCCTTTTATTTCTTAGTAGTATTCCTATTGCATGTTATACCAGAAATTATCTCTTTGATCACTAGTTGATGGACTTTTGTTTCTAGGGTGGGACTGTTATGTATGAAACTGCTGTACACAGGCATTTTTGTGTGAGCAAGTTTTCTCTTGGATAAATTCCCAGAAATTGAATTGCTGCATCATATAAGTATGTTTATCTTTATAAAAAGCTGTAAAACTGGCTGGGCGCGGTGTCTGTCACCTGTAATCCCAGCACTTGGGGAGGCCGAGGCGGGTGGATCATGAGGTCAGGAGATCGAGACTATCCTGGCTAACACAATGAAACCCCGTCTCTACTAAAAATACAAAAAATTAGCCGGGCCTGGTGGCGGGTACCTGTAGTCCCAGCTACTCGAGAGGCTGAGGCAGGAGAATGGTGTGAACCCGGGAGGCGGAGCTTGCAGTGAGCCGAGATCGTGCCACTGCACTCCAGCCTGGGCAACTGAGCAAGACTCCGTCTCAAAAAAAAAAAAAAAAAATTTGCTTCAGCCTGGAATCTTTGCTTTTGGTGCTTCGGTGCAGAGACAGAAAACGGGCACTCAGAGTCACACTGGTAGTTGCACACTGTATCTGCAGAGGGCGTGTCTCATCTGTACCCCGCTGGGTTACGGGATTTCAGGAGGTATTTTTGTCCACCTGCGAATTCCATTTATTACCTTTCATTTAACAGACAATGTCTTTCCTTTCTGCAGTTGATTTTGCTAAAGAGGCAATTCATAAGGTGAGGTCCTACTCATAGTATGACTTGCTTTCTCACGACCTCCTTCCATTTTTAGTAACTCCCTGGTCTATTTGGTGTCTGTAAAAAAAGAATCTGGTAATGGAGACTTCTTTTAATATGGAAATTTGGCCTGGCAATAACTTATTCCTTTCCACATGTAACTGACCCAATCTGGTTTCCAGATGACAAGTATGCAAGCCCCAGATGTTGAGAAGCCATATTTCAACTGCTTCCTGCATCTGTTGAAATATAATTGTTCATACTTGCCATCCCTTATGTTTCTTGTAACAATTTGCACAGTTCTTGCCAGAATAAATGCCATTCTCTGTATGCTTCAGAGAATTCCGCAATTTGATCAGTGTGTGTGTGTGTGTGTGTGTGTGTGACCTTCCGTAAAACACTTCTAAAGGGTGAAAGCTCTTGTATGGCATAGACATGAATTCCTTCCTCTGGTAATAATTAGGTTATTTCCAGAAGCACAGTGTCATTTTTTTTTTTTTTTTGAGATGGAGTTTCTCTCCTGTGGCCCAGGCTGGAATGCAATGGTGTGATCTCGGCTCACGCAACTTCCACCTCCTGGGTTCAAGTGATTCTCCTGCCTCAGCCTCCTGAGTAGCTGGGATTATGGGCATGCACCACCATGCCTGCCTAATTTTGTATTTTTAGTAGAGACGAGGCTTCTCCATGTTGGTCCAGCTGGTCTCGAACTCCTGACCTCAGGTTATCCACCCGCCTCGGCCTCCCAAAGTGCTGGGATTACAGGTGTGAGCCACCATGCCCAGCCCATTCTTTAAATAAAAGCTTTCCTGTTTAAGGCTTTTCAAAGGAGCAGACCACTTTGAAGATTCTCCCTAGGGTTGATATGTGTCTAATTCATTTTATAAAATTATTCTTATCTTCATTTTAAAGCTTTGGCTATACAGTCAGAAATGTCCTGGATAACAAACTATTTTGTATTTAATTTAATTTGCCTCTTCATTGTCTTATTCAACAAACATTTACAGAATGCCTAATTAGTACTTGGCATTTTTCAGGGTGCTTGAAATACGTCTGTGAACAAAATAGACACAGATTCCTTTACTCATGGGGTTTCCATTCCAGGAAGTTTAAACATAAAGACTAAAGATAGTAAACAAATGGTACAATATTCCATATTCCAGTATGTAATAAGTTCCACTGAAAACAAAAGATAGACCAGGTTAAAATTGATTAGTAATGTCAAGGTTGAGGAGTGTGAGCTGCAATTTTAATAGGGTAGTCAGGGTAAGCATCACTGAGAAAGTGAAATGTAAATGAACTTTGAGGAGGGAAAGTGCCATGTGGATACCATCATCCTGGTGGAATTGTGTGAAGATCCTAGGGCAGATGTATGCCTGGCACATTCCGGAAAGAGTGAGGAAGCCAGCTGTGTCTGGAGGAGAACAGTGAGAGAAGAGTTCAGCTAAGTACCAACAGGGTAATTCTGTTTTTGCCATTCTGAGGCCTGTGGCTAATATTCTAAGTGAAATGGGAAGATGGAAAATTCTTTTGAGCAGAATAGCGGTGTGATCTGACATACATTTAATATGTTCACTCTGGGTACTGTCCTCAGAATAAGTTGGAAGGGGATGCAATCCACTCACCTAGCCTGAATAACTATACTTAAAAATGTTCAAAGTTCTGCTCATGTTCATAAAATTCAACCCGCAGCCCATTATTTGTTCCTTTCTCTTTTCTTCTTTACCTGTCAAATTTTCTCCACTGGGCGCTCTGACTCCTTTTAACATTATTTCTATTTCAGTACAGCTGGATAGAAATGTCATCATTAGGAGATGCAAAGCGGTCCCCTTCTAATGTGATAGTCACCACTCCAGAGATGGCTAATGGAGATGTTTAATGACCTTAAAAATGCATAAGTCTCATTCCCCATCCTCCTTTTGCTAACGATGGTCATTTTTTGTAGCACAATAATCTGAAAATTTTAGAATTATTTTTGTTCTTGTACAGTACAGCATGTAAATTATAATTTAACAACACCTGCATTTAACCTGCTAACACGGTTTACACACTATTAAATCCCGGCCCCATAGAGAATGAGAAGATGAGATGCTGATAAAATTTGCTTCTGATGATGCTGAACATACCATCTATTTTTTCTCTTCTTTTTTTTTTGAGACGGGGTCTCGCTCTGTCACCCAGGCTGGAGTGCAGTGGCGCGATCTCTGCTCACTGCAAGCTCCGCCTCCCGGGTTCACACCATTCTCCTGCCTCAGGCTCCCGAGTAGCTGGGACTACAGGCGCCCGCCACCCCGCCCGGCTAATTTTTTCTATTTTTTAGTAGAGGGTAAGGGGTTTCACCATCTTACCCAGGATGGTCTCCATCTCCTGACCTCGTGATCCGCCCACCTCAGCCTCCCAAAGTGCAGGGATTACAGGCATGAGCCACCGCACCCGGCCAACCATCTATTTTTTCAATATTATTTTCCACATTGTTTGAATGTCTGTAATGTGTGTGAGACCCAGCTGAATTTAAAATGTGGTTCTACCATTTACTATAATCCCAGGTAAACAATCTTTCATTTGCTCATTTATTTCAGCAAAAAATGATAAAAATTCTTCATCATTTAGGGGTAAAAATATTTAGCATAGTTCATGGTACAAGTTAATACTCAAAAGAGAATTACTCATTATATCAGGAAATGTAAAAGCGAAGAAAAGAAAACTAGGCCAAAGTAAAATATTAAGAGGTGCAGAGACTTTAATATCAGCCAGATGTTAACCCTTGCCCTCTGTCCTTCTGAGACCCGTGTAAGTATTAGCTGGAATCTAAACCCCATAGGTTTGTGGGAATCCGGAGAACTCTCCATGATTTCTTCAAGTCACCAGGGCTTCCTTCTTCGTGGTCCTCTCCACTTCTAAATACTCACGTTTTGCTCCCATGACTCATAGCACAAAACTCGATTCTTTCACTAGTTTCAGCAACGACAGCAACAACAAATCCACTTAATGTAAATAATTCGCTAGTTTCATAACTTGACTAAAGACAAAACAAATAGATTAATTCTTTATTTACTGGACCTCCTGAGAAATAACTGAGCACAGCCTCGAAAATAGAACGTAAATTTCATTAGCCCGGTTTCTAAAACACGTGCAGTGTGGAAGGAGTAGAGGAAGTGAAACAAGCTGTTGCTCTCCTCCTATCTTTCTCCAAATTTTACCTCAGGACCCTGATGGCAGGAAGAAAAGGACACTATGTGACTTCAGTGCCTAACAACACAGTCCTGGAAGTTTACGCTGTTGATACTATAGCAAACATTGTAATCATTTTGTGAGGGATTGGATTCTTCCCTTTATACTGTAGCATAAACATTGATATATCAATGTGTTTAGCCATTTAGAAATTATAAAGAAGGGGAGTGTAACTGACATTTCATTGAACATACCTTTCATATATTACAAAATTGGTCTATTAATGCTGAAATAAATGTTCACATTTGGCCACTCTTTATCACCATCACTGTAGTGAAACAGGTATTCTTTACTCAATAGATTACGATACACATAAGTAAACAAATAAAATCTAAAGAAAAGATTTCCTACATTTATATTTTATGCCATACATATAAACATGTGAAATTCAAAATTCAAAACGGAGGAAAACAGGATGGTTAATCATGATACATTTCTGGTTATACTGTAATTATTTGGGGGAACTTCACAGTACTGGTGTACACTTTCCTAACTTCTAGGGTAACTTCAAATTTTTATCCTGCCCATTCCCAAAATATATGTGTATTTTTATGCTTATCCAATCCATAGTGCCAACTAATAACAACCGTTATGGGCTGAATTATAGGCCCCCAAATTTCATACATTAAGTGCCTAACTCCCAGTACCTGAGAATGTAACAGATTTGGAGATAAGGTATTTGTTTTTTTTAAAAAAGAAGTGATTGAGGTAAGAAAAGGTCTTTAGGGTGCACCTTAATCCAATATGACTGATGTCCCTATAAGAAGAAATAAGTTAGACACAGACTTGAGTGTGTACAGAAGGCCACATGAACACAGAGTGAGAAGACAGCCATCTGCAAGCCAAAGAGAAGGGCCTTAAAAGAAACCAACCCTACTAACACCTTGATCCTGGACTTAACGGCCCCCAGAGCTGTCTTTGAGCCACCCATTCAGTGGCATTTATTACAGCAGACTTAGCAAATTAATACACCAATGTTAACTCCTGTCTCATTTTTTGATGGGCCTGTATATAATATGTAATGCCACATTAAGCTGTTAATATTTTCTTTCAAGAAAATATAATATTATGTTTTATAGTCAGAAAGTTTAATCTGTCTTTTTTTTTTACATTTTTCAAAGATAAAATATAATATTGGGTATATTATCCCTCTCAAATCATTGTGCATTTTCACCCCAAATTGAATGTAAATACAATAATCATAAGAGAATTTTCTCAACTTTAGAAAGTTCCGCTACTAACTTTATTATATTATATACAACATGTAATATCTGGCATGGAGTGCTACAGAACCAGTATCTATTACAAAGTGGGCAGTCAATAAATGGTAGCTAGTGGTCACCTTTAGTTCACCAAAGAATACTGAGAACTCAATATCCTTTATATGACCTTCTCCACCCTGACGTTGGAGAAATTTGTAAGTGTTTTAAGAACAAAATAGATTCTAAGTGTATGATGAGTTTTTTCAAGCTATGGAATATAAAGAAGTTCTTGAATTTTAAACAAAGGTAAACTGAGGCAAACACGTTCTCTTCTTAACTTACTCTTGTGCATGTCAGGCCACTGGTGGGTGCGGAAAGTGTAGGCTTCAGTACACTCTCTAATGCTCTCCCATCAATGAAAGGCCAAAGGAACAACAACAAAAAAAACAAAAACAAAAGGCAAGGTCCCAGGTCCAAAGAGGAAAGGATCAAACTGCTTAGACTTGCATCCAGTTCAGGATAAAGGGAACACTTGTGACTCACATGTGGTATATACCAATTCCATATATATACATAAATATTGATATGTGATGCCAAACCCTCACTAAAAACCGTAACTTTGTCTAAATATTCTCTTTGGCATCTATTTTTTGAGGGTCTTTTGGGGGGATGATGTGGAGGAATCTATGGAGGAAGCCAGTTATAGACTCAGAATCTTTACCACGCTTTACACATTTAATAGTAAATACATGTTAGTAAGGCTTACCAATTGCTGAATGTAGCTCCATCTGCCCACATCCACGTTTTGTTTGCATTGTGCTTGCTCAGTTCAAACCAATATAAAGACGGCCCCAGATAATGCATCAAAGATTCCCTTTACAAAATACAGAGTGCTGTCATAGATTTCTTCTAGTTTTCTCATTCTCACTCCCTCCAGTGCCCTTTAAGTCTATTATTATCTTGCACAGTTACTGCAAAGGCCGTATAACATGATTCCCTCCGTTTACATTTGAGACTCAGTAGCCAACCTCATCACAGCAAAGATTATGATTCTTTTAAAACTTAAGTCAGATCCTATTACATTTTCCCTCATAATTTGGCAGTATCTCCCTATTTTGCTTGGAGCAAAAACTAAACTCTTTACAATAGCCTGCAAGACCCTAATGATCCGCATTCTTCACTCAATCCCTCATTTTAGATAGATTGACTGGCTGCTTCTTTTCTGTTCCTTGAATATTCCAGACATTCACTGGCCTTAAGACACACGCTCCAGCCATTTTCCTTTCCTGGAAAGTTCACTTCTAGATAGTCCCTTACCTGCTTCACATCCTTCCTAAAATGTCACCATCTTATTGGGATATAACCTTACCTGCAGTAAACCCACTCCCTTAATTTTCATTTTTTTGCATAAAACTTTCCAACTTCTAACACAATATATAAATTACATATTTAATAAGATAATTTTTCATTGCTTATCTCTTCCCCTAGCATGTAAACTCCACAAGGGCAAAGATCTTTGATTCTTTGGTTTGCTAATGTATTACACCCTAGGAGTGTGCCTGTCTTTTAGTAGCTATTAAATGAGTTTAATATTGCAAAGAAGAAATCTAACCATTTCATTCTGAGAGTTGAGCCTGGCCAGAGATCCATAACTTCTGCAGTTTTCTCAGCCATTGATCCACGTTGTTTCATGTTCAGATTGAAAGAAGCAATTATTATTGATTCAGTTCCAGCCTTGTGGACACATAGTCAAATTTTCTAGGCATGTCTTGTTTCTAAGGTGCCTTGGAATTCCAACTGAAATTAACAGGTAATAGAGAAAAAGAATAAAGAAAGTATCAAAGAAAGAAAGAGTGAGCTTCAGAGTAAAATATTATTATATAGCTCAGACTAATAAAATGTGTTTTACTTACATATTCAATTTGAATGACTTAACTTTAAACATCAATTCAAAAAAATTGAATATCGAGAAGAGAACATGAAAGGAATAAGCACTGGAGAATGAGAGCTATGAAAAATTTAAAAACTCAATAACAAACTTCCAGAAATTCAGTATCTTCCAGCCATTTTCCCTCCTAATTTTTAGACTACATGAATTTTCTTTATTCATCTATTTCTTTCCTAAAATTTACTATGCTCTCTAGAACAAGTTGCAGTGTAAATAAACAAATTTTTCTATATTCATAACTTCAGTGAGCTGGTTCCTATCATCAACTTAACTGAGACTATATTGTCTTTCAAAGACAGCATTTCTCTAGAAGGTGGCGCTGTTTCCTTGTCCGTTATGAAACAAGAAACACAGAAAAAAGAATGCTAAAATTTCCCTTTTTACTCTCCACTTTTACTCCTTAAGTTACTGCACTAGATAAAGGAAGTTCCTTGTTAAGGTATAATCCTGAAAGAAACAAGCTCTGAGAGCACCTCCTATCCACAACTAAAATAAATGACTGGTTCATCTTCAAATCTGTGAGTGGGAAAATCCTCAATGGGAAGGATCAACTGGCAATATGGTTCTATATAGTTGAGACCTGAGAGTGAAGTGAAAAAATCAAGTTATCAAAGTTATTTGAATGTGTCATGTTCAAAATTATTTTAAAATGTCAAATTCAAATCAATAACCAATATAAAAACCAAATACTTAATTCAAAACTTGGGTCACCAGAAAGGCAGTTTTCTCATTCATTTACTAATTAATTCATTCTTTCATTTACGCAGTCAACAACTACCGATTGAGCACCTGCTACACGCCAGACATTTTTGTAACTCTATGAATAGCCTACATAACATACAGAAATACCTACTCTTATGGGACTTATGCGTCTGAAATTATATAGTTTGTCGTAAAATAGATCAGAGTGAAGGAGAATCAGGGAATCACGGTTGTTGGTAAAATGAGTAGAAAGCAAACCACAAGAATATGGCGTCATGTAAGTCAAATGAAATTTTTTTTTTTTTTTAGAAAAAGGGAGTGCCAAAAGCTGCAAATAGGTTATATAATAAGGTGAGGAGGGAGAATGGACCAGTCGATTTAGCAATATGGAAGTTATTGGTGAACTTGAAAGACAAGTTTGGTGGAAAAAGCAGAGTGGAAGCTTGATCCAAGTGGATTTAACAGAAAAAGGAAAGATAAAAAATTATTTTGAAAAGCCGTTTTAAAGAGGTTGCTGTACCAAGGAGAAAAACAATAAATTGGTTGCTAAAAGATAAGTGGGGTCTAATAAATTCTGTTGTTTTTGTTGTTTATTTTTTCAAGGTTGATATAGATACCAGTATGTCATATTTGCTGATGGAGATGTTTCAGTTGAGGATGAAAAAAGGATAATGTAGGAGAGTGGAGAATTACTAGGGTGATATTACTGATCCAGTGAAAGAATATAGGATCTATTGTAGAACATGAATACTGCATCTACAGTTCCAGGAGTCTAGGCAGAGTGTAGGGGCAGAGATGGAGTAAGTAAGCTGGTGTGGTGATGGGAGCATTTGGAAGTTTCCTACAAATTGTTAAAATTAGAACAAGTTGGAAGCAAGGGTATAGACATGAGAATGAGCATGAGGAGAATGGAGATGAAGGACAAGGTATAAATTGCTAATGAATGGCAGTGAAAGAGTTAATGCACTAGGGAACTATAATACAATTGCCAGTCCCTCACCCTACTTCTTTGTAACTCCATCATAATTATACCTGGTGTGATTCTCTGACATGTGTGTTCTAAGATGATCTTTGATAAACGCCTACTTGAGTTTAAGATTCAGCACAAATATTTCTCCCTTCATTAAAGCCTTGACTACAAGCAGCTAACTTATAATCTCCTCTCCTGCTTCAAATTCAACATAGTTCTATTTAGTAATTATTTCTTTTGTGTTACAGTTGTTTGCTTACATGCTTCCATATTCAGTTAAAGATAAACTACTTTCAGGCAAGAAATACCATTTTTTTTCATTGTTATATCATCAGCAGGCAGCACTGTGCCTAAAGCTTGATACATATTTATTGAAAGACTGATTATTCTAGAAGGTGAAGCAGGTGACTAAGTTTGAAGAGCAATTAGATGCACTGTCTTGGAAAATGCTTTTATCTCTAAATTGTTCTATATTAAGGAAGGAAAGACTAGTTATTGGTATCCAACTGAATCAATAATACAATAATTTTAACAATTTAATTTAATAATTTTAGCAGAAATTGTTTACTTACATTTTCTGGGAAATCTTAAAATCCCCCAAAGAAGAAAAGCAATGCCTCCACATATAAAAATTGAGATGATCATTATTTTCCTTTCTATTATACCAAAGAGAAACAGATGTCATTGTTTATGTTCCAGAGAGAAAAAAAGCAAGCAAACCAACAAAAAACCCATCATGTTTATCTCTTTTCTCTATCTTCCGCGTGTTCTACTGTTCACAATTCAGCAATTAATGTATTAGAAAAATAAGAAAGGGAACTAAGACCTAACGTTTGAACATCAGGAGCCTCGAAGGTGCTTTGGCTCCACTTTCCTGTGCTATTTGGCAGAACTGTGTTACTAATTCTTCTGCCCTGCTTCCAGAACAGAAAACCAACAGTTTCCTCGCAGCGTCTTTTAATAAAATACTGCCTTTTCCAAGGGAAAATTCCAAGTATTTTTAATGAAATACTGTCTTTTCCAATATGATGGAGGAGGCTGGAATCGCCAATTATCATTATTATTGAAGTCTTTGTTTTATTAATGAAAACTGCTTTTACTTAAGATCTATATTATGGTCGCTATCCCCTACCCTGCCCTTCCCTCCCAATGCTAAAAGGGTGCAAGCTAGGATCAAGAAAAGATGCTAGAATAATCACACAACCTCACCCACCTGGCGTGTTGGTCTGCTGCTCCACAACCTCCGTCCCATCCTTACTCTCCATCCCTTCTCCCTCCATCTCCAACCCTCACGAGGAAGGCTCATCCTTCTGTGTGTGATCACAGAGGCTGGAATAATCCTGCGGGTGAATTGCAAATTGCTAAGTATATTTGGTGAGTGCAAACCGCAGGAAACTGACGACCCGGTTTTTCTGAGGGGTGGTGCGGCAGCAAGACAGTAGGAGAAACAGCACAGCAACCTAGCATCCTCCACTCAGCCGCGCAGGTGGACTTGGGCCAGATGGCCCCCAGGGGCGTGTCATGTGCCTTCTCTGACGTTTGTACGAGGCAGGGGCAGCAACGGCAGCCGGGCATGCACCAACGGTGCCTCTGCCCCGGCAGCGATGACTCTACAGCCCATGATTTCCGCAGCCCACGATTGGCTGGGGCACAGCGATAAGAATTCAACCTAATGGGCACCTCACCTCCCACCTGCTTGGTACGCAGAGCAGAGAATGGGGAGTCCCATACCCTCCCTTTCCGGCTTCTTTATATTGTCTCCCTAAAAATCTCCGATTGGACACAGGTATATAACATAAATTGCCTGCACTGGAAAGTGTACACATTCTCTCACGCCACAAAGTGGATCTGCCCCCATTTTCTTGTTTTTAATAACTTTTTTCTGTTCTACATTTTTAACCACTGTGTTCTAAGTGTACCTGTGGAGTGTTTAGTAAAATGTGGGAAAACAAAGCCATTGTTTTTACATGTTTTCATAGGAACTAATGAAAGCTTGTTTCATATACAGGCAGTTTTTATTTTGCACTGTAGTGTGTGATAATAAAAATTACTGCACAAGCTGATATCACACCAAGCTATTTTAATAATAGGGAAAAGTATGATTTTTCCTTTATCCTCTTTTCCTGATTGAAAATTACTTTACTGTCACTCATAAACGTATAGGGAAATGTAAACAACAATAAAATTAATATTTTTAAAGTATGCTATAATTAAAACATTAAAAACACTGAGTTTCAAGTGTTTTGCTTAAAAGAAAATGAGTAGTGTGAATTGAGTACGTGCTGTTGTTGTTCTATCGCTTACAATATGGAGCCAGCATCTTTTAGATGCCTTCTCAAGCTTTTTTATTCCTAAATTTGGATAGACTTCCAATATACTATTCTTTGCACTTGAAATGTTAGGAAACACATTGAGAGTTCATTTGATGTGAACACTTTAGCTCGTATAACTTCCTCTGGGACCTCTTCATTCTTTTCATCACAACCACTTACCTTATTTTTGTCAATAAGTGTGCCTTTACTAAATTCCTCTGGTTGCATTATCTAGAGACTCTTCAAAAGGTGAATTATTAATAACCCTATCAACAGCTATTGCTTCTCTAACTTCATTTCTCTTCTATTTTATTTCCCCTTTCAGCGCCATCATTTTTTGCTGCACTTTGTGTCACTAACCAATTTCCTGTTTCAATTACCTTCCTCTTCTTGTCTTCCTGTTTCAAATTTCCTTTGGAATTTGTCATACAGTGACAAACCCATGTGACATTTACAAAATAATACAGAATAACTCTCCATCTTATTCTGTATTAACTGATAAAAGATGCATGGTGACCAATCAATCATTGACAGACTTGGAAAAAAGTGACATGGTTGGTCGTTAATCACAATACAAACATGTATATAGTGATTCGTGAACTGAAAAACTAGCATGGAAGTTTCTACTTTATACAATTACTTACAGTAAATATAATACAAATACAGATAAGTACGCTGAAAGAATTAAACTGTGCTGTTGGGGAGTTATTTAATTAAACTGTGAGAAGTGAAGTTTATGCATATTAGAACCACGCAAAGTAAAGTTTATACACACACCCTACTCCCCACAGACATTCTCTTTAAAATATACATATACGGCCGGGCACTGTGGCTCACGCCTGTAATCCCAGCACATTGGGAGGCTGAGGCAGGCAGAGCATCTGAAGTCAAGGAGTTTGAAACCAGTTTGGCCAACATGGTGAAACCCCGTCTCTACTAAAAATACAAAAATTAGCCTGGTGTGGTGGCAGACGCCTGTAATCCCAGCTACTCAGGAGGCTGAGGCAGGAGAATCGCTTGAACCCAGGAGGCGGAGGTTGTAGTGAGCCGGCGTCCCGCCATTGCACTCCAGCCTGGAGATATATATATATATATAAATTTTCATATATATATATAAATTTTCATATATATACACACACAAATACATATACAAACACATACATATGCATGTATAAGCATATATTGTATGTGTATAGACCTTATTCTATACATAAGAATTATTTATACTTATTTATGTAATGTATTCTTGTGACTTCAGTAATTAATTAGCACAGATTTCAAAGCTATAAATGGTAGAAATGTGGTATCTCACAGTTCTGGAGGCCAGAAGTCTGGAATAAAGAGGCTCTGAGGAAGAACCTGCTTCACACCTCTCTTCCAGCTTCTGGTGGCTGCTGGCAATCCTTAGTGATCCTTACCATGAAGTTGCACCATGCCAGTCTCTGCCTCTATCTTCTTAATGAGTGGAAAATAGTTCCTAGAATTCAACTAGAAGATTTCTCTCATTTTTCATTTACCTTGACAGACCATATATTCCTTCTTAAGATGATAACTTTCAAGAGGAATAGAAACAGTATGACTGGCTTAGATTAAATTCAACCAAATCATTAGAGATAAGATCAACCTCTCCCTCATAGAAGCAAGTATATATATGGGGGCGGGGGGATTGTTTTCTTCTTACAATACTCTTAATATTTCACCTCCTACACCAGATGTGTAGGGAGGGGGTTTCTCCTCAAATCAATAAATTATCTAGGGCAGGGGGCCCCAACCCTCGGGCCATGGGCCAGTACCGGTGCATGGCCTTTCAGGAACGGTCCATGGCCTTTCAGGAACAGTCCATGGCCTGTTAGGAATGGGGTTGCACAGCAGGAGGTGAGCAGCAGGCAAGAGAGAGCAGCTTCATCTGTATTTACAGCTGCTTCCCATCACTTGCATTACTGCCTGAGCTCCACCTCCTGTCAGATCAGCTGCTCATTAGATTCTCATAGGAGTGCAAACCCTACTGTGAACTGTGAATGCAAGGGATCTAAGTTGCATGCTCCTTAGGAGAATCTAATGCCTGATGATCTGTCACTGTCTCCCATCATCCCCAGATGAGACCGTCTAGTTGCACGAAAACAAGCTCAGCGTTCCCACTGATTCTACATTATGGTGAGTTGTGTAAGTATTTTATTATATATTACAATGTAATAATACTAGAAATAAAGTGAACAAAAAATGTAATGCACTTGAATCATCTTGAAACCATCTTCCCCCACCCCAGGGTCTGTAGAAAAATTATCTTCCCTGAAATCGGTCCCTGGTGCCCTATTGGGGCAGCAGTTGGGGACTGCTGCTCTAGGGGACACCCACTGTATGTCCTATAATTCAATTCAATTCTGACAGTATCCACCTGGAGTTAGCATCAAATTCCACAGATCAAGGGCTCACTCCATCAAGACTGCCCTCCACTTCAGATGCCAGTGTCAAGTCTGGGCCTCTGGAACTGCTGACCAACCAGCTACAGATTGAGGGTTCCCTCGACCCCTCATCACACTTGATTAATTTGATAGAGAGGCTCAGAGAACTTGGAGAAACACTCAATGTTTACCAGTTTATGATATTAATAAAGGGTACACATGAACATCCAGATAAAAAGATAGTTGGGGGAGGTCTGAGAGGGTCCAGAGTGCAGGAGCTTCTGTCCCTATAAAGTTGGGGTGCATCATCCTCGTGGCACATAAGTGTGTTTGTCCACCTGGGAGTTCTTGTAACCCTGTATTTTTGGGACTTTTATGGAGGTTTCATCATGTAGACATGATTGATTACTCTTTTTCCAGCCCCTTTCCCATCTGTGACTAATGTGGGGTAGGAGTGAAATGTCTAAGCTTCTAACCATGTCTTGGTCTTTCTGGCAACCAGCCTTCATTTAAGAGCCTACCAAGAGTCACCTCATTAGAACCAGAGATATTCCTATTGCCCAGAACATTCCAAGGGATTTAGGAGCTCTGTGTCAGATGCTCCTATCACTCTGGCAATTACAAAGGTGTTAGGCACTCTGTGTTAGGAACCAAGGTTAAAAACCAAATAATAAAAGATGTCCCTAAGCACCCCTACTGTTCAGGAAATTCCATTTTTAGAAGCTCTGCACAGGAACTAGGGACAGATATATAGATATAGATTATATAGATATAGACAATTTCATACACACTCGCTCTCCACTGACAAAATTAGGATTCTACCTGAAATATAGAAGAAGAGAATGGATTTGGATACATAACCAAAAACAGTCTTATTGCCAAAATATATATATTTTTTGAGATGGATTCTCACTCTGTTGCCTGGGCTGGAGTACAGTGGTGTGATCTCTGCTCACTGCAACCTCGGCCTCATGGATTCAAGCGATTCTCCTGCCTCAGCCTCCTGAGTAGCTGGGATAACAGGCGCCCACCACTACGCCCAGCTAATTTCTTGTGTTTTTAGTAAAGATGGGGTTTCACCATGTTGTCCAGGCTGGTCTCGAACCCCTGACCTCATGATCCACCAGCCTCAGCATCCCAAAGTGCTGGGATTACAGGTGTGAGCCACCGTGCCTGGCCACCAAAATATTTTTTTAAGAGAGTGAGTGTGTGTGTGTGTGTGTGTGTGTGTGTGTGGAGGTTGTTTACTCATTGCAAGATATAAAAAAAGGAAGTGGTACCAATACCACCCATATAGGCAAAATGGACTACATTAAAATTTAAAACTTCTGTGCATCGAAGAGCATAATCCACAGAGTGAAATGACAACCTACAAAGTGGGAGAAAATGTTTGGAAATCACATATCTCATAAGGAATTAGAATCCACAATATATCACAAATTCCTATAGGGCAGCAGAAAACAAACAAATGAAAGAACAAATAACTTGATTTAAAACTGGTCAAATGACTTGAATAGATACTTCTTCATAAAACATAAACAAATGTCCAGCAAACATATGAAAAGACATTCAATATCACTAATCATTTGAGAAATTAAAATCAAAACTATATTAAGAGATCACCTCACATCCATTAAGATGGCTCCTGTGGAAAAAAAAAAACCCAGAAAATAACAAATACTATAGGGATATGGATAAATTGCAACCCTAGTGAAATTTTCATGGCAATGTAAAATAATGCAACCACTACAGACAACAATATGGTGGTTCCCCCCGCCAAATTAAACATTAAATTATAACCTGGCACTTTTGCTTCTGGATATATAGCCAAAATAATTAAAGCAGGTTATCTCCAAGAGATTTATACAGCCATATTCATAGCAGCGTTATTCACAAGTCAACAGGTTAAAGCAACCCTGGTGTCCATCGATGGGTGGACTAAAAAAATGTGGTATATACATACAATGGAATATTATTCAGCTTTAAAAAGGAAGGACATTCTGACACAAGCTACAACATAAATAAACATTGAAGGCTTTATGCTATGCGGAATAAGCCAGTCGCAAAAGGACAAGTACTGTATGATTTCACTTACATGAGTTACTTAGAAGACTTAAGCTGATAGAAACAGAAAGTAGAATGGTGGTGGCTAAGTGATGGGGGAAAGAGGAAATGGGGAGTCATTGTTTGACAGATACAGAGTTTTAGCTTTGCAAGATGAAAATAGTTCTGGAGATTGATTGCAAAACAATGTAATGTACTTACTACTGAAATTTACACTTAAAAATGGTTAAGATGAAAAATTTTGTTATGTGTATTTTACCATAATTTTTAAAAAGTAGTTTCCCAGAGGACTGCCAGACACTGAAATCCTAATGGTGAGAATCTGTAGAATCCCAAAAGTTGAGGAGAAATCAGACAGGAGATAAGTTTCAGTCATATGATGTGACTTCTGAAAAACCCCCAACAGCACTTGGTAAGAGAAAGAACCATTAACAGCAGATATCTGTGCTTCTATTTCTCTTTCCCATGAAATGTTTAAGAAACAGCAGCCAATGAATAGAGGATTTGATGATGCTAGGGAAAAAAAGAGGCAGCAAAACCGCCTGCCTCCTCTTCTGCAGGCTTCCAAGTAGAGTTTAAATTGAAGTTTGGAGTTTCAATACTGTGCTAGACTGGACCTATTAATTTCTGACATGAGACTGCTCTTTTTACTTCAAGGAACCATAAAAGCCTTGGGATTGACTCCAGCCTACCCAGATGTAGGGATTTCTAAGTCTCAGAGAGAGCTTAGTGGAAAAGTAAAGTTAATTCTGTGTGTACATACAAAAGTGCGTTTCTTTCCAACCACAAGATTCACCTGTTTCTCTGTTCTCTGATCCCTGTGTATGCATTCTTCCCATTTTCATGAGTGCATCTGAGGGCTGTGGGTTAGTGATTTTCCTTGACCATAAATCCAGTAATTTTGTTTCCTGTTGAGTGGAAGGAAAGAAAGGCAGAACCTTAAGAAATATTTCATTCATACAAAATTACTTTTTAAATAAATATACAATGTTTTCTGGAACCTCGTGATTGTGTTGGATTTTTTTTTCCTATTTATTTCATTAACCATTTCATAAGGAAAGGTTTCCTCTGACTCTTTAGAATGGACAGCTTCTTTTAAACCTTTAAATCATTGCATCTGCCTGTAATTATTTCCATTTTTCTAGCATTGGATTTTGAGATGAGTTACTTCAGAATGAGTATTTAAATGTTTTAGACAAAAGTAGATAAAAAAATCTGTATCATTGTCACATTTTTTGAGATTTAGAAGCCAACTTGAGTTGCAGTAACCAAAAATGTGGTCTGGCAAAGCCCACAGTCCCTGGTGGGTTACGATCTGAAGATGGTCTGAAGCTGAGTTGGTTGTCTGGCAGCATTCCCTTGACTGGCCTCACTTCCAGGCACTCCTGCACAGAGCTGTGGGGTGTTCATTCCCCATCAAATCTCCTGTTGCCCTGAAAAATTTAAAGAGGCAGAGAAAGTGACAACTAGACCTAGCATTTTGGTGTATAAGTGCATATATTTCAGTTTTTTTGTTATTGTTGTTACGGCAGTCTGAATTTAGAACTTTGTGCTAACAACAGGTTACAGCAACCCTAGAGTCCATCAATGGGTGGAATAAAAATATGTCATATATACATACAATGGAATATTATTCAGCCTTAAAAAGGAAGGACATTCTGACACAAGCTACAACATAAATAACCATCGAAGGCATTATGAAGCTTCTTTTACTAGCAAAGTTACTTTCCAGAAACCTTAGTAGCTGCGATCTTGCTTCAGTCCATAAGCTTTCTGTGACTTGACTTAGAGTAGCAGGCAATTAGTCCATAAAAGAAACATAATGAATATCCTGATGCCTCTCAACCATCTGGAAAATATTAACCGGGCACCGAAATACTTGATAAATGCTGTGAAAAACATGGGATTGGGTGGTGAATAGGTTGACTGACAAGGTATGTAGAAGAGTGGGGAGAGTGTACTTTAGGGTGGGTGGTGAGACTAAGTCACTCTTCTCATTAAAAGAATGTGTGCTGCCTGTACAAATTTGTCTTCATCTTTTTCAGCCAATCCACTCCAATGGGCTTATGGATATGCTGGCCATATTAACAAATTAAGACACAAGATTTCCAGTTAAATTTGAATTTCAATCGACCACAGATAATTGCAGAGACAGCAAATACAAATATTGATGAGCAATACTTACATTAAAAATAAGTCATTTTTACCTGAAATTCAAATTCTGTTTTCCCACACATAGCTACATTATTTCCTGCACGTAGCTACATCCCTCCTCTGCTATGTAAACCCCCAATTTCAGTCACTTGGGGAGATGAATTTGAGACTGATCTGCAGTTCTTCTCAGCTGCAGCAACTGAATAAAGTCATCTCCCCTGGAAATACTTGCCTCAGTGATTGGCATTCTGTGCAATGAGTAACGGGACCTAGGCTGAACCTCTGGCATTTCAGTAACAGATTTTGGTTCCCTCATCAGGAAGACATTGCTCTTGGCTTGGCTGTCACCAGTTGGGAGAATTTCCGCAACCCTAAGCAGCAGCCTATGTGTTTTAGGCAGGATGTGGGTTTTAGTCTTTCTATTTAGCATTGCTGCTGCCAGCCCCAACCACATTTCTGATTGCCTAGGAAGAACAGCCTTTCAAATTTGACTTCTGCATGTGGATAGGTGAGTGTCTTTTGTGGATACCGACAGTGGGAATGGCTCCTCTCAATTTGAGAAATTCTGAAGGAATTTCCATTGGCAAGTTCAGCAAGGCCAACTGACGGAGAGAGGAAGCACCCTGACTGTTCCAGTTCAGACACTCTTGGGGCTTGTTAGTAATTGAGTATGTGTCTGGATAAGTGAGTGTCATTTGTGGGTCCAGACAGCAGGATCTGCTTTTCTCAATTTGAGAAATTCCGAAGGAATCTCCATTTGCAGATTGAACTAGCCCAACAAACAGGGAGAAAGCAACTCAACTGTTTCAGTTTGGACTCTCTTGGGACTTGCTTATTGTTGCAGCAGTTAGATTGTATTCTGGTGGTTGTTTGTGTGTTGATGTAGTTGTGGGAGATCAGGGTTTGATCTGAGTGCAGACCGCTTGGGTGTATTCTTCAGGGTTGGTCTGCATGTGGCTGTGGGCCAGTGGAGTGAGGGAACATCTCTACCCGTATCACGCTGAACATGCCCAATCTCATCTGATCTCAGACAGTCTTTGAATTGTAGCACTGCCTTATATTTGGATTTATTTTGCTGTTGAATGTGAATATGGGATGGAAGTCCATGTCTCCAGGCTTCTATGCTGCTGCTCTAAGGACAGGCAGGCCTGATTAGTATGTGCTGCTGTTTGGCTACAGAGTTCTTTGGAGTCTGGAGAGATTTGGCCTTTAAAAATCAAACTGTCAGACCCTGTCTCAAGGAAAAAAAAAAAAACAGGATGTGAGCGCTCTCCCTCTCCCTCTCCCTCTCCCTCTCCGTCTCCCTCTCCCTCTCCCTCTCCGTCTCCCTCTCCCTCTCCCTCTCCGTCTCCCTCTCCCTCTCCCCACGGTCTCCCTCTCATGTGGAGCCGAAGCTGGACTGTACTGCTGCCATCTCGGCTCACTGCAACCTCCCTGCCTGATTCTCCTGCCTCAGCCTGCCGAGTGCCTGCGATTGCAGGCACGCACCACCACGCCTGACTGGTTTTGGTGGAGACGGGGTTTCGCTGTGTTGGCCGGGCCGGTCTCCAGCCCCTAACCGCGAGTGATCCGCCAGCCTTGGCCTCCCGAGGTGCCGGGATTGCAGACGGAGTCTCGTTCACTCAGTGCTCAATGGTGCCCAGGCTGGAGTGCAGTGGCGTGATCTCGGCTCACTACAACCTACACCTCCCAGCAACCTGCCTTGGCCTCCCAAAGTGCCGAGATTGCAGCCTCTGCCCGGCCGCCACCCCGTCTGGGAAGTGAGGAGTGTCTCCGCCTGGCCACCCATCGTCTGGGATGTGAGGAGCCCCTCTGCCTGGCTGCCCAGTCTGGAAAGTGAGGAGCGTCTCCGCCCGGCCGCCATCCCATCTAGGAAGTGAGGAGCGCCTCTTCCCAGCCGCCATCACATCTAGGAAGTGAGGAGCGTCTCTGCCCGGCCGCCCATCGTCTGAGATGTGGGGAGCGCCTCTGCCCCGCCGCCCCATCTGGGATGTGAGGAGCGCCTCTGCCCGGCCGAGACCCCGTCTGGGAGGTGAGGAGCGTCTCTGCCCGGCCGCCCCGTCTGAGAAGTGAGGAGACCCTCTGCCTGGCAACCACCCCGTCTGAGAAGTGAGGAGCCCCTCCGCCCGGCAGCCGCCCCGTCTGAGAAGTGAGGAGCCTCTCCGCCCGGCAGCCACCCCATCTGGGAAGTGAGGAGCGTCTCCGCCCAGCAGCCACCCCGTCCGGGAGGGAGGTGGGGGGGGTTAGCCCTCCGCCCGGCCAGCCGCCCCATCCGGGAGGGAGGTGGGGGGTCAGCCCCCCGCCTGGCCAGCCATGCCGTCCGGGAGGGAGGTGGGGGGGTCAGCCCCCTGCCCGGCCAGCCGCCCCGTCCAGGAGGTGAGGGGCGCCTCTGCCCGCCCCCCCCTACTGGGAAGTGAGGAGCCCCTCAGCCCGGCCAGCCACCCCGTCTGGGACGGAGATGGGGGGTCAGCCCCCCCGCCCAGCCAGCTGCCCCGTCCGGGAGGGAGGTGGGGGGGTCAGCCCCCCGCCTGGCCAGCCGCCCCGTCCGGGAGGGAGGTGGGGGGGTCAGCCCCCCGCCTGGCCAGCCGCCCCGTCCGGGAGGGAGGTGGGGGGGGTCAGCCCCCCCGCCCAGCCAGCCGCCCCGTCCGGGAGGTGAGGGGCGCCTCTGCCCGGCCGCCCCCTACTGGGAAGTGAGGAGCCCCTCTGCCTGGCCAGCCGCCCCGTCCGGGAGGGAGGTGGGGGGGTCAGCCCCCTGCCCGGCCAGCCGCCCCGTCCGGGAGGTGAGGGGCGCCTCTGCCCGGCCGCCCCTACTGGGAAGTGAGGAGCCCCTCTGCCCGGCCACCACCCCGTCTGGGAGGTGTGCCCAGCAGCTCATTGAGAACGGGCCAGGATGACAATGGCGGCTTTGTGGAATAGAAAGGCGGGAAAGGTGGGGAAAAGATTGAGAAATGGGATGGTTGCCGTGTCTGTGTAGAAAGAAGTAGACATGGGAGACTTTTCATTTTGTTCTGCACTAAGAAAGATTCTTCTGCCTTGGGATCCTGTTGATCTGTGACCTTACCCCCAACCCTGTGCTCTCTGAAACATGTGCTGTGTCCACTCAGGGTTAAATGGATTAAGGGCGGTGCAAGATGTGCTTTGTTAAACAGATGCTTGAAGGCAGCATGCTCGTTAAGAGTCATCACCAATCCCTAATCTCAAGTAATCAGGGACACAAACACTGCGGAAGGCCGCAGGGTCCTCTGCCTAGGAAAACCAGAGACCTTTGTTCACTTGTTTATCTGCTGACCTTCCCTCCACTATTGTCCCATGACCCTGCCAAATCCCCTCTGTGAGAAACACCCAAGAATTATCAATAAAAAAAAAAAAAAAAAAAAAAAAAAAATCAAACTGTCAGCTGGGCGCAAGAAACTGAGGTGGGCAGATACTTGAGCCCAGGAGTTCGAGACCAGCCTGGGCAACATGGTGAAACCCTGTCTCTACAAAAAATACAAATATTAGCTGGGTGTAATGGTGCATACCTGTAGTCCCAGCTACTCAGGAGGCTGAGGTGGGAGGATTACCTGAGCCTGGGAGGTTGAGGCTGCAGTGAGCCTTGATCACACCACTGCACTTCCAGCCTGGGTGACGGAGATCCTGTCTCAAAAAAAAAAATAATCAAACTATCATGGAAACTGCTTTATTCAAAATTTTGTTTCACAACCTTTATTGGATTACCTATCAGAACAAATAAAGTTCAACCATGTGAACATGTTCATAAACCAGTGAGTTTGCATTGCTATCTCATGGCTGGAATTTAAAGGTAAAAGCTATTGGATCTTTGTGTGTATGTAGGTATATGTGTCTAGATGTTACGTGTTGTTTTTAGAGGGTAGCAAATTGGCTTATAAATTAAAAAGCGTTCATAAATTAAGTAAATGAGTCTAAGCATTTTTCAAGTTTACATGACTTAAGTAAATCTTTAATAAACAAGAGAGCTTTTAGATCATTTGTAAAATAAAAATAGAAATGCCTTTGGAATTGTCAGCATACTTTTTTTGTTTGGGTTTTACATTTGTCTCTGCTAGATATTTAAAGGTGTCAGGGTTTGACAAAGAGATTATAAGACTATAAACCCAGCCAAGAACAAAATTATCTTTGTGTGATTTTTTGATAAATAAGACTAATTTAATGTCGTTAGGTTAATAAAAATAGCTGAAACTTTTGCATTATTGGTGCAAGTATCCATGTATTTTACTTTATGTTTCTTTTTTTTAAAAACGGAGTCTCACTCTGTCGCCCAGGCTGGAGTGCAGTGGCCCGATCTCGGCTCACTGCAAGCTCTGCCTCCCGGGTTCACGCCATTCTCCTGCCTCAGCCTCCTGAGTAGCTGGGACCACAGGCGCCCGCCACCACGCCCGGCTAATTTTTTGTATTTTTTAGTAGAGAAGAGGTTTCACCATGTTAGCCAGGATGGTCTTGATCTCCTGACCTCATGATCCTCCTGCCTCAGCCTCCCAAAGTGCTGGGATTACAGGTGTAAGCAATCATGCCCAGCCAACTTTATGTTTCTTACTTAGGTGAACATCTAATATATACAAGTTATAAAAATGGTTAACAAGGAAATAATGAATAGCTTTGATATCTCTTTTCTCATAAGTAATATAGATAATTGCTAAAAAAGTGAATGAAATATAAATGGCATAAATGCTCTAAGTGAACTTTTTGTGTAATTTAATATCTTGAAGTTATTTTGGATGCTCATGAGATGTGTGGGTCATTTCCAATTATGAAAGGGTTTCAATACAGAAAGTTAAATGATGTAAAAACCTTAATTCCTTTAAATCTCAGTTTTCCTAAGCAATCAAAAACCCAATAACAATGACATAGAAATTATTTTGATAAAATGTAAAATTTGTTTCTCAGGTCAGTTACCAAAAGGCAAAGAAAAACCTCCTGCAGTGTGATTGCTTCTCCTATCAGAGTCCCATCTCGAAAACCTGAAAATCAAACCTGATAAATGATGTAGACATATCAAGAAAAGCCAAGAGGACAGAATCAAGCTATACTGGAGGAAAACGTTGCTTCTCTAGAATTTTAAAATAAATATTTCAGCATCAGACCATGACAGCAGTTAAGGCAAGAGGGAAAAAAAAGATACAAGAACTGACAAAGTTGAAGGAGATAGTTTCATTTCAGGTTCCTTCAAGGGGAGACAAGCTGACAGCAACAAAACACAAGAAAGCTGCACTTTGGAGATATAGATCTGAGAAGTATTCAAAAAGTAACAGATTATAGAGTCAAAATCAAAACCTCTCATCCAATCAATATTTTAAGAAAACCTTGTTCTAACCCAGGGGACTAATCTATATCTCTCTCCCCTAGTTACTGGATCCTTTCTACCCTGTTTCATAAACAACCTAAGTCTATAATTTGAATTAACCTTTAGATAACTTCTGAGTTAAACAAAATTATTTCTTTAATCAATAAGAACACATCTTCTTTGGCACATTGTACATGGAATCATACAATTTGCTGGAATTCTTATTCTTAGTAATCCTAAATTTTAATGGAAACCTAGGAAGCAAGAAATCCTGGGCTGTCTATCAGATATTAACATTTTATAGATGAGAAACATGAATGTTCTCAGGCCCAGAAAACTCAAGTTGTTTTGGGACCTCAAGAAAAGAGGAATTCACCCAATTCATACAGGTATCTGCAAGCACAGATCAATTATTGGTTGTGCTCGAGAGGCCTTTAAAAATCAAATCTGAGATTCCTTATGAAAAGTTCCAGCAAAGCCAATTTAAAAAAGCCTATATGAACAATAATTCTTGCTTCAGTTTATGCAAATAATCAGGCAAACTATAATAAGATTAAAACAGATTTTGCAAATAAATTGGTCCTACTGTGATTTGCCTTTCATGGAAATGGGGAGCTGGAGAGAGAAACATTATGTTTTGGAAGAAAACTGCAGTACACCTGTTATTAGATTAATCTTTGACCTATGGCAACCTGGTCATCCATGGTATGGAGATACATCTGTGCTGTGCTGCATTCAGTTATTAAAAGTATAAGTTACCAGTGGAATTTAGATATGGATTCATCACCTCAGAAGTTGGTTCACTGGATGCATAAGGAAATAAAAACTAATTTTTAAAAAAGCAAAATTTTCAATCCCTTGGTTTTTGTTATCGATATAAACCAAAATGTATCTGAGGTAGGTCTCAATTAATTTCAAAGTTTATTTTGCCAAGGGTAGGGATATGTGCCTGAAACACAAGTCTGTGCCTTTCTCCAAAGATGCTTTTGAGGGCTTCAATATTTAAAGGGGAAAGGGCAGATATTGGGGAAAGAGGAAGAAATTTTAAAAAGGTGTGGGTAGGGCGGTGGCTCATGCCTGTAATCCCAGTAATTTGGGAGGCCAAGGTGGGCAGATCACCTGAGGTCAGGAGTTTGAGACTAGCCTGACCAACATGGACAAACCCCATCTCTACTAAAAATACAAAAATTAGCTGGGTGTGGTGGTGCACGGCTGTAATCCCAGCTACTCAGGAGGCTGAGGCAGGAGAATCACTTGAACTCGGGAGACAGAGGTTGCAGTGAGCCAAAATCGTGCCACTGCATTCCAGCCTGGGTGATGACAGAGTGAGACTTCATCTCAAAAAAAAAAAAAACAAAAAAACAAAAAAAAGGTGTGGGTAGATAAGAGACAAATGGTTGTATTCTTTTGAGATTTTGATCAGACTTTCACTAAATACACAATTACATGTGAGAGTGGGGTAAAGAAATAGTCACTTATGCCTCAGTCTAGATCAGTGAATCTGCATTTTTATACAAACGAAAGGGCAGAGGAAGCAATCAGATATGCATTTGTTTCAGATGAGCAGAGGGTTGACTTCAAGTTCTATCCTTTGTCCCATACCTGTGAAGATAAGCTATCAATTTACATTGCCAGGGTGAAATTCAATCGAATAAAATGGGAGCCAGGTTTGCCTGACACAATTCCCAGCTTGACTTCTCTCTTTGGCTTAGTGATTTGGGGACCCCAAGATTTATTTTCCTTTCACATCTGTAATAGCTAAAATTAAAGTAGGAGAATATTGGGTCAGGCTTTGAGGCCAAACCAAGCCTAGATGTGGGTCTGTCTGAACTCAGATCACTAGCCTCAAGGCTGCTCATGAAGAAGAAAATTATGCCAGGAAACCAGAAAGTACCTCTGAGATCTGTGGTTTCCTGGAAGGTAGTCAATGTGGGGAAGGAGTGAATTAAAGTGACTTCTGAAACTAGAGGGTATAATGTGAAGGAATTGTTCTATTTTGCAAATCAGTATCATTAGCTTCCTGAACCTTTACTAAAATAAATTGTGAGAGTAATTACTTTAGGCACAATGTCTTTGGTTTTAAATGCTGCAGAGTGGAAGATCCGGTTGATACAGAACCCACGGCTCACAATTGAACAGTTGCAGATGGGTACATATAATCCGGGCACACAGGAGGTTATTCCCAAAAGAACAGCCTACTTGGTGGACTGGATAAAACACTGTGAGAACTATTTACTCTGAGAAGGAGAATTGTCCCACTCCACCTATAAATGCCAAGTGGAGCACTCCAGATGAAGCAACAGATATGCTTCAAATGTAAGCCACGGGGGACTGGCTTTATAATGATGTGGCAGGCCAGGTCACTAATGCAGGCCTCCATAACAACTGTTTCAGTACTGACTGAGTGGTTAAGTTAAATGTTAAAAGGTAAAAAAGCCAGTGGCCTTATACAAACTCTGGATTGTAACAAAAGCCCACCACGAGTTTTGCCTAGGACTTTCCTGGGGCTTGGACCCATGACAAGATAATGAAGGAATTCTTAACAGGACCAGATTAGGATTAAACAAGTTTTACCGGCAGTCTGAAGAAACTTCCCAGGCTTCCACAGACAAGTTTATTGGAGATCTCAAGGAAGTTCCCAAACCTCCATGATTTAGCAGGAGACAAGATAGGGTAATCACCCCAGCACCTGGACCCATATAGATTAAGTAAATTTACTAAGCCTCCAGAGGAAGGTCTTCAGAACTCAGATCTCAGTTATAGATTACAAGAAGTTAATCACTCATGTTTTTAGATGAATGCACTTACACACAGACATATAACTTAGAAGGTAATAAGCTCTGGAAGACTTTGTAATTTTGAGTTGGTCTGGCAATATTTTCCAGGCCTTCTCCCTATAACTTGTTAAAGAAATAAAAACTCTTCCTCCCCAGTTCATCTGCATCTTGTTACTGGGCTGGAAGAAATAGCAGTCTGACCCTCAGTTTGGTCCAGGAACAATGATAGAAATATTAACTTGGCTGGGCGTGGTGGCTCACTCCTGTGATCCCTGCACTTTGGGAGGCTGAGGCGGGTGGATCACATGAGGTCAGGAGTTTGAGACCAGCCTGGCCAACATGATGAAACCCCATGTCTACTAAAAATACAAAAAATTAGCTGGGCGTGGTGGCGGGCACCTGTAACCCCAGCTACTCTGGAGGCTGAGGCAGGAGAATCTCTTGAACCAGTGAGGCGGAGGTTGCAGTGAGTAGAGATTGTGCCACTGCACTCCAGCCTGGGAGAGAAGAGCGAAACTCTGTCTCAAAAAAAAAAAAAAAGAAGAAAGAAATATTAACCTTACTTTTTGGTTTTTGGCTCTTTCGTTGCTTTGAGTTTTAATGGTAATGAGTCCCTGGCACCTCTATTCTTGTGTGGCCTAGAATGTTTAATTGACTATAAGTCTTTTTTGACTCTAAGTCCCTTGGTTACAGGGGTCCCACTGACGAACAGGATGGACTCGGGGCAGGTAGTCATACCACCTTGGAAATGATATGGAACAAAATAAAGTTTGGCAATCAATGCTCCCTCTGGCATATTCCAAGGAGACCTCAGTTTCCAAGAGATAAATCTTACCTGGGAAAAGGTCTTGCCCCTTGCCCTGCTGAGGGTACTGGTAGCTCCCAGAAATGGATTAGCTCTTAGCCCCTTTCAAAATGTTTACTTGGAGACTGTTTTCCTGGACTCTCTGATGCTTGAGGATTTTTTCCTCCCCTGAAACAGAAGCTATGTCATACATGAAACAATTAGGGAATATATTAACTAGTCTCTCCAACAGACTTCATTTCTGTATGGACTTGCCTCTTCCCTGTTTGAAACCAGGGAATCGAATCATACTGAAGACCTGGAAATCCCATCAGGCTGAAGACTAGCTGCAACCACAATAGGTCAGTCTTTTTAAGGTGCTGCTGACCACCCACTCGTCTATCAAGTTAGCCAGTGTTAAACCATGAATTCAACATACTCAGTAAAACTAGTCACTGTGGGATCCCTCCAGGGGAAACAGTCATGCTCTTGTGAACCTATACATGGCCTTAAGTTAATATTGAAAGCCCAGCCAAAGATCCTAGATAAGAAACTGTAAAAGGAATATGCATTTTTCAGTTATTATTCTCTTTAAACCCACAGCTTTTCACATATAAGATATAATGAATCAGGAATACTTTTTGGTAGGCTTAGGATTGTTCTCTTGGATTCCCCAAGGGATCCACTCCAAATTCTCTGGTATTTTAAAATTGGTTTATCTATATTATTTATCATCCTTGTTCAATGTGGCCTAAAACGTTGTTCTAAAACTGAAATAAAAGTACCCAGATCATAGTGCTCCAATGACTACTTCTGATTATAGTGCCACATTTCCATTCCTTATCATTATTCCACCTCACACGTCCTCAGCATGAAGCAGCCAGAAGGATCAATGACCAGATTCTCCATGATTGAGGAAGTGATAAATAGAAAAGAGAGACTGAAACCGGCCCCGTTATCTTATAGAACTAATATTTACAGTTGTTTTTGTTTGTTTTGCTTTGGAACATAGAAATGGACCCTGTCTGGTCTTAAAACTTGAAACTTGTTTGTTTTCCTGAGTTTCTTGCTTAGAAAACCGACTTTCAGGCAAGGAACTGAAACTCATCAGAGCACCACACCCAGGCAATGAGACTGCAGATCCTTCACCCAGCATGATTTTTTCCCTACCTCTGCCTAATTTCTATTTTTCCCCTGTCCACGTAGCATCAAACTCTGTAAAATATTTGAAGAGATTTATTCTGAGCCAAATATGAGTGACCATGCCCGTGACACAGCCCTCAGGAGGCCCTGCGAACATGCACCCAAGGTGGTTCAGGTACACATTGGTTTTGTACATTTTAGGGAGACACGAGGCTTCAATCAACTATAAACATTTACTGATTGGCAATTGGTTGAGTTTATCTAAAGGTCTGGAATCAATAGAAAAGAAATGTCTGGGTTGTGGTAAGAGGTTGTAGAGACCAAGGTTTTATCATGCAAATGAAGCCTCCAGACAGCAGACTTGAGAGAGACTTAAGTATTAATGCCTGAGAGATATAATGAAGCGTGTTCGACACGCACTTCCTGTCATGGCCTGAACCCATCTCTCAGGTTAAATTTTCAAAGAGCTGTGGTTGAAGAGGGAGTCCATTCAGATGGTTGAGGGGCCTTAGAATTTCATTTTTGGTTTACACTCCCCACACAGCTACATTTCTGCCTGCACATAGCTACATTCCTTCCTCACTATATAACCTCCCAATTTTAGTTTGTTGGAGAACAAAGCCAGAATAAAGCCAATCCTAGTCATAGCATTGCAACTTGTATCAGATGAAAGAAACCTACAAAAAGATAATTATAAAATTTAGATAAAATGTATAAAACAACTGAGAAGGCAAAATTTGAGGGGCTCCAATTAATCAAGGTTTACCGCTTATATTCTGTGTGACTGCCAGAAAAAAAGAAACAAAACTTTTTGGTAGGAAGATCATTTAAAATTTCTGTTTTTAATACATAAGGCCTGTTATTTAATAAAAAATTATGAGACAACCTAAAAAAAAAGAATTAAATATCAAAACACCAATTGACAAGCCAAATGATAAAAACTGGCCTACATATGGTTCAGAAAATGATTTCAATAAATCTACTCTTCACCATTCTAATCCCTTTGCAGTGCCCTAGGATGGTGACTGACTCTCATGTATAATATCCCTGGACACTATTGTCCTGAAGCTCTAGGTATGTTTGTGCTAATAGGAAGAATAGGCAAAAGATTTAAAGGTGGGAGAATCCTTCCCTACAGCACTAGGAAATGGATATGGAGTTGTTCTCGCTGAGTGTACCTCCAGGGAGGCAGCCTTCATCAGCTATAGTTTCTGCTGCTTCAGTTAATTGCTACCAGCAATGTTCTCTCAGGCCTAATGTAGTAATGGCTTCCGGCAGTAGCTAGCCCTGGGGTATTTCACTATCCCTCATGGTTTCCTTTGGTCTTATCTCTATCTTGTAAATTGTCCTGTTATTTTATCTTCTTAAATTTTCCTTTTAATGTATAACCGGTTTTTTCTTTTTTTTTTTTTTTTTTGGATCCCAAGTGTGTGTTTCTTTTTGGTACCTGAGTATATCACTGTCACTGTGGTCTCTCAACTTTTAAATTATGTGACTCTGAAGGTGTGTGTCTCCAAATTTTTATCCCTGTGCACTTTTCTTCACCTGTCTTCATTTCTTTCCCTTTTTTCCGTTATAACTTTCACTCACATCCGTGTGAAGAGACCACCAAACAGGCTTTGTGTGAGCAACAAGGCTGTTTATTTCACCTGGGTGCAGGTGGGCTGAGTCCGAAAAGAGAGTCAGCGAAGGGAGATAGGGGTGGAGCTGTTTTATAAGATTTGGGTAGGTAGTGGGAAATTACAGTCAAAGGGGGCTTGTTCTCTGGCGGACAGGAGTGGGGGCCACAAGGTGCTCAGTGGGGGAGCTTTTGAGCCAGGATGAGCCAGGAGAAGGAATTTTATAATGTCATCAGTTAAGGCAGGAACAGACCATTTTCACTTCTTTTGTAGTGGAATGTCATCTGTTAAGGCAGGAACCGGCCATCTGGATGTGTATGTGCAGGTCACAGGGGATAGGATGGTTTAGCTTGGGCTCAGAGGCCTGACATTCCTGTCTCCTTATATTAATAAGAAAATAAAAATGAAATAGTGGTAAAGTGTTGGGACGGCAAAAATTTTGGGGGCTTGGTATGGAGAGATAACGGGCGATATTTCTCAGGGCTGCTTCCAGCGGGATTAGGGGCGATGTGGGAACCTAGAGTGGGAGAGATTAAGCTGAAGGAAGATTTCATGCTAAGGGGTGATATTGTGGAGTTGCTAGAAGAAACATTTGTCATTTAGAATTATTCGTGATGGCCTGGATACGGTTTTGTATGAATTGAAAAACTAAACAGAATAAGAGAAGGAGAAAAACAGGTATTAAAGGACTAAGAATTGGGAGGACCTAGGACATCTAATTAGAGAGTGTCCAAGGGGGTTCAGCATAATTACTTACTTGGTTGGCAAGTTTTTGGGCTCTATCCTTGAGTTTTTTATGTTGTCATACACCAGGCCAGATTGATTTAGGTAGAAACAACACTCTTCATTTAAGAATATACAGAGTCCTCCTTTTTCAGCAGTGACTAAGTCAAGGCCTCAGCGGTTTTGGAGGACAACTGCAGCTAAAGAGTCAACTTGGGCCTGGAGGACTGATAAAGTTTGTGATATGTCTGTGATGCTAGCAGAGAAGACACTAGAGAGGCTATGGAAGGTCGTGACAGAGGTTGAAATGCCTCCTATTCCAGTACCGAGAGCAATAGTGGAGGCAGAAAGTCTTAAACTGATAAGCAAGGGAATTAGTGGAATAACTCTTTTTTGTCGTGTCGGTGTCATGAGGGGAACAGGGAGCTCTTCGGTCCTATTTGCAAATTGAATTTTAGGAGTAAGGAAAACTAGTGTGCATGTACCTGTCCAATTAGCAGGTAGACACATGGAGGTAGAGGATCCACAGAGGAAGAAGAGACCTTGTGCGAGGCAAAACTGGAGAAGCAAAGTAAAAAGATGAGAAGGAGTGCTGAAAGGGGTGTCTTGTACCCAGACTCCTGGGGATCCAGCTAGGGCAGCAGCCATCAGAGGTTGTAATGGGGACTGGTGGGGTAACTGCGTAGAGGGGGAGGTTCGATTTTCATGGTGTATGAGAAAATGTTGAGTGTCTATGAGCTACCTTTCACTGTTATTTATGGGGCTGGGTATAAGTAAACAACAAGAGGGCTTTGGAGATGAAGAGTAAAGGAACATCAAAGTGAAAGGTTACCCAGGGGAATTCCAGTGGGTCTTTGCTGAGAGATACATAAAGGAGCAGCCACAGGAATAGTAGTTTGTGTTGTGAGAGGTAAATACGGGGGGAGTAGAGTTGATACAAGGAGAAAGGTTTTTTAAGTAAGTGTGGAGGAGGGCGGCAGCTTGCTGACGTGAAATGTCTGGGGAGGTCTAGCTGGACCTGTCTAGAAAGTAAATGAGTTCATCAGGAGGGTAAAGGTGAGGGCTGTTAAAGGAAGTTTGGAGGTGTAGGAGACAGGAGATGTTGCCTAGTCTGCATGTAAGGTGGGGACAGCTGTGTAGGCATTGGAAGAAAGGGAAATGCAAAGCTAGAGTTTGTTCGCTAAGGAGGGATTAGAAACAGCTAGGAGAGAATGAGTAATGTTTATAGTGTGGTGGAGATAGCTGGGGAGAGGTAGAGGGTGGCATAAGAATGGGAATGAGAATAAGATTGAGTATAAAAGTAAAGAATAGAACTTCATCAGGGTGAAAGTATTGGAGGGTCCCCTGCCAGCAAAGATTATCTATCCCCTCTGAGAGGGAGTTAAGAGTTGCCAGTCCTGGGTGGGGGCAAATCCTCGAGCTTGATGTGTAGGGAAAGGAGGGGGCCTGAATAATCTATGAGGAGGAGTAGAATAGTAGATGGAACAGAAGTTATTTCCTTGAGGATAGATTTCCACGATGGAAAGGAAATGAGAGGTTCTAAGAGGTGGGCTGGTGACTTGTACTATAGCATAGCCTGCCTTTGCTGGTGTGTGGCGATTAGGCCTGGTGGAACTACTATGAATAAACTAAGTGTGTTCAGGGTGAGGAACACGAAAGAAGGAAATATGAGGAAAAGGGGTGAATGTCAGGTGAATCAGAGAGATACAGTCATAGGGGTCAGGTGTGGTATCCAGAATACTGTGGGAGGCTGGATTGAAGTCTGGGCCAGGAACAATGGTAATTGTCAGAGACTTAACAAAAAGGGAGTGTAGCTGAAGGAGCCAGGGAGCAGAAAGTGTATGCGTCAGGTGGGAGAAAGAAAATAGATTTTGGAAATTATGAGAACCGTAGAGAATGAGTTGGGCATAGTTTGTGATTTTTTGGGCCTCTAAAAGTATTAAAGCAGCGGCAGCCACTGCATGCAGACATGAGGGCTAGGCTAAAATGGTAAGGTCAAGTTGTTTGGACAGAAAGGCTACAGGGTGCGGTCCCAGCTCTTGTGTAAGAATTCTGACTGCCCTAACCATGCCTAGGAAGGAAAGGAGTTGTTGTTTTGTAGAAGGGATTGGGGTTTGGGAAATTAGCCGGACATGATCAGCAGGGAGAGCACATGTGTTTTTATGAGAATTATGCTGAGATAGGTAAGAGATGAGGAAGAAATTTGGGCTTGACTGAAGTAATGGGGGCTGTCTGTGAAGCCTTGCGGCAATACAGCCTAGGTAATTTGCTGAGTCTGATGGGTGTCAGGGTCAGTCCAAGTGAAAGTGAAGAGAGGCTGGGATGACGGGTGCAAAGGAATAGTAAAGAAAGCATGTTTGAGACCCAGAACAGAATAATGGGTTGTGGAGGGAGATATTGAGGATAGGAGAGTATATGGATTTGGCACCATGGGGTGGTTAGGCAAAACAATTTGGTTGATAAGGCACAGATCCTGAACTAACCTGTAAGCCTTGTCTGGTTTTAGGACAGGTAAAATGGGGGAATTGTAAGGGGAGTTTATAGGCTTTAAAAGGCCATGCTGTAGCAGGAGAGTGATAATAGGCTGTAATCCTTTTAAAGCGTGCTGTGGGATAGGATATTGGCATTGAGCGGGGTAAGGTGATTAGGTTTTAATGGGATGGTAAGGGGTGCAGGATCAGTCGCTAAGGAGGCAGTAGAGGTGTCCTATACTTGTGGGTTAAGGTGGGGAGATACAAGGGGAGGATGTGAAGGAGGCTTTGACCTGGGGGAAAAGGTGGCAATGAGGTGTGGCTGTAGCCTAGGAATAGTTAGGGAAGCAGATAATTTAGTTAAAGTGTCTCAGCCTAATAAGGGAACTAGGCAGGTGGGGATAACTAAAAAGGAGTGCTTAAAAGAGTATTGTCTAAGTTGGCACAAGAGTTGGGGAGTTTTAAGAGGTTTAGAAGCCTGGCCATCAGTACTTACAACAGTTATGAAGGCAAGGGAAACAGGCCTTTGAAAAGAAGGTAATGTGGAGTGGGTAGCCTCCGTATTGATTAAGAAGGGGACGGGCTTACCCTCCACTGTGAGAGTTACCTAGAGTGTCTGTGATGGTCCTGTAGGCTTCTGAGGTGATTGGGCAGTGACAGTCTTCAGTTGTTAAGCCGAGAAGATCTGGGAAGGAGTCAGTCAGAGAGCCTTGGGGCAGAGTTCCAGGGGCTATGGGAGTGGCTGCCGGTGAGATGGACAGTCTGATTTCCAGTGGGGTCTTGCACAGATGGGACATGGCTTAGGAGGAATCTTGGGCTGCGGGCATTCTCTGGCCAGGTGGCCAGATTTCTGGCACTTTTAGCAAGCTCCTGGGGGAGGCAGGCCTGGAGGAATGCCTGGCCACTGTGGTTTAGGCGTTTGGAAGTTCTTGCGTGCTGGAGATGTGGCTGGGGTTTGTCTCACAGTGGAGGCAAGGAATTGCAACTCAGAAATATGTTGCTACTTTGCTGCCTCTACTTTATTATTGTACACTTTGAAGGCGAGGTTAATTAAGTCCTGTTGTGGGGTTTGAGGACTGGAATTTAATTTTTGGAGTTTTATTTAATGTCGGGAGCAGATTGGGTAATAAAATGTATATTGAGAATAAGACGGCCTTTTGACCTTTTAGGATCTAGGGCTGTAAAGCGTCTCAGGGTTGCTGCCAAACGAGCCATGAACTGGGCTGGGTTATTATATTTGATGAAAAAGAGCCTAAACGCTATCTGATTTGGGATAAAGAAAAAGGAACATTAACCTTGACTATGCCTTTAGCTCCAGCCACCTTTTTAAGAGGAAATTGCTGAACAGGTTGGGGAGGGCTAGTCATGGAATGAAACTGTAAGCTGGGCCAGGTGTGAGGAGAGGAGGTGATAAAAGGATTACAGGGTGGAGAAGTGGAGGCTGAGGAAGAATTGGGACCTAGCTCGGCCTGGTGAGGAGGCGAGAGGTCACATGGGTTTGTAGAAAAGGAAGATTAGAAAGACTCAGCGATGCTTGGGGTTGGGACTGAGGGGACAGGCGGGAGGGAAAGAAGGAAGATTTGGGATGAGTTGCATTGGGAACAGAGACTAGGGAGGGACCAATGTGTAAAAGAATGCCTGGACGTCAGGCACCTCAGACCGTTTGCCTATTTTACAACAAGAATTATTTAGATCTTGTAGGATGGAAAAATGGAAAGTGACATTTTCTGGCTATGTGGAACTACTGTCGAGTTTGTATTGGGGTCAAGTGGCATTGCAGAAGAAAATAAGGCATTTAGGTTTTAGGTCAGCTGTGAATTGAAGAGGTTTTAGGTTTTTAAGAGCACAGGCTAAGGGAGAAGAAGGGGGAATGGAGGGCGGAAGCTTGCCCATAGTGAAGGAGGCAAGCCCAGAGAGAAGAGAGAGTAGAGACATGGAGAGAAGGGGTTGGGGGTTCTTGCCCCCAAGAAGAGCGGTACTTGCCGCTAAGGGTGAAGGAGAAGGGGTTGGGGGGTTCTTGCCCCCCAGAAAAGCGGAGAAGGGGTAGAGACATGGAGAAAAGCGGTGGGGTTCTTGCCCCCCAGAAAAGCAGAGAAGGAGTAGAGACACGGAGAGAAGGGGTTGGGGGTTCTTGCTCCCAAGAAAAGCAGTACTTGTCGCTAAGGGTGAAGGACCAAGGCAGGTGTCCCCACATGGTCAGACACCTCTGAAACATGGGTGAATAATCAGGCAGGCATCCCTGCCTGATTCCAAAGGGAAGACTGTCTTCCCAATTCCGTGACTGGTGCCGGAGTTTTGGGTCTATGAATAAAACGCGTCTCCTTCATCTCTGTCAGAAAAGGAAAGGAACTGAAATTAAGAGAGAGATTGAAGGGTGATGCCAAGATTGAAAGGAGAAAGAGGTTGAGGGATAGTGAGAGAGGTTGGAGAAGAGAGTAAAAAGAGGCCACTTACTGGATTTAAAATTGGTGAGATGTTCCTTGGGCTAGTTGGTCTGAGGACCAGAGGTCATAGGTGGATCTTTCTCATGGAATAAAGAGCAGGAGGACAGGGGATTGATCTCCCAAGGGAGGTCCCCTGATCCGAGTCACAGCACCAAATTTCACTCGCATCCGTGTGAAGAGACCACAAAACAGGCTTTGTGTGAGCAACAAGGCTGTTTATTTCACCTGGGTGCAGGTGGGCTGAGTCTGCAAAGAGAGTCAGCGAAGGGAGATGGGGTGGGGCTGTTTTATAAGATTTGGGTAGGTAAAGGAAAATTACATCAAAGGGGGGTTGTTCTCTGGCGGGCAGGAGTGGGGGTAACAAGGTGCTCAATAGGGGAGCTTTTGAGCCAAGATGAGCCAGGAGAAGGAATTTCAGAAGATAATGTCATCAGTTAAGGCAGGAACAGGCCATTTTCACTTCTTTTGTGGTGGAATGTCATCAGTTAACGCAGGAACCGGCCATCTGGATGTGTACATGCAGGTCATAGGCATATACACAGGCATATGATGGCTTAGCTTGGGCTCAGAGGCCTGACAATAACAACCCACAAAAAATATATAATTTAGGTAATGGATAATGTATCACTTATGTTTAATATTGGAAGACATCTGTAATTATATTTGCAGATTGTCTCTTAGTATTCAACTAGAATGAAAATTGATATAGGTTGATTTCATATCTTGTCTATTGCAAATAGTGCTGCAATAAACATGGGAGTGCAGGTATCTATAGTATATATACACAATGGAATATTATTTGGCCATAGAAGGAAATGAAATCCTGTCATTTGCAGAAACAGGAGTGGAACTGAAGGTCATTATGTTAACTGAAATAAGCCAGGCACAGAAAGACAAATATCACATGTTTCCACTCATATGTGAGAGCTAAAAGAATGAATCTCATGGAAGCAGAGAGTAGAATTGTGGTTACCAGAGGCTTAGAAAGGGGTGGTGGGGGATAAAGATAAGTTGGTTGGGTACAAAAATAAAATTAGATAGAAGGAACAAATTCTAGTATTTGATAGTACAGTGGGAAAACTATAGTTGACAATAATTTATTGTATATTTCAAAATAGCTAAAAGAGAAGAAATGTACTATTCCCAACAGAAGGAAAAGGTAAGTGTTTGACGGAATGAATATTCTTATTACCCTGATTTGGTCATTACACATTGTATACAGGTTTCAAAATATCACATGTACCTCCAAAATACATACAACTATTTTGTATCAATAACAAAATTTTTAAAAAACTGATATAGGCTGTGAAGGGCAAACCATGTAGTCATCTCAGAGCTCAGCTTATTCTTGTGGATATAAATGTTTTAGCTGGCTCTAAACCAAGGATTTTGTATGAAGTAATACTTATTCAAATATTTTCAACAAAATAGAGTACCTTGCAAACAGGACTTTGAGATTTTTCATTTGTTTCCCTTTACAGTTCGTCATATACGCTTCATCTTCTAGTGTTGATTGATGAAACAACGTTCCACATGAGACAGCAGAGCAATAGAACACAGAACAGGACTCTGCCTGTGTGGTGGCCGGTTTCCATCCTTTCACAAACAAAGAGATATTTATAAACAAATATTTATATGCAAATATTTGATCCACCTAGGAAAAATAGAGGGCTACTCTTTCCCACCAGGAGAGGCCTTATAGCCTGTGCACATATTTGAACAAGGCAACCAGAGACTTTGATGGTCTCAACTCTACCACTCACCAACTGTGTGATGTTGGATACAAACTTAACCACTTTGCAACTCACTTCCGCATCTGTAAAATAAGGGTGATAATAATAGCACCTGGTTTAGAGAGTTGTAAAGATAAAAGCAACATTAGTAAAGTACTTAGGATGAAGTAATCATGTTTTGAATATATTTTCCTTTAAATGTGGCTGCCAATATTTTCATGGTAATATTTTCAAATGTATTCAATAGCTTTTTCTTTATCAGGAGAAAATCAGTTGTTTTAATTAAATTGACATTGAATTTTTGATACATTTAGGAGAATTTAGTTTCTTTTTATACAGTATTGACGCTTCTAATCCCACAGCATGTTTTTCTATTTTTTTCTTTTCTTCAATAGTTTTAAAATTTTTTTGTTCATTTTGGTTATGCAAATATCTAGTTAATTTCTATCTGTAATATTTTCCTATTTATTTTTAGTAGCTCTTATAAAGGGAGCATTTTGTTTTTCCTGTCTATCCTGACATAATAAAGCAATTAGTTTTTAATTGATTTTTAAAAATATTTATGCATTCTCTTTCATATGTATAATAATAATACCTAACCATTTTATGATTTACATGTGGCAATGTCAAGAAGAATTTTAAAGTAAGATTTACTAACGAATATTAGAGAACATGCTCAAAAACAGTCCTCTCCACCCCCTCACTTCCACTTGCATTCTTGATCAAGAAGTGAAATAAAAAATACTAAGACTATTGAGTCAAACTAATAAGACACAAATCTGGACTTTGGAGACTCATTTCCCTCCCACTTTTGATAGCTTAGCTGAGGAGGAGATCAAATGGTTGAGTCAGTCTGTAGAGAGATAGCAAGGCTGATTATAGTTTTCCTGGCCTGCAAAGCTGTTTCCAGAGCCCTCAGTATACAGACCTTGGCCATCAGTATGCATACTCTCTGGTGTGGTTTCTGGGCATCAGATCCCTTAATATATAGGTTGGCGCTAAAGTAATTTTGTAAACTTTTAATGGCAAAAACCACAATTACTTTTGCTTTTAATGGCAAAAACCAGAATTACTTTAGCACCAACCTATATATTGTTATTTAGAGAAACTAGGCATTCCCTACCTCTCTTAGGCAAACCTATAGCTATGTAACATGGCAACGGAATGACACTAACTGTCTCATTCTCCTTGGGAGTGCTCTCTGTATGTTCAGTCTCCCAGTGAAGAGAACCCTTCTATCAGGACCTTCATCATCATACAAAAGGAATATCTATGCCAGGCCACAGCTGCAGATTAGTGAGTGTCTGAGAACTGCATCTTTTCTGTTATTTTTCTGCTTGAAAGTTTTTCACCAATAAATCCTACACTATGTCTGCACCATGTGGTGCTAGTTATTTGTGTTCTCTTGCATGACACTGATGATGTTATCCAAACACAATTTCAAAAACTACTTTCTGTAGTTGGTAAATATATAGAAATTGAGAAAAAGGAAGAAATATGAGGAAGAAAGATGTTATCTGTTGCAACAGTTCAATGTTCTTAACTGAAGCCACAGATGAGATTTGGCTCATTTGCAGACATATGGGTGATTGGTACAGTAGGTTTATAAACAGAAGTTTAAACTTGTAAGCTTAAGCTTCCGTTTATAAACAGAAGTTTAAAATTATAGGTCCTGTTTAACATTCAGCTCTGTTAACTCACTCATCTTTTTGTGTTTTTACACTTTGTCAAGATTTCTTTACATATTCATCAATGTCTGAAGAAGTTACTTATGCAGATCTTCAATTCCAGAACTCCAGTGAGATGGAAAAAATCCCAGAAATTGGCAAATTTGGGGAAAAAGGTAAGATTTTGAGTTATGGATGTGTTGTAAGTTTGTATAATAGAAGTGGTTATAGACTTGCATCTTCAATATTAGTGATATAGTTACTATTCAACTTAAATTTTCAATTAAGTCTCTTATGTTTAAGCAAAGGAACAAAAAGTGTATGAACAAAATGATTAGAAAAAAGGGTTTTGTAAAAACACTTATCTCTGCATTGAATAATCAATCTTTTACATTTTTGAAATTTTTTATTATCACACTCAATATAATTGGGACAGAATTTTTCAAATGATTGGGTTGTATGAAGATTTTATTTCTTTATGAGATGAAGCCATGGAAAAAGAAACATGTTCAGGAAAGTCATGATTTCATATGTGTGTGTGTGTGTGTGTTTTTTTTTTTATAAGAAAATGCTTTGTGTCAGACAGAGAGACCTTTATAGGATTTCATTTGACTATCTACCAAACTAAGCATAAATCACCCTAAAATTTCTCCTACTTCTTTTGGAGATTTTTTACTAACTTACTAAAAAATAAAACATGTTAAGTTAAATGAAATGAATCATTAAGGAATAAAGGAAGAAAAGAGGTAAAGAAATATCAGAAGACATAATATATTCATAATATTCAAAACCACATTATATCAAGTAACTTTGTATTTTTCAATTCAAATTAAAATCATGAAATAAGTGGTCCATCTGTGTTGACTTTCACTTAAACAAAACTACTCTTCATCTTACTCAGAATCCTATAGTTTTCCTATTATGTATGGTTCTTGCCTTCTGGCTCCTAGCCTTTTGGGAGTGAAATCTGCCCTAGCGAATCCATAGTTTAAATCAGTGTATTTGAGTTAAAAATAACTTAAACAGTGATAGTGGAGAACACAAAGAAGGGTGATAGAAACAGAAAAATAAGGAGAGAAGAGTGCCAAAATTCTCACATATTATTTAAGTTGTTGTCCTCTCTCCTCTCCCCACACAGAATATAACATCTTTAATATTCTAGCATTGCTATAAACAGAAATTTCACTGTTACATCTTGGATCCATTTATGATGAGCATTGTAAATCTTGAGAAAGGATAGCAGATTAATTCTGTTGGCTTCTTTTTTAATACTGAAATTTTTTTTTAGAAAGAAGAAGGGTTTAAGAATTTTACAATATTTTCTGTCTTTATTTCCTTGTTTATATTTCTTCTTTTATACACTGAAAGAGAATGGGCATATCATGAGCCTAATATTACCAACAATTGCCCTTTACTTGTCCTCTCACACCCTTTCCCACCTCTTTTCCTGCCAATCCACCTTAAGTTCCCACCACAAGAATTCCCTGAATTCACGGAAATATTGAATCCATGTCTTCTTCATGTTCTTAATCTCATCTAATTTTCTCATTATCGAGCTTAGAATCTACATTATGTAATATAACATTGTATTATGTAATGTCTACTCTTAGTCTCTTACACTTCTCCTCTTCAATGTGTGTTAATTTTTCCTTAAAAACTCCAGCTCTGGCTAGGTGCAGTGGCTCATACCCATAGTCCTAGCACTTTGAGAGGCCAAGATGGGAGGATTATTTGAGGCCAGAAGTTTGAGACCAGCCTGGGGAAAGTAGAGATATGCCATGTCTATAAAAAAAAAATTTTTTTAATTAACTGGGCACCCATAGTCTCAGCTGCTTGGGAGGCTGAGGAAAGAGGATTACTTGAGTCCAGGAGTTGGAGGCTCTAGTAAGCTAAGATCAGGCGAGTGTACTCCAGTCTGGGTGACACAGCAAGATCCTGCCTCAAACAAATCAAAACAAAACAAGACAAAAACCCCAAAAACAAACAAATAAAAACAACTCCAGTTCTGGTTAAACCCGAATATCCACCCAGTCTGCCCCAGAGTTGAATATTGCTGGTGAAAAATACACAAATTTTCAACCCCAGTTACTCTCACCTTTCCTCTGGTAAGAAAAAAGCATCCATCTACACTTTTTTTTGTTGTTATTTAAATGTCTATCCTACCATGTCCTTACTGATACTCTGCTTTCCTTCCAGATAGTATTTACGATAAGTATGTACTTATGAAGGGACGGCTCCTCATTTTGCTCTGAATTTCAGTCCATGTGTCGTTTTCAAAGACAGACTTCCGTAATTTTTTCCTTTCTCTCCTGTGTCATTATTCTCTCTTCCTTCTCTGCTTTTCCTTTTTGGTGCACCAACATACTCTACTACTCACCAATATACTCTGCTACTCCTTTTATAACAAAACACAATCCTTGCTTGACCACTTAAGCCTTTCCATTATTATTTAACTTCTTTGTTTCCTTTCACAACTCAACTTTTGAAAGCATTTTCTTTGGCCACTGACTCTCAGTTCTTCACCTCTCATTCTGTTCTCAACCAACTCTATTAGGCTTCTGCCCCCTTGGTGCCATAGAGACTGAGCTTTAGGTCACTGATGTCCTGCCTGTTTCATCCCAATAGTCACATGTCTCTTCCATTACTTCACTTCCCTGCAGCATTGAAAAAGTTGAACAGTCCTCTAAATGCTTTCTTTGCACATCCCTCCTGACACATCCTCATGGCTTCTCCTGTCACCATGCCTGCCTCTCCTCATTCTTTGTTGATTCCTCCTCCTAGATGAAACTCTACAAGATGGAATACTCTGAAGCCCTGTCCTGGGTCCCGTTTTATTGCATCACTCAGTACACTCTTCTAATCTACCTCATTCAGTTGTTTGACTTTAAATAGAGTGACTCCCCAATATCTCTGTATGACCTTTCCCTGAATCTCAAGACTAGAAAATACATGTGCCACTTTCACATTTCCATAAGGAGTTCTAATCTCATTTTAAACTTAAAATGTCAAAAATAGTAATATTTATTTTTCTTCTAAAATTGTCTCTCTCTCCAGACAGCCTCATCTCATTAAATACACATATAAATATATATTTAAATACAATTTTCAAGTGTTTTCTCTGTGCCAGTTCTGTTCTAATTGCATTATAAATATTAAATTATTTAGTGTCTGATACTTTGCAGTCTTTCTGTCTCCCATGCTTTAACCATATTGAAACTCAGACACAGAGATGTTAAAAGGTGTTAAATAATTTTCCCGAGGTTTCACAAGCAATAAGCAGCAGAACCAGAATTCAAACCAAAACATACTGATATGGTTTGACTGTGTCTCCACCCAAATCTCATCTTGAATTGTAGCTCCCATAAGTCCCACATGCTGTAGGAGGGACATGGTGGGAGGTAATTGAATCATGGGAGCGGGTTTTTCCCATGCTGTTCTTGTGATAGTGAATAAGTCTCATGAGATCTGATGGTTTTATAAAGAGGAGTTTTCCTGCACAAGTTCTCTCTTGTCTGTGGCCATGTGAGATGTGCCTTTCACCTTCCACCATGAGTGTGAGGCCTCTCCAGCCACATGGAACCATGAGTCCATTAAACCTCTTTTTACTTATAAATTACCCAGTTGTGGGTATGTCTTTATCAGTCGTGTGAAAATGAACTAATGCAGTAAATTGGTACCAATAGAGTAGGGCGCTGCTGTAAAGATACCCAAAAATCTGAAAGAGACTTTGGGACTGGGCAACAGGCAGAGGTTGGAATACTTTGGAGGGCTCAGAAGAAGACAGAAAAATGTGGGACAGTTTGGCACTTCCTAGAGACTTCTTGAATGGCTTTGACAAAAATGGTGATAAGGCTGAGGTGGTCTCAGATGGAGATGAGGAATTTGTTGGGAACGGGAGCAAAGGTGACTCTTGTTATGTTTTAGCAAAGTGACTGGTAGCATTTTGCTCCTGCCCTAGAAATTTGTGGAACATTGAACTTGAGAGGGATGATTTAGGATATCTGGCAGAAGAAATTTCTAAGCAGCAAAGCATTAAAGACGTGACTCGGGTGCTGTTAAAAGCATTCAGTTTTATAAGGGAAGCAGAGCATAAAAGTTCAGAAAATTTGTGGCTTGACAATGATAAATAAAAGAAAATCCCATTTTCTGAGGAGAAATTCAAGCCAGCTGAAGAAATTTCTAAAGTCATGGGAAGCCAAATGATAATCGCCAAGGCAATGGGGAAAATGACTCCAGGGCATATCAGAGGTCTTCCCAGCAGCCCCTCCCATCACATGCCCAGAGGCCTAGGAGGAATAAATGGTATTATGGACTGAGCCCAGGGTCCCTCTGCTGTGTGCAGTCTAGGAACTTGGTGCCCTGCATCCCAGCTGCTCCAGCCATGACTAAAAGAGGCTAAGGTACAGCTCAGGTCATGGCTTCGGAGAGGGTGCAAACCCCAAGCCTTGGTAGCTTCCATGTGGTGTTGAGCCTTTGAGTGCACAGAAGTCAAGAGTTGGGTTTTGGGAACCTCTGTCTAGATTTCAGAGGATGTATGGAAATGCCTGGATGTCCAGGCAGAAGTTTGCTGCAGGCATGGGGTGCTCATGGATAACCTCTGCTAGGACAGTGCAGAAGGGAAATGTGAGGTCAGAAGCTCCACACAGAGTCCCCACTGGGGTACTGTCCAGTGGAGCAGTGAGAAGTGGACCACCGTCCTCCAGCTCTCAGAATGGTAGATCCACTGACAGCATGCACTGTCCACTTGGAAAAGCTGCAGACACTCAATATCAGCCCATGAAAGCAGCCATGAGGGAGACTGTACCTTGCAAAGCCACAGGAGCAGAGCTGCCCAAAGACATGGGAGCCTACCTCTTGCATCAGCATGACCTGGATGTGAGATATAGAGCCAAAGGAGATGATTTTGGAGCTTTAAGATTTGGTGCCCTTTGGACTTGCATGGGGCCTGTAGCCCCTTTGTTTTGGCCAATTTCTCCCATTTGGAATGACCGTATTTATCCAATGCCTGTACTCTCATTGTATCTAGGAAGTAACTAACTTTCTTTTGAATTTACTGGCTCATAGGTGGAAGGGACTTGCCTTGTCTCAGATGGACTGTGGACTTTTGAGTTAATGATGAAATGAGTTAAGTCTTTTGGGGACTGTTGGGAAGGCATGATTGGTTTTGAAATGTGAGACATGAGATTTGGGAGAGGTCAGGGTGGAATGATATGGTTTGGCTGTGTCCACACCCAAATCTCATCTTGAATTATAGCTCCCACAATTTCCACGTGTTGTTGGAGGGACCTCGTGGGAGGTAATTGAATCATATGGTAGGGGTGTTTCTCGTGCTGTTCCTGTGATAGTGAATAAGTGTCATGAGATCTGATGGTTTTATAAAGGGGAGTTTCCCTGCACAAGTTCTTTCTTCTCTTGTCTGCTGCCATATGAGGTGTGCCTTTCACCTTCCACCATGATTGTGAGGCCTCCCCAGCCGCGTGAAACTGTGAATCCATTAAACCTCTCTTTCCTTATAAATTGCCCAGTCTTGGGTATGTCTTATTAGCAATGTGAAAATGGACTAATACACATGCTAACCCTAAAGATGGTGTTTTGCTTTTTATCACTATGAGATACTGCCTACAAATGTGCATATCTACCAACTTTCTCTAAAGAAAAATTTCAGAAATTTTTGCAATAGATTTTAGCTTAGAAATGTATACTTAATTTATCCATGGGTCATCAAATTCCCTAGTACTAGCTAGTCAAACTTCTGTTCTCTTTCACATGTCATACTGTAACAGATTTCTTACTGATAAAACAACTCTGTTATTTTGCCCTCCTAGATTAAATTCTTCCAGTGGTTTCCCCAAAAATCTAACTTATTCTGGCTAGAAAAGGCTGTAAATAATGTCTCCTCCTTGTTATTTTAAAAACAAAACAAAAGAAAACAAATAAAACCTTTAACATCATTTTTCACATTGGCCACAATTCTTCTGCCCCTCTGAATATATTCTGTTTTTCAAATAGAAATCTTTTCCTTAAATTATTGTCTTTGAACTTCATGTAATTGCTACCTGTAATGTTCTTCCTACTTATTTTGCATGCTGGTTCCTATTCATAAGATTTGAACTGCCTGCTCTCTATAACAGCTTAGTTTTAAATCTCTGCACAACATCGCCAAATTTGAGATCTTTTCTCCCTTTCTTTCTTTCTCCCTGTCTCACTTATATATCTATTTATCTATTTCCTCCTACAATTAAAATTTATAGCTGTGAAAACAGGAACTTGTACATCTTGCTCACTTTGATATTGTTAGCACCCAGGATAATGTCTAATAAATACAAGGCACTCAAAAGATAACTTTTGAATAATTGAACTTTTTAATAATTGAATAAGTTCATTGAATAAATAAACTTGAATAATTGAATACACATATAAATAAGAAAATAATTTTAAGAAAGATAGCACTGGCATTTATAATTCTAATCTTAGATAAAATCTTGAACATGTAGTTCTTTCAGTAGTAACTATTTTCTAAAGTCTATATAAGTTAAGTTTTACTATTTATTAGTAATTGTCTCTGGATTTCACAATATTATTGCACCATCAACTATGAGATGTAAGACATAGCTCAGAAGTATAGTGAGATTATTATGGTATCCCTGAATTGGATTTTCTTGAAATATCTAGCTAGTCTTTACCTAATGTATAATAGCTTTATACATAATGATGATTTAAATAACATAGTCACAATAATAATTCACTCACAAAGTTTATAATTCCTGTTTTTTTTTTAAATAGAGAAATGATCTATTCTGGGCTTCACTATTCATTAAAAAGGAAGTATTCAATAAAAGTTTCTTGCAAAAACACATGAAAATTTTTTTGAAAAATTGCAATAAAAATGGTGTAGATCTGGACTGATTAAGATCAAAAGCTAACGGGAGGACACCCAAAGACATTATGAAAAGACAGCCTATCTTGTTCATTCTGCAGCTAAATTCTCATAATTGCCTGGGGGGATACATAAACAACTGAAACTGTTTTTCTTGACATGCCACAATTGTCTACTCAAGCAAAGACTTCTCCTATTGGCTTCTCTGTTAATTTCCAGCTACTCACTTTTCCCAAATTTGTACAAACAAAATACACTATATCTAGGTTGACTGGTTTTCTCCATTCTCTATTATAAATTCTGTTTTTGCTTATCTGTTTTTTTAAATCAGTCTACCAGTTAACAGCTTCTCCTGCCAGAATCAATTTACATACAAAACAATTAAGTGATTTTGATTTATTCTTGACATATTCTTCAAAAATATTTTTTGAATATTCTTGAATGGCTAGCAAATCCATTTCTTTCCAATAGGCATATTAGGAAATAAAGGTAAAATGAATGAATGAATGAATGAGTAAATAATCCAAATGAAAGTTATACCATTTTTAGGCCTCTCTGTTAATTTTGCTTTCCACAGCACCTCCAGCTCCCTCTCATGTATGGCGTCCAGCAGCCTTGTTTCTGACTCTTCTGTGCCTTCTGTTGCTCATTGGATTGGGAGTCTTGGCAAGCATGTGTATGTACTGCCCCTGTTTTTGTCAAGAGGAAGTATCTAGAATTTCAAATATTTAGCAACAAAAGTTTATTCCTTCAGTGGAAGATTTATAATAATGATAGGTGATAGGCCCACAAGGAGGACTTACAATGTGGAACTTAGTCTCTTTCCCTCACTCCTGTAGAGTAATTGCTTTCCCTACCCCTTTAATCTTTATACTACTTCTGCAAATGATAAAGGATGATGGCTCTATTGAGAATTTACAATTTTTTGTCATTTTTTTAATGTGGAGTTCACGTAACTTTGAAGATAGAAATGAAAAAAATGAACAAACTACAAAACATCAGTGAAGAGCTCCAGAGAAATATTTCTCTACAACTGATGAGTAACATGAATATCTCCAACAAGATCAGGAACCTCTCCACCACACTGCAAACAATAGCCACCAAATTATGTCGTGAGCTATATAGCAAAGAACAAGGTAATCTTGTATTCTCTTGGAGTTATTTATTGGACAATAAACTAAACCACTGAGTCTCTTAAGAATCATTTTATAATTAGCTAGCAGCCTTTCTCTAGGGAGTCATAATTTGGGGGAAAGAATTACATGTGGTTGATGGAGAATTCATTGATATTTCCACGCAGTTAGAAGAAAAACAGAAAAAGTAGTAACAACAATAGGCCCCCAAATTATCAGGAGATAATGGTTACATAATAAAATGTTAGACAAGACAGTTTCTCTAATCTGTCACTTACTATAATTATTCTGGGCACTGAGGTTAATAGAAGACAGGGAGGAAGTGACACCTCTTTACAGGTGACTTCATTCTTAAATTTCAGTCAGTGATTGATAACAAAGTCCATAGAAAAAAATAAATTGAGACTTCACCTTTGGGATCGGGGAGTTGGTCTTTTAGTGTCTCCATAAGTTTCTATAGTCATAGTTGCTAAAACATATTCCTTTTGCTCCTGAGAAACCTCAAAGTTTCAACATTTCAGAGAACAAAAATTAAAGAAGATAAGATTGGTATAGATAGGTGGGGTTAATTCTTACTATACAGAATGTTTCCAGTAATTAGTTTTTATTGTCTTTAAAGAATATACAAAATAACAAAGAGGAATTGACATAGGAAGACACACTTGAATCCAAGTGCTTAATTTGAAATTTTTTTGTTCAAGTTATGTGTCTGACACATTATGGTGGTATATAAGGAACTAGAATACAGGATTCACTTACTTCCCCTTCGATGTAAAAAAAAAAGAAACGGCATGTAATCCCAGCTACTTGGGTGGCTGAGGCAGGAGAGTCACTTGAATCCAGGAGGTGGAGGCTGCTGTGAGCTGAGATCACGCCACTGCTCTCCAGTTTGGGCAATAGAGCAAGACTCTGTCAAAAAAAAAAAAAGGGGGAAAGAGAGAAAGAAAAAGAAAGAAGAATAAACAGCAAATGTGATCAATGTCACACAGAGAGGAAAGGAAATAATAAGAATTATTATGACTATCAACAAAACCCAAATAAAACTATGTTCTTCTTCCAGAGCACAAATGTAAGCCTTGTCCAAGGAGATGGATTTGGCATAAGGACAGCTGTTATTTCCTAAGTGATGATGTCCAAACATGGCAGGAGAGTAAAATGGCCTGTGCTGCTCAGAATGCCAGCCTGTTGAAGATAAACAACAAAAATGCATTGGTAAAGCCCAGGTGTTTCTACCATCATGGGATAGAGAGGGGTGTGGCATGTTGGAGAAGACTTCAATCAACCCACTCATGATTCTGGTTTATTTCAGTTGGGGTGTGAAGTGACTGAAACTTTGTACACTTATCTCAAGATATCATAGGCAAGGTAAAACATACAAGTTTAGGACCTTAGCATAAGAGAAATATTACTAGCTGACAGGTAGATGAGTATTACAGGGCACCCAGAATCTATAGGTCTGTAAGCATTTCCAAATTAGAATCTAGAACCAAATCTCAGAACTTAATTTATAAACATTTATCTAAAAACAGAGGATACAGAGATTATTCCCCAGGATTAGCAATTCCATAAGAACTACATGGGAGAATATGTTTTGTTTCTACCATTTTGTATTTTTTAATTCACTAAGAGAAATAGGCAAGTTATAGTAGGTTAGCATAAAATATGTACAAACAAGAAGAACTGAAGTAAGATGGCACAGGCAAGTGTCAGATATATTGTACTGAGTCCTTGAATCCCAGGAAAAATGTGTTTTCTGGTAGCTTTATTGATTTATTCATTTTCTTAGTTTTCCATGTCTAAATAATGTTTCCATGTTACACTTATTACATAGCATTTTTGGTCTCTCACATAGCAATCATATATTTTTAAGCAAAATTACCTTTTCTAAAATTCTCTGCTTCCCCACAATAAGAAACTTTCATCATCCTTTATAGAAGAGAGATAAATCAACCCACAATCTCTTCCTCATCAGATCATTGTCAAGTGACCCATTCACAGTTACTTACTCTAGAAAAAATTTTTAAAGGCTAGAATAAGAAAAAAACCTGTTATTTGGCTACAAAATTCTGGACTGGTTCTGAATTCTGTTCTGTAACCACTCACATCTGAGTGTGTGGCATTTTTTTCCTACTCTTTCTGTTTCTATTAACTCTTGTTTATAGCCATTACCCACCTCCTTTGGCCCTGGACACAATATTTACTGCTCAAATTTTTTAATCTTGAACTTGTCATTGTGAACTCTTCACTGACTGTAAATTAAGGTTGTACATGGATTAGTAGGGCCTCTCTTCTTGTGAGACCAGCAATGATATTGTTAAAAATATTGAAATTTTGTAGTAAGGAGTACTTTCTTTCAATTTCTTATAATGACATTTAATAGTAGTAGTGCAATGTCCAGTATGTTACCTTAAAACAGCAATTTGTAAGAAATTACATTATAATGTAAAATACAAAAGTAGGAGACTGTTTCTTAAACAGACTATCTGTATTTCCTGTAGGAATTTATAAAATCCCAGAGTAGATCATATGACTATTGGCTGGGATTATCTCCTGAAGAAGATTCCACTCGTGGTATGAGAGTGGATAATATAATCAACTCCTCTGCCTGGTAAGTGTCTATTCTTGTTAGAATTTTATAGCTGGGTTTGAGTAGAGGTATTTTCCTTAGGAGCACTGTAGATTCAAATTAAAACCAGCTTCAATTGAAATTGCATGCTAAAAGAACCCTTTTCTATCATGCTTCTTTGATGTATTTTCTAATACATAAAGTTACCATAAATGCCTTCTCATAATTTTGACAAGTAACTAACAAAATTACAGCAGCCAAATTATGGAGAACTCTGTAAATAATTTTATCTAAGAAAAATTGTGGAAGCCCAGAAAAGTCATTGGACTAACAAGTACTTAATATTGTGATAAGTTCTAGGGTTCAAAGATGAATGAAATATTGATTCATCATTAAAGTTACTTAACCATCAATTTTATGTGCAGACTGATTGAATTATGCTAGAGATAAAGAGAATATAGTGTGATAAATGCTTCAGTAAGAATACACAGACTAACAAAACATAAATTTTTGCAATGATACTTTTGTTATAAATGACACTTCAAATGGGCATTTTAAAAAGTTTATGGATTTAGGGGGTACGATTGCAATTTTGTTATATAAATATATTGCATAATGATGAAGTCAGTGTTTTCAGTGTAACCATAACCTGGATAGTGTACACTGTACCCAACAGGTAATTTCTCATTCTTTATTTTCTTCCCACCCTCCTACTTTTTGGAGTCTCCAATGTCTATTATTCCACTTTTTATGTGCATGTGTACATATTATTTAGCTCCCACTTAAGTGAGAATATGCAGTATTTAAATTTACGTTCCTGAGTTATTTCATTTAAGAGAATGGTCTCCAGCTCCATCCATTTTGCTGCAAAGTCATGATTTCCTTCTTTTTTATACTTGAGTAGTATTTCATGGTGTATACACTCTAAAAGAAAGCATGGTTTCATGTTTTCTTATGCAATAATCCGTTGATGGACACTTAGGACAGTTCCATGACTTTGCTATTGTAAATAGTTCTACAACAAACATTTAAGTGTAGGTGTCTTTTTTTTAATATAATAATTCCTTTCCCTTTGGTTAGATACCCAATAGTGGAATTGCTGGATCAAATGGTAATTCTATTTTTAGTTCTTTGAAAAATTGCCATAGAGTTTACACTAACTTCCATTCTGAAATGGGCATTTTTGAATGAAAAATTTAAAGACTGGTTTAGAAGAGCACTTCAGGTGAAAGAATATAAACTTCAGCTTAATATATCACATATATAGTATAGATAAAATAATTTGTTGTGTAGTATAATGAGGAATGTGGTTATAAATATACTATTTTAAGTGGATTTATACGTTGTATTTGTTCTGCTTATAATGGGAAAAAAAGTCTTTACATATAAAAATAGTGGCAAATTCCATTTGTATTTTTTAATCTCTGAAATTTGGGAAGCAGAAAATATCAAACGAAGAAAGAAACCAGAGTCTCAACCTGCTGGACACTATTGGAAGTCCATCATTTAACACGTTTTTAGTATATACTTTTAGCAGGAGACAGCTCTGAGTCAACTGTGTTGAGGTGCCACCACAGCGAGTTTAGGCACTCAGATCCCTGCATACTCATCACATTGGGCCATAATGGCAAATAGAATTTTTTGTTTTGTTTTGTTTGTTTGCTTTTTCTTTCACATAGAAATAGTAAGTGTAGGAGTGTGGGTCAGAAAGAAAAGGTGGCCCTACCTCTGATGGTTGGCAATGATAGGATACAATGGGAGATAAGCTATCTACAAATGGAGTGGAGAAGGATATATATTTCAAAGGCCTAATTTGTAGTGAAAGACTAGAGACAAAGGTAATGTGTGTGTCAGGAGAGAGTACAGATGGAATCTTGTTTTGCAAACGTAGAATATGTATGTGTTTGTAATTATTGCAAATGGAATGGTAATCTATAATGGAATGGAAAACATTGTAGATATTTTCAGTTATCAAAAAGAAAACTGAAAAAGTATATAATAATTGTATGTATGATATATATATGTGTGTGTGTGTGTATATATATCTTCACTTTATAACTCTGTGTTGTTTTGGGGTTTGTTTCTGAAAGGGGGTTGTAATAAATGACATCTGTACTATGTCACCACAAATAAATCTCATTCTTAAACATTTAATTGATGAACTTATTTACTGGTTGATATCATTATTTTTTTACCCAAGTATTGATGCTAAATTAATCTAAAAGGTAATATTTTTAATTTATAAATTTGTTTTTAGTGCATAGTCCCTGATCACTAATCTAGTATTTATGGGCTGGTCATTAGAACTTCAGAGTAAAATCTTTTGCCAAGTGTCACTTAGAGATGATGTTGAACTTCAGGTGTCATATATCTCAGGTGAATTCCTGACTTTGATGATTATAAAAAGCACTTGAGGGAGAAAGGGTCCAAGTCTTACTACTCCTAGCCAGTTAGACTAGGAGAATCTTATGGAATGGTATTATTCCAAATTATATTATATATGAAGGGGCTGGGGTGCTAACTCTGTAAGCAAAGGACAGCAAATATCAGATGTTAGAAAGTGGAAAAAGCAGGGAGAAATGAAGCAGTATTTGACATTGCATATGTGTTAACATAAACAATTAACTCGGACATTCTTGATACTCTGAACATTAAATTAGATTTAGTTTAAACAACACAGAGTCTAGGGCAATAATATCATGTTGGAAGTGTAATTTTTTTTTCTGTGAATATGTTTCAAATATCTGACTTGCCAAGTGTAATTCTTTACTTTCTCTTTCAGGGTTATAAGAAACGCACCTGACTTAAATAACATGTATTGTGGATATATAAATAGACTATATGTTCAATATTATCACTGCACTTATAAAAAAAGAATGATATGTGAGAAGATGGCCAATCCAGTGCAGCTTGGTTCTACATATTTTAGGGAGGCATGAGGCATCAATCAAATACATTTAAGGAGTGTAGGGGGTGGGGGTTCTAGGCTATAGGTAAATTTAAATATTTTCTGGTTGACAATTAGTTGAGTTTGTCTGAAGACCTGGGATTTTATCATGCAGATGAAACATCCAGGTAGCAAGCTTCAGAGAGAATAGACTGTGAATGTTAATGCCAGAGAGGTATAATGAAGCATGTCCCACCTCCCACTTTCCATCATGGCCTGAACCCTGGAGGAAGAGGAAGTCCATTCAGATAGTTGTGGGGGGCCTTCGAATTTTCATTTTCATTTACGTTCTTCCCCTTCTGGCCAAGATTTGCCAGAGGCAACATCAAAAACCAGCAAATTTTAATTTTGTCCCACAGCGTTGCTAGGGTGGCATGGCTCCCCATCTCGGGTCCATCCTATACTTCCATGGGACTCCCTATGGCTGAAGGCCTTATGAGTCAAAGGACTTATAGCCAATTGATTGTTCTAGGCCAGGTAAGAATGGATATGGACATGCATTTATTACCTCTTAAAATTATTATTTTAAGTAAAAGCCAATAAACAAAAACGAAAAGGCAAGTTACGAGACTGACTTATTTTTAACTTCTGTGTGTTGAGCTACTGTAAGCTTGGCTTTTGTTAAAGACATACAGCAATTAGCTATGCAAACATAAGCATTGTTCTGAAAAAAAATATATAGATAGATATGTTTATCTCCATAACTCATAACTGGGAGTATTATACCCAAGAGGCTTTGTTACAAGGTATTTTTTATCCTGTTAGTAAATATTTTCCTGTAATTCTATAATAAGCAAATAAATTTTCATGGTTGGGGTAGATGCAAAAGTGACACATAATCGTTTAGAAAGCAACTAAACTTGTTTTACCAGCTGTTTAGGCATTTTTGTAACCCCTCCTTGATTTGGAGGTTTGACCTTGACCTAATTTTTTTCTTTAAAACCAGCCCTTACAATCTTCTGCCCCCTCCTCTTCTGTGACAGTAGCTGGGCCTAGAGGGAAGGGGGCTTGTATAGTTTGTGCAGCAGAGCATTCTCAGTGAAATACAGATCCCGGCCCAGTGGGATGCCAAAATGACGGAGAGCCACATCTCTGATCTTCAAAATATCATGATTTGGGTTTTCCTGGAAGTAAAACAAGAAGAGATAAATAACATTTACAGTTTGATCATTAAAAGAGCAATTTGTGCGTCAGAACAGAAAAAGGAACCTATTCCATTAGGGTACCAACTAAAAATACGAAGAAAAATTATAATCTGGTACTTGCTAGTGGATTACCATAGCCAAAAAATGATGTTTCAGTCTCCACTGAAAAAAAAAAAAAAAAAGATTAGGACTGAAATTGAGTATTAAATGTTTTCCTTTGAAGCAATTCCTTTATCCCCCCCCCCCTTTTTTTCTATTAAAGAGAAATTATAGCAAGACCAATTTGTGTGCAAAATAAGTTTTCGGCTTATTATACTTGGCCTGGTAATTTTGCATAAAAGGCAGCAAGGGTTGGGTATGGTGGCTTATGCCTGTAATCCCAGCACGTTGGGAGGCCAAGGCAGGTGGATTGCCTGAGGTCAGGAGTTCAAGACCAGACTGGCTAACATGGTGAAATCCCATTTCTACTAAAAATACAAAAATCAGCCAGGCGTGGTGACACACGCCTACAGTCCCAGCTACTCGGGAGGCTGAGGCAGGAGAATCGCTTGAACCCGGGAGGCAAAGGTGCCAGTGAGGTGAGATTGCACCACTGCACTCCAGCCTGGGTGACAGAGCAAGATTCCATCTCCAAAAAAAATTAATTAATTAATTTAAAATGCAGCAAGAATTGATTGGCCATATAGGCTTCTTTAAGTTGACCTTGACTGAACTTTACCTAAAAATATGCTATTTTAGTTAAAGTCTTAGTAAAATAACCAGTGTCTCAAATTCTTTTATTTTAAAAGATGCTTTTTGAATTTATGCAAATGACTATACTGTCATAAAATCACAATCCAAATTTTAGAACTCAAAGAGAAATATAAATTTGCTTACAAAAACATACTTCACTCAAATAACTCAAAAGAAAAAGATTTTGTTGACCCTGCTTTAACCAGAGCCAGAGCTTTCAAACAATGTTTATTTGGGAAATGCCATTTACAAGCCAACAGCTCATGAAAGCTGTCTATCAGGCATGGTAGAATCTAGGAAAGAGGCCCCCTACTTATCAGTATTTTCTCCTAATATCCCCAGGTAGCAAGATTCTATGTAAATCATTTTTATTTTTTTATGGAACTCTTTTGGGCACCATCATTTTTATTAGCATAGGGGTGGCTTCAGTTAAAATTCCATAGCAAGGCAGTACATGGCTCTCAGGTGGAAATTCTCTGTTCAATATTGTCATTGGGAAATATTTACAGTTTTTTGCCATCAGCCCCAATAAATGTGCCACAAATGCCACAAATGAAATGGAGGATTTGTCCTGACTAGCGCTCTAGCTTCTACCCAATACTTTGTGGGCTGAGGCAATTTTACTAGTTCCCATTCAGCATGTTCAATTAACATTTACTAAAAGAGCAGATTTTTATGCCTTCAGCTTTATAGTACTAGAAAGGGGAAACATCTCCCAGTCAGATATAGTACCCATTTTCACATGACATTTAGGTAAAGGGCTTACAACTACCTTCCATAAAGTTTGTTTAAACATCTTAAATTTTATAATTCTGTTAACCTGTATGTTTTTGTTTGTTTTTTTGTTTTGTTTTGTTTTTAGCCCCAGATCATTTTACCTTTTCTTTCTTTCTTTTATTTATTTATTTTTTTTTGAGACAGAGTCTCGCTCTTGTCACCCAGGCTGGAGTGCAGTGGCATGATCTTGGCTCACTGCAACCTCCGCCTCCTTGGTTCAAGTGATTCTCCTGCCTCAGCCTACCAACTAGCTGGGATTACAGGTGCCCACCATCACACCTGGCTAATTTTTGTATTTTTTGGGCTGTGGACTGTTGAGTTAATGCTAAAATGAGTTAAGACTTTGGGGGACTTTTGGGAAGACATGATTGATTTTGAAATGTGAGGACATGAGATTTGGGAGGTCCAGGGATGGAGTGATATGGTTTGGCTGTGTCTCCACCCAAATCTAATCTTGAATTGTAGCTCCCATAATTCAACATGATGCAGGAGGGGACCTGGTGGGAGATAATTAAATCATGAGGGTGGTTCCCCTATACTGTTCTCATGTTAGACCTAAAACCATAAAAATCCTAGAAGAAAACCTAGGCATTACCATTCAGGACACAGGCATGGGCAAGGACTTCATGTCTAAAACACCAAAAGCAATGGCATCAAAAGCCAAAATTGACAAATGGGATCTAATTAAACTCAAGAGCTTCTGCACAGCAAAAGAAACTACCATCAGAGTGTACAGGCAACCTACAAAATGGGAGAAAGTTTTTGCAATCTACTCATCTGACAAAGGGCTAATATCCAGAATCTACGAAGAACTCAAACAAATTTACAAGAAAAAACAAACAACCCCATCAAAAAGTGGGCAAAGGATATGAACAGACACTTCTCAAAAGAAGACATTTATGCAGCCAAAAGACACATGTAAAAGTGCTCATCATCACTGGCCATCAGAGAAATGCAAATCAAAACCACAATGAGATACCATCCCACACCAGTTAGAATGGTGATCATTAAAAAGTCAGGAGACAACAGGTGCTGGAGAGGATGTGGAGAAATAGGAACACTTTTACACTGTTGGTGGGACGTAAACTAGTTCAACCATTATGGAAGTCAGTGTGGCGATTCCTCAGGGATCTAGAACTAGAAATACCATTTGACCCAGCCATCCCATTGCTGGGTATATACCCAAAGGATTATAAAACATGTTGCTATAAAGACACATGCACATGTATGTTTATTGCAGCACTATTCACAATAGCAAAGACTTGGAACCAACCCGAATGTCCAACAGTGATAGACTGGATTAAGAAAATGTGGCACATATACACCATGGAATACTATGCAGCCATAAAAAAGGATGAGTTCATGTCCTTTGTAGGGACATGGATGAAGCTGGAAACCATCATTCTCAGCAAAGTATTGCAAGGACAAAAAACCAAACACCGCATGTTCTCACTCATAGGTGGGAATTGAACAATGAGAACACCTGGACACAGGAAGGGGAACATCACACACCGGGGCCTGTTGTGGGATGGGGGGAGGGGGGAGGGATAGCATTAGGAGATACACCTAATGTTAAATGACGAGTTAATGGGTGCAGCACACCAACATGGCACATGTATAAATATGTAACTAACCTGCACGTTGTGCACATGTACCCTAAAACTTAAAGTATAATAATAAAAAAAAAGAAATTACAAGTGCTGCTCCAATGAACACACAAATAGTAAGAAAACAAGATAGCCTTATTGCTGATATGGAGAAAGTTTGGTGGTCTGGATACAAGACGAAACCAATCACAACGTTCTCTTAAGTCAAAGCCTAATCCAGAGCAAGGCCCTAACTCTTGTCAATTCTGTGATGGGTGAGAGAGGTGAAGAAGCTACAGAAGAAATGTTGGAAGCTAGCAGAGGTTGGTTCATCAGGTTTAAGGAAAGAAGCCTTCTCTCTAACATAAAAATGAAAGATGAAGCAGCAAGTTGTGATGTAGAAACTGGAGCAAGTTATCCAGAAGATATAGCTAAGATAGCTGAAGGTGTCTAGATGAAACAGCTTTGTATTGGAAAGACATGTCATCTAGGATTTTTATACCTAGAGAGGAAAAGTCAATGGCTGGCTTGAAAGCTTCAAAGGACAAGCTGACTCTCTTGTTAGGGACTAATGCAGCTGATGACTTTAAGTTAAAGCCAGTAGTCTTTTATCATTTCAAACGTCCTAGGGACCTTAATAATTATGCTAAATGTACCTGCCAATGCTCTATGAATGAAACAATGACGTCTAGATGAAAGCACATTTGTTTATAGCATTGTTTACTGAGTATTTTAAGCCCATTGTTGAGAAACACTGCTCAGAAAAAAAAAAGGTCTTTTTTTCAAAATATTACAGCTCATTGACAATGCACCTAGTCACCCAAGAGCTCTTATAGACATGTACCGGGAGGTTAATGTTTTCAGTCCTGCTAACACAGCATCCTTTTCTGCAACCAACAAATCAAGGAGTAATTTTGACTTTCAAGTTTTATTCTTTAAGAAATACACATCATAAGGCTATAACTCCCACAGATACTGATTCTTCTTATATATCAGAGCAAAGTAAATTGAAAACCACCTGGAGACAACTTACCATTCTAGATGCCATTAAAAAGATTTGTGATTCATGGAAGGAAGACAAAGTGTCAACATTAACAGACACTTGGAAGAAGTTGAATCAAACCCTCATGGATAACTTGCAGGCGTTCAAGACTTCAGTGGTGGAAGTAACTGCAGATGTGGTGGAAATAGCAAGAGAACTAGAACTGGAAGTGGAGCCTGAAGATGTGGCTGAATTGATGCAATTTTATCAGGAAACTTTAACAAATGAGGAGTTGCTTTTTATGGATGAGCAAAGAAAATGGTTCTTGAGACAAATATTATTCCTGGTGAACATGCTGTGAACATTGTTGAAATGCTAATAAAGTATTCTGAATATTGCATAAACTTAGTTGATAAAGCAGTAGCAGGATTTGAGAGGACTGACTTCAATTTTGAAAGAAGTTTACGATGAGTAAAATGCTATTTAACAGCATCGCATTCTACAGATAAAAATTTCATAAAAGGAAGACTAAATTGATGCTACAAACTTCACCATTGTCTTATTTTAAAAATAGCCACATCTACCCCATCCTTCAGCAACCACTGCTGTGATCCATCAGCAGCCATCAACATCAAGGCAAGACGCTACACCAGCAAAAAGATTTTCACTCACTAAAGACTCAAATAATCAGCATTTTTAGCAATAAACTATTTTTAATAAAACTATGTACATTTTCCAGACATAATGCTGTTGTATACTTAATAGAAGACGTTGTAGCTCAAACATAACTTTTACACGAATTGGGAAAGCAAATAATTAATGTGACTCACTTTATTGCAATAATTGCTTTATTGTGGTGGTCTGGAACTGAACCCACAATATTTCCGAGGCATGCCTGTAAGTTAGTTTTAAATTGAAGAAGACAGAAGTCAAATTTTGCTGGAGTTCACTTAGATGACATGTAGAAGATTTAGTATTTGAAATGAGGTGGTCTGATCTGTGCTACTAACGTTTGTGCTATTTTGATTTTATGTATAAGATACTTTAGATATGAATACCAGAAAAAGAATCACAGTGATTGGCCTACATTTTTAATTGTATTGTTGCCATGCACTAAGATATTATTCTTCTAAGTTTATGTGTGCTATAGGGATGTATACACATATGTTTTTCCATTTTAGGGAGATGAAACAAAGTTGAGTTGCTAATTTTGTACAGTTTTCTGAATTATTGGTTCCTATTTAGTTTCTCTAAATAGACAATTCAAAATAAAAAACATACTGATACCATCACCCAAATCCAAGATCTCCAGACATTTGAAGTAACAAGTAAAATTTGAGGTATTTCTATTATTTTTCCTAAGCCCTCCAAATCTGCTTAATTATTGATAGGCTAGAAAAAAGATAAAGATTCAAGTGTCTTTCAGTGTTAGCGCACAAAGCTTTAAGAGTAACACATATTTATTGAGTATGTATTACATACTTGGTATTCTGATCGATACTTTATATAATCATATTAAATGAGCTTCACAATTAACTTATGAGCAAGGTAATAATATTAAACCCATTTCAAGGTGAGAACATTACTTATCCAAAGCCAGATAGAGAGTAAGTTCTAAAGTAGTGATATTTCTCTAACTGTATTAAAGACTACTTGTATGAGAATTGTGTCGTGATGCTGGTAAAAACCCAGGTCTCTGTGTCTCCTCAGTCTTCCCACTGAGTAACATCAGCATTTGAGTTTCCTATTTGGTTTCTCTATGTTTTAACCAAAACCTCCGTTGAGATGTTTGAGAATCATGTTCGTAAATGGTAGCCACTAGTTAAAAAAGGGAAGCTGTGGGAAAGAAATGCAATTTTTTCCTATTATCCTGTAAAAGGGTGCCTTTCCACATATTCTGTAAATACTTCCTGAGTTACTCAGCAAAAATAAAGCACAGAACTGTTAGGAAAATACTAATTAAAGCATTTTTACTTGTCCTTCTGTCTAGTAGCCTCTGAAACTTAAGAAGCATTTATTCATTTTACAAACCCAGTGAGTTTTCTTGCAAACTTTCTTTTCCTTCTCTAGCGCAGAAAATTACTACTGTTGAATCTAACCAGAGGTAGACTTGGAATAGTAATTCTATTTGCGTAATGTTTTAATGATTGAGCTATTTTTCTCATGAACTATCTTATACAAAGAGAAACAAATATCTCTCTGTTTTGTGAGCCAGGGTTTCGGGTTGGTGCTGGTAAGAGAATAGTGAATGGGGAAGTCATAGTGTTCGCTTTCATGGAGTTTCTGGTACAGTTAACACTCTAAAGTTCTATTTTAGGTTGTAGAACTGTGAGATATAAAAGATGGTTGTTATTATTCCTATTTTAAATATGAGAAAAGGGAAGTTAAAGAGGTTATGAAACTTGTTCATGATTGTAATTTAGTTAATTGACATCTAAATTATTTTGCTGATTCTAAGTTTAATATTCTTTTTACTATCTTACACCGCCTTTCAAACTTAGATATTTTGGACAGATTTCAAACATAGATATTTTGCACAACTTATATTAATTAAGCCCTAACCTATATTGGCCTGATTTTGATGTTATATGTGTATATCTGAAGATGCAGTAAATCATACCATGTTCAGGTAATTAGAAATGAAGGACAAGAAGAAAGAAAATTAAAGGAAAATAGAACAATTGGGAAGCAAATGATAAACTCACGTGATGGCTTCTGTATATTCAAAGAAGGGACTAGGTAATTCTGATAGGAAAGATAATATTAAAAATAACTCCAGTGAGAAGAAAGGGAGAAATAAGCAATTTTCAGCTACTGATGCATTCATACATATCTTTTATTGTACAATAAAGCCCTTATCTGTGTTATCCTGTCCACCTCTTTGCATTAAGGTAGTTGGTCCACCTTGGTCATGCCAGCCTTCCTCTCACACATTAAATAATGTTTGTTCTCACAGAAGGTAGGGTGCATTTTCCCATTATGAAAATAAGCACAATTCATATTTCCTTTTCCATCTTCCAAAAACTCAAACCTGTGAAGGGAAAGTTAGAATAAATTCCTTTGAAAACTGAGCAAACAATCAGTAATCAGACTCTGCGTATAGTAGTTTGATGCACCAAATAGAGACTGAGGAAAATAGGAAAAAAAAACAAAAAAAAAAACGATTCTCATTGTTGAGAAAGTTCCACCCTGCTTGGCAGTACAAGATATGCATATTTAAAAAGCCCAATATCAATTTCATTTAGCATAAAATTAGGAGCAAGGGAACAGTAGGTACAATAGGAGCCCTGAAGAAGTGATGGAGATGGCTCCAAAATAATGGGAAAACGCATTATCTACAAGATCAGACTTTAGTTCGGTATTGATGGAAGGTCAGGACTCAGATGAACTGACAGGAGATGGAAGAGCCCTACAGGACAAGTAGCTGCACTAGATGGGAATACGCTCATGGAAAAGTGAGTTGATTCAGTAGTTTTGAAATCAGGATTTATGTTGCAAGATAAATCATCTAACACAGCAGGCTGTATTGTAATTGTCTGTTAAGTTATATTTCTTTCTTTCTAAACTGCTTATAATGAGATGACAAGGAATATATACTTATTGGTTTATTTGGAGAATACCTGCAGAACTATGTGACAAAGTTGTTCTATGTGCTGAGGATACACTGATAAAGAAAGACAAGAAAGCTAATGTCTTTCTTGTTGGGGAACTTTCATTTAAGTGGGGCGATACCGGTAAGAAGCCCACAAAAAATAGACAAGAAAAATTGAGACAGTGGTAAGAGTTACAAAGAAACAAAACAGTGGTGGACTGTATGGATATGGGTTTAAGGGAGGCTAATTTAGTTTGGGTAGAGTTAGGTTCACTGAAGAAGTGATGTTTAAATAGAGACTTGAGTCTCAGTGGAGAGATGGTCATGGAGTTGTGGAGGCAGAGCATTCTAGAAGAAAATAGCAAGACAAAAGCCTTAAGGTAACAAAACGAGTTTGATTTGTTGGAAGAATGTAAAGAACACTAAGTTGCCTGCAATATTGTAAATGAGGCAGCAAGCAATAGGAGATAGGAGATAAAGCCCAAGGTCTGTGAAGAGGCTTGCTTGTAGTTGTAGTATCCTAAGATCCTATCTATAGTAAATACTTAATAAATATTTGTTTAAAAATTTAATTCATAATTTGAGTAATAATCAGATTATATAAGTTTTGGTTATCAGTTTAAATTTTAATTGAAGAGAGACTGCAGTTTTGATATACAGGATGAACAAAAGATGTTGAGACTGCAGATTGGAAAGCCATATAGGAAGCAACTCCACTCAATGCAATCAGTCCCTTTGCCTGGATTGTTTGTAGAAGGACAAAGCTTCGTTAATGGACATTGGAATTATCTTGTGAAATACAATGTATCGAATTCTTGGAGACTCCCAGAATAGAGGAATAGGCAAAACAATATTGAAAACTCAAAAGGACTCTCAAGATAACAACTTTCAACTGTAAAATAATGATATGAAATTTTGTTTTAAAAATATGTGAAGATAATCAGAACAAGCAAAACACAAAAACACACACACATGTGCATGCGCGCACACACACACACACACTCACACATACACATACATGCACACAGTGTTCCATGGTAAGGTTGAATGTAAAAATGAATGGGAATAATATCAGAGATAAAGGTGGATTGTGGCTTAGATAAAGAGCAAAGTAATGGGAGAGAGGGGAAAGAATTGTCTTATGACCAGCGCTGTCTTGTTTGAATTAGCAGGTAAGTGACCCAGCTGCTGCTTCTATAACCCATAGTAGTGACTTGGACTGAGAGAAGAGGGAATCTCAAGAATAAGAGTTTCCAGTACTCCCTCCTATTCTAAGTGTCCAGTGACTTACATATTTTCTGAGATAACCGAGCCATCCTCCCACTTCCAGACCTCATTCGACTTCTGGCGAGATAATCCGACCCAACGAATTAAATGAGTCCTGGCTTTGATGTACTCCTATTGTAAACATAAATAAACACAATGGTCAGAATCCCTCCACAGCTCTTGGTATGATAGACAAAGCTTCATGATAAGACGTTGGACAAAAAATGTTGGATTACATGTCTATATTAGTATTAATGGATTACATTTGATGTTTGAAATTGTACCAATTTGACTTGTCTGAGAACTTAAAAAAAACTTATAGGACACAGGTAAAATTGTACACAAAATAGCTGATATTCTAATCTTCTTTTGTGTTTATAACATGTATTTAGATCTTCAACCAGTTGAGGATTATACTCCCAAATAGAATACCAAATATGATTCAAAGGAATAAATGTAAACAGAGAAAGGAAATACAAAGAAATACATTGTTGATGAGCTGTATATTCCTTAGAGTTAAAGCCCTACCTGCTTTGGTTTTATTGCTCAGCTTGCCTATAAAATCTTACATATGGAAGTATTAACTTGTTGTAGTTAATTGGATAAAGGCATTTATGATGTCTTTCTCAAAAGGATTTATAAATAACGTACATCTACCTTTCCCTATTTACTTTCTTCTAATTAGCAATTATCACTATCTACTAAACTATATACTATATCATTTGCTTTGTTTCTTGGCTGTTGCTTTAACTAGAATATACTCTTGTCGAGGTTAAGCATTTTTCTTTCTGTCTTACTAACTGCATAGGTCCAAATTCTGGAATAGTTTCAGCACATAGTTGCTGAATTAATGAAGGAATAAGTGAATCAATCAATCTATGGGTAACAAAATTATGTGAAGGCCAAATGCTTATATATTCTGAGACCTCCCAGAATAACAAGTGATAATGCATTCTTGGTAAATAAAAAATGACTTGAGCTTCTTGACAGATATGTGAGACTCAAAATGGCATTCCACAGGAGATATTGTGTGAAAGTCACATGTGACTGTTTATTTCTTAAAGCTTGAGCCACCGGGAACCTTTCTGTTATATCCTAATATTTTCTTTAAAATATATCAATATTATATACTTCCCAATAGGAACTGACAGATAAATTCTACCTGAAATCCAACTATACAATTTCTTTTTCTGAAAAAGTTGCATGACTACTTTTAGTTATAAATCTTCAACCTGGCATCTGCCTAGACTAATACAAATTAAGGATATGCATATATGTCTCGAATTAATCTCTATATAATAGAGCTGAGATTTTAGAAAACTATCTTATTTTGCTGGAGTGGAAAGAAAAGCTAATTTATGTAACTGGATATCTTCCGTATGCGTCTGAGTCCACAGAAACAGTAAGTGGACAGCACAGCAAGTTAGAACAACAGAGGACACAAATAAATATGAACATCACTGGGCTGACTCTTCATGTGTGACCCACTATGTACCTGAGCTGTCAGGAAGGGACAAGTCAATTTGACTGATCAACTCTATCAGTGTTGTAGAATATTATGAGTGGATTGAATATCTGGGTTCTGTAATTCTTACTAGGTTTCACAAGGGTCTTAGATTAGTACAAACTGAAAGATGTTAAGAAAAATGTAAAAAACAAAAAAAGGTCAAGTGTTACATTTGAGGTTTCTCTTCCTTGCCTCCAAAATATTTGACATAAGAATCTTCTTACCACAATGTTCCGGTTGTCAATCTTCAGGAGAGTAGCATTCATGTCAGTGCAGTACTGCTTACTCTCTTCCCATGTTAAGTTGTGCCTGAAGAACCCATAGCAGCTATCTCCATAATATCTCCAGTTTGTGTCACAGGGGCTGCATTTATGACCTTCTGGAGAAACCAAGCACAGGAATGGTGTATTTTTTCTAAATTGGGCTTACATTTTCTTCACATTCAATGTTTTCTGCAGATCTCAAACTCCCTTCAGTTGCCATCAGAGAAATGCTCCAGGGGTTGGAGAGATGAAGAGGTTAAAAAAACAATACTTACTGAAAGTGCCCTTTAGTTCTGATTGTTTTACCACATATTGACAGAAGCGCTTTGCTAATTGTTGCAGAGTTCCTGTGCGATTTTCATTCTCACCTTGTAGGTAATTGCGCTGCATGACAGCTAGGTTTAAAAAGTAAATAATAATAATTTGTAATTAGAACCATAGAAATGATGCAAAGGTCTGTCATTGAATTTTCATTTCCTTAACTTTGCCAATATATGAGGAGTTTACTAGATACACATGATTAAATGAATGTTGAAAAGTGTGGAGGGGCTATAAAGAACAAATTAAGAAATACACAGAACTGACGCCTGAGGGTTAATAAGTGAACTGTTTGAAGGAGACAATCACAAATAAAAAATCCCAACATCGATAACATCCCCAGAGCCTGTATTCATTTGCTTGAATACAAGCTTCTCAGCTGAGTTATAGAGGTGAATGACCTCTTATTTTCTGTTCTTTCTGTGATGCCAAACTATTCATTCATTTAAAAATACATACTGATTTCTTGTTATGCTTAAAGTACTTGTGATATTCAGGTAAATAATAAAGAAATACAAGAGGATAAATGTTAGATTCTAACATCTTTTAAAAAAATCAACAAATACACAAACAAGCAACAACTACACAGACTTCAATGTGCTATTGGAGGGCCATGAGAATTACAGAAAGAAGAAATGCACAGTAACTTAGTAAACAAAATGAGAAACAGAAAATTTTAGGTAGAGAGAATAGAATGAGAAAAATTTCAGACAAGGGAACATGGAATTTATATATGAAATTGAAAAACTCCAGTTTGGCTGGTTCTTAGGAATGCAAGATAGGAAAAGGGATGAAAAAGTTTTTAAAAATAGTTTGGATCCACACTGAGGAGGGTCTTAAAGGCCAGTAGTACATTCTTAAAAATAACTTTTCATTAGTTAAAATCTTAAAATCTTATTTTAATCACAAGGAAACAGTCAGTGTTCTCCTTTATTGAGATTCTCTTGGCAACTATCTGTAGGACAACTGTAGAAGTGATAAACAGACAAATAGCGACCATTGAGAAGCTTAGTGGGATATGCCATGACCCTTCAGTATTACCTTCCTCCAGTCAAATTTCTGGCAGAGTCAACACTTACACCAAATCCCCAGAGCCACCAGCCCGACAACCATCCCCACGCACAGGATCAGCAGAATCAAAGCCATCACACGCCACCAGGAGGAGGATGCAGAGCCAACTGTAGGCATATAATAAAGACATCAAGGAGCAGGCAGTATGGGTTAGCTATGGGGAAGGCTCACCCCTGCCCCTGCCCCTGCCTTCTCAGGGTCCTCCAAGTAATAGAAAGAGCTTTGCTGGCAGATCTCACCTGTGTTCTCCTCATGATCATCAACAATAGGCATGGCCCACCCCTATACCATACATCCATTCTCATCTCCAATGCACTTTACCTCTCCAAGCTGAAATATTACTTGCTGTTAAGGCCTGATGTGTTTGTATTTTTTGTTTTGTTTTGTTTTGTTTTGTTTTGTTTTATGCTCACCCATGCCATAAATAATTGCTTTAATAAACAGCAAATGAAGAATCACACTCATTTGCTCACATATAGAAAATGAAATTTCCACTCTTTTCCGTTATCCCCTTGACTTCTATGCCCTCGAGTATTAAACGCTCAGAATCTTAATGCAATTTTCCCTGCACATATATTGGATGTTTGTAATCTAAATAGGTCTGTATGAGCTTATGAAAACACTACTCAAATGCTTTAGAGCATTAACATCATTCAAGAAAAAGAAATTAAACTATATATATTATCAATAGTAGAAAAAGAAAGAATTGAATCAACTCATTTTTTAAATTAATTTCCAAATTATTGGCTCTGAGCATTCTTACCGGAGATGAGAGCTGGTTTCCGAGTTTTAATATTTAAGGTGATGTATCCATCTTCATCCTGCATGGCTTCCCGAGTACTGCAACTGAGCTCAGAGTTCAATGACTTTGCAAAATGTAGTTTCCAACTTTACAATTTCAGTATCTGTCAGTTTATGATCTTCCTGTCTTTAGTAGGGTAGAACCATGTGAGATGGGACACATTTGTTTTCCTTTGCTTATTGTTTTCCAGGAAGCTTCTTCATAGCTGCTCAGAGATACATGGACCTTGAACACAAAAACACAAAAATAATAATAACTTGTGGTAAAGGAGTAGATAAGGTATTTGCTTCCTGCTTTTTTTTTATCTTCAACACTAAATAAAGGGACATTCCATCATGTGCATCCTTTCTAAGAACAAAAGTTCATGCTTTATCTTAGCCCTAGCTTAGTCTAAATTACATTGCTCAAATGAGAGATTTCTGCTGAAAATTCATGGATATAGCTCACCAGCAGATATATAGTTTATCTCATTGTGAGAAGCAAGTGTAATATAATTGGATCTGATAGGGGCTAAATTAGCTGTTTCATAGTCTTGTGTTGGAAGAGATCATTCCTGATTATGACCTAGAATTTACACAACTTCTTGCATATTTCATACTTTTTTTTATTTGAAGGATCCACATGAGGCAGGCCTGATATTGCTTAGATTTAGGTATTGAAGGAAAACTATCAAATCAAGTAAAATAATACAGAGTTGGTGACTTGCTGCATTGTTCTTTAGTAGTGTTTGTGCTTTAAAGTGAGTTTCCTGGAATGGAAGAATTTTGATTTGATGAAATCACTTCATTTCAAGTACAGCTGTGCTTAGATGAATATTTGAGACTGAATGGTTCCTAGCACCTTTTCATCACAATATAATATGTATTGCACACACTTAACTTTATGAAATGGGCTTTTACATTATTTTAGCTTGCACTGAAAGTAGTTGTAAGAACAGCCATACAAAGCTAGCTGATGCATTTATTATAGGAATATTGGGGAGGATGTTGTCTATTTTGCCATAGGGTAACTCTTACATAGTTTTATGGCAGATTTTTATTTTTGTTAAATCACCATGACTAGCAAAGCTTTAAGTAGTAGGCATTTACCTTATAAATAATTTGAATTCTATTTTTCTTTACTTAGCAGAGTGTTAGACTTTTCAATATAGTGATTATGTGGGCTGCAGTAGCAGATATTTTGTTTATTAACATGCCCTTTGGCATAGCCCGTAGATTTTTTCTCCCCTGCTATCTCCTTCACTCTGAATTTCTTGTCAATTCACTTAAAATTATCTTTCATTCTAAATTTCTTTCTCTATACTCTTCAAATTATTTTGAGAATGAGGTGAAGAATAAGCATAACACGTATAAAAGACATTCCCTGATTTTGGAAAGCCAAACTTAGTATGATTCAAATATTTTTACCAAAACTAATTCTTAATTAAAAAAAAACACATTTGAAATAAATGCCAAATTTTAAGAAAAGACTAAAAATTTTTAAAAAACATTAAATCCCAACACCATTTTTGTTGCTGTGTTTCTTATCTCAGTTAAAATATTCAGGGGTTCCCAATCATAAGCTGGGTAAATTCAGTCACTTACCATTCATCTACCACTGCTTCTGTTCTCATAACTTCTGTTTCAGCTAAAAGGGATTCTTCGCTCTCCCATCATTTATCCTCAGGCTTTTCTGGAAGATTGGGGTTGGAATGGGGTTTGATCCTCCCTCTCTTCCTTCCTTTCTACATCTACTCATCAGCAAGTCCTGAGGCTATTCTGTCACAGTAACCCCTGTCTTTCACGTTCTTTTGGTCACTGCTTTCCTTCAGTGTTTTGTTACCTAAAATATACAGAAACACTAAAAAATAATCGAATAAATAACTGTGACAAAGTAACAGAGAGAAAAGAAAATGTGTGGAGGTTATAGTACAAATGACACTTTTCCAATAAAGCTTTACTCTGTTCTCTTAGGTACCAAACAGGTACATATGAAAACTTAATTTGTTACATTAAATCAGATATGTAAAGGTAAGATCCAAGGACATTGAGACAATTTTTAAATTATTGTAAACATTTTTTGTTTATTAACAAAAACTTTAAGATGGTATTAAAGAGAACAATTAGATTGCTTTGTTGAGGTTTCCACATTCTCTAGGACTTGAGCAGCTGATTTCATTATAAAACATGTCCCATGTATTTTTGTAAACCACCAGGAATGTGCCAGGATTAGTTCTTGATCCTTTAATGCTTAGAACTGCATATTTAATGCCTGAAGTAGGTTAACACTCCGCCTTTGAAGATATTCCTTTCCTATATCTCAGGCTCTGGACTTTCCATTGCTTCATTCCTCTTTCTCATTGTAATTTAACCTTGCTTTTTGGATCTTTGATCATTCCAGCCACAGTCTGAGAGTCTTATATCTTATCTGTGTTCCACAAAATATACGTTTGCCTTTCTGTGTATCCCCCCTCACATGACTTTGTGGTGTTAGAAGCAAGCTGAGCGAAGACAGAGACTCTCAGGGCCAAAGGAACTAGCCCTTGATAACATTGAGTTCTAATTTTGCTCCCTCCCCACATTCTATAAATGTAAGTTGAGTTACTCAGCAAAAATTAAGCAGAGAACTGCAGGAAAGAGAGATAGATATCACAAATGCTTCTTTTCCTTTTCCCAAATCCAGAGTCTTTGCTAGTTACCTTTTAATCACCCTCCAAGTCCCGTTATTAGCTTATTTTATTTCTGCTTCAATATTTTAACCTTGCTTGAATATCTTATTCTCTTCTCCTTTTCTTCACTAAGGAAACTATATACAGCTAAACAAAATCTTTTTTTTTTTTTTTTGAGACTGAGTCTTGCTCTGTCGTCCAGGCTGGAGTGCAGTGGCGCCATCTTGGCTCACTGCAAGCTCCGCCTCCTGGGTTCACGCCGTTCTCCTGCCTCAGCCTCCCGAGTAGCTGGGAGTACAGGCGCCCACCACCACGCCTGGCTAATTTTTTTTGTATTTTTAGTAGAGACGCGGTTTCACCGTGTTAGTCAGGATGGTCTTGATCTCCTGACCTCGTGATCCACCCGCCTCGGCCTCCCAAAGTGCTGGGATTACAGGCTTTAGCTACCGCGCCTGGCCTAAAAAAATTCTTTATTCCAAATTTCCTGATGAAATTGAATTTAAAATAAAACCTTTTATTCATTCAATATTTTACAGATTAAGAACACTCTAAATTGTCTGTTTTAAAGGAAATATTTAATGAATGTTAATTATGTTTCAGACACTGAAATTGGTGCTGAGTATTCATGGAGAAAAATCATGAGGTTAGTCTTTATGAAGCAGAGTGTTAGATTTTAGCTATGTGAACTTCTTTAAAAAAATTTACAAGTTGGGTAATGTTTTTTTTTTTTTTTTTTTTGAGACGGAGTCTCGCTCTGTCGCCCAGGCTGGAGTGCAGTGGCGCGATCTCGGCTCACTGCAAGCTCCGCCTCCCGGGTTCACCCCATTCTCCTGCCACAGCCTCCCAAGTAGTTGGGACTACAGGCGCCCGCCACCACGGCCGGCTAATTTTTTGTATTTTTAATAGAGACGGGGTTTCACCGTGTTAGCCAGGATGATCTCGATCTCCTGACCTCGTGATCCGCCCGCCTCGGCCTCCCCAAGTGCTAGGATTACAGGCGTGAGCCACCGCACCCGGCAATTTGAGGAACTTTTTAATCATTACACTTCTTGTAAAAAGTAGTACTATTTACCCAGTTTCTAAATTCTTTCGACTACATTATGAAGTCTTTCATAGACTCCATTATCTATGTTTAAGGCTGAATAATGAGTTAAAGACACTAATAACAATGACAAGGAGTACATGCAGTAAGAATGAAAATTAGTGGAATACGTAACATTGTGGTTAAGACTGATCAATATACAGGGATGTCCTGTATATATTTTACACATGTAAAATATGTGTAAAAGAGAAAGACAACAAGATGTTGACCACTGTGGGTGTTATAATGATTCCAGACAGAAACAAAAGGAAGTGAGTATTTTGCAACTGGTGATAGCTATTCTGAGACTTTTTAACATAAACCACTTTTAAACTAAAGCTGTTTGCCTTTGACTTACCAGGCTTTCCACAAATACTAAATACTGTTTAATTTGGTAATGGTAGGATTTCCTGTCATAGAAAAGTATAATTAATATTTTCTCCTTCATTTACAGAAAGCTTAAACATGTGGATTTCAAAGTGAAATGAGCTTTTTTTTAAAGTTAATAAGCTAAACAATTAATAACTATCCGACCAAAATTACAGCAGAGCATTTGTTACAAACAGTAGGGAAACTGAAGGAAAAAATGTGTCAGTCTGCAGTCATACCGCAAAGTTGATCAGGCATATGTATACAGAACATATGTAAGTAAAATGTTAAACAATAAATAACAATGAATTGGATTAAGATTTACATTAATATTTGAAGAAAATGTAAATATTGACTAAGAGGAGAAAGGAGAAGGCAATGTTTTTCAGGCAGGGCAAACAACTGAATAAAGGTCAGGAAGTTCGAATACATGTACCTCTTGTAAAAAGCAATGCCAGGCGTCAGGCATGCTAGCTCACTCCTGTAATCCCAACACGTTGGGAGGCCAAGGTAGGAAGACTGCTTGAGCTCAGGAGTTTGAGACCAGCCTGAGCAACATGCTGAAACCCTTCCTCTACCAAAAAAATACAAAACTTAGCCGGGAGTGGTGGTGTGCGCCTGTAGTCCCAGCTACTTGGGAGGCTGAGGTGGAAGGTTCACTTGAGCCCAGGAGGCAGAGGTTGCAATGAGCCAAAATTGTGCCATTGCAGTCCAGCCTGGGTGACAGAGCCAGACCATCTCAAAAAGAAATAAAAAATAAAAAATAAGCAGTACCATCTAACCTCATCTAATCCACCCAGTGTGATTGAGGGAAATAGTGTGATTAAGGTGAAATGGGAGAGGTCTGGCCCTCTTAGCAGGGTATGTGACGGGCATGTCTGTCTGTTTGACTGTCATGAGCTCAAATCCCTTGTGGGAGGGAGAGCATGCAGACGGGCAGGTGCAGGAGTTGGGGTGAGCACTTTGGGCTGTGGCCCCACTGTAGTGTCTAGGGGTGGGTGCCTGGAACCCCAGTGTTACAAAGTTCTTTTAGCTCTGCCATCTGCAGACAACATAAGTGTTAACCAGCTCAGTGCCTCCCCGGCCTTTTCTCAAGGGCAGAGGGCCAGTGTGACAGCTTTCTGTATTCCAAGCTCTTGTCCAGCATCCCAGAAGAAACGGGTCACACATGAACTCAAAGGATGAATGTGGGGGTTTTACTGAGTTGTGGAAGTGGCTCCTAGTGGGATGAATGGGGAGCTGGAAGGTGGATGAAATGGGAAGGTGATCTTCCTCTGGAGTTTGGCCATCCAACGGCCAAACTACTCTCTGACCACTCCCAGCCAAACTCCTCTTGGCGTTCAGAAGTTCCTCCTCTTCTCTCCTTCTCTGTCATGTCATTCCACCTTTCATCTGCTTGTCTTCTCATCTCCTCGTCTGCTCATCTGATCTGGAGCCTGGAGTTCAGGGTTTATATGGGTACAGAATAGGGGGCATGGCAGGCCAAAAGGCAACTTTTTGGGGCATGAAAACAGGAATGTCTGTCCCCATTTGGAGCTGCCAGTCTCCCAGCTTAAGGGTGGGGCACGTGCCAGGGAACCACTCTCTTCTTTATAAATATATATATATAACATTTCAAGTTCTAGGGTACATGTGCACAATGTGCAGGTTTGTTACATATGTATACATGTGCCATGTTGGTATGCTGCACCCATTAACTTGTCATTTACATTAGGTGTATCTCCTAATGCTATCCCTCCCCACTCCCCCGACCCCACGACAGGCCCCGGTGTGTGGTAGGAACAACCCTCTTCTACCCAGTATTTCCCTGTCTCTTGTCTGAATCAAAGAGAAAGTGAAATGATCTAGTATATTTGAATTAAGGATTCACAGAATGTTAAGTATATCTACTATTGTACTTTCCAATTAAAATTACTATAAAACTTCATGGCAGGGACTATTAATTAATCATTTATTTGAACATATGTTTACTGATCACTGCAGATGTCCAAGGCACAATTCTATTTTCTGGGGACCAATGGTTAATGAATTATACAAGCATTTAGCTTATATTATAGTAGAAGGTGGTCAGCACAGATAGTAAAGAAACATAGAAAGCAAAGATCAAGATAATTGTATATCATGGAAAGTGTTATGAATGAAGAAAAGTGATATAATCGAGTTCTTCTGGACAGGCTCAAGCAGACCCTCGTTGTGCTCATGAGGATTGGTTTGTTTAAGCTTCACTGTCAGTGCTTGGACAATTGCCCAGGTTTCTTCCATTTTTAATATGATCCAGAATAATCCAAACTTGCTTCTACGATGACAGCTGCCATTTATTGCTCTTTCTATATGCTTTTATCAGTTATATTTGTGGCAGGAATTAAATTTATGACAGATTTACTATTAAGAAAAATAAAGCACAGAGGTTCAATAACTTGCCGAAAGCCACAAGGCAAGTAAGTGTTGCTCCAGGATTTGAATCAATTTGTCTGTCTTCATAGTGCTTCATTTTAATTGGGATATTTTATTATGCTGGTCAGGTATATTCACCTGATGGGGTAAATATATTAATACATTTCAAAATAAATTCCATCCTATATTCATCCTCTGTCTCCTTCTTGTGGCCATTTATTTTCCTTCTGCTTTTAGTTTATTTTTGTTTCCTTTAAGTCTTTGATACCTCTGGCTTTCATCTTCACTTTTCCCTATTTCTTTTTTGTAAATAATTCGGAATTAATTGTCATTCTTGCCATTCTCTGGGTACTTTCCCATTTAAACCCCACTTTAAAAGTGTCCTCTGAAATAGGCATGAAATGTGAGAACAGAAAGAACAGAGTGAGAATGAATCCTTCTGTCATGTTAACTCAATATTTCTTTTAAGATCTTCTAAATCAATAATACTTCCACATTTAATAACTGTGTTTCCATATTTTCCAAGGTGAACAATATTTTCTGACAAGTTTAATTCATGTGAGAGCAGCAAGAATTGTCAAAGGTGATTCCAAGTTTTTAGCTGAGAAACTGTACGTATGGAGTGTACATTTGTTAAGATGAAGAAACACATTGGGAAAAGGTACCCATTTTTTGATGTGTTAAGCTAGAAAATCCTATAATATATCAAAGTGAATATGCCAAGAATCCATTCAGATACGTGGTCCTGTAGATCAAGCGCTGGTATGGAGATAACAATTTTTGGACATTATCAATGTATGGCTGTTATCTCAAGGCACGAATCTATAAGAAATTAATTCCCATTCTGGCCATTCTCTGGGTACTATTCAATTTAGTTCATTCCAGGATAAGTTTTTTGTTTTTTTTTTAAGAAGACCAAGAATTGAACTCTAGGACACAACAACATCTTAAATTAATTTAAAGAGGAATCAGTTAATCTGAGGGAGGATTGGGTTGTGAGTGAAGCAAAAGGAAAACCAAGAGAATGGTGTCCTAGGGAACAAAGCATTTTGGAGAAGAAAGTTTGTCACGAAAAGTGAATAATCAGTTATTTAAAATTCTGTTTATACGATGTGTAAGATGAATCCTGAGAACTAGCCATTGGATGTGTTTATACTGAGGTAATGTTGACTTTAGCAGGAGTGTTTTTTAGAAATAGTGAAAGAAGGGCCAGGCGTGGTGGCTCACGCCTGTAATCTCAGCACTTTGGGAGGCCGAGGGGGACAGATCACGAGGTCAGGAGATCGAGACCATCCTGGCTAACACGGTGAAACCCCGTCTCTACTAAAAATACAAAAAATTAGCCGGGCGGGGTGGCAGGCGCCTGTAGTCCCAGTTACTCTGGAGGCTGAGGCAGGGGAATGGCATGAACCTGGGAGGCGGAGCTTGCAGTGAGCCGAGATCGCGCCACTGCACTCCAGCCTGGGCAACAGAGCTAGACTCTGTCTCAATAAAAAAAAAGAAAGAATAAAAATAAAAAAAGAAAAAAAAGAAATAGTGAAGGAAAAAGCCTAATTAGAATAGGTTTGGGAAGATCATAGAGAAATTTTTGAACCCATTTGTTGTTAAGAAAATTAGAGAAATGGAGTGATCATGTGTATGGTGTTACGGTGAACAAAAGATGGCTTCTGCTTGTTTTAATATAGGAGATATTATATCATCTTTGGAAGTGAACATAAGTGAACAAGTAGAGATGAAAAAAATGGAAAAATTGATAGAAAGAGAAAAAGAAGGAAAATTACAAGCTTGAAATCTTTAAGGAGATAGGTGGATGGATTTTAATATACAGATGGAGATTGATCTTAGATGAGTAGTACAATTCAACCACTGTTGAAAAGAATACTACCTCATATACTGATGTAGCTGTTTTGGTATATTTGACTAGTGAAACAGAGAAAACTTCTTTCTGAATTTCTTTTTTTTCTTAAGATAATGTTAATGGAAAAGCCAGGTTATCCGTTTAGTTTGTAGAAAGAGAAGACAGAAAGAAATTTGAGAGTCTGAGAAAGAAAAAGAGATTGGGAATAATCTTTTAGGAGATTTGCAGAACAGATTGATTAGTAAGAGTGCTGAGAAGTTACATTTCAAAAACGTAAGATAAAACCAGTTAATATGATCACATTCAGCTACTTGAATGTATGCACAGAGTAGGTAGGGTTGGATTTAAACAAGCTGCATTTTCTAGATGCTTATGATGAATGAAGAGGTAAGCAAGGAAGTTGTAGCTGTGGGTAAGAAAACGATTTTTATAATTGGCCCTGGTAAGTGGTGCATGCTGGGTATAATAGGAAATGAGACATGAGGGATTGACAACAATGAGAAGTTGGCATGGTCAGTGAAGTTGCTATCTCAGTGGGCACTGAAATGCTGTAGAGTGTAGAATACCCAGAGAGAGTGGGCTGGAAACATAGGAGGTGGAGGTCAGAGAGTGAAATATCTGAAACAGATCATGGAAGAATTTCTCATATTGGAAATGAAATTGTCTGCACTCTAGTGCAGTGCTGTTCAATAGCCACGTTGCTAATAATGGAAATGTTATTTACCTGCACTGTCCAATTGCATAGCCAATGCCACCTGTGGCTGTTAAGTACCTGAAGTATGACTAGTGTGACCTAGGAAATAAATTTTAAATTTAATTTAATTTTAATTAATTTAAGTTTAAATAGCAATTATATGCCTAGTGATTACTACGGTGAATAGCCTAGCTCTAAACTAGGATCATCTAGTGGGTGACTGATTTTTGTGTGTGAGCAACTGATTTCTGAGTGTGGGTAAGGTTATTGGAGGCAAATTCAAGAACTGAGAGCCCATAGTATTGGAATTATCACCTACCTGAATGTCGAAATCACATGATAATCATGATAGGAGTAGAGATCAATAAGATTTAAGATAGTTGAAAAAATAATGAAGAAATAAGGAGAATTTGGTAAATGACTGCAACAAAGTGAGTTTTTAAATAGTGTAACTGATAAAATAAGCTACAGAAATGCTGTAAGTTTTTAAGGGAGAAAAGTATATAAAGAAATGTCTAAATTAATATGATCATACACTAATAATGATAGATGATATAGCTTTTTGGATCATAATAATAGAAAGTATGTGAGAAGTGTTATCAATCTTCTCTTAGAAATAATTAGGAATCAGGTGACATTCTTCATCATTGTTCAAGCTAAGCATCATTTCATGGATAGTGAGAAGTTAATACTTTGTTAGGAAGCTTTAAGGTATGTGAAAGAATTAAGGAAATGAGGATGAAAACCCAGTTTTTGCAAAATCTGGTGAAAGTCATGAGACGTGAGGCCAGCCAGACTTCCTGAATCGAGTGGGGACTCAGGGAACTTTCCTGTCTTACAAGAGGATTGTAAAACGCACCAATCAGTGCCACGTAAAACGCACCGATCAGCGCTCTGTAAAACGCACCAATCAGCAGGATTCTAAAAGTAGCCAATTGCGGTGAGGATTGAAAAAAGGTCAGTCTGATACGACAGAAACGGAACATGGAGGGGACAGTAAGGAAATAAAAGCTAGCCACCCCAGCCAGCAGCAGCAACCCGCTTGGGACCCCTTCCATGCTGTGGAAGGTTTGTCATCCTGCTCTTCACAATAAACCTTGCTACCACTCAGTCTTTGGGTCCGTGCCATCTTTAAGAGGTGTAACCCTCACCGCAAAGGTCCGCGGCTTCATTTTTGAAGTCAGCGAGACCAGGAACCCACCGGCAGGAACCAACTCCGGACACGGACCAGAACAGAGATAGAAAACCATTCTTAATTTCTTATTTTTGTAATCATCTATTTAAACTGGTCCTCATGTCAATGGTCTCTGCCTTTTCTGAATTCAACTAGAATAGTAAACATAAGCATAGATTTATTATTTGTTTCAATATTTTTGATAGTGGAGTTTTATTGATATATGACTTAGAGCCTCCAAACATTTTTTTGATTATTTCATCAATTTGAAAAAAAAAAAAACAAAAAACATGAACAAGTAACATATGTATATTTAGGTGTTTAGAGATCATGCACAGCGTTCCTAAAGAGAAAGTTTTTACATTGCCTTTCTGCATCTGCTTCACAGCTGTGGGGTGAGTGCACCTCACGCTGGACACCTTTGACTAAGATAATCTCCACACAGATATGAACCTTGGAAGTTTTAGATCACTCCCCACTCATCTGAAACCACAAAACTCATACCCAATCCTTCCCCTAAGTACAGTTATCTAATATTCTGCCTCTCCCCAAAGGAAAGCTTTAGAGGAGATTCCTTAATTTCGTCCCTCATATATAGCGCTCCCCCCCCATATTTTCCTGGGTTCTGTATTAACTACATATTGCTGCTGTAACAAATTACCACAGATGTATTAACTTCCGGTAGTTATCTTTTTAAAATCTTGTCCTGTGTATTCCTTGCTGTCTGCAGGATTATCCCATGGTTGTTGTTCTGTTAGGAACTTTCCCAACCATGCCAGAAGAGGGCACTCCCATTCATACTCACGTTAAGTAGCTAAGTAGCTATCAGTTTCTTCTCCATGCTCCATTACCAACACCATGTCTCTCTCTCTCTGTCTCTCTCTCTCTGTCTCTCTCTGTCTCTCTCTCACACACACACACACACACACACACACACACACACACGCTTGAATTTTCTATAATAGCAGCCAGGTGTGTGGCACAGCTCTTTCTGTCTTAATGTGTGTCTCTCTGCTTAATATCTAATGTGGCTGAGAATAAACTAGAACCAATGTCTCCAGGCAGATTAGCTAGCCTTAGATAGATGTAAAGAAGACAACCTGACTCTTTTCTGAAACATTCAGAGCATCCTCTACCCCGAGGATCATGGGAATTCCCTCATGTTCCTCCTGCTCTGCCTCAAGCACCCCTTCTTTGCTGCACAGCAAGAAACAGTTCTGACAGAGCAGACAGTTTGAGATCTGTAACATTCTAATGAGAATATCTCTAAGGAGAATATTTGGCTTTTCTCACTTTCTCTGTAGAGAAACAAATTGTCATTCTTCTCTTACAGAGGGGCAGTAGAGTGTGTCTGGGTCAGCTGAGTGACTACATCAAAGCTCCCAGCCTTGAAAAACACATGCTGTTCCCAGGCCTCAAGATATTGAAACATTAATTAGATAATTTAAAGTAGCGTTTTCTTCTACAATGTCTGAAGAAGTGACCTACGCGACACTCACATTTCAGGATTCTGCTGGAGCAAGGAATAACCGAGATGGAAATAACCTAAGAAAAAGAGGTAGGAGTTCAGAGAAGACCAGCTGTGTCCTTGGGGGAGTGGACAGGTGTTAAATGCTTTGAGGTGCCAGCTTTAATACTGGCGTTAAAGACATGTGCTGTGAAATCTCCAAAATGGGGACAAATAGTTGTGGAATGTATTAGAAAAGTGAGTGTTCCCAAGGTTGAAGTGAAAATATGTGGCTTTCAGAACCTCTTTAAAGTTGTGTGATATCACACAGTCAGAGAAATTCTGACTGCACATGCCAGAAATTGAGCTTGGGGAATTAGAGATTTCTTCTTATGAATATAATCCTTGATATTTATACCTTGTTAGAGATGCCAGGAGGATATTCTTTCAGAAACCAGATTGGAGGCTTCTAAAATAGAGAAGGTAGAGGACGTTTTTCTTTTAGATGATGTAAGTTACTTAAGAGAAAACTGGAAGATGAGTGAGTGGATTAGAAATAGATCAGAGCTAATTTTTCTTTTGTCAGTATTTTTTCAAATTTTAGGGTAGTTGAAATCCGAGCATAATTTGTAATGTTGAACCAGTAATAATAGTATCTGGGTAGTATTTTATGTACATTATATACAGATATAATTGTAATGAAAATCCACAATAATATTCGAATATTAGTATTTTCTCCATTACATAGATGAAAAAACTGAGGGTGAGAGAAATTAGATAATTTAAGCAAGCTCACACAACTGCTATGTGGGGAAGCCCAGTCTCAGTGCTGGTCTTCAGCTCATTCTCTTATGCCTAATTGGAAAAATAGCAGTCTCCATGGTCAAGACTCTGATTTAATATATAAGACCACATCTCTTATTTTCAGATATGTTAACTATCCAGGTTCTCCTGAATCATGTCAGTCATCTGAACTACTTTCTCCTGCCCTCTAGATTTATCTTTACATTTTGTGTGGTGCATGACATTTGAGGGAAGGATATTTACAAAAAGCCGATGGGAATAGACTTTGCATATGTCTAATAAATGTGGTTACACATTTTTGCCTTGTTTTGTTTTACTTTTTAATTCTAATTCTAACCTGTGAGGAAAAAGGAGGTGTGGATATGGTGCATATCACAGTGTACCTAGAGTCTGTCATGCTGTATCTAAAACATTGCGCTAGATGTTATTTGGACCTAAATCAAGGGATATGAAGCTAAGGAAAACATGACAACCATTGATATTTTAAACAACAACAATGACTAGGATGCTAACGGCTTTCTGGTCTATTCTGCTGTTTGTAGGTTAGACTGCACATTCTTTCCTTCTTTCATTCAGTATTCATTCATTATTTATTAGGTGATAAATAGCATGAATAATAGATAAGTTATTGTTAACAGGTAAAAGATACTTTAAAAAGTCGAATCCACTTTTACAAGGCAGATAGAACATGTGCCTTATAGAGACTTTTGAGCTCAAAAGCTTGAGGTGTCTCCTACTGTCAGCATCATCCAGAAAAGCAGTTTTTAGATCTCTCATTTATGAATTCAATAAACTTGAGGAAGAAAAGTGGGCAATGATGTAAAACAAAAACCTTGAAATTAGGAGAAGCTTCCTTTTTATTTTATTATTATTATACTTTAAGTTTTAGGGTACATGTGCACAATGTGCAGGTTAGTTACATATGTATACATGTGCCATGCTGGTGTGCTGCACCCATTAACTCGTCATTTAGCATTAGGTATATCTCCTAAAGGTATGCCTCCCCCCTCCCCCAACGAAGCTTCCTCTTAAAGTGAAGGAGAGCGGTGGAGAAATGGAGGGGAAACAAGGATGGCACCCTCATTGCACTTCATATTAGGTATTTTCTAAATGAGGGCATTAAAGAAGCAAGAAAGAAACGTTAGTATCGGGAAGCTCCCTAAGTGGGAGAAATAAACAAACCAAAGTGAAACAAGCACAAAGCAGTTCTGTGTGCTGATTGCTCTTTTGGCTTTCTCCAGGGCATCCAGCTCCATCTCCCATTTGGCGTCATGCTGCTCTGGGTCTGGTAACTCTTTGCCTGATGTTGCTGATTGGGCTGGTGACATTGGGGATGATGTGTAAGTATATCAGCATCAAACCCAACAAAGGCAACTAGAAAACATATTGTAAACCATGTACTTTCAGCTTGGATTGTAGATGGGTCCTAGCATCCTGAATCGTCTGATACTTTTCTGCTGTCTCATATCTCTCCTATTCGTCATATCTTCCCAAAAAACCGGCAAAAGACATTATCAGGATTTGGTTCTAAATTCATTGTTTTATCTTGATAAGCTAAACTGGACTTAGACAAAGACTCTTTGTTTCCAGTTATTCATTAGAATAAAGAGCCTCTTTTCTGCCTAGACACACATTCACTTATCATTCCAATGCTGAGAAATAAAGTCAAGAAATATGTATTGAAGGAAGTGCTTGCTATTTTTATTTACCTGAAAGACTTAACACTAGACTAGGTTCAGTCTGCTTACATGAAACTTCTCTAGTGGAGAGAAATCTTCCAAGTAGCAGCAGCAGCCTGATTTCTATGAATGAGAAAGACATATAAACAAAGAGGAAGAGTGGCCTGATACACCTTACCAAGTAAGAGAGTTGAACCATCTCCACATGACAATGGAAGCTCCACTCTCAAGCACCACAGCCACAAAGGAACATTCTATTGATTCTGACCCATCCTCGGGAAGTTGGGGATGAACATGGTAGGGAGTTCTTGAGTAATGAGAAAAACATCCTGAGAATACAAACTTTATAGGGTTGTTAAGTATATGGTATACAGAGTAGTGAATTGGCATGGTATTCGCTTACAGGGAACTCACAGTCAAGAAAGTTAATTTGCTGAATGATACTAACATCTCCTCTGCTACATTCATTTCTTTTTAATGATTTAATGGATAATTTTTTAGGATTTAATGGTTAATTAGGATTTGGACATATCTTTGCCAACATAAAAAGAGACTAATGATGTACCTTGCTCTTTTGAAAAGGAATATGATGTTCAAGCAGCAGTAACAGATATTCTGGAGCCAATCAGTATGAGGATTAGCAGCCGATCTTCTACAATAATGTATATTTAAAAATTAAGTGAAAATGCAATAACGTACGTCCATTGGTTCGATATAGAAGGGTGACATTTCTTTTCTAAAATTTAGTGCTTTTGGTGCAGTGGTTCTTAAATTTGTTGTGCTGATGAAGCACCTTAAATGCTTATGAAAAGGGCATATTTCATGGACCCATGACGAGAAATGGTCTGATATGCCATTAAGATCTGCTTTTTCTTTTCTTTTGGTAAACAAGCATCTCAGGTCATCTGCAGAGTTTGAGATATCCATTGTCCCAAAGAATGCTGTTTTCATTAAAACAACAATTACATCATCTATCTCCAAATAAAATAAAACAAAAATAAAACAATTTCATGAAAATGAGTGGCAGAATGACTGGCCCTTCCTTAGATGTGATGTCAGAAATATATCATTATTAAATCATTATTTTAATATAGTGCAATAATAAAAATGTAAATAAAATTATAAAGAACTATAAATAATTTGGAATAGAAAGGCATCTGGTTTGTTTCTTTCATGATACCTCAAATACTAAGAGCTACTAATAAATCTTGAACAATTAAGAAATGTTTCTGTCACGAGAATTATCTACAGTTATAAGAATAGAAGAATATATGAACTTGTCTCCTGTCATGTCTTGGAGTTTTGCAGATATCTAATGACATTAACTCAGATTCAGAGAAATTGAGTCAACTTCAGAAAACCATCCAACAGCAGCAGGATAACTTATCCCAGCAACTGGGCAACTCCAACAACTTGTCCATGGAGGAGGAATTTCTCAAGTCACAGATCTCCAGTGTACTGAAGAGGCAGGAACAAATGGCCATCAAACTGTGCCAAGAGCTAATCATTCATACTTCAGGTAATCAGACTTAGTCCTGCTGACCAGTCAGATGGCATATGTTATCCTGGTCTAAGTTGATCACATGTACCACCTAAGAGTATTGAGAGAGTTATGTCATCCAGTGAACCTTAATGATGTTGCACTAAATTTACACACAGCAAGGAAATATACAAATTCATTTAATATTTTTGAAACCACAGGCAAATTTGGGAAGTATCTTGGAATGATATCAATCTGGATACTTCAACCCCTCATTTTATTAACTATTTCTAGGTGATCATGTTGCTCTGAAAGCTTAAAGGCATAGCTGGTAATTCTGAGGTCAGAAGACTAAGCCATGAAAAGAGAATCCCTGTTGCCCCAACCCATAACCAGGGGTCACTTTTTTTTCAGAGGCTTCTAAAGCAGTATGCTTTCAGGGTGCAGGCTCTCAGTCCCTATTGTTCAATTACATGATTTTGTTTCAAAGCCTTCTCCAGTCACTCTAGAGTCTTCAGTTTATATTATTGGGTATAATTTCCTTTTCAGACCACAGATGTAATCCATGTCCTAAGATGTGGCAATGGTACCAAAATAGTTGCTACTATTTTACAACAAATGAGGAGAAAACCTGGGCTAACAGTAGAAAGGACTGCATAGACAAGAACTCCACCCTAGTGAAGATAGACAGTTTGGAAGAAAAGGTAGGATTGAGTCTCATTCTCTAGTTATAGACATTATCCATACAATGAGAGAGAAATAAATAAAACATCTGATTCACATGATGGAAATTCAGTGCATCTTGAATTAGAATTAATACATGAATTTAATGAATGTCCTCATCTATCTTAACTCTGCAAACTGGAATGTGGCGCTCACGTAAAACTTTTTCTCTGTTTTCTCTCTTAGGATTTTCTTATGTCACAGCCATTACTCATGTTTTCGTTCTTTTGGCTGGGATTATCATGGGACTCCTCTGGCAGAAGTTGGTTCTGGGAAGATGGCTCTGTTCCCTCTCCATCCTTGTACGTCTCTAACTATTGAGGGTAAACACAAGCTTTCCATGGAATCCTGGGAAAATTAATAATGATTGTGAGAATTATAAATACAGACATAAAAAGAGGAGTACAACATACTGAGAAAAGAGCTCCAGTAACAAATATTGAAAGGAGGTATAGTTCATTTCATCTCTGTGACAAATTTATAGCAAGGCACTGAATTTTATCTTTTGGTAGAAATGTGTTTATTTAACACACACACACACCTAATACTACATTCAAAGTATTTTATAAATACTAACCCTTGAAGAAAGCAGTTATATTCCCATTTTATAGGTAGAAATATTATAATAGAGAGATTAAGTAACTTGCCTGAGGTCACTCAGCTCATAAATTGCACTTTAGGGATTGTGCACTCAGTCACTCAGCTATTCTGACTCTCCAGCACCTACAATCCAAAAGGGTGCTGCTGGTCATAAGAACACATATCAACACATTTATTTATACTAAATAACTGTCAACCATTTTCTAACAAAAAGTAAGACTGAATTGACTGATTAGTTCAACAATTAGTGTCATGTTGAGGACTTGCCAATTACAATATACGGCAAGTGTCTTTTATGAATTAAAATGAACTAAACCTTCCACTTCAGGGTTTGGATGAAACTATTTAAAGGACAAATAGAATATATAACACTTGGAAAATTTCAATTTTTTTAACTATTTAAAGTTATGAAAAAATAGACGTCAACAAAAATGTGTAAGGGGATATTAGGTTTGCTAAATTCTTTCACAGACTATAAAACAAAAAATTTTGAGGAACACCTCTCATCATAACTACATTTAAATGAAACAACTGTATTAATATTTTAAATATAATAGTATTTTTCTATTAGATAAAATTTAAGATCTTTGGCATCTTAATGGATTTTTAAACTTTTTATTGATACATAAGAGATGTATATGTTTTGGGGTATATGTGATAATTTGATACATTCAGATAGTGTGTAAAGATCAAATAAGTGGAATTGGGATATCGATCACTTTAAATATTTATCTTTTCTTTATGCTAGGAGCATTCAAATTATTATTTTCTCATTATTGTGAAATGTACAGTAGATTATTGTTAATTGTATTCACCCTAATAATCTATGAAACACTAGGTCTTACTTCTTCTATCTAACAGAATATTTGTATTCATAATGGCTTTTTATCTACCTTCCTCCCCCAACAAATCATTATCCACCCCCCTCCCTCCTGTTTCACTCTTTAAAGCATGTTGTCAACGTTTTCTTAAACTGAATAATAATCACTCATCTTCTGTCAAAGATGCCATGCTTCAGCTGTGACTCAGCAGTTCCTTAAATCACAAACAATGGTAGGTCTATTATTTTCTCCCTGGATACACTTTATCTTCATCCATTTCCCAATGTTTTGTCATGGCTATTTCTACTCAAACACTAATCCCCCATTCTCTAATCACCATTATTAATCATATCAAGTCAATTAGTTTGGTTTCACACTAATAATAATGACAAAAAGCACATGCAGAGTAATACACAAACAAAAAAAGTGACAGTTACTTTTTTGTGACAAGAGCAATATTGGGTATGAACTGATTAATATTAATCTGAGGTGTTGCTACTAGACTGAGGGTTTCCAGGAGTAGTACTATGACATCATGTAAACACATTCAGTTTTCATGTTGGAATCTAAGATGTGTCCCTTCTCCCAAAGGGATTTTAATCATTCTTGGCCTCTCTACTCACTCTTAATCAAAGTGTGGAGGAGGTGGCCCCCACAGCAGGGTTTGGAACCTACAGACCCTGGCCCCTGAGACATGCAGCTGTCAGACAAGCCAGCATGTCAAACACAGGTTAGAGAGACTGAGCTTCCAGATTGCATAGCCATTTCCTTGACTACTGAGTAAAGGCCAAGGCTAAGATTTAGTAAGCCTAGCCCTGAAGCAAGCAAAGAATATGGCAGTGTAATGCAGGTCATTTAGAAAAAAACAATGTTGGGCACAAAGAAAATTTAGATCTGACAAGTATAATTTTCTAAAGACATTATTTCAGGATTAACATCAATTTCTTAGCAGAGGAAATGAATACTATTGTCAGAACCATATCTATATAGTCAATCATTTCCTCTTTTAACGTCTGTCTTGTTCTCTTTTTACCCACCACATATGTATAACTATGTGAAAAATTATATTTGTGCATAATAAAATGTGATAACTTTTTACAACAGAATGTGATTTTATTTTTATGTTTTTCTTCATAAGGTCCCAAAGAACTTCAAGTACTTCTAATATAAGCTGAACTGATTAGATTTCATTAATGGAATTACATATTTATGAAGGAAATACAAATTCTCAGTCCAGGATTTAAGTATTTCTCTTAAAGAATTCTACCTGGGATTATGATTAACTTAAAATAAAGAACCCAGATGTGCCAGCTCTGGGCAGATTTTGTGCCAGCTTTAGGCAGCTTCAGATTTTGAAGCTTTGTGGAGGCAGAAGTCTCTCCATATTCAGATACATGACATTGGCTGTAAGAGCAACTGAGGGCACTAAATAGTGATCACGTTTCAAATACAGAATTTATAATTAATTTTAAATTAATTTTCAGATTTAGTACTAAAGAACTTGACCAGATCAATGGATCCAAAGGATGTGCTTATTTTCAAAAAGGAAATATTTATATTTCTCGCTGTAGTGCTGAAATTTTTTGGATTTGCGAGAAGACAGCTGCCCCAGTGAAGACTGAGGATTTGGATTAGTATGCTTCTTCCAAATTCTCCAAGAAGTAAGAGACTTGTGAGTAAGCTCATATGAGGAAAGAGGAAACTACGGTACCAGAGCCAAACCAGCTTTTAAAATGACTGTGTATTTACATTATCAGACAAATGAACTTGTTTAACAGAACATTCTCCAGTTCCTTGTCTGACGTCTTCTGATTTGATGTTATTATTCGGTCTTAAAATTATACCTGGGGACAAAGGGGAATAGCCATACTATGGCCCTATGATTGTCTCAGAATCATTTCACTGAATTTCTTTGCTTTCTCAAATAAAGACTCCTTTCTTTCATTATTATTATACTGTCACGTGTGCACTAGGGTGATATTTAAATATTTAAAAACTAGGGTGATATTTAAATATTTAAAAACACAGGCCACAGCACTAGAACAAGGTCCAAGAGATGCCTGTTGTGATAGTTGCTGGGTCATGTGGAGGTCTGGGGGATCCCAGGCTAAGGGTCCTGGTAGCTGGGGCTGCAGCACTGTATCAACTGATTTGGAAATATTTTATTTTAGCAAATGTTTGTACCACTGTGAACCAGCTAAGTGTCGCCCTGCACTTGCAAAATAGCTTTTCTTCTCCAACAACCCTATGAAAATAAGCGTTCTTATTAATCTTTAAAATTTAGATAATTTATAATCTAGGCATAATAATTTAATATTTACTTTTTTTTGAGACACTGTCTCACTCTGTTGCCTAGGCTGTAGTATTGTGATGTGATTGGCTCACTGCAGCCTCAATCTCCTGGGCTCAATCGATCCCTCCCACCTCAGCCTCCCGAATACCTGGGACCACAGGCATGCAACACCATGCTCAGCTAATTTTTGTATTTTTTTGTAGAGACGAGGTTTCACCATGTTGCCCAGGCTGGTCTCAAACACCTAGGCTCAAGCTATCTGCCAGCCTCAGCCTCCCAAAATCCTGGGATTACAGGTGTGAGCCACTGCCCCTGGCCAATATTTATGTGTTTGTCATTTATTTAAATTAGTAATATTGATGTTATTGATTTTGTAATCTGGGTATTATTATAAAAATATATTCTCTTACAATTGATATTTTGTTTCCCTCAGAAAAGTCCTAATAAACTGTTTGAAGACATCAAAATAGAAGAACCATTATCTTTAATTATTTAGACCTTTCCTGAATCACAGTTTGTCAGTGTTCCTGCACACTAGATGCTAAATATTGTAAATCTAGGGTTCAAGATTTTTCCTGGAACAAAATTGCTGATTTCAGAGTACTGGTAAAGGATGTAGTTTTCCATTTATCTTCACATAGTTCCATAGCTATATATAGGAAGAAAATAATGATAAATTAGCCTTTGATACTGATTTTGCTAGATCAGAAATCTAGAATTTACTGGAAAATTGATATAATCTAAATTCAAAGTTAGATGCATTTCAATACTTTGACAGTCCTTTGAAACTACCACTTCATACATACCATCTAGTAGCTTCTTATTCTCTAAATATTTAAAATTATCAACTAATCAATGTTTTATATAGGCACCAACAGAAACTCTAGAACAAAGGAAAAATGTCAAGTGTGAAAATTTAGTAAAAATTACAAACAATATATTTAAGCACAACTTTTTAAATACAGACAATTATCATAGTTCAAGTAAACAGTGTTTCTTAGTTCTTATACGGGATTCAAACATAAGTTATATACACATGGATTAAAGAAGAAACTTGATTCTTCCATTTCTCTTTAGCAGTTTGCCCCTGGCATTCTCACAAAGATAAAATTATTTCTTAAAGGTCAAAATCTGTGCCTCTGACTCTCACACATTTGGGTTTCGTTTTATTCCCATGAGAAAAATAAGTTCTTTCATTCCTCTATTTCTAATTAAAAAAATCTACTTTTAATAATTAAAATACCTTAGTTGGTTATTTTGTTCCTATTAAGAAGTTACAGGTTTTTTTTTCTGGTATCTTGTATATTTTAATTCTCATTTCATGTAAACTCTTTTATACTCATTAAAAGAAAATTTCTGTTTCTGACCTTACAGTGCTCTGGATCTTGATCAGCTCCTATTACTAAGAGCTCCCTCCCTGCTGCCCTGCTATCATCATATTATCCCTGACGACCTCTACAGTAGATGCATAAATCCAGAGTTCTCAAGATTCACTAGCCCTTTGTGTCAGAATACTTCATCCTTTGATTCTGATAACTTAGCTTATGAGACAGGACTTGATTCCAGAAATTTTCATCTCTTTCTTTTTCTTTCTTTCTTCCTCTCCTACTGCCCCTACACCCTCTCCAGTCAAAATCCCTGAGATATTTTATTTATATATACAGGTATATACAAATGGTATATTTTTAGGGGAAAGACCATTGATATGGTTTGGATCTGTGTCCTTACCAAATCACATGTCAAGATGTAATCCCCAATGCTGGTTGTGGGGCCTGGTGGGAGGTGATTGGGTTATGGGAGCAGATTTCTCATGAATGACTTAGCACCATCTTCTTGGTGCTGTTCTCATGATAGCGAGTTCTCGCAAGATCCGGTTGTTTAAAAGTGTGTAGCATCCCCACCAACCCCACCCCACACCCTCTCTCCTGCTCCTGCTCCAGCCGTGTGAAGTACCCACCCCTCCTTCATCTTCCACCATGACTGTAAGTTTCCTGAGGCCTCCCCAGAAGCCCAGCAGTTTCCAGCATCATTCTTCCTGTACCGCCTGAAGAACTGTGAGCCAATTAAACTTTTTTCTTTATAAATTACCCAGTCTTGAGTATTTCTTTATAGCAATGTGAGAATTTAACATGGGTTCCAAACATGGCTTCACATCAGATTTACATGGATAGTCCCTTAAAGGCACAGATATTTGGGCCACGCGTCAGATCTATAAAATCAGAATGATTGGAAGACAGAAATGGAGAATCTGTAAGTTTCTCAAACTACACAGGTGATTTTTATTAACACAGCCTGAGTGGCAATGTTTGGATAAATAACCTCAATACTAACTCCCTGAGCAAATAGGCCCAGAGGCGAAGGTGCTGGAACCATCTTCAAACTGGATGGCTCTTTCTGCAACGTTAGCAAATTTGGTTTGGTTTGTGCAGACCACGTTAGGTCAGGACAGATCAGAATTGGGACAGATATAGTGACAGTTCTCAACTATTTCACTGTTGTAATCTTAGCCAACAAGCCCTTACTGAGGGTATTAATTGGCATGGTTGGGATGGACAAGTGATATGAAGTTTGATCTGTTTAGCTCTCTGAAAATAGTTCTCAATTTTGCTGCACACTGAAATTATACTGGGGAGCTTTGAGGAAATACTGATGCCTAAGATTGTCCCACCTCTTAAGATGCTGATTTCATTGATGAGAAGTGTAGCTGGGCTATTAAAAAAATTTAAATTTCCTACATGATTCCAATCTGAAGCTAAGGTTGAAAATCCTTGTACTGAGGTTGGCCCAATGGCCCCTATTTTCAGTAAAATAGCCAACCCTCCATTATATATTAAGAAAACGGGTGAACTAGCTCCATTGGTGATGATTACACATGGTTGAGACAGGGACAATAATGATGATTACCTGAAACTAGGATTGATGGTATATTCGAGGCTGCATACAAGCATATATAATCATACTTGTATACATTTGTATGCACCTGGAGAAGGATTTAGACACATTAGTAACATTGTTTTCCTCAGGGTAGGTATGATGGAGTCAAATTGGGAAGAAGGGGAAATGATACACTTTTGGAATGAGAATCCACTGTGAAGCTGAGGACTGAAATCAAGAGTCAGATTATAAATAGGTGGCCAAAATTAACAATGTGGTCCTCAAGCAAATATAATTTTTTATTCCACAGGTATATTAGTTTTACTGAACAAGTAACTACAAGTAATACACCTGTCTGTCTGACTTCCTAAACTTCCTTCCTTCTTTCTTTCCTTCCTTCCTTCCTTTCCCTGCCTCCCTCCCTCCCTTCCTCCTTTCTTCCTTCATTCTTTCCTTCCTTTCTCTCTCTCTTTCTCTTTCTCTCTCTCTTTTTGAGGGTATATAATAATATAAATATAATAAAACACATCTCCTCTCAGTTCTTTCAAAATATGTCACAGCTTTCAAGCAGGCGGAAGTATCCCAACCCCTTATTAGGAAGCAGTACAGCTTGGTGCTTAAGACAATAAATTTTTTAAATCAGACAGCCATGGGTTATGTTTTTATTCTCAATGTAAGTGCTGTATATTTTAGACAATGTCTCAGTCTGTTTTGCGCTGCTATAACAGAATGCCTTAGACTGAGTATTCTATCTATTTCTTGGCTCACAGTTCTAGAAGTTGGGAAGTGTAAGTTAAAGGCACCAGCAGGTTTGGTGCTTGATGAGGCCATTCTCTTCTTTAAGAAGGCAACTGTAACCTTGGGAACGGAGGAAGGTGGGATCCTCATGTGGCAGAGGGCAGAATGGCCAAGAGGCAAAAGGGGATGGAACTCATCCTTTTATAACAGCATTAATTCCACCCATGAGGGCTGTGCCCCTTAATGATCTCTTTGTTTGTTTTTATATTTAGAGACAGAGTCTTGCTCTGTCACCCAGGCTGGACTGCAGTGGTGCGATCACGGTTCACTGCAACCTTGAACTCCTGGGCTCAATTAATCCTCCTGCCTCAGTCTTTTGAGGAACTGGTAGGTACCACAGGTGGGCACCACCATGTTCAACTATTTTTCAAAAATAAATTTTTTGTAGAAATGGGATCTTGCTATGTTGACCAGGCTGCTCTTGAACTCCTGGCTTCAAGTGATCCTCCTGCCTTGGCCTTCCAAAGTGTTGAGATTACAGGTGTGAGCCGCCTCACCCAGCCAATCACTTCTTTAAAGTTTCACACTTTAATAACTATTATAATGGTAATTAAATTACAACGTGAATTTTGGAGGGTACAAGCATTCACACCATAGCAGACAGGGCTCTTAAATTATGTAAACCCTTTTCATAATAGGGTGACAAAACTCGTGCCCATCCTCTGAGATTTTTGTGAAGAAAACAAAAAGAGAGATAACCCACATGGTACAGTGAAGACCCAGTTAAGTTTAGCTGTTCTTACATTTACCATCCTCTGCTTCCCCTTAGAGAGCAGATTTGCATGATCCTTCCAGTCCCAAGAACATTCCTGCATTGGGTGCTTAGCTTGGTTTTCACCACCAATGATATTTTCCTTGGGAAAATTATCTCAGTGTAACTGAAAGGCAACAGTTTTTAAATACAAACACAATAATGAAAGTTGGTTCAGCGGCTGAGCATCAGCTCATCAGGGAAGAGAAATCATGGAGGGGAGCAACAGGGTGAATAGTAGATGGCAGGTAGCCCTAGGTAATTACCTGAGACAGGCACTATATTGCCCATGGACTATTTTTGTATCTTCTGTGCCCTTTGTGATGTGGAGGCCAGAAACGAGGTGGACAAGGATAGGGTCCAGACCCTTTCACCTTTTTGATTCCTTAGCATAGCACTGGAAATTGTAGGGAAACACTAATTGTTACTGTTATAGTTACCAAGGCCATTATTTTCAGTTCTCCAGCTTTCTTTGTTTCTAGACAGAATTTGTTTCTGAGAAAAATTACTCTCTATGGGTGAATTGATGTTGGCTTCACCAATCTTGTCCAGCCCATATGATCTGTAAGTTGTATTTTGAGTAGAGTAATTTCTAGGGGGCTCCATTCTCTCTTGTTCTTCAAGTACTGACCTTCAATTTCCAGTGCAAGAAGACAGTATTTGATTGTTTCTGTCTTTATTTTGAAGCTCTTTTGTGTCTAAATAGGACAAGTTGGGAAGGAATACCTCTCAAAACTTACAGAGCCAAAAAATGCATCAAGGAGGGTGGGAAATGAGTCCCAGGAAGGTGAATTGGACTGAAAACCAGATTTCTGGTCTCTCTTTATCTGGGTCTACCAAATGCACAACTGATATTTCGACAGGTGCGACTGGCAGCTGCAAATTATTCACTTATTTAACAATAGATTTTGTGTGTGTGTCAACCAAGTGCTAGTCGATATGCAAACCCTTGGGATAGATATGAAGATCAGCATGACAGGACCCTTAACCACAATAAGCTCAAAGCTAGGGGCAAAGGGGCCTACAATTTTTAAGATGGCCCTAACATGGCAGGAACTTGACAAATTCAATATGTGATCTCATCTGAGATCATTCCATACATGTGGAAACTAAAGCTTGATTTAGAACAAAGCTTGGCTAAGGTTTTACAGCCGGAAAGGGTGAAGTTAGGTTCTGAACCAGGTCCAATACATGCCAGAGCCCTATTATCTTTTCACAGAATCATAGCTGTGAGACAATGCAATGCAACAGAATATAGATTTATTATATATAATAAATAATAGATTTCAGCATGCTATCAGAACACAGAAGATGGTATGCAATGACACTTCCCATAAATGGTGACCCCACCCCAGGTGTCATCTTGTTTTAAGTATACATTTTATTACTTTTCCTAATTAAATCCGTCCTCAGCAATTTTCTTGCCTTATGTATTGCTATCTCCCCCCATAGCCCCTGTTGCTGGTCTGATGTTGACTGATTTGAAGCCACTAGGCATGCCATCCCTACTTGCCTGCCTCATTCATAAACATTTCTTCTTTAAAAACCACTTTATTGGGTATAATTGACATGTAAAAGCTGTACATACGTAATATATGCAACTTAATATTTGTAGATAAGTATACACACATGAATAAACCATCACCACAATGTATACCATAAACATAGGCATTATCTTGAAAAGTCCTCCCACCCTCTTTATTGTTAATATTTTTGTGTGATAAAAACACAACGTAAGATTTACACTCTTAGAAAATTCTAAATATACAATATAGTATTGTTGTCTATAGGCACTACGCTGTACAGTAGATCTGTAGGACTTATTCATCTTGTGTAACTGAACTTTCTACCCTTTGGCTAATACCTCCTCATTTCCCTCTCCTGTAACCCCTGGCAACCACCATTCTACTATCTGCTTCTATGAGTTTGGTTATTTGAAGTTCCTCATATAAATGGTATCATGCAGCATTTGTCCTTCTGTATCTGGCTTGTTTCACTTAGCATAACATCCTCCGTATTTATTCATGTTGCTGCAATGGCAGGATTTCTTTCTTTTTTAAGGCTAAATAATATTCCATGGCATGTACCATATGACCTAGCAATCCCATGACTGGGTATATATCCAAAGAAATTGAAATTGCAATTTCAAAGAGATGCCTGAACTCCTATGTTTATTGCAGCACTGTACACAATAGCCAACACACGAAAGCAACCTCAATGTCCATTGACATGTGAATAGAATAAAAATAAAATGTGGCATATTCATTTTATTAATTTAAACTATTTGTTTCTAAGAACTTTATATTTTAGGTTGTTAGTTAGAAATGAACAAAATAAACGCTTTTATTGCTCTATGAAAGCTTGATTCCTCAGATCTAGGCCCCCATTTGTGGTATATTGCACATTTGAATTTATCATAGGAGCAAAAGAAAGTTGTATATGTTGCAGGCTATGTTTACATGACTATGTTACAGAATTAACATTTATCTTTATTTCTTTCCTATATTCCTGTTAGAAGACAATAGGATTATAATTCAGTTGACAGAAATGTAGCTTATGGCAGTCCTTAAGTCTGTGTCTTAACTTTGGGAATTTTGGAGGCTGGTGAAGTATAAGTATAGCTTTTCCTCTGGCTCTTTTGCTAGAAGAGAAAGCAGACTTTAAGAGAAAATTATTGCAGCACTATTTACAATAGCAAAACTTTGGAACCAACCCAAATGTCCACCAATGGTAGACTGGGTAAAGAAAATGTGGCACATATACACCATGGAATACTATGCAGCCATAAAAAAGAATAAGTTCATGTCCTTTGCAGGGACATGGACGAAGCTGGAAACTATCATTCTCAGCAAACTAACACAGGAACTGAAAAGCAAACACTGCATATTCTCACTCATAAGTGGGAGTTGAACAATGAGAATACATGGACACAGGGAGGGGAACATCACACACTGGGGCCTGTTGAGGGGATGAGGGGCAAGGGGAGGGAGAGCATTAGGACAAATACCTAATGCATGCGGGGCTTAAAACCTAGATGACAGGTTGATAGGTGCAGCAAACCACCATGGCACATGTATACCTATGTAACAAACCTGCAGGTTCTGCACATGTATCCCAGGACTTAAAGTAAATAAAAAATTTAAAAAGAGAAAATTATAGATTCGCATAGCTGATATGGTTTGGCTGTGTCCCCATCCAAATCTCATCTTGAATTATAGCTCCCAGAATCTCCACGTGTCATGGGAAGGACCTGGTGAGAGGTAATAGAATCATGGGGGCGAGTTTTTTCTGTGCTGTTCTCCTGATAGTGAATAAGTCTCATGAGTTCTGATGGTTTTACAAAGGAGAGTTCCCCTGCCACCATGCAAGACATGACTTTGCTTCTCCTTTGCCTTCCACCATGATTGTGAGGCCTCCCCAGCCATGTGGAACTGTGAGTCAATTAAACCTCTTTCCTTTATAAATTATCCAGTCTCGGGTATGTCTTTCTAAGCAGCATGAGAACAGACTAATACAGTAGACAAAAAAAAAACCTACATTTTTAATCATAAAAGGAATGGAAATTACCAAAAAATGTCTCCTAAGGGATATAAGGGCATGCTGGTTATAAGAATTCTAACAGGAATTCCAACTCATTTTTTAAAATGAGTAATTTTTAATTTTCTAGTAATGCATATTTCAGTACATGCATTTTCCCAGTATTTGAAATTGCATAGACCTCACTTAATAATAGACCAGAACTTATAAATTTAGTCTTAGGTAGTTTGTAAGAGATGTAAACTAGTATCATACCAGGTATTATAATCCTGGCAAAAAAATAAGCTTACTGTATTCCAATCACTTTCATTATAGATCATCTGTATGAGGTTACCTCTAGGTAATCAGAGGGCTAAATAGGAAATTCATTCCATGGAAGCAAATCATTGTGGTTAAGGGCACAGATCATGCAATAAAACTGCCTGCCTGCCTGCCTGCCTGCCTTCCCTCCCTCCCTCCCTCCCTTCCTCCTTCCTTCTTTCCTTCCGTTTCTTTCTGTCCCTCTCTCCCTGTCTCCTCTCTCTCCCTTTCTCTTTTTCCCCATCTCGCTGTCTCTCTCTGTCTCTCTTTCTCTCTCTCTCTCTCCCCCGCTCTCTCTCCTTCTCTCCCTCTCTCTCTCTCCTCTTTCCCTCTCTCTATCTCGGATCACTTGGTAAACACCAAGACAAAAACCTGCCAAAAGAAAAAGGAATAGCTCACCACAATTTTCTAAGAACTTGACACACATCAGGGAAGAGATTGTGCCATCTTATAACAGTCACAATTTCCTAAGACTCTGACACAGTCAGAGGATTATGCCATCTTCCCACACTCACAGTTGGATATGCCATGTGATAACCCCAGCCAGGAAGGAGACAACAGTGAGACACAAGGTTCTGTAGAAGACAAAAGCAGAACATAAGCCAAATCGTCCATGATGCTGCCTCCTGGAGTTGACTTGACCATGATGAAATGTAACCGAAATTGACAATATTCCATGACACCACCACGGCTTCTGTGCTGTGGATGGACATTGAAAAAAAATGCACAAGTTAGGAAGTTGTTTTCTTATCCTGCCTTTTCCTCTGCCTCCAAACTCTATTAAATCCAATATAAATAAAAATCTCATTAAGTGTTTACTTTTTAAAGCTTCTTCCCCGGATCAGTCGTACATTCTCTTCTTTCAGCATACTTTTCATTTACCTAGACTGAAAATTTGATTCCCTAATGAAACGTGCTCTCCTAAAACTTTCCAAAGTATTGCATTTGATTGTCAGAATTGTCAGAAGGCAGGTGAGTTGTTGTGTAAACCTTAACTTTATACAATAACAATGTATCCACCTTAGAACAATTATAAATTCAAGATACGATGTATTTTTTAAATTATTCTCTTTTTTGGTTTATATTTTATTTTCTTCTTCTTGTACACTATTATTTCCCTAGATTCTCTTTTCCAGAATGATGTGTTAGATTTGGAATTCAATAATGAAAGACAAAAATAAGTATTTAAATGAGGAAGTATATATTTCCTCTGTCTCTTTTTGTTATCCTATTCAATATGCAAAACCAGGCTGTGTGATCTAAATCAAGTTTCTTATCCTCTAAAGCCTAGGTTTCATATCTAAAAATTAGGAATGATATTACCAGACTTGTAAGGCTGTTGTTTGCACACAAAGGAAGAATTAAATGTGATCATTTATAGACTCGCCTGAGAGCATAGTATTTTATTATTAGGTACTCAATAATTTTTTTAACTTACCCTTACCTTCTCACCTCACCTCTGTAAATTTTAACAAAAGACAGGAGACCTGCATATTTACCAATTCCTTATTCTCTATATTGAGTAAGGTAGAAATTTTAGAGATCCTCTAAAAATTTTTATCCTTGCTGTCTTGCCATGTTATGGATTCCTGAATTATTTTATATTACTGGTCTTTTGCTCCATTGCCACCTTTCAGGACAGGGCTTACATCCATTATCTGAAAAGCCAGACGTATATATTAATTATCTTGATTTCTTTATATTAAATATGGACCATTTAATGCAATGTTTGAGTTAGTCTTACAAATATCTCATTTCCTCCCATGTTCACAATAGCCAAAATATGAAAACAAGCTAAATGTTCATTTCATTGATGAACAAGTGGATAAAGAAAACATAGTGTGTGTGTGTGTGTGTGTGTATATATATATATATATATATATATATATATATATATATATATATACAAGAAAAAACTTTCCACAAGAACCTCCATGTCCTCATTTAGAATTTAATTTAATTTTTTACCTCACACACCTCTTTTTTTTTTTTTTTACTTCCACTTGACACCTTTCTGGGGTAATAGGTATGTTGTACCTGAATTCCACTCTCCCTCAAAATATCTGTCTCAAATTTGTATATACATTAGTAGGTATCAATCAGGAAGGTCTCCCTCAACCCATTCAATAGGCCCTGCCACAAAATTTGAAAAGTTTAAAAAATTCAGAGCCCTGCTTATGTACATGGGTGTACATTTTTGCAGACAAAAATCCCCTGTGCCCTACCTACTCAGCAATCTTCCCCCTTCCTATCAATCTTCCTCTTCCCCTGAATCATTGGTCACAACTGATCTCTTTGTTTTCTTTGTCTTGGTTTTTCTCGAATGTCATATAGCTAGGATAATATGATAGCTTTTCAAACCGGCTTCTTTCACGTAGTAATATGCATTTAAGATTCCTCCATGTTTTTCATAGTTTGACAACATTTCATTTTGTTGTCGAATGATACTCCATTGCATGAATGTACCACAGTTTGTTTATCCACTCATCTTTTGAAAGACATCATAATTACTTCTAATGTCTGGCAATTATGAATAAAGCTCCTGTGAAAATGTGTGTGCCAGTTTTTGTGTGTGTTGGGAGCAAGCCCCCCAAAATCCGGCCATAAACTGGCCCCAAAACTGGCCATAAACAAAATCTCTGCAGCACTGTGACATGTTCATGATGGCCCTAACACCCATGCTGGAAGGTGGTGGGTTTACGGGAATGAGGGCAAGGAGCAGCTGGCCCGCCCAGGGTGGAAAACCACTTAAAGACATTCTTAAGCCACAAACAATAGCATGAGCAATTTATGCCTTAAGGGCATGTTCCCGCTGCAGTTAACTAGCCCAACCTATTTCTTTAATTCGGCCCATCCCTTTGTTTCCCATAAGGGATACTTTCAGTTAACCTAATATCTACAGAAACCATGCTAATGACTGGCTTGCTGCTAATAAATACGTGGGTAAATCTCTGTTCGGGGCTCTCGGCTGTGAAGGCTGTGAGACCCCTCATTTCCCACTTCACACCTCTATATTTCTGTGTGTGTCTTTAATTCCTCTAGCGCCTCTGGGTTAGGGTCTCCCAGACCGAGCTGGTCTCAGCAGTGTGTACAGGTTTTCCACTTTCTATGGTTCCTAGATTGTCTGTTAATACTATACTTACCTCTATAAGAAACTGTCAAGTTTACCGGGCCGCGAGGGTGCAGGCTGCGCAGATGGTGTGGTCCTGCGCCCCGAGGGCCGCAGCAGCTCATCCGGCAGCTCCCACCCCAACAACCTGGAAGGGGGCGGGACTTCCGTTTGTACCCGGCTGTGGCAATCTGTGGTGAAGTTGAAATGCTTTTCTGCTAGACTGGCAACATGTTTTGATTCTTCTCAAATAACTCGCAAGCTCTTGTGAAGCACAACGGCCTACCTTGTCCTGAAGAAAACATACTCTAAGGCCCACAGATGATTAAACCCAGCCATTTATGTGACAATAGCATTTTTATTTTTCTTATCAAGATCTGGGTATTTGATCCACACAATGGTAAAGATTCCCATGTTAGCCAAGATCTAAATGATTCAAACTGATGATACTCTCTGCAGAAGAGGTAAGAACCACTGGCAGTAGGGTGGAAGGTATGTCATTACAGATGATGCTGACAGAGAAGGTCATCTGAACCTACTTTATAAGAAAGGCATGATTAAAGGAGAAAGGGGAAAGGGCATTCTAGGTTAGGAAAGATTCTGAAGAAATGTAAAATAATATGAAGGTGTGAGCTGATATATTTAAGAAATAATGAATGATATGTGGGAGTATGTATCATCTGCAGAGATGGATGAGGGAAGATGCAAGTGGAGGGGAAGGCTGGAGCCGCTGGTGGAAAGACGTTAAGTGTATTTCAATGGCCTGATACTGCAGGCAGTAGACAGCCTCTGTAAATCAGGTAGCTTCCTTACTCTTGCTCCTACTGATCCCTCAGTCTAAAATGCCCTCTGCACTTTCTCTTTAGAGATAGAGAGGGAAAGGGAGTCAAACACGAAATCTCCAGGAGGCCATCCCTGGTTATTTCTTACTCCTCTGTTGATTTCCTTTAATCTGTGAAGTGTCTTCTAACTCGTGGCCTGAGGCTTTAGTGACTCTGCTGACTCATTGTCTGGTGCTACTGATTGTGCTAATGGTCTTCGATATTGTGTCCAGTGCCCCCCACCATTTTGGGAAGAAATTGGCTTTAGTTTTTACTCAGATTGAAATTTTATTTAGAAACGGGAGTAGCAAGACCAGGTGCAGTTAGTTACACCTGTAATCCCAGCATTTTGGAAGGCCAAGGTGGGAGGATTGCTTGAAGCCAGGAGGTTGAGAAATGGGAGTAGCAACCAATGTCGGTAGAAGAAACAGCATATAATAACAGGATGTGATAAATCTCAAGAAAAGTTACGCACAAATTACTATGGCAGCAGGAACGAGTGAGCCGCCCGATGCTGTCAGTGAAGGCTCTGAGGATTGGGAAGGATTGGCAGGGTTACAGGAGACAAACAAATGCTACAAATAACATTCCAAGTAGAAGGGGAAGTGAGGGTAGGGAAAGGAATGCAGACAAGGCTGAGCCTTGTTTGGAGAGCTAAGTTCAGTGTTGCAGATGCTCAATGTCATACCTTAGGAGGGAATTGCAAATTAAAACAACAATGAGAAACCACTGTATACTATTTGAATGACTAAAATCCAAAATACTCACAACATCCAATGCTGGCAAGGATGTGGAGCAACAGGAGCATTCATTCACCGCTGGTGAGAGGTAAAAAGGCATAGCCACTTTGGAAGGCAGTGTGGCAGTTTCTTACAGAGCTAAGTATAATATTAACATACAATCTAGCAACCATAGACGCAGGACAAGAACTCGGGCAAAGACGCCACAGCCACACAGGTTTCTGAACAGAAAATCAACATCCCAAAGATCCCGTAACATAATCTATGCTCAATCTCCATCTGTATATTAAAATCCATCCACCTACCTCCTTAGGGATTTCTTTTTTTTTTTTTTTTTTTGAGACGGAGTCTCGCTTTGTCACCCAGGCTGGACTGCAGTGGCGCAATCTCGGCTCACTGCAATCTCCGCCTCCCGGGTTCACGCCATTCTTCCGCCTCAGCCTCTCGAGTAGCTGGGACTAAAGGCACCCGCCACCAAGCCTGGCTAATTTTTTTTTATTTTTAGTAGAGATGGGGTTTCACCGTGTTAGCCAGGATGGTCTCGATCTCCTAACCTCGTGATCCGCCCGCTTCGGCCTCCCAACGAGCTGGGATTACAGGTGTGAGCCACCGCGCCCGGCCAATAGGGATTTCAAGCTTGTAATTTTCTTTCTTTGGTTCGCTCTGGCACTATCAATTTCTTTTCATCTCCACTTGTTCACTCACCTTCACCTCCCAACATGGTATAATATCTCCTATGTTAAAAACAAGCAAAAGCCATCTTTTGTTTACCATGCCCCCATACACACGATTCTAATTTTCTTATATTTCTTCTTAACATTTCTCTAATTTTCTTGACAACAAAAATGTTCAAAAATCTCTCTGTGCTTACTGTTTCATCCTACTTTTCCTTTATGTTAATTAGGCTTTTTCCTTCACTATTTCTATGAAAACACTCCAGTCAAAGTCACCATTAACCTCCACATGAACACATCTAATGGCTAGTTCTCAGAATTCATCTCACGCACCAGATAAGCATTCAAAAAAAAAAAAGATTATTCCCTTTTCATAACATACATTCTTCTCTAAAATACAGTGTTCCCTAGGACACCGTTCTCTTCAATTTCCTTTTGCTTCATTCACAACCCAATCCTCCCTCAGATTTGGATTCCTCCTTAAATTAATTTAAAATGTTGTTGTGTCCCAGAATTCAGTTCTTGGTCCTCTTGTTTTTTTTTTAATTTATCCTGGGATGAACTAAATTGGATAGTACCCATAGAATGGCCAGAATGGGAATTAATCTCTTGTAACCTCATGACTTAATAGCCATACATTGATAATGTCCAAAATTATATTTCCATACCATTGCTTGATCTCCAGAACCACATATCTGACTGGATTCTTGGCATATTGACTTTGATATATTTTAGGATTTTTTAACTTAACACATCAAAAAATGAGTGACTCTTCCCAATGAGTTTCTCCATCTCGATAAATGAATATTCCATACCTACGGTTCCTCTGCCAAAAACTTGGAATCACCTTTGACTTTTCTTGCTGCTCTCACATGAATTAAACATGTCAGAAAATATTGTTCACCTTGGAAAATATGGAAGCACAGTTATTAATTATGGAAGTATTGTTGATTGAGAATACCTTAAAAGAAATGCTGAGTTAACATGATAGGAGGATTCATTCTCACTCTGTTCTTTAACAGTCTTTCCATTCTCACATCTTATGCCTGTTTCAGAGGACACTTTTAAAGTGGGGCCTAAATTGGATAGTACCCAGAGAATGGCCAGAATGACAATTAATTCAGAATTATTTACAAAAAAAGAAATAGGGAAAAATGAAGATGAAAGCCAGAGTTATCAAAGGCATAAGGGAAACAAAAATAAACTAAAAGCAGAAGAAAAATAAATGGCCACAAGGAGGAGACAGAGGATGGATATAGGATGGAATTTATTTTTAAATGTATTAATATAGTCACCCAATTAGGTGAGTATGCCTGACCAGGATAATAAAATGTCTGAATTAAAATGAAGCACTGTGAAGACAGGCTGATTGATTCAAATCCTGGATCAACACTTACTTGCCCTGTGGCTTTTGGCAAGTTACTGAGCCTCTGTGCTTTATTTTTCTTAGCAGTAAATTTGTCATAAGTTTAATGCCTACCACAAATGTAACTGATAAAAGCATATAGAAAGAGCAATAAATGGCAGCTGTCATAGTGGAAGTAAGTTTGGATTATTCTGGATTATCTTAAAAAAAGGAAGAAAGCTGGGACATTGCCCAAGCACTGACAGTGAAGCTTAAACAAACCAATTCTCATGAGCCCAACCAGGGTCTGCCTCCAGCCTGTCTGGAAGAACTCAATTATATCACTTTTCTTCATTTGTAGCACTTTTCATGATGTAAAATTATGTTGATCTTTGCTTTCGATGTAAAATTATATTGGTCTTTGCTTTCTATGTTTCTTTACTATCTGTGCTCCCCACCCTTTACTATAATACAAGCTCATTGCTTGTATGATTCATTAACGATTAGTCCCCAGAAAATAGAAACATGCCTGGGACTTCCACAGTGATCAATAAACATATGAAATGGGAAAAGTTCTCTTGTCCCCCTAGCAGAGTGTGCAATGGAGGTATGGCTCGCTTCTTCAGTGCCCCGCTACTCAGACCTCTAGGGGAGGGGCAGGCTGTGGGGCTCCGGCCCCACGGTAGTGTCTAGGAGTAAATGTTTGTATCTGAAGCCCCAGTGGGCGTGTGTTACAGGGTGCTCTTTTAGTTTAGCCGTCCATAGGTGGCTTGTGTTAGTCAGCTCAATTAGACCCCTACCTTATAGCAAGGACAGAGGCTTTCTGCATCCCAGGGTTCTTACCTTGGTGTACTGGAAGAATCAGATCACACGTGGGCTTGGAGAATGAGTGCAAGGTTTTAGTGAAAGGAAGTAGCTCTCAGCGGATGGTGGAGCCAAAAGGGTGATGGTTTTCCCCTGGAGTCTGGCCACTCAGTGGCCCAGGCTCTCCTCTGATTGTCCCGGCCAAACTCTGCCTTGTTTCACCAGTTGGTGGCCTGCCGATATGCTCTTGACGTCCAGCCACTTATGTCTTGTTCCATTGATGACTACTCTCAATGTCCAGCCACTTATGTGTCTGCCTGCTAGGGTCTTGGGGGTTTTATAGGCACAGGATGGGGACATGCGGGCCAGGATGGTCTTGGGAAATGCAACATCTGGGCATGAAGGCAGGAGTGCCTGTCCTCATCCAGGTCGGTGGGCAAAGGCCCGGGGGTGGAGCCCTCGCCAGGGATCCGCCTTTCTCTATCCAGCACTTCTCTGCCCCACTTCTGTATCACATATGTTCAAATAAATGATTAATTAATTGCCCTTGCCATGAAATTTTGTAGTAATTTTAAAGGAAAGTGCAATGGCAAATATACTTAACATACTATGAATCCTCAATTCAAATATACTTGATCAGACCACTTTCCCTCAATCAATCGCACTATTTCCCATAATCGCACTGAGTAGATTAGATGATAGTACATTTTTGTTGTTGTTATTGTTTTGTTTTTGAGACAGGGTCTGGCTCTGTCACCCAGGCTGGACTGCAGTGGCAAGATCCACGATCTCAGCTCATTGCAACCTCTGCCTCTTGGGCTCAGGTGATCCTGCCACCTCAGCCTCCCACGCAATGGAACTACAGGCGTGCGCCACCACACCCAGCTAATTTTTTAAACCATGGGTTTCACCATGTTGCACAAGGTGATCTCAAGCTCCCGGGCTCAAGCAATCCTCCCACCTTAGCCTCCAAAAGTATTGGGATTACAGGAGTTAGCCACCATGCCCGGTGCCTGGTACTGCTTTTTACAAGAAGTATACTTATTCAAACTCCCAGTTTTTATTAAGATGTTTGCCCTGCCTGATAAACATTGCCTTCTTCTTTTTCTTCTTAGGCAATATTTACCTTTCCTTCAAATACCAATGCAAATCTTAATTAATCCAACTGATTATCATTCATTCTTATTTAATTTTTACTTCCATGTTTGGTATGCAAATGCCTGATAAACTTTGTGATAGGACTGCAGTCTGACACATTTTTCCCTTCATTTTCACTACTGTTTGTCACAAATGTTCTGCCATAATTTTGGTCTGATAGTTATTAGTTGTTTGGTGTATTAACTTTTAATAAAGCTCATTCCACTTTGAAATCCACATGTTTAAGCTTTCTGTAAATGAAGGAGAAAATATTAACTATACTTTTCTATGACAGGAAATCTTACCCCTTTACAAATTAAATAGCATTTAGTATTTGTGTGAAAGCCTGGTAAGTCAAAGGCAAACCAACAATTGTAATGAAGAGGGCTGAGAGAGAGGACTGAATATCACTAATAGAAGCACCTGAGGCTTTAGCTTAAAGGTGGTAAGAAGTCTGTGAAAAGCTATGACCAATTACAAAATACTTCTTTTGTTTCTGTCTGCAGTCATAACACCCACAGTAGTCAACATCTTATTGCCCTTCTCTTCTACACATCCACAGGCCATCCCTGTATATTAATCAGTCTTATCTACAATGTTATACATTCCACTAATTTCAATTCTTACTGCATGTACTCCTTGTCATTGTTATCTTAGTATCTTTTACTCATTCTTCAGCTATACACATAGATAATAGAGTCTATGAAAGACATCAAAGTGTAGTAGAAAGAATTTACAAACTGGGTAGATGCTACTAGGTACTACTTTTTACAAGAAATACCATGATTTAAAAAGTCCCCCAAATTTCTTAAACTTCTCTTCCCATGATCAAAATCAGGATGATAATGCCCGTCATACATATATGCATTCATTCATTCAACAAATACGTATTGGGTAACACAGGAAATTCTCACTTAACATCATCAATAGATTCTTAGAAGCTGCGTAGAAACAAGGTAGAACCAAACCAACCAGCATATTTCTGGTCACAAAAACATCACCTACCTTGTAAATAAAGACTCAGAACACTTCTAAGAGTAAACATTAAAACAAATGTGAACTATACCTATTACGTACATTCAGAAAAGATGAATGAAAACAAGATAATTATATACCCAATTTTTAGTAAATCAGTGGGTGTTGGTGGTCATAGTAGTAGGTAAAATCAAGGAATAGATGTTTGCAAAGTAAAAATTGACAGAAGCACCTTCTAAACCATGCCGTTCAACAATACACAATCAGGAATAGGGCGGGCTCACTGAGCGCTTTCGAACTACATTGCTTATTTACCTGCATTTGTATAATTATTGGCTATTTTACAAATTCTTATTTTACAATAATTTGTATTCATTCATTCATTCATTTTCCCACATACTTATTTCAGCTCCGTGTCTCAGGTGGCCAGAGACCATTCAGGCAGCTCAGGGCCAAGGAGGGCACTGACTATGAAGAGGCCACCGACTATGAAGAGGCCACCATCCCATCGCAGGGCACACTCACACGCACCCGCACTCACTCACACTGGGACCATGTAGACACGCCAATTCACCTAACGTTCACATTTTGGGACATGGGAGGAAACTGGAGGACCCAGGAAAAACCCATGCAAACACGGGGAGACCGTGCAAACTCCACACAGTGGCCCCAGCTGGGAAGCAATTTTTTTTCTCAACATCGTTATAACAAAACAATCTTACATAAAAGGATGTTACTCAAGAACCTGCTTTAACTGCATGTCAGTCACTATTTTAGAGCCATGGGACATTTTCTTCTGGGGTTAAAGGACAAAAATTTTATTATCAAAGGTAACTCTATGTGTGTTGGATAGTGATCAGCGTTATGGAAAAGAGTGAAGCAAGGAAGAGGGACAAGAACGTGGGCTGGTGTGTAGTTGAGTGGGGAAGATGTCTTAAATGTTAAAAAAAAAAGTTCACATAGCCTAAGAATTAGTGAAGGAAGGGTTAAGAGTCCCTTTTGGCTAAAACAAAAGTTTCAAGAACAGAAGCTGTGGTAGGTGAATGGTAAGTGACTGGATTTACCCAGCTTACGACTGGGAACCACTGAATATTTTAACTGAGATAAAAAACTCAGTGACAAAAATGGGTTTGGGATTTTAATTTTTTTTAATTTGTAGTACTTTTAAATAATTCAGCATTTCTTGGAAATGAGCTTTTATTATTAAGAATTGGTTTTTGGTAAAAATATTTGAATCATACTAAGTTTTTGTTTCCAAAATCAGGTACTGTCTTTTTTGTTTGTTTGTTTATTCTTCACCTCATTCTCAAAATAATTTGAAGAGTGTAGAGAAAGAAATTTTAGAATGGAAGACCATTTTAAGTGAATTGACAAAGAATTCAGAGTGAAGGAGATAGCAGGGAGAAAAAAAATATGTACAAGCTATGCCAAAAGGCGTGTTAGTAAACAAAATATCTGCCACTATAACCCACATAGTTACTATATTGAGAAGTCTAACATTCTGCTAATTAGAGAAAAAAAAGAAATCAGGTCATTTATAAAGTAAAAGACTACTACTTAATTGGAAAAAGGGAAGCTTTACTGCTCATGGGGGTTTAACAACAACAACAAAATACTTCCATAAAGCTATATAAGAGCTACTCTAATGGCAAAATAGACAGCATCCTCCCCAATATTCCTACAATAAACACATCAGCTAGCTTTGTATGGCTGTTCTTATAACTACTTTCAATGCAAGCTAAAATAACTTAAAAGCTCATTTCATAAAGTTAAATGTGTGTGTGTGATTCTCCAGTTGCTGTTTATTAAAGTAGTTATAGGATGGGTGGGCATAAAACAAAACAAAACAAAAAATGCAAACACATCAGGCCTTAACAGAGAGTAATATTTCAGCTTGGAGAGGTAAAGTCCATTGGGGATGAGGATGGATGTGTGGTATGGGGGTGGGCCATGCCTATTGTTGATGATCATCAGGAGAACACAGGTGAGATCTGCCAGCAAAGCTCTTTCTATTACTTGGAGGACCCTGAGAAGGCAGGGGCAGGGGCAGGGGTGAGCCTTCCCCATAGCTAACCCATACTGCCTGCTCCTTGATGTCTTTATTATATGCCTACAATTGGCCCTGCTTCCTCCTCCTGGTGGTGTGTGATGGCTTTGATTCTGCTGATCCTGTGCATGGGGATGGTTGTCGGGCTGGTGGCTCTGGGGATTTGGTGTAAGTGTTGACTCTGCCAAAGATTTGATTGGAGGAAGGCAATACCGAAGGGTCATGGCATATCCCACTAAGCTTCTCAATGGTCACTATTTGTCTGTTTGTCACTATCCAATTGTCCTATACATAGCTGCCAAGATACTCTCAATAAAGGAGAACACTGACCTTTTCCTTGTGATCAAAATAGCTAAGTTTTTTATTAATTAAAAGTATTTTTAAGAATTTACTACTGGCTTTTAAGAACTCCTCAGTGTGGATCCAAACTATTTTTAAAAACTATTTTGTCCCTCTTCCTATCTTGCATATCCTAAGAATCAGCCAAAATGGAGTTTTTCAATTTCATATGTAAATCCTATGTTCCCCTGTCTGAAATCTTTCTCATTCTATTCTCTCTACCTAAAATTTGCGTCATCCCACTTTGTTTACTAAAATATTGTGCTTTTTTCCTCCAGGAAATCTCACAGTCCTCCAGTGGCACATTGTAGTCTGCGTAGCTGTTGCTTGTTTGTATATTTGTTGATTTTTCATGAGATATTTTAGAATCTTTCATTTATCATCTTTTATTTCTTCGTTATTTACCTAATTATCACAAGTACTTTATTTATTTATTTATTTATTTATTTGAAACAAAGTTCCGCTCTTTCACCCAGGCTGGAGTTGCAGAGGTGCTATTTTGGCTCACTGCAAACTCTACCTCCCAGGTCTGAGAGATTCTCATGCCTTAGCCTCCCGAGTAGCTGGCATTACAGGTGTGCACCACCACAGCTGGCTAAGTTGTGTATTTTTAGTAGAGACAAAGTTTCGCCACGTTGGCCAGGCTGGTCTCGAACTCCTGGCCTCAAGTGATGTGCCAGCCTCGGCCTCTCAAAGTTCTGGGATTATAGGCATGAGTCACCTTGCCCAATCTTATCACAAGTACTTTAACCATAACAAGAAATTAGTATGCATTTTAAAATAAATGAATAGTTTGGCATCACACAAGGAACAGAAAATGAGTTCCTTCACCTCTCTGAACTCAGCTGAGAATCCTGTATTCAAGAAAATGTCAACAACCACTTTGGGCATGTTATTGATCTAGGGATCTTTTTTATTTGTGATTGTCTCCTTCAAACAGTTCACTTATTAACCCTCAGGTGTCAGTTTTGTGTATTTTTAAATTTGTTCTTTATAGCCCCTTCACTCTTTTCAACACTGATTTAATCACGTGTATCTAGTAAACTCTTCATACATTGGCAATTTTTTTTTTTTTTTTGAGATGGAGTCTTGCTCTGTCGCCCAGGCTGGAGTGCGGTGGCGCCATCTCGGCTCACTGTAAGTTCCGCCTCCCAGGTTCACGCCATTCTCCTGCCTCAGCCTCCCGAGTAGCGGGGACTACAGGCGCCCGCCACCACACCCGGCTAATTTTTTGTATTTTTAGTAGAGATGGGGTTTCACCGTATTAGCCAGGATGGTCTCCATCTCCTTACCTCGTGATCCGCCCGCCTCAGCCTCCCAAAGTGCTGGGATTACAGGCATGAGCCACCGCACCCGGCCTATTGGCAATTTTAATGAAATGAAAATTCAACAAAAAATATTTGCATCATTCCTATAATTCTGATTACAAAATGTTATTATTTATTTTTTACATCTAGCTGTCATGCAGCAAAATTACCTACAAGTTGAGAATGAAAATCTCTCAGGAACTCTGCAACAATTAGCAAAGCACTTCTGCCAATATGTAATAAAACAATCAGAACAAAAGGGCGGCTGGGTGTGGTGGCTCACGCCTGTAATCCCAGCATTTTTGGAGGCCGACACGGGCGGATCCTCTGAGGTTAGGAGTTCGAGACCAGCCAGGACAACATGGTGAAACCCTGTCTCTACTAAAAATACAAAAAAAATTAGCCAGACAGGGTGGTGGGTGCCTGTAATCCCAGCTACTCGGGAGGCTGAGGCAGGAGAATCACTTAAACCCGGGAGGTGAAGGTTGCAGTGAGCCAAGATCGTGCCACTGCACTCCAGCCAGAGCCACAGAGTGAGACTCAGTCAAAAACAACAACAACAAAAACAAAAAACAAACAAACAAAAAAAAACAGAAGGGCACTTTTAGTAGGTATTGTTTTTTTAACGTCTTCATTTCTCCAACCCCTGGAGCATTTCTCTGATGGTAACTGAAGGGAGTCTTGGGATCTGCAGAATACATGGAATGTAGGGAAAATGTAATTCCAATTTAAAAACAACAACAACATTCCTGTGCTTGGTTTCTCCAGGTGACTATAAACGCAGCCCCTGTGATGCCAACTGGACATATTATGGAGATAGCTGCTATGGGTTCTTCAAACACAACTTGACATGGAAAGAGAGTGAGCAGTACTGCACTGACATGAAGGCTACTCTCCTGAAGACTGACAACCAGAACATTCTGGTAAGAAGATTCTTATGTCAAATATTTTGGAGGCAAGGGAGAAAACTCTCAAATGTAACATTTGACCTTTTTTGTTTTTTACATTTTTCTTAACATCTTTCAGTTTGTACTAATCTAAGAACTTTATGAAACCTAGTAAGAATTACAGAACCCAAATATTCAATCCAGTCATAATATTCTACAACATTGCTAGAGTTGATTGGTCAAATTGACTTGTCCCTTCCTGACAGCTCAGGTACATAGTGGGTCACACATGAAGAGTCAGCCCAGTGATGTTCTTGATCATTTGTGTCCTGTGTTGTTCTAACTTGCTGCACTGCGCACTTACTGTTTTTGTGGGCTCAGACTCATACAGGAGATATCCAGTTAAATTAATTAGCTTTTCTTTCCACTCCAACAAAATAAGAGAATTTCCTAAAATCTCAGCTCTATTACAAAAAGATTAATTGAAGACATATATGTATATCCTGAATTTGTATTACTCTAGGCTGGTGCCAGTTTAAAGATTTATAACTAAAAGTATTCATGCAATTTTTTTGAGAAAATAGAAAGGTATAGTTGAATTTCAAGTAGAATTTATCTGTCAGGTTCTGTAGGGAAGTATATAATGTTGATATATTCTAAAGAAAAGATTAGGAGGAGTAAGAGTAAGGTTACTAGTGGCTTAAGCTTTTAGAAATAAGCAGTCAAATGTGACTGTCACACAATAGCTCCTGTGGAATGCCATTCTGAGTCTTTCATATCTGTCAAGAACCTCAAGTCACTTCCTATTTGCCAACAATGCATTCTCACTTGTTATTTTGGGAGGTGTGAGAGTATATAAACATTTGTCCTCCATTTAATTTTCCTACTCATATATTGATTGATTTACCTATTCCTTCATTAATTCAACAAATATGTGCTGAAACTATTCCAGGACTTGGACCTATGCAGTTAATAAAACAGAAAAAATAATCCTTAAGCTCAAGGAGCATAGATTTTAATTGAAGCAACAGCCAAGAAGCCAAACAAATAACATACTATACAGTATAGTAGGTAGTGATTATTGCTAACTAGAGAAAAGTAAACCAGGAAAGGTAGATGTATGTTATTAATAAATCCCTTTGAGAAAGACATTATGTACTCCTTTACTCAACTAAAACAAATTAATACTTCTATAGGGAACATTTTATAGGCAAGCTAAGCAATAAAACCAAACCATGTAGAGTTTTAAATCTAAGGAATATAAAGCTCACCAATAATGTATTTCTTTGTGTTTTCTTTCTCTGTTCACATTTATTCCTTTGAGTCATGTTTGGTAGTCTGAAAGTATAATCCTCAATTGATTGAAGATATAAATATATGTTATAAACACATAGGAACATTAGAATTTCAGCTATTTTGTGTACAATTTTACCTGCATCCTACAAGCTTTTTTAAGTTCTAAGACAAGTGAAATTGGCACAGATTCAAATATCAAATGAAATACATTAATATAGACATGTAATCCAACTTTTTTTTTTGTCCAGGGTCTTATCATAAAGCTTTGTCTTTATGTCATTATCAACAGCTGTGGAGGGATTCTGACCATTGTGTTTATTTATGTTTACAATAGGAATACATCAAAGCCAGGACTGGTTTAATTCATTGGGTCAGATTATCCCACCAGAACTCTAATGAGGTCTGTAAGTGGGAGATGGCTCAGTTCTCTAAAAAAATATGTAAGTCCCCGACACTCAGAATAGAAAGTAATACTAGAAACTTATTCTTGAGATCCGCTCTCATCTCAGTCCAAGTCACTTAATAATTGAAATGTGTCTCTATAACCTACTATGGGTTATATAATCAGCAGCTGAGTCACTTACTCCCTACTTCAAACAAGAGAGCACTGGTCATAAGACAATTCTACCTTCCCCTCTCCCATTCTTAAACTCTTTATCTAAGCCACAACCCATTTTTATACCTGATATTATTCCCATTCATTTCTATATTAATCTTTACCATGGAACAGTGTGTGTGTGTGTGTGTGTGTGTGTGTCTTTAAATTGCTCTGATTCTCTGCATATATATGTATATATATATATATATATAGACAGAGAGAGAGATGGAGTCTCGCTCTATCACCAGGCTGGAGTGCAGTGGTGCGATCTTGGCTCAATGCAACCTCCACCTCCTGGGTTCAAGTGAGTCTCATGCCTCAGCCTCCTGAGCAGCTGGGATTACAGGCACGCGCCACCACACCAGCTAATTTTTGTATTTTTAGTAGAGATCGGGTTTCAGCATCTTGGCCAGAATGGTCTCCCTCTCCTGACCTCATGATCCGCCTGCCTCAGCCTCCCAAAGTGCTGGCATTACAGGCATAAGCCACCGCGCCTGGCCCTCTCCATATATTTTTTAAACAAAATTTCATCCTTATTTTGTTACAGTTGAAAGTTGTAAACTTGAGAGTCTTTTGACTTTTCGGTGGCATTTTGCCTACTCTTCTATCCTTCAAGTCTCCAAGAATTAGATACATTGGGGTTCACAAGATAATTCCAATGTCCATTAGTGAAGCTCTATCCTTCTACACATGATGCAGGCAAATAGGCTGTTAGCACCAGGTTGTGAACTTTTGTCACTTCCTATGTGGTTTTCCAATGTCCAGTCTCAACATCTTTTGTCCATCCTATATATCAAAACTGCAGTCTCTCTCCAATTAAAATGTAAATGGATAACCAAATCTTGTACAATATGATCATTACTTGCACCATTAATTATTTAATAAATATTTAGGAAGTATTTACTATAGGTAGGATCTCAGGATACTACAGCTACAACTCTTCACAGACCATGGGCTTTATCTCCTATTACTTGCTGCCTCATTCACAATATTGCAGACAAATTAGTGGGGTTTTTTTTATTCTTCCAACAAATCAAACTCGTTTTTTTATCTCAAGACTTTTGCATTTGCTATTTTCTTCTCCTAGAATGCTCTGCCTCCACAACTCCATGACTGTTTCCTTCTTGTGAATCAAGTCTCTATTTAAACATCACTTCTTCAATGAGGCTAAGTCTAATTACCCAAACTAAATTAGCTTCCCTTCAGCCCACATCCACACAGTCTACCACTGTTTTGTTTCTTTGTAACTTTACCACTGTCAGAAATTTTCTTGTCTATTTGTGGGCTTCTTACTGGCATCACCCCACTGAAATGGAAGTTCCCCAACAGGAAAGCCCTTGGCTTTCTTGCCTTTCTGTACCAGTCTATCCTCAGCCCATAGAACAACTTTGTCACATAGTTATGTAGATATATGCCAAATAAACTAATAAATATATATTCCTTGTCCTCTCGTGATAAACGGTCTAGAAGAGAATAAAGATAAGTTAACAGCCATTACAATACAGCATGCTGTCTTAGATCATCTATCCTGTAACATAAATCCTCAGCTCAAAAATATTGAATCAACTCACTTTTCCATGAACCTATTCCCATCCATTGCAGATACTTGTCCTGTCCATCTCCTGTCTCCTGTCCCATCCATTGCAGCTCTTTGTCCTGTTCATCTAAATCCTGCCCTTCCATCAATACCAACTAAAGTCTGATCTTGTAGATAAAGCCTTTTCCCATTATTTCAGAGCTATCTCAATCTCTTCTTTGGGGCTCCTATTGTACTAGTGTTCCCTTGCTCCTTAATCTTATGCTACATGAAACTGCTACTGAGCTTTTCAGATATACATACCTTGTACTACCAAGCAGGTTGGGAGCTACTCAACAATGAGAAACTTTTTTTTTTACTGTTTTCCCCAGAGTCTCCATTTTGTGCATCAAAATACTATACACAGAGTTTGATTGTTGATTGTTTCCTTAGTTTTTGAAGGAATTTATTCTACCTTTCCCATTCACAGGTTTGGGCTTTCTGAAGATGGAAAAGGAAATATGAATTGTGCCTATTTTCATAATCAGAAAAGGCACTCTACCTTCTGTGAGAACAAACATTATTTAATGTGTGAGAGGAAAGCTGGCATGGCCAAGGTGGACCAGCTACCTTAATGCAAGGAAAGGGGCAGGATATCACAGATAAGGGCTTTATTGCCCAATAAAAGTTCTGAATGAAGAAATCAATAGCCATAAATTGGTTATTTCTTCCTTTCTTCCTTTGATGTCATTTTTAGTATTATCTTTACTACCAGAATCACTTACCTACTCCCTTCTTTGAATATCCAGAACCCAACATGTAAATTGATCACTTGCTTCTCAATCATTCTACTTTCCCTTAATTTTCTTTCTTCTTGTCTAATTTCTAATTACCTGAATATAATATGATTTACTGCATCTTCATATATACACATATAAGATTAAAATCAGGACAATATAGATTAGTGCTTAATTAAGTTGGGCAAAATATCGAAGCTTAAAATGTGTGCAGAATATCTAAGTTTGAAAGATAGCGTGACGTAACAAAAAGAATACTAAACTTGGAATTGGTAGAATAATTTAGATAATGTCACTTAAAGTACAATCATGAACAAGTCACATAGATTTTTTAACTTCCATTTTCTCATACTTGAAATAGGAATAATACATCCTCCATTTATACCTCACAGTTCTACAACTTAAAATAAAACTTTGTAGTGTTAATTATACCAGAAACTTTACAAGAACAGGCACTGTGACTTTTGCATTTACTATTGTATTACCATCGCCAACCCCAGATCCTGGCTTACAGGAAACAGAGAGACATTACACAAATACAATTACTATTCCAAGTTCATTTCTGGTTAGACTCAACAGCAGTAATTTTTTGTGCAAAAGAAGGAAAAGAAAGTTTGTAACAAAGCTCATGGGGTTTGTAAAATGAATAAATGCTTCTCAACAAGGCCCAGAGGCTACTACACAGAAGGACATGTTAAAATGCTTTATTTAGGTCTTTTCCTAACAGCTCTATGCTTGCTTCTTGCTGAATAACTCAGCAAGTATTTATAGAATACATGGAAAGGCACCGTTTCACAGGATAATAGGCAAAAATTGCATTTCTTTCCCACAGCTTCCCTTCTTTAACTAGTGAATACAATTTATAAACATGATTCTCAAGCGTCTCAACTGAGGTGTTGGTTAAAACATGGAGATGTTCAAACACAAATGCTGACGTTAGTGGGAAGGCTGAGGACACACAGAGACGTGGGTTTTTACAAGCACCATGACATAATTCTTGTAGAGGTAGTCTTTAATACAGTTAGAGAAATATCACTACTTTAGAACTTACTCTCTGTATGGCTTTGGATAAGTAATTTAGTGTCTTTAAAACTCTATTTCCTCATCTATGAAATGGGTTTAATATTTTGACCTTGCTCATAGGTAATTGTAAACCTCATTTAATATGACTATATAAAGTACTGATCAGAATACCAAGCATGTAATACATACTCAATAAGTGTGTTACTCTTAAAGCTTTGTGCACTAACACTTAAAGACACTTGAATCTTTATCTTTTTTCTAGACTATCAATAAACAAGCAGATTTGGAGGGCTTAGGAAAAATAACAGAAACACCTCAAATGTTACTTGCTACTTCAAATGTCTACAGATCTTGGATTTGGAGTGAATGTATTATTATTTTCTTATTTTTAACTGTTTATTTAGAGAAACCAAATAGGAACTAATAATTCAGAACACTATCCAAAAATTAGCCATAACTTTGGCTTTTGTTTCGTCTCCCAAAAATGGAAAAGCATATGTTCATACATCACTATGGCACACATAAATTTAGAAGGATAGTATTTTAGTGCATGGCAACAATACAATTTAAAAATGTAAGCCAATCAAACTGTGCCTACAAAGATTTTTTTCCTGGTATTCATATCTAAAGCATCTTACACATGGAATCAAAATAACACAAATGTTAGTAGCACAAATCAGAACACTTCATTCCAAATACTTAATCTTCTACATATTATCTAAGTGAACTTAGCAAAATTCGACTCCTCTGTGTTTCAAATTACAACTAAGTTACAAGCATACCTCAGAAGTATTGTAGACTCAGTTCCAGACCACCACAATAAAGCAATTATTGCAATAAAGTAAGTCACACTAATTATTTGGCTTCCTAATGCATATACAAGTGATATTTGCCCTAAACTGTCGCCTATTGAGTACACAATAGCACTATGTCTACAAATGCACATACTTTAATTTAAAAACACAATACTGTATTGCTAAAAATGCTAACGATTACCTGAGTCTTTAATGAGTGGAAACCTTTTAGCTGGTAGAGGGTCGTGCCTTGACGTTGATGGATGCTGACTGATCAGAGTGGTGGTTGCTGAAGGATGGGGTAGATGCAGATGCGGCTATTTTTAAAATAAGACAACAGTGGGCTGGGCGCGGTGGCTCACGCCCTGTAATCCCAGCACTTTGGGAGGCCGAGGCGGGTGGATCATGAGGTCAGGAGATCGAGACCATCCTGGCTAACAAGGTGAAACCCCGTCTCTACTAAAAATACAAAAAATTAGCCGGGCGCGGTGGCGGGCGCCTGTAGTCCCAGCTACTCGGGAGGCTGAGGCAGGAGAATGGCGTGAACCCGGGAAGCGGAGCTTGCAGTGAGCCGAGATTGCGCCACTGCAGTCCGCAGTCCGGCCTGGGCGACAGAGCGAGACTCCGTCTCAAAAAAAAAAAAAAATTAGCTGGGCGTGGTGGTGCACGCATGTAGTCCCAGCTACTTGGGAGGCGGAGGTTGCAGTGAGCCGAGATCGCGACACTACAGTCCAGCCTGGTGACAGAGTGAGATTCCGAAAAAAAAAAAAAAAAAGACAACAGTGAAGTTTGTGGCATCAATTCATTCTTCCTTTTATGAAATTTTTATCTGTAGCATGAAATCATGTGAAATAGCATTTTACCCATAGTAAACTTCTTTCAAAATTGGAGTCAATCCTCTCAAATCCTGCTACTGCTTTAAAAACTAAGTTTATGCAGTATTTGAAATCCTTTGTTATTATTTCAACAATGTTCACAGCGTGTTCACCAGGAGTAATATTTGTCTCAAGAAACCATTTTATTTGCTCATCCATAGGAAGCAGCTCCTCATCTGTTCAAGTTTCCTGGTGAGATTGCATCAACTCAGCCACATCTTCAGCCTCCACTTCCAATTCTAGTTCTCTTGCTATTTCTAGCACATCTGCAGTTACTTCCGCCACTGAGGTCTTGAATCTCTCAAAGTCATCCATGAGGGTTGGAGTCAACTTCTTCCAAGCGCCTGTTAATGTTGATACTTTGACTCCTTCCATGAATCACAAATCTTCTCAGTGACATCTAGAATAGTAAATCCTTTCCAGGTGGTTTTCAATTTACTTTGCTCTGATATATCAGAAGAATCACTATCCATGGCAGTGATAGCCTTATGAAATTTATTTCTTAAAGAATAAGACTTGAAAGTCAAAATTACTCCTTGATCCATTGGTTGCAGAAATGGAGGCTGTGTTAGCAGGAATGAAAACATTAATATCCTGGTACATCTTCATCGGAGCTCTAGAGTGAATAGAGGGATTGTCAATGAGCAGTAATATTTTGAGAAAAAAAAAAGGTTTTTTTTTCTGAGCAGTAGTTCTCAACAGTGAGCTTAAAATGCTCAGTAAACAATGCTATAAACAAATGTGCTGTCATCCAGACTTTGTTGTTTTACTTATAGAGAATAGGCAGGGTATATTTAGGATAATTCTTAAGGTCTCTAGGGCTTTTGAAATGATAATTGACTATTGGCTTTAACTTAAATCACCAGCTGCATTAGCCCCTAACAATAGAGTCAGCTTGTCCTTTGAAGCTTTCAAGCCTGCCATTGACTTTTCCTCTCCAGCTATAAAAGTCCTAGATGTCATCTTTCCAATACAAAGCTGTTTCATCTACACTAAAAATCTGTTGTTTAATGTAGCAACCTTCAATTATCTTAGCTTTATCTTCTGGATAACATTCTCCAGTTTCTAAATCAGTATTTGCCGCTTCATCTTTCGTTTTTTTGTTAGAGATGGGTTCTTTCCTTAAACCTCATGGACCAACCTCTGCTAGCTTCCAATTTTTCTTCTGCAACTTCCTTACCTCTCTCACTCATCACAGAATTGAAAAGAGTTAGGGCTTTGCTCTGAATTAGGCTTTGGCTTAAGAGAATGCTGTAATTGGCTTGATCTTCTATCTAGACCACTAAGCTTTCTCCATATTAGCAATAAGGCTATCTTGCTTTCTTATTACTTGTATGTTCACTGGAGCAGCACTTTTAATTTCCTTCTAGAATGTTTCCTTTACATTCACAACTTGGCTAGCTGTTTTACATAATAAGCCTAGCTTTTGGTTTATCTTTGCTGTTGACATGTCTTCCTCACTAAACTTAATCATTTTTAACTTTTGATTTAAAGTGAGAGACATGCAACTCTTTCCCTCAACTCTTACAGGCCTTTGTAGCATTATTAATTGACCTATTTTTAATATTGTTAGGTCTCAGGGAATATAAGGAGGCTCAAGGAAAAGGTACAGAGATGATGGAACAGCCAGTTGGTGGAACAGTCAGAACATACACAGTATTTATTGATATTTATCAATTAAGTTAACCATCTTATATGGGTATATAGTTCATGGTGGGTCCCCCAAACAATTATAACAGTAACATCAAAGATCACCGTAACAGGTAATAATAATGAAAAGTTTTGAAATATTATGAGAATTACCAATATGTGACACAGAGGCATAAAGTAACCATATGTTGTTGGAAAAAATGGCACTGATAGGATTGCTTGACACAGAGTTGCCGCAAATCTTCACTTTTTAAAAAATGCAGTATCTGCAAAGCGCAATAATGCAAAGCTCAATAAAACAAGATATGCCTGTACTCTATACTAATGATAGTGCCTATTTCATTGAGCTATTGGTAATAATCAAAATAATTCATGTATAAGTTCTTGAAAATAGTACTCGGAATATAATTAGCAATAAGTAAAGGTACGATTAAAAACATCAAAAGTAATAAAAGGAACATATTAGTCCTTCATTGGGAGAAGCCAATGGCTCCATACAATGAAATTTATCAGGGAATGTTCTATATTTGGGGAAAAGGAGTCTTTCTGAGCCTGATTTTTAGTGCTGATAAAATTTGAGAACAATTGGAAATTAATGACAACTTAAGCTTCTGTTACTGTGTTCCTAACATTAGTCTCAATGTACATTTGGTATGCTTATGATTTCTTCCTCTGTTTCTCCTCAAGATAGAAGTGATCCTACTTTAAGGCTATGTGGGATTAGGTTACATTAATTTTCAGATTCGAATCTCAGGTCACATGAGCATCATATAAAATATTGAAGAATGGGGCCAGGCACAGTGGTTCACGCTTATAATCCCAGCACTTTGGGAGGCCGAGGAAGGCGGATCACCTGAGGTCAGGAGTTTGAGACCAGCCTGGCCAACATAGTGAAACCCTGTCTCTACTAAAAATACAAAAATTAGCCGGGCGTGGTGGCGGGTGCCTGTCATCCCAGCTACTTGGGAAGCTGAGGCAGGAGAATTGCTCGAACCCAGGAGGCAGAGGTTGCAGTGAGCCGAGATAGGGCCACAGCACTCCAGCCTGGGCGACAAGAGTGAAACTCTGTCTAAAAAAAAAAAAAAATGAATAAATAAATTAAATAAATAAAATTTGCTGGATATTCTCTTCAGTTGCCCCTGGGGATTCTCTCAGTTCCAACCTGTGCTTTGAGAGGCTGAGCTCAAATGAACGCATTATCAGGGCAAACAAACTTGGCCCCTGGCTTCTAGTTAATTGAGCCAATAGAAGGCAGTGGTGATCAGGGCTCTTGTCAGGCAGGTCATGCAGTTCCAATAAACATTTTCAACTTAATTCTTCAGGTGACCTGACAGCTTCCCAGTGCATATGTCACACCCCTTTTTGGTTCCCTTAACACTTCCCGAAACTTTATATACAGTCCTTTAATTAAATGCCCTTAGATTACCCCTTGAGTATGCCATTTGTTTCCTTCTGGGGGCCTGATTGCTAGGGAGAAGACTGATGAATCCAGTGAGATACTGAAACAAAAGTAAACAGTGTAATTTTGCATATTATTGGGACTCATAGACTATATTACTTAGACATAACCTTTGGCCATAAAGATAAGTGGTCAAATGATGAATGATGATTAAAGTCTCAAATTTCTGATGCTATAGTCGCAAGATGTGGCAGAAATGCTAAATAATTCATGCTTTCCTTCTAGAGTGAAGTGGTCATCAAGAGCTTGCTGTGCAGGCAAAAAATACATTTTTCAAGCTCAAACCTTATGTCCAAAAGTGGGCATGCCTTTGGTGGATGTGAATGTGAGACATGCTATTCTAGGTTATAGCTTTCAAGAGCAGGTGTGGATTCATCACCTTCTCTTTTCTTTTCCAGTGGATAGAAGTCAAGGGCTCCAATGTCTCCCAAGACGAAAGAATCCCAAGTCTCATTTGGAGGAATGCTATCACTAACTAGGATTCCTGGAGCTAAAACATTATGTAAGATGCAAACTTTTATTGTGTTAAGTACTGATATTTTGAGGTTTATTTATCACAGTAAGTAGCATTACACTAACAGATATACAGTATGTAAATTTATTTTAAGGTTGAAATCCCTTCCTAGCTTTGTTGTTTAAGGCTACCCAGTGATCTCCCACCCTTTACACCGTGGTTTGCCCAATGTGAGTTATCTTTATATCTTCACTATCTAGGTCACCCCACGCTTCATCTCCTATACCAAATGCAAGTGCGTTCTTTGCACTTACATCTTTTTCTTCTGAACTCACTGCTATCACCTTCAACATCTGCTACATTTTGGAAACCGGATAAAAAAATGTTCTATCATTGGCCATTCTAAATTCAGTTCTCTCTCATTTCCTTTTTCACCAAGTTGTGTTTTGGCTTAGACTTCATAAACTTCCACTTTCTGAATGAAGGTGCATCTATTCTACTCCTTAAACACAAACATATTTTCCCACTACTGTGAAAATGTAACCAATTTCAGTTCTTACACCAACCTGCTCCAAACCACAAGAGGAGTTACTTGTTCCAGCCTCCTGTGTGGACTGCTTTCCTATCAAAGCACCTTAGACATGCACGAGGAAGAAATATACACCTCTCTTCAGTGGGATAGCCCAGCACCAGACACTTACCAGAAATGTCTGTCTTCCAACAAATGTTCAGGTAACCAGTTCTAACTATTTTGTGTGAGACTTTAGAGTTCATGTTTTTTTTTTTTTTCTGCTCTATCATGAGGCCAAGATGTTTATTCTAATCCGAGATAATCTACCTAAGGGTACTGTAATGTCCGTGAAATGCTAATGAAGTGGAGAAGGATTAAGTAACGGTGAAAAATAAAGAGAGCAATACACGTGATAAACGTGCGGAACTATTTTTTCCTCTGCCTCTCTAGAAAAGAAAAGCAATACCTAGATTTGGGAAATACGTGAAAAAAATACAACTTCAATTAATTGAACTCCTACTAAAACATTCTGCAAATTATCTGATAAATACTAAGAAATAAAAAAGAGAAAACATAGGTTGAAAAACTGGCAAGATCTCATTGGCCTAGAGTTGTTGGCTATAGTGATTAGTTCTGTCTGTATCGTTTAATATCTATGTTAATTCCTGTCTGCTGGTGTAACCAATCACACAGACTTAGGGGATTAACAGAACGTAAATTTATTATCTTAGGGCTCTAGATGTCACAAGCTGAAATGGATTTCAATGGGCTGAAACCAAGGTGTTGGCAGGGATCGAGTGGAAGACTCTATCCCTTGTCTTTTCTGGTTTCTAGAGCTGGATTTATTGCTTTCCTTGGCTCATGGACCCTTCTTCTGTCTTGAAAGCCAACAACATAACCTCTTTAAATGTTTCTCAGCCTCCATTATCATGCCATGCTCTGTCCCTCCAATATCCTACCTCTCATTTAAAAGGGATCCAGATAATTCAGGCTAATCTTCCCATCCCAAATCCTTAACTTAATGACTTCTTCAAAGTCCCTTTTCCACATAAGGTAACTCACAAGTCCCAGGAATTATGACACTGGCATGTTAGGCAGGGGCATTTCTCTGCCTATCACAATATTCAAAGATAAATTTTAACTATTTTTCTCTGATTAGTGTTTTGAATACAAAAAATCACATATTCCTTTTTTTTTTCCTCTCTGCAGGGTTGTAAAGTTACCTTGGAAAACTTGTTCGTCTTCCAAAAAATGTATATTTAAAAGTATATATTTAAAATGTGTATCTTTCTTTTCTTTAATCATGTTCAAGTAACACTGAAGAGATGGGGAGATGTGAGACAGCATTTTTTATCTCAAAACATAAAGCCAGCATTTGGCTTGGGGGAATCTCTAAAAGATTGTTGGAAAAGAATACATATAATTAGTTTGTTTAAGGTGTGACATCAAAGATAAGGATAACAGAAGTATACTATTAAATCTACTTAATTTGGCAGTATCCATATCACATATATTCCAAGTTATGAGTTGTATTTCAGTGCATTTGAGCAAAGGTTCTCTTTTTCCTTTTCTTTTACACATCCCAGGCCCCAACAACTCTCAGTAGAAATGCCAATGTTAATTCCTTCTTTTACTCAATCTCAATCTATCCTTGCCCCGTCTTTTTTATCTGCTTTCTCTAACTCGGTATCATTTTTCCTATTCTGTGGTTAGGAGCATGCTGTCTTGTGATGGTGATTTCATGTGTTTTCTGCATGGGATTATTAACAGCATCCATTTTCTTGGGCGTCAAGTGTAAGTACTAAAAGATATTTTCAAAATATGTATATCGTTATATATAAAACTTCATAATTTATAAATGGATGGAAAATCAATTCATATGTGAATGCACATAAATGATATAAAATAATGGCCTCAAATTTCAATCATTTGATAGAACTCTCTGAGCACTTGGATGCCACTGATAACTTTCAATGATCTATTGCATGTTTTTTAACTCAAATCATGTGCTATAGGTCTCTGGGAGAAACAATGAAAATAATAACATATTCTGATTCCATTTGTGAGTCATGTTAACATGCTAAAGCATGCAATTTGAAAGATTTCACATTCTGCTTTTCTGTTTCTAATATACATTTAAATTAAATTTGACTTTTAAAGATTATTTATATTAGGCAAGTTTCAATTTAAAATGTTTAATGCAAACCTGAGAGCTTCGTTCGACCACATTTAACCACATTGCTTTTTAGTCCAAATAGAAGACATACTTTTATGTTTGGCAAGTGAAATTTTTATAAAATATAATAATTACAGAGCTTCAGATTCCAGAAAAAGAACAATGAACCTCTAACATCACTCATGCTACCACTAAGAAAAATGTAGATGTTTCTTTCTTATATGCCTTTGCAAATCATATCTCTATCTAAAAGACATCAGCTGGAGAGGAAGAATTATGAACTCTGAGAATAAGGAAGGGAAAGGTTCAGATTCGCATTCACAAAGTATAGGAAGTTTGACCTTGCTTAGGTAATGTCATGAGCTTCATTTTCTGCTGGTTTTTAGAGGAACGTTTTAAGAATTGCCAAGAGCTTAATCAGTAATTGTTACTTCGTCTGTCTCCTCAAATAAAGTTTCACAGCTTAACAGAAATGTTAGAACTTCAAGACAGCTTTCTTTTTCTCTATCTACTCTCTTTGGGTCTTATTAAAAAATACATATTTTAGACAAATGTGAGTTCGCTTTTTAAGAAGCACACATATTAAATACCTGTGGAAACAATTTATATTTAAAAGACCAGTTCAGTCAATTAACATCTAATAATCCACCTTCTTCTGTAAAAATTGAGGACTTTAAATGACACATTGCCAAACTTCATTGTAACTCTACAATAGAAGAATCCATATTTAACTTGCATTGCAAATATCAAAAAATATTCTTTAAATGTTAATTCTATATAATGAATTTCAATGTTATTTTACAAATGATAATGATTTGGGGTAATAAGATTTTAAAACTTAACATATAAAATCATTTCCAATTACAAACAAAATTAACTGAAGATGCAACATCTTGAAGCACTGTTGTCAAGTGAATGGGATATATAATTTGGTTTTTATATAAACATAAATCTATAGTCTCCAATTGCCAAATATTTTGTCTACTATATAGACAAAAATCATATACTACATAATAAGGATGATTATAAAAGTACACTTTAGGCCAGGCGTGGTGGCTCATGCCTGTAATCCCAGCACTTTGGGAGGCCGAGGTGGGCGGATTGCCTGAGGTCAGGAGTTCAAGACCAGTCTGGCCAACATGGTGAAACATCATCTCTACTAAAAATGCAAAAAAATTAGCCGGGAGTGGTGGGGTGCGCCTGTAATCCTAGCTACTCCGGAGGCTGAGGAAGGGGAATTGCTTGAACCAGGGAGGTGGAGGTTGCAGTGAGCCAAGATTGTACCACTGCACTCCAGCCTGGGTGACAGAGTGAGACTCTGTCTCAAAAAAAAAAAAAAAAAAAAAAAAAAGATACACTCTACATTTTCCATGTTGTCAAAAGATTTGCTGTTCAGTGTATACCTAAGTGTCTTCTCCATCTAGTAAACGAAATCTTATATGAAACCTATAAATCATGTTCCTAAGATAGTGAATTATTTTAAACTGTATTAACTGTGACCCAGCAGTACTACTTTTGGAAATTGTACCTATAGATAAACCTGCAATTTAACAATAGGGGAAAAGCCTCAAATACCCACCACATTGATAAGAGACCATGTTAATAAATAATGGTACATCATCTATACAATAGAATACCTTGAAGCAAGAACAACAAAAGAAAGAAGAAACACTTCTGTATGTAAAGTGCAAAAAAGCAGCATTTAAAACCTGGCTGATGAGATCAATTGTACCCCAAACATCAGCATCATGTACCTGAGTAACAAACCTGCACATGTACCCCCTGAATCTAAATAAAAGCTGAAATTATTTTTTAAATGTATATGCTATGTTACAATTTGATTAAGAATGAACATTTTCTTGAATTTAAACAAACAATGGAAGGTTATATAAGAAATACTAAAAGTGAGGGCAAGAGAAGTGAGATAAATAGTGACGATGAGGAGAAAAATATATTTCAATGTTTACTTTTCGGATTTTTTTAAATGTTTTAATCCTATGAATGTAGTATATATTTAAAAAATGTTAACTCCCCAAACACAAATTGTATGAAGAAAATGTTACTTTAATGAGGATAAAAGAAACATAGCTAGAAAACCATGTGCCTAAGACTTCCAGTAATTTCTAGAAAATTCTTACAAATAAAAGTTTTTGCTTTTTAAATTTTGTCTTACGAGCTAAAAATATATACTTACAAAACTTAAATATCACTGTACAGGCGTAAAGTATATTTTCCTTTAGCTTTTGTTCTAGTGACTATTAATTTTTATTGTTGTTGTTTTTAAATTTATAATTTGCCTAGGTCTTCTTATACATTTTTAACACTTAAGGCTTTAAAAAAATAAAACCAGTTACCATAATAAAACTGTTGTGTTAAGCAATAAGCAGCTTCTTCATGTGAAACATTCTGTTCAATAACTAATTACTTGTCCCAGCTAGTTACAGATTATGTTATAGCCAGTAGGCTTTGAGTTACAAAAGTCATGTTTATTTTTTAATAAATATTCCATTTTGATTATGTTCCATTTTAAATTAAAATGTTACATCCAATTTTCTTTATGAAAACTTGCATTGCAAGACAAATATGAAAACATATTTAAATTATATACATATATATTTTTTAAATAGGACCATGTGTCTGACAAAAAGTAGTAAATGAAAACTATAACCTTTTATTTAAAAGTATCATAACATGAACATAATGAAAGTGCTAATTACAAATTGCTCATATATATAACTAAAGGCCAGTACCTGACAATAGAAGGACTGGTAAAATTAATTATGTCATATTTATATAAAAGAACACAATGCCATTATTTAAAGAATTCTTCTAGAACCATTGTTATTGTTTTGGGAATATGGTTATGCAATATTTTCTCACGAAAGAAGCAGATTTCTAAAAAGACATTTATATAAAAATATGGTTTTCTAAAGGTTGTATATAAAATACTTTTCTATATACATACATAGAAAAGAGTTTCAATAGATATAAACCAAATACTAATGGCCATTATTTGAGTGGTAGTTCTCAAAGTAAGTAGACTTAACTTTAATTTTCTTCCTACTATTTCACATTTTCTAATTTTTCTACCACATTATTTATGCCATTAATTTTTGTATTAAAAAATCTATAGTTCAAAATATTTTCTAACAAATCAGCTTTTTAATTTGTTTTTACTGTTCATTTTCTTAATTCATCAATTAGGTATAATGTATGATATCATATAACAAATAATTTTATTTGGGGGACGTTAAAAGTATTTTGTTTTTTTTCCCCAGGTAATTATATTGTTTTGTCTTTATTCCTCATTGCAGATTTATTACAACTTCAACCCCAATAAAGGTGCTATATTTTGCTTCCCATTTAGGGTAAAACTCTGAAGAGAAGTCTCATTTCCCTTTCTCCAGTTTTATTACAGTTTCATATAGTATACGCTGTTCAGACAGTAATAAACAACAGCTTCTATGATATAGCTAATCTAAAAAGGTATCTAAATATAAAATTTTAGAATTATATGTTGAATCTAAGAAGAAAATTATTATTTTTCAAAGTCTAAACATGCCAGATTATTAATAGGATAAAAATCAGAGCATCACTGTTCTACACTTGACTCTGGTTAGATCCATCATTTTGCTAGAAAGAGAGAAAAAGATCCAAGCAGCTGACAGCCTGGGTTTTTGTTAACTATCCACCGATGGACAGGGCATACACATCTGCTTTCTCTAGTCCATGGCTTTTGATTTCTGGCATTTTCTTCTCAGCAGCAATGTTGATAAGTAAAACAGATCAGAATATGTAGATATGTAAATGTTTTCTTTTTCTTTTCTTGCTCTGTTGCCCAGGCCGGAGTGCGGAGTGCAGAGTGCAGGGTTATGATCTCACCTCACTGCAACCTCTGCCTTCTGGGTTCAAGTGCCTCTCCTGTCTCAGCTTCCTGAGTAGCTGGGATTACATGCGCACACCACCACACCCAGCTAATTTTTGTATTCTTAGTAGAGACAAGGCTTTGCCATGTTGGCCATGGTGGTCTCGAACTCCTGACCTCAAGTGAGCCACCCCCCTCAGCCTCCCAAAGTGCTGGGAGTACAGGCGAGAGCCACCACGCCCAGCCTGTCTTGGTCAGATGATTTTTCTGTGTGATCGTGGTTACCTCCGTTTTGTGGTTAAAAATATGAAAATAATTTTACAGATTTGCCCATTTGTTCTCCTCTTTTGTTGTTCTATTTCTCTCTAAAAGAGGATTTTTAATCCTAAAGGTCTGGCTGACACGCATAGGTGTTTTTATTTGTTTTTTTTAATTCACTAATTAATTTTTCTTGATGCCATTCTCTCTATACAATATGTCTATTCAATAACCACAATCTAATAATGATTAACATATCATAAACTTATTTTAAACCAATTATATAACTGAGTAGAATCAATTTGCCTGATTTCAAAACCTGTATGAATTAAAGCTAGGTGTATTAGTCGACAAAAAGACAGATATAAAATACAATAAAGAATCCAGAAACAGACTCATACAAATATACCCAAATGATTTTGTCAGCAGTGCAAATCAATTGAAAGAAGGAGGATAGCCTTTTCAACAAATGGTGCTGGAGAAATTAGACATCCATAGGAAAGAAAAAAAGAAAAAGAAAATAAGCCTAAGTCTTCAACCTTACACAAAAATTAAAAGTTAACTCAAAATAGACCACAGTCTTAAAAGTAGAGCATAAAACTGTCAAACTTTCAGAAAACATAGGACAAAATCTTCAGAATCTAAAGGTAGGCAAATAATTCTTAGACTTACATTAAAAAATGGTTAATGAAAGGAAAAGCTGGTAAGTTGGATGGACCTCATCAAAATAAAACATACATACTCTGCAAAAGACACTAGGAAGAGGGTAAAAAGACTTGTTACAGGCCAGGTGTGGTGGCTCATGCCTATAATCCCAGCACTTTGGGATTCCTTGAGCCCAGGAGTTCAAGACCATCCTGAGCAAGAAGGTGAGACCCCATCTCTACAAAAATAAATAAGTAAATAAAAGCCAAGTTACAGACTGGGAATAAATAGTTGTAAATCAATATCTGACAAAGGATTAGAACCTAGAATGTACAAAGAACTCTCTAGTTAGTAAAAAACTAGACCATCCAACGAGAAAATGGCAAAAAGACATGAAAAGACGTTTCACCAGAGAGAATATACAGATGTCAAATAAGCACAAGAAAAGATGTTCAATGTCATTAGCCATTAAGGAAATGTAAATTAAAACTACAGTGAGATATTACTACATACATAATCAGCATGGCTAAAATAACAATAAGTGACAACATCAAATGCTTGTCAAGCTGCAGAGAAAGCGGATCACTCACTCATTCCTGGTGGAAATGTAATATGCTGTAGCCACTCTGGAAAATAGCGTAGCAGTTTCTTAAAAATCTAAACTTCACACTTCCTTAAAACACAACAATTGCACTCTTGAGCGTATACCTCATAGAAATGAAAATTTATGTTCACACAAAAACCTGTACATGAGTGCTTATAGTAGCTCTATTTGTAATGACTAAAACCTGAAAACTACCTGGATGTCCTTCAGTGGATGAACAGTTAAACTAGTAGTGGTAATTCATATCATGGAATTCTACTCAACAATACAAAATAGGTGAACTATTTATTTAAACAACAATCTGCATGAGTCTCCAGAGGATTATTCTGAGTGAACAAAGCAAATAGCAAAAGGTTACATACTGTAAGATAGCATTTATATGTCATTTATGTGATAAAATAGAAAAGGAACACAAATTAGTGATTGCCAGGAGTGAACAAGGGGTGAAGGCAAGAGGGAAGTGGGTGTACTTATAAAAGGGCAAGGACAGATCCTGATGGTAGTGGAGGAGCCGAGTATCTTGATTGTATCAATGTCAATATCCTGGTTGTGCTATTGAACTAAATTTTGCATGTCTATGTACTGATATGGAACTGAGTTCAAATATGCATGTTAATGATAAAACAAAAGGTGCAAAACCATGTAAATATATTGTTACCATTTGTGTTAAGGGGAGAGAGCGAGTTTTATATTCATTTGCCTTCATTTGTAAAGTTTCTTTTTGTTTTATCTTATGTGTAATATTCAAAAGCTCCCAAATAATAAAATATAAATTGGTAAATCTGGTTGTTTGGGGGTAGTAAATCAAGCAAATTAAAAATGGGTGCAAAGAGACATTTTGTTCCACGTCTTTTGTAGTGTTTGATTCTTGTACAATGTAAATTTTAAGCAAAAACCTAAAATAATACAAATTCAAGTCTCAAAAATAATAGTAATTTGTACTTGTCTTTAGTCTGTGTTGAAGGATTATTTTGCTATAAAATGTCAGGATTTTATTAGGAATGATTGCTATCATGTGAAGTGTTGCAGGTGTCCACCATTGCGATGCAGCAGCAAGAAAAACTCATCCAACAAGAGAGGGCACTGCTAAACTTTACAGAATGGAAGAGAAGCTGTGCCCTTCAGATGAAATATTGCCAAGCCTTCATGCAAAACTCATTAAGTTCAGGTAATGGATAAAAATCAGTTTCCACTGTATACATCTAAATATATACACCAATACCTCAAAAGAAACAGTGACACACATTTTGTTCTCTGCAAAACTGTTAGGATTTTATAATAAGAGTGACATAATTTTGGTCACTCTTCAGTTCAATCTTATTTATAACATCCAATACTACGTGGAAACACTAGGGATCCAAAAGAATGCAACTAAAGGAAATGTACAGTCAAATGCCAAAGAGGTGTGTGTGCAATTAGTAGGTCAGATTAAAAAAATACATGCACAAAAAAAAATCGTTTTATCCAGCCATTCAAATTTGTAAGGATGTTTTAGTTCTAGCTCCAAATTTCCCAATATATTTAGTTTAGATATTGTTTTAGATTCAAGTTTAGATAGCTTTGAGCAAAAAAATTCATTTTGAAAATGAGAGTATTTACCACAAAATTCTTTTACGATGCAGGACCTAGCTCTTTTTTAAAATTCTATGAAGTTACTGCAGTTTAATCTTTTATATGCTTTACAAGCATTTTAAACCTAATGCAGAGTCTATTTCTACCTGTCATATAGTTTGCCATGTATTCTATGCTTGGCATTTCATAATGCTTGTACATATAGTTTAGAGAATTAACTTTCCTAGACTGGATACCATTTACATAATTGCCAATGAGAGAAGTCAAACATCAACCATAGTTCCTTCTGATTAAAATTTAATCGAGTGTTTGAAGGATCACTGTGTGCCCAACCATGTTTCTCTATGCAGCAGGCCATTGCAAACTCGGGTGAGGCCCACCTCTGAGCCATCAACCTTGAATAGAATAACAATATCCATTTTGGAGACGTACAAGTCCAACATGTTCTTCAACGCCACCAATACCATTGTCTACACTATTTATACTATAGCAATGTTCAGGATATTGGTTGGCAGGGATTTCAAACAAAAGATATTGAAGAGCTTTAAACAACTTAACATCTGGCCCATGGAAGCTACTGATGAATTATTTCTTGGCCTAAATACAGGGACTGTCTAGAAACCAGAGTTGTGGAAGTTTCAGTGTCTTTCCTTCTATAAACCTGTGCCAGAAACACTTGGTCAAATTCTTGGTCTTTGGTTCCCCTTTTACACATTTGACCATCCTTCTTTTGTGACTATATTCCATCTTAAAACAGGTTCCATAAAACTGATTAAACATTAAGGCTTACTTCTTAGTTGTATCAGAGTCCTAAACTAAGCATATTGTTCATTTATGTTCTTCTCCAATTTTCCTCACCTGCATGTTTTCAAATCACTCCTTAAGGCAGACTACTTGTTCTCTCCATTATCTATAAAATATTTCCTTGTTTAGCTCTCAGAATTTAAACATAAATTCAGGGCTTATTATTCAATCCATCCAATGGTCCAGTACATTTCTGGCTAAATTGGGGCAGTAAGACTAACAGACATGAAACAATAAGCAAACAAGTGAAGACAATAAATGATGTGAATTCAAAGAAAGGAAAGATTGATAAAACTGGAATAATCAGATTATTATAGAAGAGAAAAAATTTAGTTAAATATATCCCAAAATTAATTTCATATTTAAGTTAAAGGCCCATTGCAGATAGAAATTATTACATGAATCTTACTATATTGAGCCTCAGAGAAGCTGAAATTGGTAAGTGCTACATCATGTGGACCATTACGTTATGAGATTCAGCCTCACTGAGGGTGAGGCAAGGGGCTTTTTGGAGGGATATATGTTGTTAATATTTTACAATAAGATACTAAAGTAAAATGTTTATATTCAAAGCCCATAACAGCAGTCCTTGTCCAAACAATTGGATTCAGAACAGAGAAAGTTGTTACTATGTCTCTGAAATTTGGAGCATTTGGCACACCAGTCAAGAGAATTGTTTAAAGGAAGGTTCCACGCTGCTACAAATAGAGAGCAAAGAAGAAATGGTAAACACTGTTTTGTGGTCTCATGTTATTCTGAAAATATCATTTTACTTATTAAAAGAAATCCCTCATTCTCATAAGACAAAATTCCTTAATATTCTATAACAGCAGTATAATTGTAAAAATAAAGGTTTAAAAGAAACAAAGTTGGAATCTGTATTTTTTGTTTTCTTTTTAATGGGAAAACATAAAAACAGGATGGTTTTCTGAAATCGAGAAGAATATGTTTGTTCTATGTCCTTGGTTAATTAAAAAGAGGAGGGAATAAGGAGAATACTATTTTGTAGCATGATAATCCACTTCAAGATATACATATATTATAGTTGCAGATATGTTTTAAATGTATTATTTTCAATGCTGTAGGCAAATATAGTAACCTATAATAATCTTGTAATTATCAAGAAAAAACAGAAGTATAAAAACTGAAGTGGTGCCATGAAATAAATAGGTCTTGAAAAATACAAGTATCTGCTAAATGAAATGTTTAATTAGCATAAAACCTAGTTTACCAATATCTTAACAAGTGAATAGGCTGGGCGGGGTGGCTCACACCTGTAATCCCAGCATTTTGGGAGGCCAAGGTGGGTGGATCACCTGAGTTCAAGGCCAGCCTGGCCAACACGGTGAAACCCTGTCTCTACTAAAAATACAAAAATTAGGCTGGGATGGTGGTGGGAGCCTGTAATTCCAGCTACGTGGGAGGCTGAGGCAGGAGAATTACTTGAACCCAGGAGGTAGAGGTTTGCAATGAGCCGAGATTCAGCCATTGCACTCCAGCTTGGGCAACAAAAGCAAAACTCCATCTCAAAAAAATAATAATAATAAAATAAAACAAGTGAACAATAAGATGTTGCCTTGAATTCATTCTACCCACAAATATATGAAATAGAATGCAAAATTGCACATTTTTGGCCCTATAAAAAATGTATACCTGCTATATTCAGTAATTAGATGAAGTTCATTTCAACAAAAATCATGAGAAAATAATTTGTTAAGGATATGCAGTAAACCAAGAACATTTGAAGTAAATTATTACAGTTGTAGGTGCAAAAAGTTATTTTACGTGCAAATTTGATGACACAAATTAGAAATGCTTCTTCTAACCGAACGTGCTCATAGTTAAGTTGCTCCTGGAATCTCATGAACTATTTTTCTACATCGACGTATACTGAGAAAGACTATTCTATGTGGTCTATGATGTCAAGAATATTTTTATTTTTGATAACGAAGGTTCAGTATAACACTTTCTTTTTTTGACGTATACTACCTGCCAGGCTCTGAATCTGTTGAAACTTTTAAAATCCCAGTTGCCTATTTTTTTCATAGTTTTTAACACCACATGGATCCATACAGCAATCGAAAATAGTCTAAAAAATGTATCGGCACTTTTTTATAATACTCCCTTCTCTCCTTTTCCAGATTTCAAGTTCCCATTAATTTCTAGCTAGGCAAAATGTCACACTTTATATTTCACTAGAGTTTTGTTTGTTTGTTTTTCTCATTTCACAGTTCAATTTTTGTCTCATAGGATTTTATCACTGGCAGCTTGAGGAAGATTAAAGGAAGCTATGATTACTGGGTGGGGTTGTCTCAGGATGGACACAGCGGACGCTGGCTTTGGCAAGATGGCTCCTCTCCTTCTCCTGGCCTGTAAGTCTCTGAGTGAAATGCTACAAGAAAAGTTAGAAACATGAGGGAATTCAAAAGTTTATTTCACCTTGTACCATGAATTTTCTCCAAGGGACAAGCAGCATGATAATGTTACAGGCGGCTAATTGGGATTAAAGCTAACAAAATTAAGAGTAGCTTCATGCCTTCTAAGTCTCTCTCCTTCCCAGCCCTGCTTCTATTATCTTATAGAAAATTCACCTCACAATTTGAGTGTCTGATGAATAATATAATTATCAAGTGTGTTTCTTTTGTATCGCTTAATGTTTAGAGAATAACTATTTATTTCCACATTAAGCTTTTCAGATGGCAGTGGGGAGATGGAGAAGCAGAATCAGGTGCCTTCATATTTTGAAAATTAAGAGTCAGCAAAGAGATTCTAATTTAGGGACTGTCTTTGGGTATCTATGTTTTCTTTTTCTTTACATGCTGTTTTTGTTCAAATTATATTAACATTCTTTATTGAGAGAAAGAAGCAGTTACTGAAGAAGGAGGATGAAACCACCACAGGAAGTTGCTGTGTCAACACAAAACAAAACAAGCAGCTACACACCTCTCATTAGTTACCCTCAGGAGCATTTCTGAAACTCCCAAGTCTAACCTCAGAAATGTTGACTTGCTTTTCCAGGTTGCCAGCAGAGAGATCCCAGTCAGCTAACCAAGTCTGTGGATACGTGAAAAGCAATTCCCTTCTTTCGTCTAACTGCAGCACGTGGAAGTATTTTATCTGTGAGAAGTATGCGTTGAGATCCTCTGTCTGAAAGAAATTGTGTTCAAAGTGTTCTATTACACTGTTATTTGGAGCATGCCATTGGAAAACCCACCCCCACCCCCCCTCAAAAAAACAGAACAGTAAACCAAAATGTGGGCCATGAAATTAGCAACCTGGGACTCAATAATACACTTGGGAATATTCTTCCACACCGTCCAGATTTCATTTGATGTTGTTCACATTGCAAGAGTAAAACTTATTTAGAGCTACAGAAGACAAAACCCTGAAGAGTTAAGAACAAACGCAAGGAAATAATTTTTATTGTTTAAAGCCCGGAATGACTGTAACTTTCACACAAGGTACGCATCTATGTTTTTGGGGGAGGTGATGTAGTTACAGCTGACTAATATTTTTAAAATAAATAAATAAATTTGGCCTTTAAAACTCACTGTCTGTGAGATCTTTCTATGCATTTTCTAGGCTTTCAGGCATTATGTTATCAGACTGATAGAAGAACAGAGATACGAATTTCCAAACTGGAAGAAAGGCAGACTTCTATCTGCAGCCTGTAAGACAATGTACTTTTTAAGATTTGATTTCTTCTAGAAAGATGAACTACTAGAAGTTGACATAAGCAGAAGGAATAGTCAGGATGCCAGGATCAGAATGTTCTCCAGAGAATTCTGTGAATTCCCTCTTTCCTCTCAATGACCATGCCTGGCATTCGCAAACCAAAGGGCTCATGGTCTGGTCCCTCAGGGTTAACACGCCAACACTTTTGATTACGTCTTTCAGTGCCTCGATTGCCTCATTGTAAAATAACAGCAGAACTTACTCCAAAATATTGTGTGAGGAGTAGACTGTAAATATATGTCAGTGCTGAGAATAGTCTTGCACAGAGTTGAACACTCTATCAGTGCTTGGTTTTGTTCTCTGGACTACACCACCAATCATCTATACACATCAACCTTTATTTGTGCATCCCAGGCAAAAATGATCCCTTTTTTTGCTCCTCTTGGAGGGATATTCAGAAGTTAAAGTTTATGTGTAAAATGTCAGCAACTCTCTGGAGAGAATATCTGCTTTAAAGTTAATGGATTCTCCTCAAATAAATCTATAGACATTCTCTGCCCTAAGTCTGTAGACTCCCTGAAGCATGGACTATCTTATTCCCTAGAGACCATTAATAGCAAAGAACCCTGTGATCTACAGAAAGAACAGATTCTTTAATTATTATTATATTACTTGTTACCACTTACGTCCCTGCAAGAACGCCGTACCACATAGTAGGTTCTCAATAAATATTTGCTTAATTCAGTATAATTTTATTTAATTCTTCATTTCTCATAAAGAGGAGCTGAGATTCATTAGATTATCATCTTTTCTTCCTAAGCATAAAGGCATCACTTAAATATATAAAGTAAAAAAAAAACCTAATTCTCTGAGTCACTGGAAATCATTTAAATGAAACTAAATATCCTCTTACCTAAATGTCCTTTTACAATGGGTAAGGTTGTGTAAGGATGAGAAGAGCATGTTTTTGTTTATTTACCCTTGACCTAGAGTTTAAATGTGGGAGTTTAAGTAAAAGAGATTTTTCTCTAATTTTCTGCAGAACCTGAAAAAGGAGAATAGCAGAGAAAACACAGCATATATTGTCTCCTGTGTTTGATTTTTACAGCTGACAGCTGGCAGCTGAATGTAATAACCTGGAATAAAGGAGAAACAATAGTGGAATTTACTAGCAAAGACTGTTTGCCTTAAAGATTCTTCAAAGTATTGTCATGGAACTATGTTTAGAGGAAGGATACGAAGCACTTATAATCATTCTTTAAGAAGTACAATAAAGCAAAAGGCAAACATCCTTCAGCTGATGTCATCCCGTAGTGTATGATGCAGTATTTTCAAATTAGAATTTATCTACAGCGCAGCTGACTTCAGCTCCTACAAATCTCCTCAGCAGCGATGCTACTTTCCACACAGATGCTATAGTTGGGTGATTCTTCTCTGCAGGTTGCTTTTGGTCCAGGATACCAAGGCTTTTCAGATACAACACTGAGTATGCCAGTCTTATATCCTAGTCCCACCAACAATGAATTGGGCATCTTAGATCTCTTTCATTGAGTTCTAAGTTAGTCTTAAACAAACGAAAAGAAAACTAAAAATAAAACTATCCTGCAAATGTGAAGAGTTTTTTTACATGTTTGGTTAAAGTACATTAAATGTATAAAAAGTATACATAATAATATTGGTAGAATAATAGTAGATACTATTCGAGCCTAAAAATCTATTCATATAATGAAGCGTGTACAAAAGTCACGCAGACTTTAAATCAGAGGATCCTGATTTGTTTGTAATCTTCAAATACTGTAAGAATCTCTCTACAGAGGAGTTGACTCCCAAATATTAAAGCTGGCCCAGAGACAACCTGCTAACCTACTAGACTTTTCTCCTTGTTCATAATGTGTTTGTATCCTCAAAATAAAAGCTCCCCGTTACTCTTCTCACACTTCCTGCTGTTACAGGGCTCATGACCTGTTTCCTGTTGATAAATCCTGAAAGCTGGTTCAATATCCTCAGGAAAAGAAAGAGCTTATTGTGTACCGGAGATCTCAGCTCTACCAGGAAAGGCTGGGCTCCTCGTTTGACTGTTCCTGCAATTTCTTCAGAATTACATAAACAAGAACCTAGAAAGAAAAAAGTCTCCTCATCCAGAAAAACCAGTTCATACAGTGCCCCTCTCTGATTCTCAACTGGATATTGTTCTTAGCAAATCAGATTTTAAAATTCACTTTATCATTATGTCCTATTCTTAATATCATTTTTCTAAAGTGTGTAGTGAGAATGCTATGCTATACACTTTTTTCTGTTGTTTTGAAATGTTTGTTCACATTGTGATCAATATTGTGAGTTTTGCTATAAAGACAAAGGGATTAAGGGGAAACATGAAGAATAAACTCAGGGAAGGAGCTGAAGTATGTCAAATGTATGCTATTTTTTCCTCCTCACAATCTAAAGTGACACTATCCCTTAGTCCCAGACTTGGAATGACATACCATTCAAAACTCACTCTAGGCAGCTAGACCCTTCACATCAATGGCACTTAAAGAGTGGCTTGTCATCCATCCCTGAGCTAGACTGCAGCCACATAGGATGCTAGGAGTCAAAACTTAAATGAGTGCATGTCTCTGTTTTACAGCTTAGTCCACAAAATCATTTGACTTCCTCCTATCAGTCATATTTTCTTTCTGTAGCAACAAGGCTTACATAACAATTGCTTAACTGCAGGCTTACTTCTCATTTCTTGTTATGTACCTATTATATGAACTACTTTCATCGAAAATCTGCACTCATCATCAAAAATATTTGGTAATAAAATCCTTAGCTCCCCAAAGTAGGTGCCCTTCTACAATTTGTTCATAAATACAGATTTCCAAAGAAGTTTGTTGTTATTAATAAATCAAGTTTAGCCTAACGCTGCCTTTTTACGTATTTTAAGTTTAGCTTAAAGGATTCTCTGTACATAATGTCAACTATAACAAGTTGAGGGGTAAACAGACCCTAGTCTATACTTGTGCCAATCACTGTGCTTTGGCCAATCAAATGTAGCCAACTGTTTGAATTGTGTTCAAATAAGGCAAACTCCGAGCTGTAAGCAATCCAGCTTTTTCTGTACCTCACTTCCGTTTTCTTTACTACGTTTTCCTTTTTCTGTCCATAAATCTTCTTCCACCACATGGCTGCACTGGAGCCTCTGAGTCTACTCTGGCTCTGGAGGCTGCCTGATTTGTGAATGAGTCATTGCTCAATTAAACTCTTTTAAATTTAATTGAGCTGAAGTTTTTTTCTTTTTAACATTGCTTATGCATGTGTATGTGCGCCCCTATATTTAAAAATAAATCACTAGATCCTTTTAAAAATATTTTCTTGACTTCCCTTACATTTTTTATTGCAGTTCACATTATGAAACTGATTTCACATTTACTTTATTTCAGCTAACAGTAACATTATGAGGAAATTATAATTATTTCTACTTCATATGCAGTGAAATAGGTTTCATGAAGTAAAGTGACTTGCCTAATAAGTAAATCAGAATAAGAGGTCTAAAATCTTCATTTTCTAACCACAAATACAGTTTTCTTTGCATGACACAATATATCAACAGAACTTGCTCGACCCTGAAGAAAATTTTAAGGAAATCAACAGAAAATTGAAAGGAAAGTTCTCAAGGAAGAATCCGCAATAGTCTTTGCTAAGTGACAATCTAACAAAATGAAGTTTATGAAAATGAGCACCAATGTGTTCTTTCTATCATATGATTGCTACTATACGTCATTTTACCATGAGATAGATGTTTATGAAAAACAAAACTGAAGCACCTCAGTTTCCACTGTTGAAAAACAAAGATTTATAATGTTATCTTTTCTAGCATAAAACCCTCAAAATTGATTTATCAGTAAACCAATAAACTTGGTGGCTGTGATGGTGTCATTCCCAATGATCCCTGTTATATTTGTGCATGGAGTCGTCTCAAGAAAGAAGTGCCTCACAAAGGAGCAGCTACAAAGATGTCACTGTCTCTGTTCATTTCCCATGACCTGACTGGAAATCATGTGCACTAATGCAACTCAGCTTCCTCATCAACCATGTGTTGATGCCATAAGCTCACCTCAAAAGATTTCATTTTAGGAAAACGTTAAAACTGTTTTCTTGAAGCCAACACGTATTTCAAAGACATCTTATTTTCTCCAGATAATCATGTAATCAGTACTCTTGTAAATTCCCCAAAAACTTTCAGTAAGGCACAATCAAAATAATGACCGCTATCATATTTTGAAAAGCATTTCCATGCTGAATTTTCCCACCAACCATAAGTCCATTGTAAAATCACACACACTTCACAGTATTTACATTTATTATTATTAAATCTTCAGTACCTGAAAGGTATAAATATGGGTCAATGGAAGAAAATAGGAACTGAAACTATTACAGGTGCAGATGAAGAGGCTCACTTTTTTCTGGTCTTTAATCTCTCTGAAGGGAATATCGGGGACGGTAGTTCTGATATGAAACGGAGATGGGGATATATTTCTTTCCTGGGAGAAATTCCTATGGAGGGGAGACAATTATCAGAGTCTTAATGGACACAGGAAGGAATGCTTATAAGGCATTGAGATTTGAGATTCTCATATCAAGTGACATCCCTGTTGGGAAACGGCATGGACAAGGCAGATGGGGTCTTTACTGATGGATTGGGAAGGGACTAGTATGAACTGAAACAAACAAAAAGAATTCCTTGTGTATTTGCTGGTACAATCTGGGAAGTGACTGCCAATTTCTGATGGACTACTTGACTGTCAGAGAAAAGGATGTTACCTCAATGTATTTCCTCTACTTCAAAAAGTTTCTTATTCCACCAAGTGTAAGGAAGACATGAAAACAGGGAGGTGATATTAGACATTGAGAAGAAAGAGAGCTAAAAGTTATCTCTAAGCCAAGAAGGCAGATGACATTATGGGTTTCTGAGGTTGGTTGGTGGCATGTAAATAAGACTTCTTGTGACTGTTAAATACGTGCATAAACCCAAGCTCAGAAATGCTGGTGATCCTGAACAGGAAACACGAGAACCCATTTTGTACTAGTCAGAGAGATAGTCTTTCCTGATTATGTTCCATTTCCCAATGTCTCAACTAGCCCTTGCTTTGGCACCGCCTGGCTCACTCTGCTATTTGTAGTTGCAGAGGGCGAATCAGTCACCTTCGCCTAATGTTTCAGGGGGGACATGGAGGCTCTCTGGCTTCACCATTCCTGCCCTTCTCTCACAGACACAACGCTTCAATTCTTTGCAGTCCTTTGAGAAGATCATCCCATTAAGGATGGCCACACAGTCTCTGCTTCTTGGGCTGGTGACATCTATTATAATATGGAACCTTAAGAAAGGAAGAAAAAGTAAATTCAATCACGGTTTATTTCTAAAATAAAATATTAAATACCCATTCTTTCTAGAGTTATAAAATTATAGTCTAGATACCAGAATAAGTTTACCGGGAAACTGGGGTCATGTGCCTCTTTCTCTTCAGCCCCTAAGTTTCCATACTCATTCTTAGAAACAGCAGGTCACCCCAAACAGCAAAAACCATTTCTAACTAAAGCGAAGCTACGTGTTCTCCTCCAAATTTATATAGTGTTTCTGCCACTTAAAAAGTTCTCTACCTTCTCTGTAACTCAGTTTACTTAACTGTAAAATACAAATGATTACATCAAATATATCCTGTCTCCTGGGAGAATAATGATATATTGTATATAGGGAAGAATGGTGTCTGTTCAAATATGGCTTTAAATGTGATATATTTTGATAGAGAAATTACAATTTCCTCTTTCAAAGGATACTGATGTGGTTTGGATGTGTGTTCTTTCCAAATCTTAGTTGAAATGTTATCCCCAGTGTTGGAGATGGGGCCTGGTGGGAGGTGTTCGGGTCATCGGGGTGGATCCCTCATGAATGGCTTGGTGCCCTCTTCTTGGTGATGAGTGAGTTCTCACTCAGTTAGTTGATGCAAGATCTGGTGGCTTAAAAGGGCCTGGAACCTCCCCCCAGCCCCTTCTCTTTTGTGTTCTCTCTTGCCATTGGACATGCCAGCTCTTGCTTCGCCTTCTGCCATGAGTAAAGCTCCCTGAAGCCTCCTCAGAAGCCAAGCAGATGCTTGTACAGCCTGCAGGATTGTGAGCCAATTAAACCTCCTTTCTTTATAAGCTATCCAACCTCAGGCATTCATTTATGCTGATGCAAAAATGGACTAACACAGATACCATATGTACTCCTGTCTAAATGCTCACAGCATATGTACGACTAGTGTTTTATATTACCCCTTACATTTTCAGCAAATCTTTTCTCAGAGATTGTGTTTTTTAAAAGATGTGCTCCCTATTTTGCTGCACAGAAAGCCAAGAACTCTTATGCTATCTCTGGGTACTGACAAGTTGTGTGACTTTAGGCAACCACCATTACAGCCTGGACTCCTGGGCTTCAATTTACTCACTCAGGGAAAGATCTCTCTCTCTCTCTCTCTCTCTCTCTGTCTCTCCCTTCTCTCATCTGCAGTATGTCCCAGACACAAACTTCTGAAAGCAGCAAGAGAACTACCCTGATATTTTACTAATGCTATGTATCTGTCTCCCTCACTGGCTTATAAGCAGTTCAAAAGCAGGCACTGGCCGGGTGCGGTGGCTCATGCTTGTAATCTCAGCACTTTGGGAGGCCAAGATGGGCAAATCACTTGAGTCCAGGAGTTCTAAACAAGACTGGGCAACACATCATAATCCTGTCTTTCCAAAAAAGACAAAAAATTAGCTGCATGTAGTGGTGCACGCCTGTAGTCCGAGCTACTCAGAAGGCTGAGGTGAGAGGAGAGCTTGAGCCTGGGAGGCAGAGGTTTCAGTGAGCAGAGCTTGCACCACTGCACTCCAGCCCATGCAACAGAACAAGACCCTATCTCAAAAAACAATCAAACGAACAAACACACACACACACACAAACAAAATGAGGATGCACTATTGTTCAAATATCTTCAGGCATCCTCCTGCAAACACAGTATCCAGTACAAAGCAGAAGTTTGATTAATACTTGATGGACCAAATTCTTGAGCTCTATCACTCAAGCAAAATATCTTTGTTAAATGCCTTTCCCATAAAATATCCTGAAGGCTTACAGTTCAGAAGTGAAAGGGGTTCCATCCATCCACAGCCAGGCCTTGCCACTGTCAGGGCGCAAAAGCCCTGTCCAATAAGAGTAGAAAAACTCAGAGTAGCTCTGAGACGCGGCAAATTCCTGTGAAAAGCACATAAGAAAAGCTTTAGCTTTGGTGGCATGATTACTCACATGTACAGACATGCATGGGCCAGCCAGCACTTTTCTCAAAGCACACACAAGTCCTGCTTCACATTGATGCTCATATGCTTAAGAGAAAAAGCATCTATGCTGAGGCCAGTCAGAAATTTGTCCAGGTTTAATAACTTATTTTGTCTTAGTAAATATGGAACACATGTCGATATTCTGAAAGCGGAAATCACATCAACCAAGATTTGTTCCTGACCCATGGCTTTTAAGGCACAGAATTAAACATTAATGTTGACATAAAAATATGAGGGAAAGACTAACAAAGAGATGCAGAATGATTCTGGGACATGGAAGAATATGGAGGGAAAAGTGCAGGAATGAGGTAGTAACCGTTATAAATACCTGGGAAAGGAAGAAAAAAAGTAAAAGAAAAATTTGCAAGGATGATTTATGTCTTAGACTAGGAAGAGAAGAAAGAAATTTTTAAATTTCTATCTATAAATATTTATGTGCACACATGTGTATAGTCCTATACATGGTAATCCTTTTCCCAATATCCATATTTAACATATGTTTACATTTTAAAAGTTGTTTACTTACTTCTATCTAGTCTCACTCTGCACTCCTAATAGATATTTTTGGAGGATTGGTGGCGACAGGGTCTCACTCTGTTGCCCAGGCTGGAGTGCAGTGGCACGATCATAGCTCACTGCAGCCTCAACCTCCCCAGGCTCAGTGCACTCCTAATATTTTAACATAGAAATTATCTAAATATTTATTATAATTATCCATTTAAATAATGAGTTTCTCAAGGCCGTACACTTTGTTTCATTGTTACATCCAAAACCCCTCAGATAATTAATAAAATATACTGATTTAATGAGAGATTATTGAAAATGTAAATGAAGCTATTACCAAGCAATAGTCGTAGAGTGAACAGGTGAAAATAACTGTAGTTGAAAATATTTATTCCAATTAAATGGGCGGGTGCCTTCAAATTAAAAATTTTGAAAGCAAATCATATGAAAAAGATTTAAATATATACAAATATATGAAGTTCATGATAGAAAATAACTACATAGGTTCAACAAGACAATTTCCTACCACGTGATATAATATAGTTCAGTTTTATACCTGAGTTTGCAGTGTATGCTGGAGGCAGAGGAATCAAAGAGAATAAGAAAAATTAGGAGGGTTTATGCTAGGGCACACTGTCTTAGTCAAAGAAATTGCCTCGCTTTCTGCCTAAATTAAGCCATCGAGAAAGGGTTATAAAATATTAGTAGCCGAGAAAAATTACAGAGGTTCTTTCATCACAGATTTCAGGAGGTAGGTAGAAATTAAGAAGTAATTAGAATGATGTTAAGAATTTGTGTAGTGAGCTGAGCATTTAATTCAATTAAATAACCCTTTGTTGATAACCTACTCTTCATCAAGAAAAATCTCTGCTAAATTCTAGAGAAACTGATAAATAAACAACGGCCATACTATTTGAGAACTTCAATTCAAAGGCAGTAATAAATATGAGAGAAAGGGGAATAATCATATTTTAATGATGTACTTTAATTGCGTGTACTAACTCAATATATGTCAATTTGTAGTTTTATTGTCACATTTGCCTTGACCAGTCTATCCTAGGCTGTAAACTTCTGGAAAGCAAGATATACATTTGCAGATTATGGTAAAAACTTAGTTAAATATTTTCCACTTAAAAGCTTTGCCACTTTTAGAATGGAAGAGCAGGCAGCCCTATTTTCATGTTTCTGACATTGCATCAATATTATTCCTTTTCTACCCAAATCAAAACAGGAAAGAAGTTAAGACATTCTAACTTTGTTCCCTGAGAGGGGATTTTAAAGTGATATTGCTCATCTTCCTAAGGTGTGTGTATTTGTGGAGAACACAACTCCTTCTATCTACTTCAGGGGACCGTTCAAAGCAATAGGAATAAGACTCAGGCCCTGATCGAAACAGGTTCGAAAACCTGTGGACCGATATTCTTGATCCTTAGAGTCTTCTTGCCTAATGCTTTTAAGGCCTCTTTTTGAAATCCTTCAAACATTGAAAAGCCTCAGAATCTTACCAGGTCTTCTTGTTTGTTTATCTTCAGCATGGTAGAGTTTTCACTAAGGCAGAAATATTTACAGTCCTCCCAACTTTTGCTGTCTTTATAGAACTGGTAGCAATTGTCTCCATGCCATTTCCATTGTTCTGTACAAGGGCTGCACCTGTGTGCTTGGAAAAAAGCCAATTTTATTGTTATTTTCTGCATGAGTCTGTCTTGCTCCTCTCTTGAAATTATATAGTATTTGATGTCCTAAGAAAGAATTAACTCTTCCTCAATATTTAATTAATTACCCAGGCAATGATAACTACAATGTTTACTGGATACCTACTAACTGCCAGGAATTATAACTGGTCCTAAGTATGTTGTAGAAATTAAAACAGACACTAATTGCTTATGTGGAATCTAGTAATAAATGATTAGAACTTTCTTGCCACTTGCCTATGAAATTCAGCACATGAAGAGAATATTCAATTTCACAAAGCATCTCAAATGTACAGAAACTCCAACTGCATTGTGTTTAGGAAATAAAGTTTCTATAATGTTCTCCTCAAAATTATCTTACATAATAGTAAAATAAGTTTTAAAAAATACGGTATATACCAATATGATGTGGAGTCTTTTTAAGGAAAAAAATACTGAGGCAAGCCTGAAGTTAGAATGCTGAATCTCCATGTGTCACAAATTAAATTGGGCATCCAGGCCAGAGAAGTATGGGTAGTGATCGCAAATATAGGTGCCAAGCCCTGAGAGCTATAGTTTTAACCCTATGTGGATACATGACCTTGGGTCATTTAGAGTTAGGAACCTAATCCAGTCTCTTGTGGGTCTGTAGTGGGATGAGAACCCAAGTCATATCTATAACAATTTCTTTATTTTAAAAGCGATCTAGTTAACATGTTAAAATCTCAGTGGCTAATACACAGGTAGGTGTTATATTATTGTTTATATCTTCTTGTAAATTTGAAATATTTCATGAAGTAAAACAAAATATAAATAAATAAATAAATAACTTAGAAGGATATCTTTGTCATGTTATGAAAAACTTGCTGTGGAGCTCAATAGCTTTTGCACTCTCTCAGACAGGTCGGCTTGCTTCAGAATTCTACCAGGAGAAATGTAACAACCTGGAGAGACTCAAGCAAAAATGCAGGGAGCCTCAGACGTTCTAAAACACAGAACAAGAATGGGAATGATGCTTACCTAAAAGGATTATTGTAAAGAGTAAATACGTAAAAAACAGAGTCCAGTTTGTGCAGAGACTTATGCATAAAAAGCATTTAATAAAGGTCCGTTTCAACTATGGTCCCTGTTGTTGTGAGAACTTAGATGGGTGATATATGCTTGGAGTGCTGTGCTGAAAAAGATTATGAAGCAGCAACTGGACTCAGCAAGGAGAATCTTGGTTCATTCTGCTCTGGATTCAATAAATAAAAACTATGTAACTGCAATTTTGGTACAGTGTATTAATACCTCATTCCAGTCTCACATACAATGTTTTCTTAAATACCTTCAGTCTTCAGATATGATAAGTGACCCTCTATGTGCTCTATGTAAAAACAAGTCTCCTACTTGTAGGGGAATTAATAGAGAAATTTTCAATGAATGTTTAGGAGGAAGCAAGGGACAATTAGATCAAAAGGTGAGAGACTAAAGGACTGAGAGCCTTATGTGAAATAGGTAGTGATACTATGTAACTAAAGAGACAGAGATAGAGAAACTTCTTTACTTTCTTAACTTCAACTACCTAATATTTGATATACTATTACTTAAACCATTGGAGGAGGAAAATAGAATACAGATTAGAAGAAATTCATTTCTCTCTATATACATATAGATATAGGTACAGACATAGATATAGATAGATATACAGATACATATACCCTCCATTCCAGCCTAGACAACAGAGTGAGACCCTGTTTTCCCCACCTCTCTGCTCCCCCCAAAAATATATATTTTTAAAGGAGAAAAATGCATATTTTTGGCCGGAAAAACGGGTGGACTGAAAATGAACTGTTCTCAAATGTTTTGTCCATGGCATATACACCTAGGAAAAATAAAATACTAATTTCTAAACGGAACATGTACACTTTCTATGAACTCTCTTTACCTATAAATTACCATTTTTATATTATATAGTGCAATAAATGTTTATAGATATTTAGGATCAATAAACAATAATGTTCATATTAGCAAGGCCAATAACCCCAGGACGGGCATTCCATTTCATAAATACATGAAAATATGTCATCCAAAGAAAAGGCTAATCGTCTTTTTTTTTCTTATAGTCCTTTCTCTCTCCATTTCTCCTTTATTTTTGCTGTGTTTTGGGCAAAAGGAATGTAAGTCTGTGTATGTGTCTGGCCCAGAATTTTCCCTCATATATCTAACTCCCCAAACAGCATTCCTGGTTTCTAATCTTCCCCTTGTAGCCAGAGAATTCTTCTTCCTTTCACTCGACCACATCTCTATGCTTCTAGTTGTTTTGACCCCAAATTCTGGAGCTGTTTTTGAATCTTTCATTTCTCACACATCAATTTATATCCCATCATGCCATCATTTCCACAAACAATATCCTAGTTAGAAGAACCATCATATTTCTCCTAGATTTTAGTAACAGCCATCTCTTATCTGATTTCTCTGTTGCTATTCTTTCCTCTTCCAGTCTAATTTTAACAGAATGTAGATTAAGCCTTTAAAAACTTATGCCAGATCATGTATTTCCTCTGCTTAAAACCCCATAATTAATCCTCATCTGCTCAAAATAGTAGCCAAATCTCTCACAAAGGCACCTAATGCTGTACATTATCTCTACCTAGCCTCCTGTTAGTCTTCCACTCCAACCGCATGAGCTCCTCATTATTCCTGGAATATGCAGATACATTCATGTTTTAAGGCTCTTTTGTTTCCTGTTTTAACTTAAAGCTTATTATTTCTCTATATTACATGGCTAACTCCCTCAACTTTTCAAGTCTTTGCTACCATATAATCATCTTAATTCAGGATTTACGACAGCTCTATTTAAAGTAGCAACAGACTACCCTGGAATTCCTTATCCCTCTTGCCTTGTTTACCTTCATTTCTCATAGGATTGATTAATCTCTCATACATTGTATTTAGGTTGGCCGATCATTACTGTATACCTGGGACCTAGAGTTTCCCAGAATGTGGGACTTTTAGTACTAAAATAAGGAACGTTGGGGGCCAACTTGGAAATGCTGGTTGATATAGTTTGAACATTTGTCCCCTCCAAATCTCATATTGGAATTTGATCCTCAGTGCTGGAGGTGGGGCCTAATGGGAAGTGTCTCGGTCAGGGAAGCAGATCCCTTATGAACAGCTTGGTGAGTTCTCGCTCTATGAGTCCCAGGAGAACTGAGTGTTAAAAAGAGCCTGGCATGTCTCTCCCCAATCTCTTGCCTCCTGGACTCTTGTCATATTACCTGCTGCACTTTCCCCCATGTGTGGAAGCTGCCTGAGGCTCTCAGAAGAAGCAGATGCTGGCACCATGTTTCTTGTATAGCCTGCAGAATCATTAACCAAATAAAACTCTTTTCTGTATAAATTACCCAGGCTCAGGTACTCCTTTATAGCAACACAAACAGACAAAGACATTAGTCATCTTATGTTTTTCAATATACTTACTTCTACTACCCCACTAGAGTAAGTGGTCCATGAGAGTAGACATCCTGTGTGTTTTGTCAGATATGCATCAGTAGGCATTCAGTAAATACTCCAACCACACTGGTAGCAGTACGAACTAAATGCATAAATATCACTTCAGTGGGTGGATGGATGGATGGATAATGGGTAAGATGAGGGTAAGAAATAAAAAGTAGCAGATTAAAACTGAGAACTGACATCTAACCAAAAATATGTAAGAATTTTTTATGAGAAGCAGCATTAATATATTTGCATTTAGATTTTATATTTAAATTAAATGTAACTTATTTGCATAGCTTCTCTTTTTGTTTGTTTTTATATACCTAAATAAAAATTTGAAAGACCATTTGTGTTAGGAAAATCTCGGTTACCTTAAAAAAAAATTTTTTTTAGCCAGGTGCAATGGCTCATGCCTGTAATCCCAGCAGTTGGGAGGCTGAGGCGGGCAGATCACTTGAGGCCAGAGTTCAAGACCAGCCTGGGCAACATGGAAAAACCCCGTCTCTACTTAAAATATACAAAAATTAGCCAGATGTGGTGGTGCATGCCTGTAATCCCAGCTACCCAAGAGGAGATACGAGAATCACTTGAACCCAGGAGATGGAGACCGCAGGGAGCCGAGATCATGCCACTGCACTCCAGTCTAGGTGACAGAGCGAGACTCTGTCTTAAAAAAAAAAATTAAAAATAAAAGTAAAAATAAAAATAAAAATAATTTTTGAGATAGTATCTTACTATATTGCCTGGGCTGGTCTTGATCTCCTCAGCTCAATCTTCTAGCCTCAGCCTGTCAAGTAGTGGATTATCTTTTTGAAGATATGGCAACCAACAAAGGAAAGTATGCACACTGGGCTTTGTTAGAAAAATTTGTAAATAAATGCTGGGCACGGTAGTTTACGCTTATAATCCTAGCACTTTGGGAGGCTGGGGCAGGGGGAACACCTGAGGTTGGGAGTTCAAGACCAGCCTGCCCAACACAGTGAAAACCCATCTCTACTAAAAATACAAGAAAAAATTAGCTGGGTGCAGTGGTGCACACCTGTAGTCCCAGCTACTCAGGAGGCTGAGGCAGGAGAATTGCTTAAACCTGGGAGGAGGAAGTTGCAGCAAGCCGAGATCGTGTCACTGCCTTCCAGCCTAGGCAACAGAGTGAGACTCCATCTCCCCCCACCCCCAAAAAAAGGAAAAAGAAAAATTAGTAAATAAGGACATTATGACCATTGAGGTCATTAGTTATGTAGGAAAGAATCACTTAGAGAAGTAAAACTGTGCCTATTAATATTTTCTCCTGCATAGCCATGCAATCAGGATGTCTGTTTCAGGTGGGAAGTGGTGTGTGTATAGTAGATGAGGAGACTTTGCCCTCCTTCAGAGTTCCTAAAAAAGAAATAAAAAGTGGAAACCTGAACATGTATGCCATTTCCTAAGTAAGCATGATAAAGAGAGCAGAAGAGAGAGCTGACCTGAATAAAGTGGATTATCACAAAACCTGAAAAGAATAGGAGAATAGGAATACACATGCACTCACACTGAAGCGATGCTCCTAGACTTCTCCAGCAGTAATTTTATCAACGGTGGTTCACCTACCATTGGCACTGTCATCATCTGTGGTCCTTATTAAACTGCATATTTTTGATACCCAGCCAAGTTATCCTGAATTAAAATAACTTGAATTTGATTCAGGTTATCTGCATTTTCAGACTAGTCCCTGTATGTTGTTTAAGATTTGAGAACTATAGTTATGAGTTTGCTTACTTCTTACTAGGAAAGAATTTGTAAGAACATTTGCCGAGGTAAATTGAGACATACCCCTGTATTTTCTTTACTCGTAGTCTTATTTTGGTTATTCTTAGTTAATTGTTTTTATTGTTTTAAAATGTCTGCATTTGAAGAGTCCCTTGATGCATGGTATCACAGACACATATGAATCACATGATCCCAACAACTGATCATGATCTTGAAGCCCAAACCCTTTTTCAGTTTGCCAGACCTCTAGTTAAATAATACTTGACTCTCACTTTCACCGGCGGGAAATCCATCTCTCTGTTTCCAGACAACATGGGGACAGAGTGACCAGGACACACTTACCTCCAGCTTTGTTATACAGCTCACGACAGAGTTTTTCAGCCACATGCTGCAGACTTCCTGCAAGCTTTATATTCTGGACTTGAAGAGATTGCAACTCTTGGGACGTATTTCCTAATCTTTCTTCCATTTGAGAAATGGTGTCTTGACCAGTATTGGAGAGCTGGTAGTACTGAAAAACTAACCCAAATGACCAAGTCAGACTGGACAGCTTATTTCTATGTTTTATTTCCATTTTCTGCTTATGGGGAAGACAAAACAGTATATTTTTTAGTATCTCAGGCTCTGAGTTCTCATATTGCCTATATTCAAGTTTGGACTCTAGTACATATATGAGAAGTTGTATCACCTTGGGCAAATTAATTTCTTTAAGTCTGTCTAAAAATGTGAAGTCATGAGGAGAAAATGACGGCTAAGAGGGCTAAGATAGAGCTCCCATTTGGACAACAGAACAGGGTGAGGAGACTCACACTGTGAACTTTTCCTCCAGGAACCACCTCAGGAACATACCAGGAAAATTGAAAGAATGCACAGATCCTTTGAAAGAAGCAACTCAATACTGAAAATTCTGGAAGACAGCCAAAAATGTGTGAAGTGGGGAAAACCCACCTCTGAACACACATCCCTAATGGGGAACCTGAAAATCTGGGTTACATGAGAAGGATTTAACCTCACCTGGAGCAGAAATGGATGTAGGGAGCCAAATATAAAATAGATGCAAAATATAAAAGTAGAAGAAGCAGAGGAAAGAGTCCTGTAGGCACTCCCATTCTCCAGCTCAAGCCCAGGGAAGCCATCCCTGACTTTGTCTCACAGGGGTCCTTGGACAAGGCAGCCAGTGGAATTAAAGAGGAGACACAGGATGAAAGAAGCTTCCAAATGAATTTTGTAATAATTTCAACTGGATATGAATTTTCTTAAGCAGAATCCAGGGGGCAAAGAGGAACTGCTACAGATATCAGCACAGGAACTGTGACAGATGGTGTGGGAAGGTGGGGAGCGGCGTGGCCTGAAAGCCTGCTTGCTTTCTCAGTGGGAAGGGTTGTAGCCTGAGGCAAGTTCAGAGCCCCAGGCATGAGCTGCCAGGATATAAACTTCGTGGTGTTGGTGGGGCATGGGGGGAGCAAGACTTGCATCACCAGCTATGTGGGAGCTGGGTAAGGCCTATCACTGCCAGCTTTCTCCCACTTCCCTGGTGACCTGTATGACACAGCAGAGGCAGCCATAAAATCCTGAGAACCAACCCCCATCCCCCACAGGATTCATGACAAGCCCCGTCCAAGGAGAGTGGGAGCTCAGACCTGCCTAACCCTGATCCCATGTGATGTTTTTTCTCTATGCACCCTGGTACCCAAACACAAAAGACATAAACTTGGGAGCTGTATGGCCCCACCCATCACCTGAGAAACCTGAATACTCATCCTGGCAAACTTAGAACAAGCTTACATCCCGTGTCTACTACTGCAGCTGGTGCTCTCTTTAAAGCACCACCTCCTGGCTGGAGGCCAACAACTCAAACCATTAGAGTAACTCAAGACAGAATAACCCTGCTCCAAGGAGGGAGAAGACAACAGCTAATTCCACTGCCTGCAACATCCTGGCTAACCAGAGGTCCTGAGTGCATCCATCTGACAACTTCACTGCTAGCATAACCAGCATTCAAGGAAGCCAGCACACTAAACAGCACACTAAACATATCTACAACCAAGGACTCTCACACAGTCTGCTTCACCTCCTTGCCAACTTCACCAGAGCAGGTGCTGGTATCCACAGATGGGAGACCAGAAGATGGATCATATCACAGGACTCTGCAGACATTCCCCAGCACCAGCCTGGAGCCTGGTAGCACCACTGGGTGGCTAGACCCAGAAGAGAATAACAATCACTGCAGTCTGGCTCTAAGGAAGCCCTAGACCTAGGGGAAGGGGGAGAGCACAACATCAAGGGATCACCCCATGGGATGAAAGAATCTGAACAGCAGCCTGTGTGTTCCAGATCTTTTCACTGAAATACCCAATAGACCCAAATGACAAGGAAACAGAAAAATAATTCTGGTAATATGACAAAACAGGATTCTATAGCACCACCAAAAGGTAACACTAGCTCCCCAGCAATGGATTCAAACCAAGAAGAAATCTTTGAATTGCCAGATAAAGAATTCAGAAGGTTGATTATTAAGTTACTCAAGGAGATACCAGAGAAAAGTGAAAACCAACTTAAGAAACTTATTTATGGTTTTCTTTCTTTCTTTTTGAGACAGAATCTCACTCTGTTGCCCAGGCTGGAACGCAGTAGTGTGATCTTGGCTCACTGCAACCTGGATCTACCTCCCAGGTTCAAGTGATTCTCCTGCCTCAGCCTCTCAAGTGGCTGGGATTACAGGTGCCCACCACCATGTCTCTCTAATTTTTATATTTTTTGTAGAGATGGGGTTTCACCATGTTGGCCAGGCTGGTCTTAAACTCCTGACCTCAGGAGATCTGCCCTCCTCAGCCTCCCAAAGTGCTGGGGTTACAGGCATGAGCCACCATGTCCGGCCTAAACAAATTTTAAAAAACAATATAGGATATGGATTTAAAAAATTATCCAGAGAAATAAATATCGTAAAGAAAAAACAATCACAACTTCTGGAAATGAAAGACACACTTAGAGAAATAGAAAATGCAGTAGAAGGTTTCAACAATAGACTAGAACAAGGAGAAGAGAGAATTTCAGAGCTTGAAGACAAGGCTTTTGAATTACCCCAATCTGACAAAGACAAAGATAATAGAAAAAAAAAAATGAACAAAGTCTCCAAGTAAGTTGGAGTTATAGTAAATGGCCAAACCTAAGAATAATTGTTTCTGAGGAAGAAGAGAAATCTAGAAGTTTGGAAAACTTATTTGAGGGGATAAACCAGGAAAACACCCATGGTCTTCCTAGAGATCTAGACATCCAAACACTAGAAGCTCAGGATGTAAGGGCAATCTGGCTGCGATATCTGTCACCCCACTGATTGCCAGTGTTGATTCAGCGGATCTGGCTGGCTAGGTGTGTGTCCCCTTCCTCCCTCACTGTTCCATGTGCATCCCTCCTGAAGCTGTGCACTGGGTCGAAGAGGACGACCACACCCGATAGAGGAGGACCAGTCTGGTCAAGGGTATATGTGTAGCTGCACTCTCCTGCTAGAACCTCCAAACAATCTCTCAAATACTAGAAGCTCAAAAAACACCTGAGAAATTCATTGAAAAAGATTATCGCCTAGGTAAATATTCATTATGTTATCTAAAGTCAAGATGAAGGAGAGAATCTTAAAAGTTGTAAGACAGGCCAGGTGCAGTGGCTCAAGTCTGTAATTCCAGCACGTTGGGAGGCCAAGGTGGGAAGATCACGAGGTCAGGAGATTAAGACCATCCTGGCTAACACGGTGAAACCCTGTCTCCACTAAAAATACAAAAAATTAGCCAGGCGTGGTGGCAGGCGCCTGTAGTCCCAGCTACTCAGAATGCTGGGGCAGGAGAATGGCATGAACCCGGGAGGCGGAGCTTGCAGTGAACCGAGATCGCGCCACTGCACTCCAGCCTAGGCGACAGAGTGAGACTCTGTATCAAAAAAAAAAAAAAAAAAAAAAGAAAAGAAAATGTTGTAAGACAGAAACATCAGGTAATCTATAATGAACACTTACCAGATTAATAGCTGACATCATCAGAAACCCTACAAGGCAGAAAGGATTGGGGTCCTATTTTTACCCTCCTCAAACAAAATTTTGTCAGCCAAGAATTTTGTATCCAGTGAAACTGAGATTCATAAATGAAAGAGAGATAATGTTTTTTTCAGAGAAACAAATGCTGCAAGAATTTGCCACTACCAAGACAGAGCTACAAGAAATGCTAAAAGGAGTGCTAAATCTTGAAACAGAATCTCAGAATACACCAAAATAGAATCTCCTGAAAGCATAAATCTCACAGGACCTATAAGACAATAACACACACACACACACACACACACACACACACACACACACACACACAATAAAACAAGGTATTCAGGCAAGAACTAGCATAATGAATAGAACAGTACTGCACATCTCAATACTAACACTGAATGTAAATGGCCTAAATGCTCCACTTAAAAGCTAAAGATGACAGAATGGATTTCACCAATCAAGTATCTGCTGTCTTCAAAAGACTCACCTAACACATAAGGACTCACATAAACTTAAGGTAAAGAGGTGGAAAAAGATATTCCACGCAAATGGAAAACAAAAATGAGCCGGAGTAGCTATTCTTTTATCAGACAAAACAGACATTAAAGCAAAAACAGTAAAAAAAAAAAAAAAAAAAAGACAAAGACGGACATTATAGACATTATATAGTGATAAAAGGAATAGTCCAACAGGAAAGTATCACAACCCTAAATATATATGCACTTAACATTGGAGATCCCAAATTTATAAAACAATTACTACTAGACCTAAAAAAATGAGATAGACAGCAACACAATAATAGTGGGGGACTTCAATACTCCACTGACAGCACTAGACAGGTCTTGAAGACAGAAAGTCAACAATGAAGAAGAAAGAAAGAAACAGTGGACTTAAAACTATATCCTAGGACAAATTGACTTAAAAGATATTTACAAAACATTCCATCCAACAACTGCAGAGTATGCATTCTTTTTATGAGCACATGTAACATTCTCCAACAAAGGCCATATGATAGGCCACAAAAAAAGTCTCTATAAATTTAAGAAAACTGAAATTATATCAAGTATTCTCTCAAAGCATAGTGAAATAAAATTGAAAATTAACAATACAAGGCACCCTGAAAACTACACAAATACATGGAAATAAAATAATCTGATCTTGAATGATCTTTGGGTAAACAACGAAATCAAGATAGAGATTAAAAAATACTTTGAACAGAACGATAATATTGGTGACACAACTTATGAAAACCTCTAGCATACAGCAAAAGCGGTGCTAAGAGGAAAGTTCATAGCATTAAATGACTACATCAAAATGTCTGAAAAACCACAAATAGACCATCTCAGGTCACAGCTCAACAAATTGGAGAAACATGAACAAACCAAACCCAAATCCAGTAGAAGAAAAGAAGTATCAAAGATCAGAGAAGAACTAAATGATATTGAAATGAAAAAAAAAAAAGAAATACAAAAGATAAATGAAATAAAAAACTGGTTATTTGAAAAGATAAATAAAATCAATAGAACGTTAGCAAGGTTAATCAAGAAAAGGAGAGGAGATCCAAATAACCTCAATTACAAATGAAACGGGAGATGTTCCAACTGATGCCACACAAATACGAAAGATCACAAAGTCCAGAGGGGATAGATAAATTCCTGGAAATATACAACCCTCCTAGATTAAACCAGGAATAAATAGAAACTCTGAACAGAACAGTAACAAGTAGTGAAATTGAAACAGTAATAAAAACATTGCCAACAAATTAAAGTCCATTCACAGATGGATTCACAGCTGAATTCCATCAGACATTCAAAGAAGAATTGGTACAAATATTACTGAAACTGTTCCCAAAAATAGAGAAAGAGAATCTTCCCTAAATCATTCTATGAAGCCAGTATCACACTAATACCAAAACCAGGAAAGCACAGAACAAAAAGAAAACTACAGACCAATATCCCTGATGAACACTGATGCAAAAATCATCAACAAAAGGCTAGCTAACTGAGGCCTGGCACGGTGGCTCATGCCTGCAATCTCAGGACTTTGGAAGACCGAGGCAGGTGGATCACCTGAGGTCGGGAGTTCGAGACCAGCCTGACCAACATGGAGAAACTCCGTCTCTACTAAAAACACAAAATTAGCCAGGTGTGGTAGTGGGTGCCTGTAATCTCAGCTACTCGGGAGGCTGAGGCAGGAAAATCCCTTGAACCCGGGAGGCGAAGGTTGCAGTGAGCCGAGATCATGCCACTGCACTCCAGCCTGGGCGACAGTGTAAGACTCCATCTCAAAAAAAAAAAAAAAAAAGACTAGCTAACTGAATCCAACAGCACATCAAAAAGATAATACCCCATGATAAAGTGGGTTTTATCCCAGGGATGCAGGGATGGTTTAACATACACAAGTCAATAAATATGACACATTACATAAACAGAATTAAAAACAAAAATCCTATGATCATCTCAATAGATGCAGAAAAAGCATTTGACAAAATCCAGCATTCCTTTATGATTAAAACATTCAGCAAAATTGGCATATAAAGGACATACCTCAAAGTTATATATATATATATATATATATATATATATATATATATATATATATTTGTTTTTTTTTTTTTTAGACAGAGTCTCACTCTGTCACCTAGGCTGGAGTGCAGTGCAGTGGTGTGATCTTGGCTCACTGCAATCTCCGCCTCCTGGGTTCAAGCGGTTCTCCTGCCTTGGCCTCCTGAGTAGTTGGGATTACAGATGCCCACCACCATGCCTGGCTAAGTTTTGTATTTTCAGTAGAGACAAGGTTTCACCATGTTAGCCAGGCTGGTCTCCAACTCCTGACCTCAAGCGATTCGCCCGCCTCAGCCTCCCAAAGTGCTGGAATTACAGGCATGAGCCACCATTCCTGGCCTAAAAAAAATGTATAATTTAAATAATTTATCTATGTATATTTATAAATAAATAAATAGAAATGTGGAGTTATAATATTAGTTCCTAACTTCAGGAATAAATTCTTAACCTATATTTACTGCTTGATAAATATTTTTATGTATACTCTCAAATGTTACTCAACATAAAACCGCCAATCTGTTTATATGTTGATCATTATATTGAGTATTGACAATATACCATATATTGTTACTTATTCAGTTATTGAAATAGTGTTATTATTTTTTCCATGATTTTACAGTTTGCAATTAGGATCATTGAGAACAAGTAAATTCCTAACATCATTTGACTAGAAATTTTCAACATTCAGATTTGAAATTCAGGTCTCTACATCTAAGTATAGAAATCCCTCATGAATCATAAGAGTTCCTCTATATTTCCAAGAATAATGGTGATTGCAAAACAATAGTTCTATCACAATGAAACAAAACTTTTGGGATCAAAAAGGGCAACAAGAAGTTATTTTTAATTTTGAAATATAAGACACAAACAGAAGTATTAAAATTCCTATAAAACCCAATTTTTGACATTAAAATCTGCTCTTCTATATAACATTTTTCTTTGAATAACTGTTCAAAGAACAGTTAAAAGAACTGTTCAAAGAACAGTTAAAAGAACTGTTCAAAGAACAGTTATTCAGCTGTTTAGGAAACATTGCTGTGGGGTCTTCACCTACTGAGGCAAATTCATCCACTTTCTTTTTTAAGCTTTTTAACTTGTTTTTACTAGTTTGAAATTTAAATATTTTTAGATATGCTTTTTTCCAATTTGATTTTCACAAGTTTTTGTAAAGTGACTGTATAACTTCCTGGCCTTTAAAAAATATGGTGATTAAGGAGTTTACCTACTCTCCTTGTATTGATGGTACCCGTGGCTCTATGGGTAGCATATTCTGCACTAGCCCACTGAACCTTGTATTCTCAGAGCCCAAACCTCTGATACCCTAGTCTTTTGTGGAATGGGAGAGGGCTGAAGCATGCATTTATTTAAAATAAATGATTTTTTTTAAACATTGACATACAAACAAACAGACAAAACCCTTCTTATCTCAAACAGAATGTTTAATTCTAGTTGGCAACTGATTTTTTTTTTACTTCTTCTTCCATTATTCACTATTTAAATAGTTGCCATTTAAAAAAAGATACACTGAATTTTCCAAAGGCTAAGGAATTAAAGTTTAAAAAACAAATCCATAACAAGTGTTTCTCATCCTAGACAAACCTTGGAACCAGGATCCTCCCCCAGGTCAGAGCGCAGACTTACACAAAAGCCCCAGGGCTGCCAGCCCTATCAGCAGCACCAAGCACAAAGTCAGCAGGGTCAGGGCCACTGGTCGCCACGTTGAAGAGGGAGCCCTGTGCTCTGCAGGGAACAGAAGAGAAAGCAGAGTTTGGCTTTTTCTTCCTCTTGCATCTAAGTCAATAACAGGTAAGGGAGTGGAGTTAATTCTGCACAAGAACAAATTAGGCTGGACAACGGTAACAGGGGCTGGATAACCTGCTTTCTGTCCTCAGAAACATCATCATAAGGCTCAGTGCAAGCCTCACTTATCACAGCTAGATTTTCTCACAAGCCCCACCCGTTTGTATCCACCCCTCAAGTCTTACTTTGCACTGAATCACACTATGCATTACCATTATCTTTATGTGGTTCTTTGTACAACCTTCTGCTTGTCAAAATTCTAATTATGAAAGACTCTCACGAAAATGTCTGAAACACAGCCTGAGAATCTCTGAACCTTACCAAGGGACAACTTTTTACATAATCAGGGGAAAGATGAAATTAATTTGTTGTTACTTTTGAAAAACATCCCCCTTCCCCCAAGTTCCGTATATGCTTTTTCTAAAAGGCAAATTGCATGTTAGTAATGGGAAGTAATAATTTTACTGTTTTTCTGTGGAATTGCTTAATTGAAAGTCCCGCTATTGTAAGGATATTGTTTATTCATTCATTTGATTTATATTTTTTCAAAAATAGATTATAAAGAAACATGATAATCAATTTCAGAAAGATGAATCTAAACTATTTTTGCAACAGTTAAATAATTTTTAAAACTGTGGCAAACATGGTTTCCTCGCCCTCCATTCCCATAAGTTTGACTAGTAATTGCAGAGGTTTTACTGTAAGTCATGAGTAGACCCCTCACCTAGTGAGGTCACCTATCTGAATCTGAATGACCTAACATATCTGAAGGGAAGAGTCTCAGTCAGGTGCAGGTAGCATCTAGCACTGTGATAAAAATGAAACAAAGAGAGAGTGAAACCCTCAAACAAACTGTGATCTCTTTGTAGCCCGTTAGTTCTACTTCACTGAGAATTCAAGTCACGTTCTGAAACAGAAAGATTAAAGAGATCGGAGGGGCTTTTTGAAAGGAAAATTCTTTTCCTTCTAGCAAGGTCCTATACATAATACATTCTAGGTACAGAGATTTTCCAGGCTGGAGTGCAGTGGCGAGATCTCAGCTCACTGCAACCTCCGCCTCCAAGGTTCAAGCAATCCTCCCACCTCAGCTCCTGAGGAGCCGGAACTACAGGCACGTGCCACCACGCCTGGCTAATTTTTTTTTCCTATATTTTTGTTGGAGATGAGGTTTCACCATGTTGCCCAGGCTGCAGGCTGTTCTCTAACTCCTGAGCTCAAGTGATCCTCTAACCCCGCCTCCCAAAGTGCTGGGATTACAGGCATGAGCCACCGCGCCCGGCCAATTCTAGGTAGAGATTTATATGAAACGTTATTTCCAAATGGGGAATGATAACTAGTAAAGAATATAGAAATAGACAGTATAATTACTATCCTCTGGAACTTACAATCTAGTAGGCAAAATAAGTTAAAGTCTCGGAGAAGACATACTGATACATTTTTAAATGTGAATCTTATTTCTTAGCAATCATCTCCTTCATAAGTAGCTTTCATTACATTTAGAATAAAATACAAATCACTTTTCACAGATTGCTCCTTTTTTTAAAAAAAATGGCAATTTTATTATGCTACTTCCCTACTTAAAAACTTCAAAAGCTTTATTGCACTTAAAATTAAATCCTGCATTAGTCTTATTGAGACCTTCCTTAGCTCTTTCATGCCTTTCTGAACTATTTTCCCCTCACTCACATGTACTCCTCACAACGGTCTCCCGTTTAGTCCTTGATCTGATCAAGCTTGACCCTAAGCACCTTGTATCAGCCCTACTTCTGCCTCTGCATTAATTTCAGTTTCAATGGCACATCCTTGGAAGAGGTCCGTAAGTCCATCTCTAGCAGATCACTCACCCTGTACTAGGTAATCTTTTCATGACTTTTGTTTCTTTTTGTCTGTCTCCTTTCTCTCCATTTAACATTCCATTACAACAATGATCTTGTCTATCTTGTCCACCAGTCCATTTCCACTACTGAAAGTAGTGCCTGGGACATAAGGGCTGAGTAAATCTTTGACAGCTTAAATAATCAAAAAATGAAATAATAAAAAATTAATATGACTTAAACTATTTAAGTTTTAAAGAGATAAGTGGGTTCTCCAAAGTTAAGTTTACAGGTTTTTGTTTTTGTTTTTTTTGTAGGCTATTGATTTTCAGCAACATCTATGTCAGCAGAAAACAGACTCAGCTAAATACATCTCCCAGCCATGTTGGTTTCTATACATTGACTTTTGTGAGATTATATCATGAACAAATCTAAGGGAGATTTGCTTCCTCCTGTTTCCTTCAGTTAACTGAGCTATGTGATTTAGTCTTAGTTTTTCTGGAAAAAGATGGTTTTCTCGTGGTATTGACTGTAAAAGTATTTCAGATCAGCAGAACATAAAAAAAAAAAAAGATTAGAGGCAGAATATATAGTTTGGGTTAATCATCCTCTCCAAAACCCTATATTTGTAAACTTCCATACAGTCCAAGAAAGTTAATCATATGGATGTTTCTAGATTCCATAGTTAAAAGTGCTTATGTGAGCCCACCACCATGGTGATTTTATTTTTCCACATACCTCTTATTACCATTAAATATATTGTATATCTTTGTTATTTCATTTAGCTTATATGTGTCTTACTCCAGGAAAAATTAAGCTCCTTCTTGGAAAATATTTATTTATCCATTATTGCAACCCAATTCCTAGGGCAGTAGTTGAAATAAGCTCAATTAAATTTAAATAAATGAATGAATAGGTCCATTATATACAAATACCTGTGTTATATGCCTGCCTACCCTTACTCAAACACAGTTACATTAATATGCATCTCAAAGTCATAATAATTTTTTAAATCCTGTGACCTCTTATAATTAATATTTGTCTGGCTGAAATTAAAAATAAGAAGTAAAGGAGAAGAACTATGACAGTCAACCAACTTATTTATCTCTTTATAAATCTGTTTTCCGCCAGGCACGGTGGCTTAGGCCTGTAATCTCATCACTTTGGAATCCTCCCAACTGAAGCAGGAGGATTGCTTTGGGCCAGGAGTTCGAGACCAGCCTGAGCAACATAGTGAGATCCCATCTCTACAAAAGATAGCAACATAGTGAGACCCCCATCTCTATAAAAAATTTTTAAAATTCATCAGCCATGGTGGCACACACCTGTAGTCGCAGCTACTCAGAAGGCTGAGGTGGGAGGATTGCTTGAGCCAGGGAGGTCAAGGCTGCAGTGAGTCGTGATCGTGCCACTCTACTCCAGCCTGGGTGACAGAGCAAGATCTTCTCTCAAAAGTAGTAATGAAATGAAATGAAATAAAATAAGATAAAATAAAATAAATCTGCTTTCTCTCGCATAATATTGAGGACATAGGAGTTGTTGTTTTCTGCCCAAAGGACCAAAAAGAGTGAATTTAAATTCCTACTGTGAAGTGAGGGCCTGGACTTTAGAAATCAGAACATCTTTCAATAATAATTATATTCATGAAAAGAAAAAAAATACATGATCCTTCCTAAGATTGCCTCTAGGGCAGAAAAAATAAAAGAAGTATAACAGGCTTTAAAAAGTTTTTAAAAATCTCTTCTAAGAAATCCTCTTTCTCTGATCAAATTTTCATATTTTGAAATTTTTCTTCTCTCTTCCCATCTCCCTCTTGCTCTCTCGCTTTCTCTCTCTCTCTTTTTCAAAATTCTCCTTCCAATCATTCTATATAAAAGACATGGAGAAACACAATCCTAGGGAGTTCATCTTCCAGGAAACCAAGCTCCCATGACGGAAAGTCCATGAAACTGAAAGTTTCACTTTTTCTTTTTCTTTGATACTATTTTTCCTTCTAGATGTTTTTCTTCTAACTGTGAGTCTAATGTTTCTCAGTTTTATTCCAAGTGCTCCTAATCATACTGAAGTCTCTCTCCAGGGATCACCCTCACCCTAACATGAGACAGATTTTCACAAAAATAAGATGCCTAGGAGGTCGCTTGAGTTTGGTTTGGCTTTATTGTGGTTTTATTTTTTGGAAGAGAACCCCTTTGCTGTCTCCTGAGGCATGTTTAGAAAGGGGTGTGGACAGGCCAAGGAATGATATAAACATCCCTAGGAATAATAAGATATATATAGAAAAAAAAAAAAAACCTTTCCTGTATCCTCTTAGTATTAACCATACTATAAAAGGCCTTAGTGCTAGGGTCAAATTTTGGATACCAATTACTGTGTAATTATATGAAACTTTGTGGGTGGAGAGTTGTCAGACTTAACCAGTTACCCTTCATCAGGCATCAGAGAGGGAAAATTTTGTTTTCCACCCAAGAAACTAAGCTGACATTACCATATACAGTCTATTAGTATACCTATGAAATGCAAAAGGTCTTAAAAGCTGGAGAAGACACCGAGAGTTTAAATAATGTGCATGTTACAAACTAGTTGCAGAGCTAGGATTAAATTATGTTTAACGCTATACTCTGCACACTTTTCCATGAGCCAGTCAGGAATCACAGAGACATGGGGGCAAAACTGGTGGCAATGTACATAATATTTCAGAAAGCACTTTTTCATCCCTTTGTATTTTGAAATGTAAACGTCTTTGTTTCCTTAATCCTCACATATGGCACATAGGAAACTTCCTCATGGGAATCTGAGTTCACGGGTTGAGTCTGCTTTTCTGTGTTCATGTAAATGCAGGTTTCTTTTCTCTTATGAATCTATTTCAAATATTGCTATTTTCATACTCTCTAAATGAAAATCTGTGTTATCCTTCCTATTATTTGAAAAGAGTATACATCTAAAAACATATGAGCTATTTCTAGAATATCATTGAGGTTCTAATTCACAGTATTTAGAAATTTAATTATATTTTTCATCTTCAGTAAAAGTTAGGTGACTCAATTTTATATCCCCATCAACAGATATTATTTACTGAAATATAATTCAAAAACAACATTACCATTAATGATAATTGCTCAAATTTCTTGAGTTACTGAGAAAAATGTCTTATATGAATGTTCTCATCTAGCCTCACAAACACCCCCTATAAGGTAGATATTATTATCTCATTTTACAGGTAGGGAACTGAGGCCTAGCAGGTTTAGACAGCTTATTCAGGAACACACAGCTACTATTAGCAATAGTTACTAATGAACTATTAGTAACTCCCCAGGATTGTGTTTCTCCATGTCTTTATATAGAATGATTGGATGGAGAGTATTGAAAAAGAGAGAGAGAGAAATAGTTATTAATAGTAACCATAAGTGTGTTCTAGATACACATTATTTCACTGGAAGCAACCTTTACAAAAATTGAATTACCAAGGAGTCACTTAAGTTGCCTAAGTCACTAAGTTGCACAGAGCTACCCAAGCTGACTGATTCCAGAGCTGGACATTTTCAATCATCTTCCTATCCTCCCAACACATCTCAGATCAATATTTATACATGGCAGTGCATCTGGAATCATAGAATGACAGCAGCTTGCAACTTTTCCCTTCTACATTATGAAATGTCCACTCTGCCAGCAAGATGAATTCTGAAAGCATAAATTTAATCATACTTCCTCTCTTCCATAGGAAGAAGTTTCCCAAGGCTCTTTCTGTTTTAGTCAGTTTCTTAGTGTACTGTATCAGGCTCCTCCTAATAGGATCCCATTTTACTTCTTAGCCTCATGGGTCCAGATCATGTCACTTCCTCTGGGAACTCGCAAAACTAAACTCAATCAGTAACTCATTCATTCCTATATTGCTTCTGCGGCCTCCAACATTGATTTAATAGCACTAAATGACATTTACTACAACTATTGATTTAGAGTATTCCTTCCACTTCTCTAAGCACCTGAAAAAGAGGCTCCTCTAGTACATCCCATAATGTCTTGTCATTAGTAGGTTTGATTTAAAGAGTTGTTGAATCAGTTAACAGCGATTTATGTCATGACTGTGATGAGGGATTTATGCTGTAATTGAGGAAATAAAACTAAAACGCTGGGAAATTCAATAGTACTGTAATTAATGTGAACAAGGGAAAAGAGGAACTTGAATTTATTATTAAATTTTTTAAAATTATTTAACCAAAGTAATTTTTCATATTCTTTTGATAGGATAAAATTTAGTCTCTGGCAGGAATCTCAGCCTGTCAGTTATTTCATCCTCTCTCCTCTTACTGTACTGTTAATGTGAAGTTCTCTCCCTGAACTTATTTTCAATCTACAATTGAGTTAGAATTTCCCACATCTTAAAAAATCATTCTTAAAATCTGTCACCCAATGCTGTAATACCTCAGCAATAACCCATTTTATCTTCAAAAAAAAAGAGAGAAAGAAAAAGAGAAAATGACTTAAATTGTTTATTTTATTATGTAACCATCAGTTCCTTTTCAAACCACTGCTGTCAAAACTAAATATTTTCCTCCTTATTGATAAATTGTTAAATAATCATTTTAGTCTTCCTTTCGCTTAAACTCTCTGCAGTATTTGTTATTTGTTGTTTTTAAAACTCACAGTCATTATCATTGACTTTTCTAAAACTCTTGAATTTATTGTCCTTCCATTACTCTAATTTTCCATTACTCTTGAATTTATTGTCTCTTGATGCCCTTGTTGTCTCTCTCCAAGACTCCTGCTTCTACCACTCTCTGCTATTCATCCCTGGTAGCTCCTTTTGGAATCTTTCATTCTTCTTGCTCCTCAGGTGTTGATATTCCCTCAGATTATCTCCTTGACACTCTCTTCTGTTCATTCATGTTTTCATTTTACATTCCTTCCCTCAGTGATCTCACTCACTCTCATACATTTTAGTTACTAGCCATTTATTTGACTTAATGACTTAGGTACCTCATTTACTTTATTTATTTAATTACTATGCCAGTAATTCCCACATGTCTATGTAGCCCAACCCACATCCTGCATATACGGGTGTCTTTGGACAGCTCCAAATGCATGTCCCTCCTTCTGCAGACCCCTTAAACTCAAACTCAATTCATCATCTTTCCTGTCCCTTCTATAGTTTCTGTCTCAGTTAACATCAGCACCATCTACATTACATCAAACAGAACCTAGTCAACCTACCACCGAAGTCCCTTTCCTTGTCTCCTCACATGTAACCAATCACCGATTATCTAAACTCCAACACCTCGACATCTTTCATATCTGATTCTTTTTCCTTATTTTTACTATACTGCCTCAGTTCAGGTTTTTCTACCCTTGTACTGGACTAGTGGAAAAATTTGGTATCAGCACATGCAGTTTCATATACCTTCAACTTATCATTTCCATTGCAGCCAGGAAGGTCTTTCCAAAATGCAAAATTTTGTTTCTCCCTATCTAAATCCTGCATTGACTTCATTTTAACTATTGAATAGAATTAAACTAGATCAGCATGCCCTAAAATCCCTCCTTAACTTGCCAGACTTACCCCTTTGCTAAGTTTCCCTCCTCCAACTCTACACCTACGCCATACATATTGCTTATAGTTCTCTAAAAATACAAAGCTACTGAAAACCTTCATGACTTTCCCTTCATACGTCTCTCTGTCTATAGTGTCCCCAGCCTCTCAAACACCCTCACTCCCGATTCCTTATTATGTGGAAGATGTTAAAATTAACTCAACTCCACAGTTGCTCCTTCTGTTAAGCCTTTCCTGAACTCCTCTACTTAATTAGGTAAAAATTAAGCCGAGAGCTTGGTTAAGCTCTCGGCTGTACTGTACATGCTTCTGCCATAACACCTTATTATACTTACTCCTTAGTTGAGAATTGTATTAGACTTTCAATTTCCTTATGAACAGGGACCATATCACATTGGACATTATATCCTCAGTACTAGGATAACATGACCCCAAACATAAGTTTGTGAAAAATGTATGAGGTTGTTGTTTTTCATTTTCACTATCTTAATTGTTTGGCATTTTTACTATCTTAATTGTTTGGCATTTTTAAACACAAACATAGTTGTTACGTCAATTGTTATTGACAAAAGTCTAGAAATTAAATGAATGTGTGTGTGATTTATTTTTATTAATTCTAAAAAATAAAAGTTGCCAGCTCTTAATGGTATCACATCATTATGTTGAATCTGAATCCTCCACATTGCCGAAAATTTCTGAGTGATTTCTGCTGTTATTTTTATCAGCGAAGGTATATCAGATATGTTTATCTAAGAAATAATTATACTTCTATGATGGTATTCCCCTAAATGTTTGTATTACCATAAAAAGATGAAAACAAGATCTCATATATGTTGCCTAAGATAACTATTTCCAGATGATTTCTTCCAAGACAATTCTTTGTAATCTCCACTTCTACTGTTTCAATATCCATTTCTTACAAAGAAGCTCCCAGATGTTGCAGCTAGTGTTTTATCTTGCTCCACCTCCCTCTCCACCCTTCAACCTCAGCAGAACTTATTTGTACATGCTGTTCTTAATTATGCTGATCTCTAGTCCTTGACAGAGTTCCTGGCTCCAGTCAAAGGTGGAAAATGAAGTTATATACAAGCTACTCAAAACCACAGCCGTAAAAATGGACTCTTCGTAAGTTTTTTTGGAGGAAAACGCTTTGTATCCTATTACACATATCCTGTGGCTACAAAAGCTGACATCCCTACTTTTGTCACTTAGCTTCATTTCAAAGAGGTTGGAAATCCCCAATGTCCCTTAACAGCTTACTGGGTAGTTTAGTTAAAAAAAAAAAAAGCCATATTAGTAGGTTTCAGGTGGAGGGTCATTTAATAAATAGAAATAAATAGAAAGTGAATGGAGGGTTTAGTAGGAGAAAGGAAGGAAAACTAAAAGTTATTTGATAAAGAAATAAGGAACAGGATAGTTTTTTTTTTTTAAAGGTATATCCAGATTTACAAAGGTGAAGAAAACAATGATATAATCAGAAGGGAAAGGGCATATTAAAACACAGGCACTGAATGAATGTTAAAATGTGGGATTCCTTTCAACATTCCATTTCTTAAGAACCTAAAGTGTTCCTTTCAGCAATTTTGTGTCAGTCTATATCAGATCAGACAGACATTCAAATATTTTACATAATTTATCATTCTCAGTACTCACAACCACCTTGTAAAGGAAGTTTTATTACTTCTATTTAATATTAAGTCAAGTTAATATGAATTAATATACTTAAAGTATTTAAAACACTGCCAGCACATAATGAGCCCTTTATACATGTTTGTGGCCGTTAATATTTTATAAATAAAGAATATGATGCTACCAGGATACTTAAACAACTCATCCAAAGTTACACAGAAGGAAAGTGGCATACCTGGTTTAGGACCTAGAACCTAGTCCTGTGTATATTACCATGTGAGTCCTTTTCACTAGAACTGAAGTCATATTTTAGCTTTAGATTGGCTGAGTGGCCCAGGAAATAAAATCCTTCTCTAAGTGTGGGAATTATGGAACTGAATATAACTGAAAAAAAAAAATCACTACTATGTCACAGGGCGAGTAATTGGAAATAAAATTATAAGATGCAAGCTAAATATCTCCATTTCTAGGAGGGATAGATCATCTCACACATTTCACAAGGACTGTGGTCTATTTGGACTCCAGGAGACAGGGTACCTGTGCGCCGGGGCTCTGGATGCCGAGTTGTGGCAGAGCCTTGAGAATGCAGGCTCATGGTGGTGTCCCCATCATCATCCAGCATGTCCCTCGTGCTGCTGTACTTGGCCTGCATCTGGATTCCTACAGCGGTGAGAGTGAAATGTGGTCGGATTGCCCTGGGCCGCCGGGCTACTGTGAGCTAGTTCAGGAAGCAAGGCACTAAAAGGCATTCCTAATGTTCTTTCCCAGCGAGGGGCAGGGAAAGTCTCTGACTGCAATTCCTGACTGGACAGGCCCAGCCCCTCTCCTGTGAGCTTGTACTCTGAATGCCAAATCAGTCAGGCTGAGGGGAAATAGCATGTGTTTTCTGTTTAGGCCGTCTCAGTCTAAACAGTTGTCAAAAAGTTGGCCTTTCTCAGGTCTTTTTTGTTTACCTGTTTGCATTTCTCATGTAACTTCACTGTAAAGAAGGCAAGAACTTACAATAGCACGGTGTAGCACTGTGGTTCCTTCAGAGTCTGCAGAATAATAATAACTTGGAAGGACACACATCCCTGTTTCTTACCCATCCTTTAGGGAGTCACTTAGTTTAACCTCTCTGTGTCTTTGTGAAAAGAGAAGAGATTATAGGACCTAGCCCCTTCCTTTCTCCAAGAACAGAGTAGTGGTCTTTCTTATAGTATCTGAACTTGATTCAACATTTTATAGCACATTTGGTACATTATGATCACGAGGAATTATACAATTTACTGGAAGTAAAAACTTTTAAAACTATTACTAACCACCATGTGGTTTGGGGAAGCCAGTTCATTTGTGCCTAAATCTCCTAAACTGAGAAGAAAATGTTTTAGGTAATGTGAAAAAATTCTTCCTGAATCAGTACATTAGAATTATATTCCCATCTTAGTCTGTTTGTGCTGACCTACAACAGGATACCTGAGACCAGATAAATTATAAGCAATAGAAATGTATTTCTCAGCATTCCAGAAGGTGGGAAATCTAAGATCAAGGCACTGGCAGGTTTGGATGTCAGGTGAGAGCTGCACTCTCTGTAGAGGAGGAAGGGTATTCTCACGTGGCAGAAAGCAGAAGGTCAAGCCAGCCAAATGCTACATGTAGCGTCTTTTATAAAGGCCTTAATACCATCCTCAAGAGAGAAGACTTCAAGGACTAATCATCTCTTAAAGGCCCCACCTCTCTCAATACTACCACACTGGCAACACCTGAATTCTGCAGGAAACACATTCAAACCATAACAAGACAGGTATCAGTAACAACCTTGTGCCTTTGGGAGGACAATTAACAATTTGCATCTACATTTCCTAAACTGAAAGACAAGAAGATTGTTTTAGATAATGTCTAAAAGTTCTTCCTGAATCTGTACAATAGACTTATATTACTCTACCAAAACTTTTCCAGATGTTAGGTGATAGGTGGGCAAAATCAAGCATGCTAAATATAAAGGAGTGTCAGAATGCTCCAGTTGGGGTAGCCAGACCATATAAAAGATCTATGAGGAAGTGCACATTGTGGATTCACATGTGTTTCAAGCTGTTTGTTGTTCATCAAATTATTCTAAATTTTTTAAAAATTGGAATTTTTTTTTTTTTAGATGGCAGATTGGAGGCAGTGTTAGCATGACTCTACCACTTGGAAGGACAAAATAGTGAGTAAAAAATTCTCACTGTGGGCCAGCCATGGTGGTCACGCCTTTAATCCCAGCACTTTGGGAGGCTGAGGTGGGTGGATCACCTGAGGTCAGGAGTTCGAGACCAGCCTGACCAACATGGCAAAACCCCGTTTCTACTGAAAATATGAAAATTAGCCGGGCGTGGTGGCGGGTGCCTATAATACCAGCTACTGGGGAGGCTGAGGTAGGAGAATCACTTGAATCCGGGAGGCGGAGGTTGCAGTGAGCCAAGATCACACCACTGCACTCCAGCCTGGGCAACAGAGCGAGACTCCATCTGAAAAAAAAAAAAAAAAAAAAAAACCTTCTCACTGTGAACTCTTTTCCCAAGAAGCAACACAGGAACTGAACAGGAAAACTGAAAGAATCCACAGACTCTTTGAAAGAAGCAGCAGGTTATACCTACACCATGAGCTAGGTGAAAAACTGTAAGCTCCCAGGGTGTGTGAGGTGAAGAGACTGGCTCCAGGATACATACCCCCACAGGGGAACCTGAAAGTCCATGCCATGGGGGAAGGCCTTAACCCGTCCCAGCACTGGAACCAATTAAAAGAGCAGTGATGAATATAAAAGTAAGAGCAGCAGCAGGAAGAGGCTTGTGTGCATTCCCAGTCTCCAGCATGAGCCAAGGGAAACTATTCCTTATGCCTCACAGACAACCTCACGGAACTCAGCCAACTAGCTCAGCCAGGGGTTGCACATTGTAAAAACTCCCAACTGAAATTCACAATATAACCTCAAGTGAAATGAACTCCCTTGGCCAGAACCAGAAAGGTGAGTGGGAAATGTGTTGCAGCCGTGAGTGCAGGATCTGGGTGCCAGCTGTGTGGGTGGACAGAGAGGGGCATGGCCTGAACGCCAGCAGTTGCTATCACCACGGGAAAAGTTTATGGCCTCAGGCAGTTGTGAGCTCTGAGTGCAGACTGCCTGGAACTTAGCTCACTGCTGCTAGCAGAGTACTGCAGGAGCCAGATCTGCCTTGCCAACTGTGTGACATCTGGGTTAGGCTTACTGCTGCCTACTACTCCCCACTCCCTGTGCAACCACATCTCCAAAAGGGGCCGCTGCTTGCCATGCACATGGTGACTCAGAGTGCAGACCCACCTAACACAGCCCTCATCTGGCTTTGCCCCTCCACCCACCGTGGTAGCTTAATACAAAGGACAGAAACCCTGGGGAGATTTATAGCCCCATCCATCACCTGAGAAGCCAGACTACCTACCCTGGGCAACATAAGGCAAGCACAAATCCCACTGCTACTACCACACCTGATACTCTTTTGCAAATGCCACCCAGTAGCTGGAAGCCTACCAACACAGTCCATTGCAGCATCTGTAGGTGGAATAACACTGCACTCAAGAAGGACAAAACTACTGTGTGACCTCAGCTATTACCACTTCCTGCACTACCCTGTCTAACCAGGAGGTCCTGAGTCTATCCACATGACCAGTTTATTACTACCTGAACTAGCATTCAAGAAAGACAACACACTAAAGTTATCTATAATCAAGGAATCTCACAGGTCTATGTCACGCCTCTGGCACCCCCATCAGACCTGGTGCTGATAACAGCTGCTGGAAAACTGGAGGACAGGTCATATCACTGGATCCTTAGCAGACATCCCCCAGCACTAGTCTGGAGCCACTGAGTGGCTAGACCCTGAGGAGCAGCAGCACTCATAGTAGTCTGTCTCTCAGGAACTTCTACTCCTAAGGAAAGGGAGAGTGTGCCACATCAAGGGAACACCCTGTGTGAATAAAGAATCCAGATGGCAGGTCTTAAGGATTAGATTGTTCCACTGGTGGGAAGTTTCTTTCAATAGAGGCAGAATTGAAGTGCTGGGCTCAGCAGGGAATGTCTACAGCTGTCCCAACAGTCAGACAGCCCTGGTGCTTATCAAGGATCTTGGAGAAGGGGACTTCTTACCAACCTCGTCCACCACTGCAGACACAGCTGGGTCTTCTCCCACAAGAGCTCAGCATGGGTGCACCCATAGACAGACTTTGTAGAACACTTCAGGGTGACCGCAACCCCACAGGGGAAGCAACCCTCCAGTTTCAGGCTTACATAAGAGGCAGAGTCACAGTTCTCTACTTGGAGCACTAACATTCCAGCAGATGAAAAGAGAGGCCTGTCTGATCTGAATAGCCAGAATATTGGGACAGATGTGAGTCTGGGAGATGGATAGCTTCCCAGCTGACCTGACAGGGGAGCTAAGGTGGCTACCACCCTTCCCCTGATAAGACTTCAGTGTGTCTCCCTGACAGCTCCCCCAGCCCCTTTTGTCAAGGCTGAGACCTCTGCCCACCATTGGGTATTGCATTTACCCACCTTCTTTAGCCACAACTGGTTCCTACCTAGGAACACCTCCACTACTGGCCTGAAGCCTGAACCATCAACCCAGTGAATAAAATACTGGAGCAAAGTAAATAAATTTAAAAGTGCATACCACATTGGAATGAGATAAGCTTCCAGAGACAGTAAGTTTGCTCACACATTCAGCACATTACTACTATGTCTAGCATCTGAGAAAGCCATCATACAAAGTTTCTCTATAACCAAGGAAATCATACAGAATTTTCACCCCTAAAAGCACCAAGAACCAAATTAGGCTATAACAAACTATAAACATTAAAGTCAAATTCTTAAGAAGGAAAATAAGAAATAAAATCACACAGTCAAATCAAAAATAAATTTAAGAATAATTAGAAGAAATAGTCTACCCAGATGAGGAAGAACCGGAAAAGTAATTCTGTTAATATGATAAAATGGGGTTCTATAACACCTCCCAAAAGATCACATTAGCTCTCAAGCAATGAAGCCAAACTAAGATAAAATCTTAGAAATACCAAATGAAAAATTCAGAATGTTGTATAAGAGCTACTCAAGGAGATACCAGAGAAAGGTGAAAACCAACATAAAGAATTTTTTTAAAAAATTCAGATTATAAATGAAAAATTTTCTAGAGAGCTAAATATCATAAAAAAGGAACGTCTGGAAATGAAAGGCACATTTAGGGAATTACAAAATGCAGTGGAAAGTATTAACGATAGACTAGAACAAGTAGAAGAAAGAATTTCAGAATTCAAAGACGAGGCTTTCAAATTAAGCCAATCAGACAAAAATGAAGAAAAAAGAATCAAGTAAATGAAGTCTCCAAGAAATATGATAGTATGTAAAACAGCCAAACCTAAGAATAATTGGTGTTCCTGAGGGAAGAAGAGAAAACAAAAAGTTTGGAAAACTTATTTGAAGGAATAATTGAGGAAAACTTCCCTGGCCTTGCTGGAGATTTAGATACCCAAATCTGGGAAGCTCAAAGAACTCCTGAGAAACTCATTGCAAAAAGATCACCACGAAGGCATAGTCGTCAGGCCATCTAAAGTCAACATGTAGAAAAGAAATCTAAGAGCAGTCAGACAAAAAGCATCAGGTCACCTATAAAGGAAAACCTATCAGACTAACAGCAGACTTCTCAACAGAAACCTTATAAGCCCAAAGGAATTGGGACTCTATCTTTAGCTGCCTTAAACAGAGTAACTGTCAGTCAAGAATGTTGTATCCAGCAAAACTAAATGAAAGAGAGATAAAATGAAATGAAAGAGAGATAAAGTCATTTTCAGACAAACAAATGCTGAGAGAATTTGTAGTGCTACCAAACCAGCATTACAAGAAATGTGAAAAGGGCTGGGTGTTTTGGCTGATGCCTGTAATCCCAGCACTTTGGGAGGCCAAGGTAGGAGGATCACAAGGTCAGGAGTTCGAGACCAGCCTGGCTAATATGGTGAGACCTCATCTCTACTAAAAATACAAAAATAAGCTAGGCCTGGTGGCTCATGCCTATAATCCCAGCACTTTGGGAGGCCAGGGCAGGAGGATCACCTGAGGTCAAGGGTTTGAGACCAACCTGGTCAACATGGTGAAAACCCATTTCTACTAAAAATACAAAATTAGCTGGGCGTGGTGGTGGGTGCCTGTAATCCCCACTACTTGGGAGGCTGAGGCAGGAGGATCACTTGAACCCAGGAGGTGGAGGTTGTGGTGAGCCAAGACCATGCCATTGCACTCCAGCCTGGGCAACAAGAGGGAAAAGTCCATCTCAAAAAAAAGAAAAAAGAAAATAAAAAATTAGCCAGACATGGTGGTGGGCACCTGTAGTCCCAGCTACTCGGGAGGCTGAGACAGGAGAATTGCTTGAACCAGGGAGCTGGAGGTTGCAGTGAGCCAAGATCGCACCACTGCACTCCAGCCTGGGCAACAAAGTGAGACTCCGTCTCAAAAAAAAAAAGAAAAAAGAAATGTGAAAAGGAGTTCTAAATCTTGAAACAAAGCTCAATATGCACCAAAATAGAACCTCTTGAAAGCATAAAACTCGCAAGGCCTATCAAACAACAACACAATGAAAAACACAAAGTATCTAGGTAACAATTAATATGAGTACAACAGTACCTCACATCTCAATATTAACATTGAACATAAATGGCCTAAATGCTCCACTTAAAAGAAACTGATTGGCAGAATCAGTTTTAAAAATTACAAACCAAATATCTGCCATCTTCAAGAGACTCATCTAACATGTAAGGACTCATATAAATTCAAGGTAAAGGGGTAGAAAACAATATTTCATGCAAATGAAAACCAAGTGTGAGCAGGAGTAGCTCAAAATAAAGGCATGGAGGAAGATATACCAAGGAAATGGAAAGCAAAAAAAAAGCAGGGGTTGCAATCCTAGTCTCTGATAAAACAGACTTTAAACCAACAAAGATCAAAAGAGACAAAGAAGGCCATTACATAATGGTAAAGGGATCAATTCAACAAGTAGAGCTAACTATCCTAAATATATATGCACCCAATACAGGAGCACCCAGATTCATAAAGCAAGTCCTTAGAGATGTACAAAGAGACTTAGATTCCCACACAGTAATAATGGGAGACTTTAACACACACCCCACTGTCAATATTAGACAGATCAACGAGACCGAAGGTTAACAAGAATATCCAGGAATTGAACTCAGCTCTGCACCAAGCAGACCTAATAGACATCTACAGAACTCTCCAACCCAAATCAACAGAATATACGTTCTTCTCAGCACCACATCGCACTTATTCCAAAATTGACCACATAGTTGGAAGTAAAGCACTCCTCAGCAAATGTAAAAGAATAGAAATCACAATAAACTGTCTGTCAGACCACAGTGCAATCAAATTAGAACTCAGGATTAAGAAACTCACTCAAAACCTCACAACTACATGGAAACTGAACAACAACCTGCTCCTGAATGGCTCCTGGGTACATAACGAAATGAAGGCAGAAATAAAGATGTTCTTTGAAACCAATGAGAACAAAGACACAATGTACCAGAATCTCTGGGACACAAAGCAGTGTGTAGAGGGAAATTTATAGCACTAAATGCCCACAAGAGAAAGCAGGAAAGATCTAAAATCGACACCCTAACAACACAATTAAAAGAACTAGAGAAGCAAGAGTAAACACATTCAAAAGCTAGCAGAAGGCAAGAAATAACTAAGATCAGAGCAGAACTGAAGGTGACAGAGACACAAAAAACCCTTCAAAAAATCAATGAATCCAGGAGCTGGTTTTTTTAAAAGATCAACAAAATCAATAGACTGCTAGCAAGACTAATAAAGAAGAAAAGAGAGAAGAATCAAATAGATGCAATAAAAAATGATAAAGCGGATATCACCATCGATCCCACCGAAATACAAACTACCATCAGAGAATACTATAAACACCTCTATGCAAACAAACTAGAAAATCTAGAAGAAAGGGATACATTCCTGGACACATACACCCTCCCAAGACTAAACCAGGAAGAAATTGAATCTCTGAATAGACCAATAACAGGCTCTGAAATTGAGGCAATAATTAATAGCCCACCAACCAAAAAAGTCCAGGACCAGACGGATTCACAGCTGAATTCTACAAGACGTACAAAGAGAAGCTGGTACCATTCCTTCTGAAATTATTCCAATCAATAGAAAAAGAGGGAATCCTCCCTAACTCATTTTATGAGGCCAACATCATCCTGATGCCAAAGCCTGGCAGAGACTCAACAAAAAAAGAGAATTTTAGACCAATATCCCTGATAAACACTGATGCAAAAATCCTCAATAAAATACTGTCAAACTGAATCCAGCAGCACATCAAAAAGCTTATCCACCACGATTAAGTTGGCTTCATCCCTGGGATGCAAGGCTGGTTCAACATACACAGATCAATAAATATAATCCATCACATAAACAGAACCATCGACAAAAGCCATATGATGATCTCAATAGATGCAGAAAAGGCCTTCAACAAAATTCAACAGCCCTTCATGCTAAAAACTCTCAATAAACTAGATATTGATGGGACGTATCTCAAAATAATAAGAGCTTTTTATGACAAACCCACAGCCAACATCATACTGAATGGGCAACAACAGGAAGCATTCCCTTTGAAAACTGGCACAAGACAAGGATGCCTTCTCTCACCACTCCTATTCAACATAGTGTTGGAAGTTCTGGCCAGGACAATCAGGCAGGAGAAAGAAATAAAGGGTATTCAATTAGGAAAAGAGGAAGTCAAATTGTCCCTCTTTGCAGATGACATGATTGTATATTTAGAAAACCCCATCGTCTCAGCCGAAAATCTCCTCAAGCTGATAAGCAACTTCAGAAAAGTCTCAGGATAAAAAATCAATGTGCAAAAATCAGAAGCATTCCTATACACCAATAACAGACAAACAGAAGCCAAATCATGAGTGAACTCCCATTCACAATTGCTACAAAGAGAATAAAATACCCAGGAATACAACTTACAAGGGATATGAAGGACCTCTTCAAGGAGAACTACAAACCACTGCTCAATGAAATAAAAGAGGACACAAACAAATGGAAGAACATGCCATGCTCATGGATAGGAAGAATCAATATCATGAAAATGGCCATACTGCCCAAGGTAATTTATAGATTCAATGCCATCCCCATTAAGCTACCAATGACTTTCTCCACAGAATTGGAAAAAAACTATTTTAAAGTTCATATGGAACCAAAAAAGAGCCCGCATTGCCTAGTCAATCCTAAGCCAAAAGAACAAAGGTGGATGCTACCTGACTTCAAACTATACTACAAGGCTACAGTAACCAAAACAGCATGGTACTGGTACCAAAACAGAGATATGGACCAATGGAACAGAACAGAGCCCTCAGAAATAACACCACACATCTATAACCATCTGATCTTTGACAAACCTGACAAAAACAAGAAATGGGGAAAGGATTCCCTATTTAATAAATGGTGCTGGGAAAACTGGCTAGTCATACATAGAAAGCTGAAACTGGATCCCTTCCTTATACCTTATACAAAAATTAATTCAAGGTGGATTAAAGACTTAAATGTTAGACCTAAAGCCATAGAAACCCTAGAAGAAAACCTAGGCAATACCATTCAGGACATAGGCATGGGCAAGGACTTCATGACTAAAACACCAAAAGCAGTGGCAACAAAAGCCAAAATTGACAAATGGGATCAAATTAAACTAAAGAGCTTCTGCACAGCAAAAGAAACTACCATCAGAGTGAGCAGGCAACCTACAGAATGGGAGAAAATTTTTGCAATCTACCCATCTGACAAAGGGCTAATATCCAGAATCTACAAAGAACTTAAATTTACAAGAAAAAAACAACCCCATCAAAAAGTGGGCAAAGGATATGAACAGACACTTCTCAAAAGAAGACATCTATGCAGCCAACAGACACATGAAAAAATGCTCATCATCACTGGTCATCAGTGAAATGCAAATCAAAACCACAATGAGATACCATCTCACACCACTTAGAATGGTGATCATTAAAAAGTCAGGAAACAACAAATGCTGGAGAGAATGTGGAGAAATAGAAACGCTTTTACACTGTTGGTGGGAGTGTAAACTCGTTCAACCATTGTGGAAGACACTGTGGCAATTCCTCAAGGATCTAGAGCCAGAAATACCATTTGACCCAGCGCTCTCATTACAATACCCAAAGGATCATAAATCATGCTACTATAAAGACACATGCGCACGTATGTTTATTGTGGCACTATTCACAATAGCAAAGACTTGGAACCAACCCAAATGTCCATCAGTGATAGACTGGATTAAGAAAATGTGGCACACATACACCATGGAACACTAGGCAGCCATAAAAATGGATGAGTTCATGTCCTTTGCAGGGACATGGATGAAGCTGGAAACCATCATTCTGAGCAAACTATCACAAGGACAGAAAACCAAACACCACATGTTCTCACTCGTAGGTGGGAATTGAACAATGAGAACACTTGGACAAAGAGTGGGGAACATCACACACCGAGTCCTGTTGTGGGGCGGGGGGCAGGGGAAGGGATAGCATTGGGAGAAATACCTCATGTAAATGATGGGTTGATGGGTGCAGCAGGCCAGCGTGGCACATGTAAACCTACGTAATGAGCCTGCACGTTGTGCACATGTTCCCTAGAACTTAAAGTATAAGAATTTAAAAAAGAGAGAATAATACAATCTACGGAAACAGTGTTAACTGTTTTTTCTAGTTTTGTGTCTTTTGCAAACTTGACATTGTTGATATAGAAATATAGCTTCCCAAGCTGACTGTTACAAGGCAACCATCACACATTTGTATCTGTCAAATTCTGGATTTCTAGGTTTTTGTTTGGTTTTGGTTTGATTGCTTTTTGAAGCAGTCAATATGTTATATAGTAACAAACAAAATATAAATAGTTTATCCTCCAGGGAAAAAAAGAAATGAGACTGGAAACATTACAATAGATACCACAGAAATACATAAAATCATTTGAGACTACTATGAACACTTTTAAGTACACAAACTAGAAAACCTAGAGGAAATGGATAAATTCCTAGAAAATACAACCCTCCTAGATTAAATCAAGAAGAAATAGAAACCCTAAACAGACCAATAACAAGCAGCAAAACTGAATCTGTAATTTAAAAAAAAAAAAAAAGCCAACAAAATAAAGCCTAGGACCTGATGAATTTACAGCTGAATTCTATCATTAATTCAAAGAATTGATGCTAATCCTACTGAAACTATTCAGAAACTGAAAAACAGGGAATCCTCCCTAAATGATTCTATGAAGCCAATATCACCCTGATACCCAAACCAGGAAAGAATATAATTTTAAAAAGACCAGTACTACAGACCAATATTCCTGATGAACATAGATGTAAAAATCCTTAACAAAATACTAGCTAACTGAATCCAACAGCCAATCAAAAAGATAGTACAATGCTGGGCACAGTGGCTCATGCCTGTAATCCCAGCACTTTGTGAGGCCAAGACAGGCAGATCATTTGAGGTCAAGAGTTTGAGACCAGCCCAGCCAACACGGCAAAACCCCATCTCTACTAAAAATACAGTAATTAGCCAGGTGTGGTGGCACATGCCTGTAGTCCCAGCTACTTGGGAGGCTGAGGCAGGAGAATCACTCAAACCCGGGAGGTGGAGGTTGTAGTGAGCTGAGATCATGTCACTGCACTCCAGCCTGGATGACAGAATGAGACTCTGTCTCAAAAAGAAAAAAAAAGAAATATATGAAAAGATAATACATCATGATCAAGTGTGTTTCATCCCAGGGATGCAGGGATGGTTTAACATAAGCAAGCCAGTAAATGTGATACATCACATAATTAGAATTAAAAACAAAAACCATACAATCATCTCAATAGATGCAGAAAAAGCATTGAATAAAATCCTGCATTCCTTTATGATAAAAACCCTCAACAAACTAAGCATAGAAAAGACTTACCTCAAAATAATAAAAGCCACATAGGACAAAGCCACAGCCAACATCATACGGAAGGGGAAAAGTTGAAAGCATTCCTCCTGAGAACTATAACAAGACAAGGATACCCACTTTCATTATTTCTATTCAGCATGGTACTAGAAGTCTTAGCCAGAGCAATCAGGCTTGAGAAAGAAATAAAAGGCCTTCAAATTGGTAAAGAGGACGTCAAACTGTCACTCTTTGCCAACAATATGACTGTATACTTAGAAAACTCTGAAGACCCCTCTGAAAGACTCCTAGACTTGATAAACAAATTCAGTAAACTCTTAGGTTACAAAATCAATGTACACAATTCAGTAGCACTGCTATACACCAATAACAACCAAGCTGAGAGTCAAATCAATAACTCAACTCTTTCACAACAGCTGCAAAAATAAATACCTAGGAATATACTTAACCAAGGAGGTGAAAGAGCTCCACAAGGAGAACTACAAAACACTGCTGAAAGAAATCATAGATGACACAAATTGAAACACATCCAATGCTCATGGATTGGAATAAACAATATTGTGAAAATGACCATACTGCCCAAAGTGATCTGCAGCTTCATTGCAATTTCCATCAAAATACCATCATCATTTTTTCACAGAACTAGAAAAAACAATCCTAAAATTCATATGGAACCAAAAAAGAGCTTGGATAGCCAACGCAATCCTAAGCACAAAGCACAAATCTGGAGGCATCACATAATTAGACTTCAAATTTTACTATAAGTCTATAGTTACCAAAACAGCGTGGTACTGCTATAAAAGTAGACACATGAACCAATGGAATAGGAAAAGAGAACTCAGAAATGAAGCCGAATGTCCAGGCAAGGTGGCTCACACTTGTAATCCCAACACTTTGGGAGGCCGAAGCAGGCAGATCGCTTGAAACCAGGAGTTCGAGACCAGCAGGGCCAAGATGGCAAAACCCCTTCTCTACTAAAAATACAAAAATTAGCTGGATGTGGTGGTGCACACCTGTAATCCCAGCTACTCAGGAGGCTGAGGCAGGAGAATCGCTTGAACCTGGGAGGCGGAGGCAGCAGTGAGCTGAGATTGTGTCACTGCACTCCAGCCTGGACAACAGAGCGAGATCCCATCTCCAAAAACAAAACAAAACAAAAACAAAAAACACAACAAAAACAAAAACAGAAAACGAAAAGGAGGCAGCGGCACCGCCCCTGCGGGAGCTGGTTTGTGGGTCGGTGGGTTCCCTGAGGCGGCGGCTGAGGAGGAGGAGTTGCAGTTGCAGTTGAAGTCAGCTGGCGGAGGCCAGACCTCAGCAGCGCGAGCTGGAGCACAGCCGAGCCCAAGGCGCTTTCCCCGGTGGGTGGGGACAAGTGGGCGAGTAGCCGCCGCGACTCGGCCTATCATGTCCTTGCAGACGCCTGGCGCCAACGAGAACCCAGGCCGCCCCGAGGGCGAGTCGTCGGAGCGACCGCAGCGCCCTCGAGCGGGAATCAAAATCAAAAATCGCCGAGGACGAACAGATCAACGCCAGCAAGAACGAGGAGGACGCAGCAAAAATGCTCGTTGGTGGCCTGAGCTGGGATACCAGCAAAAAAGATTTAAAAGACTATTTCCCTAAATTTGGAGAGGTCATTGACTGTACAATAAAAATGGATCCCAACATTGGACGGGCAAGAGGGTTTGGGTTTATCCTGTTCAAAGATGCAACCAATGTGGAGAAGGTCCTAGACCAGAAGGAGTACAGGCTGGATGTCCGTGTCATTGACCCTAAAAAGGCCATGGCTATGAAGAAGGACCCGGTGAAGAAAATCTTCGCCGAGGGTCTGAATCCTGAAGCCACTGAGGAAAAGATCAGGGAGTACTTTGGCGAGTTTGGGGAGATCGAGGCCATTGAAATTCCAGTGGATCCAAAGTTGAACAAAAGACAAGGTTTTGTGTTTATCACCTTTAAAAAAGAACCTGTGAAGAAAGTTCTGGAGAAAAAGTTCCATACTATCAGTGGAAGTAAGCGTGAGATCACGGTGGCCTAGCCCAAAGAAGTTTATTGGCAGCAGCGGTATGGTTCTGGGGACCGTGGAAACCACAACCGAGGGAACCGAGGCAGCGGAGGTGGTGGTGGAGGTGGAGGTCAGGGCAGTACAAACTACAGCAAGAGCCAGTGACATGGTGGCCATCAGAATACCTACAAGCCATACTGAAGCAGCAGCAGGAGAGACCAACCGACCGCACACATGTTGTGTTTGGATATGGAGTGAACACAATTATGTACCAAATTTAACCTGACAAACTTTCTATGGCTTGCCCCATGTGCATCTTACTTAAAATTTCCCCCATGGAAATCACTCTCTTGTTTACTATTTCCAGAACTCTAGTTATTTAGGCAGCGTGTGGTGTCTGAGAGGCCAGAGGGGCATTATGGGCTGACTTTTAGTACCAGGTCCCCCAGAACAAAATGGCAGTCTCTGCTTCCTGCTGCCGCACTCTGCAGCCTGGTCCTGTGGACCCTGGTTGTAAAGAGTAAATTGTATCTCAGGAAACCAGTGTCAGCTTTTCATTTTATATTATTTATGTCATACATTTCCTGTAATGGAAGTGTTAATTTTACTGTACTTTTTGGTACCTTTGGGGAATCTAATGTAAGGTATTTTACATGTGTCCTGATTTTGCCACAACCTGGATATTGAAGCTATCCAAGCATTTAAAATAAAAATTTAACCCCCCCCCGCCACAAAAAAGAAATAAAGCCAAATACTTAACATCCAACTGATCTTTGATGAAGCATACAAAAACATAAACCTATTTAATAAATGGTGCTGAAAAGACTGGCAATCCGCATGCAGAAGAATGAAACTGGATCCCAATCTCTTACCTTATACAAAAATCAACTCAAGATGGATCAAAGACTTAAATCTAAGAACTGAAACCATAAAAATCACAGAAGATTACATCAGAAAAACTCTTCTGGACATTAGCCTATGCAAAGAATTTATGACTAATACTCCAAAAGCAAATACAACAAAAATGAAAATAAATAAATGGAACTTCATGAAACTAAAAAGCTTCTGCACAGCAAAAGAAATAATCAGCAGAGTAAATAGACAACCCACAGAATGAGACAAAATATTTGCAAACATATATGCATCCAATAAAGGACTAATATCCAGAATCTACTAGGATCTCAAACAAATCAGCAAGAAAAAAATAATAATCCCATGAAAAAGTGAGCAAGGGACATACATAGACATTTCTCAAAAGAAGATATACAAACAGCCAACAAACATATGAAACAATGCTCAACATTACTAATTATCAGGGAAATGCAAATTAAAACCACACAATGAGATACCACCTTACTCCTACAATAATGGCCATTATTAAAAAGTCAAAAAAACAACAGATGTTGGCATGGATATGGTAAAAAGGAAATGCTTATACACTGTAAATTAGTACAACCTCTATGAAAAACAGTATGAAGATTCCTTAAAGAACTAAAAATAGATCTACCATTCAATCCAGCAATCCTGCTGCTGGGTATCTACCCCAAAATAAGTCATTATATATGAAAAAGACACTTGCACGTGTATGATTATAATAGCAGAATTCACAATTGCAAAGATATGGGACCAACCTAAGTGCCCATTAACCAATGAGTGGATAAAGAAAATGTGGTATATGTACACCATGGAATACCACTCAGCCATAAAAAGTAATGAAATAATGTCTTTTGCAGCACCTTGGTTAGAGCTGGAGACTATTATTCTAAGTAACTCAGGAATGGAAAACCAAAACTGTATGCTCTGACTTACAAGTGGAAGCTAAGCTGTAAGTAGGCAAATCCATACAGAGTGATATAATGACTCAGAAGCAGGAGGTGAAAAGGGAGGGGGAGGGATAAAAAAAACTACATATTGGGTACAATGTACACTACTCAGGTGAGTGACAGGTGCATTACAATCAGAATTCACAACTATATAATTCATCCATGTAACCAAAAACGTCTTGTACCCCAAAATCTATTGAAATAAAAAATACATAAATAAAAATAAAAATATCTTCCTCTTGCACAGTGCCTTGTAAGAAGTAGGAAATCAAAAATTGTTTGTTTGCATTGGGTTGGATATCAGAGAGCCATATAAAAGAGAAGGTAGTCAAAATTGTGAAGATGAAGTTATGTAAAGCCCATAATTGAATAAAACAGAGATACAGTGTTAAAAATTACAACAGCTAGGATCAGAAAAAAAGGCACTTAGAAGGTGCCTGTAATTATGATTCTCATAAAATAGCAATTAGAACTATTTCCCAAGCTTCAGTTATTCAAGTATATTCCTAATAATTTTTGATAAAAAACCTACATTAACATTTATACTACTTTTCCTTAAAAGCTTATTTTTTTTTCAAAAAATATTTTTGACTATCGACTGTATGGCAAGTACTATTCTCAGACTGTTGGATACATCCATGTACAGCAAAGCTGTCTGTCCTTTTAGAGACTATATTCTACGGAGAAAGGCAGACGATATATAAGAAACAGATAGATAAGAAAGAGGAAGACAATATACAAGAAAGAGAATAAGTATCATGCTGGTGCAAAAGTAATTGCGGTTTTTGCCATTACTTTTATCCTATATACTTTCAATGGCAAAAACCGCAATTTTGCACCAACCTAATAAGTAAATAGTAGAGTATATTAGACTATAATAAATGCTATGGTAAATAAACAGAGGTAAGGGAGATGAAGAATGTAGGGAAAAAGGGTTGGTAACTTTAAATAGTTATGTGAGTAAGCATCATTAAGAAGGTCATGTTTGTGCAGAGATGGAAACGAGGTGAGAGGCCAGGCCCTGCAGCTTTGTCGGGTAAGAATCATTCAGGCCGGGCGCGGTGGCTCACGCCTGTAATCCCAGCACTTTGGGAGGCCGAGGCGGGCGGATCATGAGGTCAGGAGATCCAGAACATCCTGGCTAACACAGTGAAACTCCGTCTCTACTAAAAAATACAAAAAAAAATTAGCCAAGCGTGATGGCGGGCGCCTGTAATCCCAGCTACTCGGGAGGCTGAGGTAGGAGAATGGCGGGAACCCGGGAGGCGGAGCTTGCGGTGAGCAGAGATCGCGCCACTGCACTCCAGCCTAGGCCACAGAGCGAGACTCCGTCTCAAAAAAATAAAAGGATCATTCAGGTAAAGCAGATAAGAATCACCAATACCTTGAGGTGGAAGCACGCCTGACATGGTTGAGAAACAACAGAGAAGCCGGCGTCCTGAGTGCGGTGAGTAAAGATGAAGGAAGTAGGAGATTAGCTCAAAGTTAAGAGGGCCAGAATATGTAGCGTCTTATAGATAATTACAAAGGTATTTCTTTTTTATGTTGCTTTGTTTTTACTCTGAGATACATGAGAAGTTGATGAGAATTTTAAGTGGAGAACCGACATGATTTTATTTAAATTTAATGGTCTCACTCTGATTTGTTTGAAAATAGACTGTAGAGGGTGAGGGTGAAGGCTCAGAGACGACTTCAAAAATTATTGCTATAAGCCAAACAAGTGAACATGGTGGCCCCTGAGCATGTCCTCTGGTGTGACCATTACTCATCTCGAATTTAACTTTCAGACTGAGGTTCGGCTAGCAGCTATTTCACCTTTTCTGTCTCTTGGAAAAGTGTGGATGTTTTCTGTCTCTTGGAAAAGTGTGGATGTTTTCTGTCTCTTGGAAAAGGGTGGATGTTTTCTGTTTATTAACGTATATTTCCATATAAGCTGTGATATAAACGTGTCTCAACAGGTCAGGTACTGTATGTCTTGCACAACGTAGAGCAATCTTACTTTACACCGTCACTTTCGTGATACCCACGTCATGGGTTAGGTTGCCTGGCCTGTCTGTTCACTAGATTAGTACAGCTGGATCTTCAGCATCCAGTTATTTACCTTGATTACCATAATTTCTTGGAGTCATCCACTATATCCTGGGGACCCAGGAGGAATGAATCAAAACAAAACCAAAATTAAAATACTAGATATCTCTTCCAAACTCCATCCTATGCTTTAACTACTTAAAACAGTTAACCATACTCCTCATGTTCTCAGCCTGATCTATCTCTTCCCTTTCTTTTTTTATGTTTATTATACATTACATCATTTATTTATTTATGTATGTATTTTTAATTGTACTTTAAGTTCTGGGATACACGTGCAGAACGTGCAGATTTGTTACATAGGTATATATGTGCCATGGTGGTTTGCTGCACCTATCTATCTCTTCCCTTTCTACATGTTTTTAAGTAATGAAAACAAATTTGCATATTAAACAACAATAGTAAACCTCACAAAGATCTTTATCTTCTCTTAGGTTTTTAAAATTTTTAAGATCGCGAATTAATGCTTTAATATCAAAATATCTACTATAAATATCCACTCCACCCATACCAAATTCATCATCATTTTTGGGGAGAGGGCAAATTGTAATAGTGATTGTGACACACAGGCACATAATTTAGAGGCCATGGGTTTTTTGATAAGAGTTTTTTTTTATTGAAATGAAATCCACATAACATAAAATCATCCATTTTAAACTGCATAATTTAGTAAAATTGGTACAATTTCTTTTCACATATTAATCAACATTAGAGGACTGTAAATGCCTCCCTAGTAATACAGAAATATCCATTGGAAATAAAAATAGCACCAGTGGGAAAGTATGAAAAAAATAAGACAAATCAGCACATGAGGAAATATAGTTTCATTCCAATAATACCATTTTACAGTAATTACTGAAAAAAATGGTAAAAATTGTAAAACAGTACATCACAAAACTAATAAAACATATTCCAAAATGTTAATACTTGTTCCAATGAGGTTGGTTACTTTTTTATATTCATCATCAGATTTTATGTATTTTTATGTATTTTTGTATTTAAAAAGCAGAAAACTTTCCTATGAGAGCAGTTTCCCTACAATTACATATTATACAAGATTCTAGGCTGGGTGCAGTGGCTCACGCCTGTAATCCCAGCACTTGGGAGGCCGAGGCAGGCAGATCACTTGAGGTCAGGAGTTCGGGACTACCCTGACCGACATGGAGAAACCCTGTCTCTACTAAAAAAATACAAAATTAGCCGGGTGTGGTGGTGCCTGACTGTAATCCCAGCTACTTGGGAGGCTGAGGCAGGAGAATTGCTTGAACCCAGGGGGCGGAGGTTGCGGTGAGCCGAGATCGTGCCGTTGCACTCCAGCCTGGGCAACAAGAGCGAAACTCTGTCTCAAAAAAAAAAAAAAAAAAAAAGATTCTATTAGAGATATGGCAGATGTACTCTCTGAGCTATTTAATTGATAAAGAAAAAGTAGGAGTTCCTGCTTTTTACTAAGATGATAATCATAATTATGATCATACTGATGAAAATAATAAAATTGCTCTGACTGTGGTGAAGATTTTTTCCCATTTCTTCATTTAGCTATTCAGAAATATATTTCACCCTCAGTTCATAACTGATATACTGCTAGAAGTTGAGGGTCAAATCGTGGCAACACACCGTGCACTTCAATGGCATTGTTGAGCATGAAACAACTCTGATAGAGCCAGAAATTAAGATTCGCTTATGGCTTACCCAAGGTAAATGCCAAGTCAATGGCAGAATGAAAATTCAAGCTTGGGGCCAGGTGTGGTGGCTCACATCTGTAATCCCAGCACTTTGGGAGGCCAAGGCGGGCAGATCACTTAAGCCCAGGAGTTAGAGACCAGCTTGGTCAACATGGCAAAACCCAGTCTCTACAAAAAACACCAAAAATTAGCCTGGCATGGTGGCATGCACCTGTAGTCCCAGCTACTTGAGGGGCTGAGGCGAGAGATAGCTGCAGTGAGTCGAGATTGTGCCACTGCACTCCAGCCTGGGTAACAAAGTGAGACCCTATCTCAAAAAAATAAATAAATAAAAAATAAAAACTCAAGCTTGGCTGCCCTGATTCCATGTCTAGGGATCTACTAACTAGAAAAATAATACTAGCCTACCTGTAGGTCGACAAATACAGAAATCACAGCCTCTCCCTTCAATTTCTTGGTTAAGATTACAGTTGGCCAAGCTCTCTAAACATTTTCTGCATTTATCTTGACCTCAGCTGTTACTCTTTTCTGTTCTGTTTTCTGTCCTCCTTACTACCTCACATATTTCTCTCTCCTTCTCCACCCTTCCTCTTACATTGAAAACTTCTTCTCACAAATACTATATGAGGGCACACTACACAGTTGGTCATAAATGACTGACACGTGAATCCATACACAATTTGGAGATGGGTTTTCTTGGGTAGCTGTGGTTCTGATCTGAAATCTGTTAAAATAGAATACAGTGAGGTAATTAGAACAAATGTTAAGGAATACTGTCTACATGGCGCACAAATAAATTAGTAAGGATATTGGTGAAAAGAGTTCTGAAGTGTTTCTATTATTGGAAAAGGAGGCTTAAATCTAAATTGTTGTGAATCTCAAGTGGTTAAATGAATAGTCTCCATTATTAAGGCAGAAAAACGACTTAATTTTTTTTCAAGAACTGCTACTAGCTGCATAAACTAAAAAAAAAGTTCCTGACAAAGAAGAAAAATCATTTAATATTCTATAAAAAGTTCTTTATATATCTTTCAGCCTATTACTTAAATGTTTCTTTATCAAATCAAGTAACAGTTTAATTAAATTATTACTGGATATACTTAATGAGTAGACCAAGCAGAAGCATTAATGCTAAAACAGATCTAGAACTAAAAAGAGAATCAGAGATGCCCAGGCCATTTAAAGGCAGGGCAAACAACTCTGTATATTTTAATGTATCCTGGAAGCAGAATTATATTACAATACAATGCTTGACAGTTATGGAAATCAACACTGCTAAATGCAGGCATGGTCCTGTTCAGTTTGGTCTTCAATCTCCTTAAGTAGCAGTGTTAATGAGTCAAGCTCAAAGAGCATCACTGACCGTCAGTGCAAAAGCTATGACTTGGCACTCTTTGTCCTGGTTATGTATCTCTCCCTCTTGACCCTGAGGTTGGAAGATTGAGAAAACTTTGCTTTAGCGATGACTAAGGCTAAGATTAACTACTTAGATTCAGACCTCAGGGAGAACTCTGACCAGCATTATTCCTTAAAAATTTTCCTTGACCTATAAGTGTTTTGGGGGCATAGACACAGCTAGATTAAATAAATGCCACCCGGAAAACAAAAAAGTAGTAACATATCAAAATGTTAACTTGGGCCCACTTGTGATTATAGAAAGAGTCCTCTAGTCATACATTTAAAATAGCAAGAGAAAACTCAAGACAAACAAGTACTATAAGAAAGTAGAAAATACATTTGGCTGATAATAAATTCACTGTACTTAGCCTAGTAGAAGTAAAACAGTTAAGTGATTATGCTCAGCAGTTTGTACTGTTCACACTATTGGGTGAACAGACCTGGTGGTGAGAACAGAGGCAAATGAAAAAACACTTCAAATTAATTCTACAAAGATTTTAAGATAAAATGTTAACAACACTATAAAAAGCAATCTGACATAAGAGAAAACTAATCAACACAAAAGAAAAATAGTAAAAAAAAAAACAAACAGAAACAGATACATATAGAAAATTGGAATTATCAGACACAAGCTAAAACAACTATGGTTAGTGTATTCTGAAAGTTAGAAGACAATACTAAGAATGTTGGAAGAAAAAGTAGAAGTATACGTGTTGAAATAATAGATTTGAGAAAGAACTAAACTAAAATTATAAAACTGAAAATGTCACCAAACAAAATAAAAGACTTAATAGAGGCTTTTAATGGTAGATTAGCCACAGATGAGAAAAAATAGATGACCGGAAGATATGTGAAAGGTTATTACATAGATTGGAGCAAAAAGCTAAAAAAGAATGAAAACACAGGAAAAAGCAAAAGAAACATATAGGATGGTGTCAATGGGTCTGTAATGAATGTAACTGGGATTCCAGGAGAAGGGAAAAAAGATGGGGAAAAGCAAAATATGAAGCAAGTATGGCTGAGAATTTTTCAGTGCTGAGTAAACACATTAGTTTTAAAACATATATTACCTTCAAACAGATGACCTCTCAAAAACAACAGTAAAAAATAGAAAACAGTGGAATAATATATTTGAGTGGCTGAGAGGAAAAACAACAAACCTCTAATTCTATACTTACTGGAAATATCAGTCTTAAGAAAAAATACCTGTAATGTACAGTTGGAAAGGAAGAAAGAAATAAACAACTAAAATCATAAATATGTGGGCAAATTGAAATGAATACTAACTGCATAAATCTGTGCGCCACCTTGTCTGTCTAATTTTTATATCTTTTTTTTTTTTTTGTAGAGATGGGGTTTCACCATTTTGGCCAGGCTGGTATCGAACTCCAGAGATCAAGTGATCCGCCTGCCTCGGCCTCCCAAAGTGCTGGGATTATAGGCGTGAGTCCCCGCGCCCGGCCCAAGGGCTAGTTTTTTCTTTTTTCTTTTTCTTTTTTTTTTTTTTTAATACTGAGTCTGGCTCAGTCACCCAGGCTGGAGTGCAGTGGTGCGATCTCGGCTCACTGCAACCTCCGTCTCCCGGGTTGAAGCAATTCTGGTGCCTCAACCTCTGAGTAGCTGGGATTACAGGCGTCCACCACCACACCCAGCTGGTGACGCATAGCTGTAGTCCCAGCTACTCAGGAGGCTGAGGTGGGAGAATCGCTTGAACCCAGGAGGCAGAGGTTGCAGTAGGCCAAGATTGCCCCACTGCACTCCAGCCTGGGCGATAAAATAAAAATAAATAAATAAAAATAAATACATTAATATAATAGCATATAAATTGAGGAGAGAGTCAACAGAGTAAAGGAATGCTCTATGATTTTTATATTGGTCAGGAAGAACATAAAAATGTCAGTTAATGTTAGTCTTTGATGAGTGAAGTATACATGTGTAATTCCTAGAACAACTACTAAAAGATTAGTAAAAGAGATGTAAAAGACATGAAAGAGCACATTCCAAATGAACAGAAAAAAAAAACAGAATAAGAAAAAGTGTTAAATCGTCCAAAAAGGAGGAAAGAAAGGGGAAAAAAAGTAACAATTCTAAATCTTTATGTGCCTGATAACACGGCTTCAACACATCGAATAAAATGTTTACAGAACTGTAAGTAGAATCGCAGCGGAAGATTTCAACACAATTCTTTTCATATGGAAAGAGGAAGAAGCACGTAAAAATCACAGAACTACAAGCACGTGGAGCATGTTCTCTGATCACAGTGGAACTAAGCCTGAAACCTAAAACAAAGAGATAACCAGAAACACATATGTTTGTAAATTAAGAAATGCATTTCTAAATAACTCCTGGGTCAAAGAGCAGCTCACAGTGGAAATCAGAAAGTATTTTGAACTGAAAGACAATGAAAATACATTAAAATTATAGCCTTAAGTCTACATACTTGAGATAAAGGAAGGCTTAAATTCATGAGGCAAGCACCCAATACGAGAAGTTTGAGATGGAATAGCAAATTTAAAACAAATAAATTAGGTCAGGAGATCGAGACCATCCTGGCTAACACGGTGAAACCCCGTCTCTACTAAATATACAAAAAATTAGCCGGGCATGGTGGTGAGCGCCTGTAGTCCCAGCTACTCAGGAGGCTGAGGCAGGAGAATGGCGTGAACCCGGGAGGCGGAGCTGGCAGTGAGCCGAGATCGCCATTGCACTCCAGCCTGGGTGACAGAGTGAGACTCTGTCTCAAAAAATAAAACAAAATAAAATAAAAATAAATTAGATGGAAGGAAGTAATACAGATTAGAATAAAAGTTAATGAAAGAAATAATAAAAAGACAGAGTCAACAAAGTCAAAAGTTACTTTCTTTGAAAAACCAAATTGAACGGTACTCCTACTGAGACAGATGAAAAAACACACACAGGTGTGCACACACACACTAATAATAAGAACTTAAAAGAGACATATTTCATATTCTGCAGATATTAAAAAGCAAATGAATGACAACAGCAGTGACAGAAACCACATAATAAGGAATAATGTATCATCAGGCAAATGTGAAATACGTTTAAAATATCTTTCTAAAATGCAAAATGTGAAAATGTGGTTGCTTTTTAACTTAATAATAAGTCTCACACATTAACTATGTACAAGACACTGTGCTAAATTATTTTACTTTTATACCCATCTCACAATTCTAAGAGGAAAGCACTCTTTCTTTTTTTCTTTTTTTTTTTTTTTTTTTTTGAGTTGGAGTCTCACTGGAGTCTCACTCTGTCATCCAGGCTGGAGTGCAATGGTGCAATCTCAGCTCACTGCAACCTCTGTCTCCCAGGTCCAAGCAATTCTCCTGCCTCAGCCTCCTGAGTAGCTGGGATTTCAGGCAATGCCACCACACCCGGCTAAATTTTTAGTGGAGGTGGGGTTTCACCATGTTGGTCAGGCTGGTCTCAAACTCCTGACCTCAAGTGATCCGCCCACCTGGGCCTCCCAAAGTGCTGGGATTACGGGTGTGAGCCACCACACCTGGCCAAGAGCACCTTTCTATTCTTGTTTATGGAAAATGGGACTCAGAGAGGAAAAGTGACTTATCCCCAGTGTCACACAATCAGTGAGTGGGGTAATCATTAACCCAAACTGAGGCCTGGCTTCAAAACCCATGCTCTTAACCGGGGAGTTACACTGACTGACAGTGACTGCTCCTTGCCTGGACAACTTCAAACATGTCGATGCCTCCCTAGTAAGAAAACCAGAAGAATATCTGTGTTGATGCTACTAGATGGCCTCACTCTTTTTCACTCTAAGGTCCTCCTCATCTTTCTCCTCTTGTCCTAGTTCACTCTTTCTCTTCTTCTATATCTTTCTCCCTCTCTTTCTCATATATGGTGAGCAAATCAGGTTCTTAGCTGCTCGACAGAGGTTTTCATAGATGAGATGGAAACCTCTCTGAGAAAAAGGATGAAGCATTGTCTCTCCAAACACTTACAAGTTAGAAGAGAATGTTGATCCATCCTCCCAGAGCCATGGTACCTCAGTCTGGGGCCGAGAAAGGCCTATCCAAAATGAATTATCAGGTTGGGAAGACACTTGTTTTACTATAAATCCCTGTAATGAAACATATACAAATATATAATAAAGAGAGAGAGAGAGAGAGAAAGAAACTATTATCATGGACGCTGAGAAAAAGACAACTGATTGAATCACTTTGGTAAAGAATGCAAGGCCGGGCGCGGTGGCTCACGCCTGTAATCCCAGCACTTTGGGAGGCCGAGGCGGGTAGATCATGAGGTCAGGAGATCGAGACCATCCTGGCTAACAAGGTGAAACCCCGTCTCTACTAAAAATACAAAAAATTAGCCGGGCGCGGTGGCGGGCGCCTGTGGTCCCAGCTACTCGGGAGGCTGAGGCAGGAGAATGGCATGAACCCGGGAAGCGGAGCTTGCAGTGAGCCGAGATTGCGCCACTGCAGTCCGCAGTCCGGCCTGGGCGACAGAGCGAGACTCCGTCTCAAAAAAAAAAAAAAGAATGCATGCCTAACCTGACATCAACCTAGAGAGAAGTGCCAATTTTTGAATGTCATTGAATGTCTCAAAAGGCCTATCTTATTTATTTAAAGTAATTATCATTTAATTTTCCAAAAGAATAGATTTGTAATGTGAGGACTGTACTGCCTCCATTCAACCTATCTGACAAAATCCCAGATGACAGTCCCCCTAGGCAGTTTTCATGGATGATTAGCCATTGTCTTCTCCTCCAATTGAAGAAATAAATTGACGCTACTTTCGTTAAGAAGTACTTCTCAGAGTTAGGTAACAACTTAAAAATAATTTAGTCCAACTGTATATTTTATGAATATGTAATCTGAGGTTCAGTGAAGATATCTGAATTGTTTACAAATCTATAACAATTTATTTTCAATTATAGGCTGGCCTAAAAGTCAGATAGACTTGTAATCCAGTACTCTTTCTTTGCCATATATCTAGTTCCATTAACTTTAATATAAATTATTACTACTGGGTAAGACATTACAGAAACAAAAACAAAATAAGAATAGTGAAAGTAGGTGTAGAAGTTATAGACTGGTTTAGATTTATAACATAGAATTTTTCCTATTAACCCCTTATCTTACCTCATTGAAGCTCTACCCTTCATTCATGATGTGTTATAAGTGCCACTTTTTCTGAAAACTTCTTAGGAACACGGGGATCTCTTTAAACTCCTATAGAATTTATTGCTAATGCCAGATATTTAACTTTTAATAGCTGCTGAGTTGCTTTTTTTTTACTTAAAAGATTATATGTGTCCTGTGATAGCAGGGTTATGTTTTAACCCTCTTTGCCTTTCCCAGTATCTTGCAAAGAGTAAATAATTTCTAAACATATATTATCATTGTTGCCATTTTTCTTGATAATTATGATGACAAGGAGAAGAATTTTCTACTTTACTTCCACCATATTTAAAAATTGAAATACAAACTCACAAAAATGGGTAGTGTCCTGATTATTGTAGTCATGCATACATGGAGTATGTTTGAAAGGATTTGTTTTAAGGCGAAACACAGTTTTTTAAATTAGTTAAAAATAAAAGCATATACTATGCACTTTATGTGCTTAAGGCATGCTATGATTATAATTATAGAGATATTAAAAATGAATTTTGGCCAAGTATGGTGGCTTACACCTGTAATCCCAACACTGGGAGATCGAGGTAGGCAGATCGCTTGTGCCCAGGATTTTGAGACCAGCCCAGATGATATGGAGAAACCTCGTCTCTATGAAAAATACAAAAAAACATTAGACGAGTGTGGTGGTGCACCCTGTAGTCCTACCTACTCAGGAAGCTGAGGTGGGAGGATCACTTGAGCCTGGGATGTCGCGGCTTCACTGCACTCTAGCTTGGGCAACAGAGTGAGACTCTGCCTCAAAAAAAAAAAAAAAAAAAGACTTCATTTTAGGAAAAATTGTCATTACCTGGAATCTCCCTCTATCTTCCTTCAGGATACACACCACAGATAATCATAACAGAAGTCTACACTTACCAATTCATTTGAGCTGTCTATCTTTAGGAGATTAGAGCCCAGTTGCCAGCATTGTCTTTTACTTCCATCCCAGGAATTTAGTGACATGCTGAATAGATAACAGCTCTTCTCATATATAATCCAATTAGGAGGACAAGGGCTGGAAAGAACCCCTGGAAATAAAAGATTAGTACCATGAGGTTCATAGCATACCAATTCACTCTTTTAGTGTGAACACCATTCATCTTAAGGACACTTATGAAATAACCAATTAGTTGCCATTTTTATATTTCATTGTCAATTCGAACTACAGGGATATGATTTTACAGATGAGAATACATTAAAATCTTCCTATTCATTTAAAATTTAAAAACAAACTAGCTATAAATAGTATTTTAGGCAGCCAACCATCCTTTTTTTCTTCACTTGTCTTCTATTCCTTCTAATTCAGCTCAAAACTACCTTTCTCCTTAATAACTCCTTAAAATAAGTCCACTCACAATCAGTCATTGAGGTACACAGCAATTTCATATTGCTACTTATTTTATGATGTAAGATCTACTTCATAATGTGACTTTCCAAGTGAGAAAAGTATAGGCCAATTATTCATATTATACACTATCTCTGTTATATATTATTAGCTACTTAATAAAAATAGTGAGAAGGTATGGGTCCAGAGATGAAAAATTGAACTGAAAACATTAAGTCATAGTCAATTATGATGCAATTAGAAGTAAAAGTCAAGTGTGTATAGAATTGTAATTAAGTAAATGAAATTGTATGATTAAACAAATTTGATGAGTTTTCAGGGACATGTGTATTAGGTCTACCTCTTTTGTATATTTTTAATATAGCTTCCTTATTCTTGGCAACATTTTCCCTTCTTTCCTTTCTCCCTGTCATTCTTCCTTTCTAATGTCATATTTCCTATTCTAACTGTATCGCATTTAAAATGTCAATTCTGTAAGGGGAGAGAACACTTTTCTTTTATTTGTATCAAATTATATGATCTCCTGTAGATCTAAGCACATAGCCAGTGATAAATCAGTTACTGATTTTAAAAATTAATAAAGTCCAATTTAGAACTGTCCAGCCAACTGCATAGGGTACTTATAATTTCACCTTATTGTATATATGACAGGGATACATTACACTAAGGTAATACTAATATGTGTATTTGCCTTAAATTTACAATCATTGAATCTAAGTGTTTTTCTTTACACCCCTGCCCCAGGCTTCAGCACCAAGAATTAACCCTCTTGAGTCAAGATTCCGTCCTTTAACTATGCCCTTGCCTGTGGTTTTGACAGCTTTGGTAGGAGTCACACTGTCTTCTAAAGATGATTGTGTGGGTTGACTGTGGTTCTCTTTATTTCTTGATAGAAAGTAGCCATTCTCCAATGTGTTGCTTCCTGAATTGGATCTCCAAATAGCTTCACATACCAACAATAATAATAGTGACAGAAAAAATGTCATTCTGCTGTGTTTGAAAATTAAAATCCCAAAACCCAAATGTTATTGGAATAAAAGAATACATTATTGATTAATGATAAATAGATGATATATTGCTGTGGAGAGATAAAGACGATTGATAGAATAGATGAAAAGAAATACATAACTTTTATAAAGGAGGTATAGTAAAAAAAAAAAAAGAAAAGAAAAAAGAAGGTGGAGAAGAAGAAATAGAATGAGGGAGGCAGCAAGAGGCAAATGTCATAGAGTCAATTGGACCCATGACAGATTTGAAATAGCAACATCTTTCACCTTTCTTCTGTTATTTAAAAATGAGAGATCCTTGAGAAACTGCCCAGTACCTATAACATAGAACGCACTCAATAAACATTTGACTAATTAAGGAATGTCATGAAGACTCTCTGAAGGTGACTGACAACAGATTGCATGTGATATAAAATGTAAAAAAAATATTAATCCATTACAAAATATCGACTTAAGACCAAGTGCCTCAGGAAATTTCTGGTGTATTCAAAGGTGTTTATATTAAAGATCGGAAATAATTTCCTTAAATAATGTGAATCATAAAAATAGCTTAATGTCCATTTAGTGAATTTATTTCATTAGGAAGACAGCACCATATTGTACTTTCTTCTTCAGCTCCGCTTGTTTTCTTCATTAATTTATCCTTTGAATTCCACAGCTTTGAAACCAGCTATGTAAGGGAGGTAGGAGAGCAATGTAGTTAAGAGTATGAGTTTTTTAGACAGATCACCCAAATTTCTAATCATGGTCCCACCACTAACTAGCTTATAACCCTGGAAAGGTAAAATAACCTCTCAGTCTCTCACACCCTTTATAAGTGAAATGGGCATTAACAGCACCAACCCAATACAGATAAAACCAGATTATATACAAATTAAAGTAGATTATGCATGTCAAGCCCTTAAAAGAGTGCCTGGCACATAATAATTGCTTACTAAATTGTCTGTTGTTAATCTCCTCCACCAAATACTCACCCATGGTACCCAGGACCACAGCTATCACCAGTATTACCAAGCATAGGATTCCCAAAATTACAGCAATGAGGCGCCAAGGAGGAGATGCAGCACACGATCCTGAGGAGCCAGAGGGGGCAGAAATGGAATAAAGAAAGAGAATGACGGATGGTGGGGCAGTTTAATTCTACAGTTCATCAAAAATCTGGCCTTGCACGGTGGCTCACACCTGTAATCCCAGAAGGGAGACTGAGGTAGGAGGATTGCTTGAGGCCAGAAGCTCAAGACCAGCCTGGGCAACACAGGGAGACCCTGTCCCTACCAAAAAAAAAAAAGAAAAACAAAGAAAGAAAAAAAATTTAATTAGCTGGGCATTGTGGTGAGCTCCCGTAGTCCCAGCTACTCTGGAGGCTGTGGCAGGAGGATCACTTGAGCCTAGGAATTCCAGAGCAGCATAGGCAAAAAAGTGATACCCTGTTAAAACACACACACACACACACACACACACACACACACACACACCACCAACAACAACAACAAAAAATACTGGCAAATTTTTAAGTGAATTATTAATCACTGCCTAGGTTACCTGGTCACCTAGGATTTGCTGTGCTTCTCCACCAGTAAGGATACCTTCTTCTTCAATTGCTGGAATTGTAATTTCGGCACATTGGCTTGATAACTGTATGCTCCTAATTTCAGTTCCACATTGACATCTACAGGTCTTGACATTAGTAGGATCCCTGAAATCCCACTGATTCTTAGAGGAAATAGCTTAATGTTGGGGAGATAGCACTGATTACTAAGGGTAATTTTCCCTTTTCATATGTTTGTTGCATGACCCTGGGCAAATTACTCCCTTTGTTGTTTTTTATTCCTCTTTGTGAAACTGGGGTAATAATATCTCAAAGGATTATTGCGGGAATTAAACGAGCTAACACATATAAAAGCACCTTGTTTAGAGACTGCTAGCACATGATAGGTGTGTTGTTGCAGGATACCGTTTGCCTACACATATGCATAAACATGCGCATGTCTCCCTACCTCTTGCCTCATCCACTTTTTCCACGCTTCCTCAATAGGTTGCCCAAGAAAAGAATTACATCAGTGCTGAGAGGAAAATATTTGTGCAGTGTGAATAACCAGAAAGCAGAAGAAAGCAAACTCTGGTGTCAAAACCGACAAATGATCTCTCTCTCTCAAAGATAATAGGGAACTAATTTTGTATGAACATTGCCATAACCAGAATGTATTTCTGCTTTCCACTGTGACTAAGCTGTCAGGACATTTCATAGAATTGTCACATAGGAGAATCGTAGAGTAGGCTAAATCACCCATTCTATGAATACAGAGATCCTCCAATGCCCTTCTTTCTATTTCATTTCATTTACACTTTGTTTAAGACTCATGTCCTGCTGGTGGGATGTTTTTATCTACCATATGTTCATATATTTTCCATCACTGGTATACCAATAATTGTTTTTTGTTTAAAAACAATTTAAATTAATCTCTTACCACAAAAAAAAAATGTTGTTCATATATATACTTCTTTAAGTTTCCTGGCCTCCATTCGATAATCTAGCCTTTCTATCAAACAAGCAACAAGTCACTCATACAGAAATCCTTTATCTTTGTGTATTATCCCACTTATTACCAATTCCTCACTGATGAAATGTCTATATCTATAGAAAAGAGAAATTCTATTTTCTGCCATCAGACATAATTAATTTAAACACTAATAATTGGTCACTGAATAATTTTCATGAAAAAAGGTTTAGGGTGCATTCAATTTATCTTCAGTGACATCTGAAGCCTTTAAAAGTATATCCATAAAAATATACACATCACGAGGCTCTCAAATTTTCTCCCCTTATATCTTTTTGTTTTGTTTTTATTTTTATTTTTTTTCAGAGATGGAGTCTTGCTCTGCCACCCAGGCTGGAGTGCATTGGCATGATCTTGGCTCACTGCAACCTCCACCTCCCAGGTTCAAGTGATTCTCCTGCCTCAGCCTCCCAAGTACCTGGAACTACAGGCGTGCACCACCATGCCCGGCTAATTTTTGTATTTTTAGTAGAGACAGAGTTTCACCACGTTAGCCAAGCTGGCCTCGAACTCCTGACCTCAGTCAATCCACCCGCCTCGGCCTCCCAAAGTGCTGGGATTACAGGTGTGAGCCACCATGCCTAGCCTCCCCTTATATCTTTTCAAACGGGAGAGCTAAAGGCACACATTAGAAAAAACATATATATACCTTTCTCTGAAACAACAGCTATCCTGGTATTGCTTTGAGAGTCGAAGTGTAATTGAGTATATCCATCTTCATCCAAATTTTCTAAATCAGGATGATATTCCATTGTTCTTGAGAGCCCCTGAATAGATATAGCATTTGGGAGCTCTTTTCTTTCTGCTCCTGAGATGACTGTCTGTGGACAAAAGAGAATCTCTGAGTCAAATCATGTGGGCTAGGTACTTACCGGAGTTTAACAAATTAAGCTTAAGTAGTTCAACCAGATATTCAAGAGCAGGAAATGAAACTATGCTGTGGTAATTTTCCATTTGTACCTTTAGATCCTGTTTCTGAGACTGCTGACTCAGGAAAACTAAAAGGCAGCATAGCAGATGAGTCTTTGTTTCAGACCAAATGTAAGAAAAATGCATACATTAATGTCTTATGCTGCCTTCATTACTCTCACAACTAAGTCTGACATTAATTAATTTAACCGATGCAAACTATTTCAGTTTTGGTGCTCCAAGTTTACCATAACTTTGTTCATGTATTTATTCATGTATTTTTTAAATTACATAAACAGGTACTGGATGCCCACCTTTTCAATTGGTAGGAGCTTACAATACAAGGAAAAATGATACCTATGAAGAAACTCATTGCTTAATAAAGGAAATATATAGATAGGTAAATGAGGGATGGCATGAGGAGATGCATTGTTGTAACAACAGACAGAGAAAACAAATCTCTTTGGGAATTATCAGATATTAACACAAAATAACATTTATTGAACAATTACTATGAGCTAAGTACCACATGTTGTACATATTTTCTTGTTCAATCTCACTTTTCCAAGTCTATATAGTAGGCATTATTATTTCTATTTTCAAATGAAAAAATGAGACAGAAAATTTAGCCTCTTTCTCAGGTTTAAGAAGCTAATTTTAAAAATTTAGAGCAAGGAATCAAATCAAAGCTGACTCTTGCTGCAAAACTCGTGGTCTTTTCTGTTACGCTACACTGCCTCTTTCATCATTCCATACACTTATATTGCAAGGAACAGCTTATGGAAGGTGTTGGGACTGAAATATTATGTTAGATGTTTGATTTTTTTTCCCTCTCTTCCAGTTTCCATAGTAATGATCAAATCAAAGAAATATAGAAAACACCTAACATTGCTGGAAACTGAAGAGGTGTTCAACTCATTTATCCGACCTTGAAGCCAGTAGAGTGCAGGAGACATCTGAGTGTTGTCAAGGATCAACAAATCTGGATACTAGTTAATGTGGTGAGGACAGGTTTTATTCAGTAATACTATTGCAACAGGAACCAGTGCAGCATTAACTGAACTCAACTTCCCCAAAAGTAAAGCTGATGACATTTTAAAGTGGAGTTTGCTAAGGAAAAGATACTGAGTGGTGTTAAGGAAAGTTAATGTGACTAGACTCTCTGGATTTGTTAATTGGCCCTTATCCAGAGGACAGAGAAACTTTGCCTATCTATATGACAGAAGGACATGGTGATAGTTGAAGTGAAGCACCCAGCTAAGTTGGTCCTTATGCTGCATCTGAAAGAAAGAGCAAGATTTATCTCCCTGAATGTTTGCATTTCAAAGAAACAGCTCCCAAGTCCTTGAAGAAACAGTTCTGTGTGGTAGATTTGCTTCTCAAAGGGCAGAGAAAGAATTTAACTGTAAGATTTATTTTTCTTTTCTTTCTTTTTTTTTTTTTAGACGAAATTTCGCTCTTGTTGCCCAGGCTGGTGTGCAAATGGCACGATCTCGGCTCACCACAACCTCCGCCTCCCGGGTTCAAGCGATTCTCCTGCCTCAGCCTCCTGAGTAAGCTGGGATTACAGGCATGTGCCACCACGCCAGGCTAATTTTGTATTTTTAGTAGAGACAGCATTTCTCCATGTTGGTCAGGCTGGTCTTGAACCCCTGACCTCTGGTGATCCGCCTGCCTCGGCCTCCCAAAGTGCTGGGATTACAGGCGTGAGCCACTGCACCTGGCCTAACTGTAAGATTTCTAAAGTAACTGCTCTAAAAGGAATTCAGGAGCCTATCTGTTACCAAGTTTTTTGTTGTTGTTGTTGTTTTGAGACAGAGTCTCGCTCTGTTGCCCACGCTGGAGTGCAGTGGCGCGATTTCGGCTCACTGCAAGCTCTGCCTCCTGGGTTCACGCCATTCTCCTGCCTCAGCCTCCCAAGTAGCTGGGACTACAGGCGCCCGCCACCATGCCTGGCTAATTTTTTGTATTTTTAGTAGAGACAGGGTTTCATCGTGTTAACCAGAATGGTCTCGATCTCCTGACCTCGTGATCCGCCCGCCTCGGCCTCCCAAGGTGCTGGGATTACACGCATGAGCCACCACACCTGGCCTGTTAACAAGTTTTAACTGGAACAAAAAGTAAATTCTCCTAGCAGCATTGGGCTTCCTCAGGCTGGCCTTTTAAGTAGTGCTGAATCATCCTATGGACCTTGCCTTAGGCTACTAGAAGGCGTGCTAGAGTTTGCCAAGTCTCTAGTGCAGAGATTTGGGAGGAGTTGTTATATGATGAGGGCTCTGCAGTTCTGACAGTCTAACACCTATCAAAATGGAAGAGAGCTCAAGAGAGTACATAAATGAGCTTCCCGCCTTACTTAAGCTGCCACAAAAGTTTTACTAAGTTTTTGTAGACATGTTGCAAAGTGGTAATGTGGATCTTAATCTCAACATTCATCAGTGTTTCAGTCCTATAATGCAGTGCTTGGAAAGCAGCGTATGAGGTTCAGGACATGCAACCCCAAAATATGGATTCTTGGCATTTGAGAAAACAGCAGAATCAGGAAATTCACTCTCACACCTTTCCCCGTCTTTCTGCCCTGAAGCAGATCATAAGACCCTTATTTTAGAAGTATTGTTTCCTAGAGGAAAGAAACTTCCTTATCTTTGAAGATACAGAGATGCCAAGAAGAATCTGAACAAATTAGTCTTGCTAAGCTCCCTCCAGTTTATTAGCATTAGATCATACCCTCCTTGTCCAACGTAGGGGAGAAAAAGTAGTATCTTTTCCTTGCCCATCACCAGGTTCGTGACTGAGACCCCTATAACAAAAGACAGATTAACAAAACAAAAGCATGTAAATGTTATACGACAAGAGAGCCTTCTGAAATGAAGACGCAGGGAAAACTGAGTATTTCTACGGACAGTTATGCAGAAGTATGACTGGAGAACAAAAGGGTATAATCTAATGGTAATAAGCTGAGTAGAACTTAACAAGGCCTGTTTGTTCAGGTAACTTCTATTAAATAAATTTGGATGCTATTCTCTTGTTGATCTATGTTTTATTGTAGATGCCGTGAACCTAGCAATGAGTGAGGAAAAGGAATCTTTCACCCCTACAAAGGGATACCATGGAATTTCTCAAACAGTGAATACATTGGCTCCAGGAAAAAGGGTCGACCTCTTAAATAGAAATAGAGAACTAGAGAACAATAATGAGGGGAGTACCTTGCAGTCAGTAATAAGAAGCTGTCTTTACTATCAAATCAGACCTCCAGTGGGAGAGTTTTTCCCTATAGTGACTTTGACTGTCACCCTGTGTTTAATCACAATCCTATGAAAACAGTTAACTCTCTAAGTGGTCAAAGAAATTTTTCAATAAACATAAACTTTAGTCTAATTCTCATTATTCTCCTTTTTTGTCTCTTTGTCTAAAATAAAGCAATTAAACATTAATTATGCAAATCATTGACAAACTAGAAAAACAATACCCTTCGTATTTCAAGACAGTGGGAGAGATAGGCTGGGTATTCAGAGAAAAATACCCCTCATTAAATGTTAATGCAAGAAACAGGTGGAAGGCCGAGCATGGTGGCTCAGGCCTGTAATTCCTACACTTTGGGAGGCTGAGGCAGGTGGATCACCTGAGGTCAGCAGTTTGAGATCAGTCTGGCAAACATGATGGAACCCCATCTCTACTAAAAATATAAAAAATTAGCTGGGTGGGGTGGCAGGTGCCTTTAATCCCAGCTATTTAGGAGGCTGAGACAGGAGAATCACTTGAACCCAGGAGGTGGAAGTTGTAGTGAGCCAAGATCGTGCCACTGCACCCCAACCTGGGCAACAACAGTGAAACTCCATCTAAAAAAAAAAAAAAAAAAAAAGGAAAGAAACAGGTGGAAACAAACCAACCTAACAAAAGAAAAGACAAAAAACAAACCAGTTATCTAACTTACATTTTCAGTGAAGTTTGTTGAAAACTTTCATCTATAAAACAAGTGGGTCATCCAAGAAAAATGAGCAATCTGGCCGGGTGCAATGGCTCATGCCTGTAATCCCAGCACTTTGGGAGGCAGAGACAGGCAGATCACCTGAGGTCAGGAGTTCGAGACCAGCCTGACAAACATGGAGAAACCTCGTCTCTACTAAAAATACAAAATTAGCCAGGCGTGGAGGCGCATGCCTGTAATCTCAGCCACTTGGGAGGCTGAGGCAGGAGAATTGCTTGAACCCAGGAGGCAGAGGCTTCAGTGAGCCAAGAGTAAGCCAAGATCGTGCCACTGCACTCCAGCCTGGGCAACAAGAGCAAAAACTCTGTCAAAAAAAAAAAAAAAGAAAAGAAAGAAAGAGAAAAAAGAAAAATGAGCAATCTGAGAAGAGTTCTTAGAAGTGGAAAACACATTTTATAAACTAAAATTGTAATTAATGAAACCCAGAGGTAGATTGAATATTACATCAATAAAATAGCTGAAAGAACCGAATTCATAATAGCTGAGTCTCAGGAATGGAAAACAAAACATTGTATGTTCTCACTTATAAGTGAGAGCTAAGCTATGAAAATACAAAGACATAGGAATGATACAATGGATTTTGGGGACTTGGAGGGAAGGGCGGGAGGTGGGTGAGAGATAAAAGATTACACATTGGGTACAGTGTACACTGCTCAGGTGATGGGTGCAACAAAAATATAAGAAATCACCACTAAAAAACTTATCCATGTAACCAAACACCACCTGCTCCCCAAAACCTGTTAAAATAAAAAATAAAAGAATAGCTGAGTCAGTCTGCTCACTCACTGCTATATACATTAAGTAGTAGTGTTTACTCTCAGAATTAAACCTCAAAAAATAGCATTCTTTTCAAACAAATATCTATTTTGTATATGTCTAATGTGACTTTCTGGAAAATTCATACAAATAAATGAAGAGAAATAAGTAAACATGTGAATATATAGAAATAAATGGATACATGAATTAAATAGAAAAGATTATGGCTGGGCACGGTGGCTCATGCCTGTAATCTCAGAACTTTGGGAGGTCAAGGCAGGTGGTTGGCTTGAGTCCAGGAGTTCGAGACTAGCCTGGCAACATGGCAAAACTCCATCTCTACAAAAAAAAAAATACAAAAAATTAGCCAGCTATGGTGGTACATGCCTGTGGTTCAAAGTACTTGGGAGGCTGAGGTGAGAGGGTTTCTTTGAGCCCCGGAGGCAGAGGTTGCAGTGAGCCAAGCTGGCGCCACTGCACTCCAGCCTGGGTAACAGAGCAAGACTCTGTCTCAAAAAAATAATAAAAATAACAAAGAAAACAAGATTATTAAAACCAAACTAAGCATTAAACTTAAGAACCACTGCAGAAAAACATGTTCAGTCCTCAGAAGATAGCAACATTTCAAAGTACCTTCCCAATTAAAAAAAAATCAAATTTCTCTTCCAATTTGAATGCTAAATTGGGCCTCTTTCCTCTCTTCCTCTTCTCTGACTCTCTGCCTCCTTCCTTTCCTTGTTTTCTCTATTCATCCATTAACAATTAAATATCTACTGAATATTTACTATATTCACAAACCTGAGGCTCAATCCCAATCCTAATTGATTTCTCATTATATTTGAGGAAGAAAGACATGTAAAAAAAATTACTTCGGTATCCCTTGGATTGACTGAAGCACCAAATTTACTTAGCTTTACTCACAACACTTACAAATGCTTCATTTTAGATGGTGTAGTCATTCATAGCTCTCCCACCTTCCCTGCCAGGGATCCCCAGCTCCCAATTGCCAAGCCCATGCTCCTCCTTTCTTCTTTGTGACTTTGCTTTTAACATTTAGTTGCCATCAAATAAACTGACACCTGGCAGGTCTCTAGTACTTCCTTAAAGGAGCCGGACTCACTGCCAGGGCACAGAGCATCTGCTCTTCCCAGCACCCCCCTCCAGAGGCCTTTGTTCTTCCCTTTAATAGTCCCTGAAATGCAAAATTGAGAATGGGTACTGTAAACTATTCCATATAAATTAATCTTTAATAACTTTTTATTTTATTTATTTATTTATTTTTGAGATGGAGTTTCGCTCTTGTTTCCCAGGCTGGAGTGCAATGGCGCGATCTCAGCTCGCTGCAACCTCCGCCTCCCGGGTTCAAGTGATTCTCCTGCCTCAGCCTCCCAAGTAGCTGGGATTACAGGCATGTGCCACCATACCCAGCTAATTTTTTGTATTTTTAGTAGAGACGGGGTTTCTCCATGTTGGTTAGGCTGGTCTCGAACTGCTGACCTCAGGTACTCCACCTGCCTCAACCTCCCAAAGTGCTAGGATTACAGGCATGAGCCACCTCACCTGGCCTTTAATGACATTTTGATTAAAAAAGCCAAAAAAAAAAAAAAAACCAGACATGGTGGTTCACACCTTAATCCCAACACTTTGGGAAGCCAGGGTGGGAGGATAGCTAGAGCTCGGGAGTTCATGACCAGCCTGGGCAACATGGCAAAACCCTGTCTCCGCAAAAAATACAAAAATTGTTGGGAAAAGATGAGTGCTGGGAGAAGCTGAAGCAGGGCTTGCATGTCTGACATAACATAAAAGAGTGTTGGAACATGTCCAGGTCCAGAGTCTGAAACCTCTCATGGCCTTTGGAACACCAAACTCTGTGCTAAGGGTGGAAGGCTACCCTGATGCGCCATAATCTAAGCTCAGGGCATAAAACCCCTCGTGGCTTGGATAGAATCCAGGGCTCATGGCTCTCGAATGTGTCTAGACTTGCTGGCTCCTTGCTTCTCGCCCTACCAGGCTCCTAGATCGATTGTGTCTCAGAATTGGCCATATAAATGCTAAACCATCACAGCTGTAACTCATGTGCTTAATGCAACGCTCCCTTTCGACCCCCACGTTCTCACCACCTGTTTCTTTGTTTGATCACCAATAAACAGTCTGGGCTTCCGGAGCTCGGGGCCTTCGCAGCCTCCATAACTAGTGTTGGCCCCCTGGACCCACTTTCTCTCTCAAACTGTCTTTTCTCATTCCTTTGACTCTGTTGGACTTCGTCACCCCCACGACCTGGTGTTGGGTCCGATCACCACAACAAAAAATTAGTCGGGCATGGTGGCATGTGCCTGTAGTCCCAGCTACTCAGGAGGTTGAGGCAGGAGGATCGCTTGAGCTCAGGAGATTAAGGCTGCAGTGAGCCGAGATCCTACCACTGCACTCCAGCCTGAGCTACAGGCTGTCTCAAACAAACAAGAAAAAAGAGCAAGACAAATCAAACAGAAGAGTATGAGGCATTGTCCTAAAAGACTTCCCTGGTAGTTTAACTTCAAGCTGCAGAGCATCCTGGCAATTAGTTTTAAGTAGAGGACAAAATAACTTGACATTTCTTTTTTCTTAGGAAGTCAGATTATAATGAAAATCTAAATTGACAGAGCCAAAAAATTCAAAAGATTCAGGAGAAGGGATTGTAGTCATGGCAATGAGAGGAGGAAAAAATAAAGAAGTACAACCAGGTATGTTAAGTAGTGAGAAAATGGAAAGAACAGTGTAGAAGATACACATGGAGGTTTTGTGATAAGGTAAGGAACCTAGAAATAATGTTGAGAAGGAAATAGGAAGAAAAAAAGGCAATTCAGGCTGGGGGTGGTGGCTCACGCCTGTAATCTCAGCAGTTTGAGAGGCTGAGGTAGGCAGATCTCTTGAGGTCAGGAGTTCGAGACCAGCCTGGCCAACATGGTGAAACCCTGTCTCTACTAAAAATACAAAAATTAGCTGGGTGTGGTGGCAGGTGCCTGTAATCCCGTTTGTACCCACAACAGGGACAGTCTATTTCAAGGGTGGATTTTACCCCCATGCCCATTGCTCAAGGGTCTCCTGAAACTATCTCGGGCAGTCAAAATGAAAATGGTCAGTTTGGGACTCAATGTCCTTGGTCAACTGCCTTGTTCCTGCTTCTTCCAGTTTAACTCACTGAACCCCAGGACTCCTTTTCCTTGAAAAGGTGGACATAGAAAACTTATAAATAGGCTATTTATGAGTTTATAAGTAAATTTCATATACAATAAATAAACAGCCTATTTATAAGTTTTCTATGTCCTCTTTTTTTAAAAAAGTGTTATTTCTTCTCCTCCCTCCTTTTCTTCTGACCATTTCAATACGATATTACACTTACTTCTTTTTCAAGAGTACAATCAGAGAAAAATTCAATTAAATGAATTTTAGAATTAATCCTGAAACCAAGTTTTGGTATTTTTAAACTTATCATTTACTTGAATTTTGAATTGTCTTTTTTCGGAGGGATGGAATCTCACTCTTCTGCCCAGGCTGGAGTGCAGTGGCGCCATCTTGGCTCACCACAAACTCTGCCTCCCGGGTTCAAGCGATTCTCCTTCGTCAGCCTCCCTAGTAGCTGGGAAAAGGAGTCCTGGGGTTCAGTGAGATAAAATGGAAGAAGCAAGAACAAGGCAGTTGACCAAGGACACTGAGTCCCAAATTGGCCATTTTCATCTTGACTGCAGGAGATAGTTTCAGGAGACTCTTGAGCAATGGCATGGAGGTAAAATCTACCCTCGAAATAGACAGTTCCTGTCGTGGGTACAAATGGAGAAACCTTGGAAGAGAAGAAAAAGCATCTCCAAATGTGGGAGTCAAGAAAAAAAATGGCATAGGAAGCAAAATTCAGCTGTGTATGTTTATTTGTTTGCTTTAGGTTACCTGTGGGTCATCCCTCTTTATTTTACCCATAGCGGCTCTGTGTTCCATTGCATTCACTTTTGTTACTTTATTGGACATCCATGTTTCAGTTCTGTATCCTATAACTCAGCATCATCTTTAGTAGAAAAATACAGCAGAATGTGATGCAGGACAGGCCAAACAGGAAGGTCTCTGGACTGTCCCAATATTGATTCAACCAGAGCATCTCTGATGTTGCTTTTTTGATAGGTGGAAATTTTATATACAATTTCATTTAGAAAAAAAGCAATTGAGCAATGAAAATATTTGGAAGCTAGTCACCTGACAAATTCCATTCACTTTTTAAAAGAGGGGTAACAGGCCGGGCACAGTGGCTCACACCTGTAATCCCAGCACTTTCGGAGGCCGAGGCGGGCAGATCACTTGAGGCCAGGTGTTCAAGACCAGCCTGGCCAACATGGCAAAACCCCATCTCTACTAAAAATACAAAAATTAGCAGGGCATGGTGGTACAGGCCCGTAATCCCAGCTGCTCGGGAGGTTGAAGCATGAATCCTTTGAATCCGGGAGGCAGAGGAGGCTGCAGTGAGCTGAGATCCTGACACTACACTCCAGCCTGGGCAACAGAGTAAGACTCTGTCTAAAAAAGCAAACAACAAAAAAAAAAGGTGGACACAGTGGCTCACACCTATAATCTAAGCACTTTGGGAAGTCTAGGTGGGTGGATAACCTGAGGTCAGGAGTTCGAGACCAGCCTGGCCAACATGGTAAAACCCCATCTCTACTGAAAATACAAAAATTAGCCAGGAATGGTGGCACGCCCCTGTAATCCCAGCTACTCGGGAGGCTGAGGTGAGAGAATTGCTTGAACACGGGAGGCAGAGATTGCACAATTGCACTCCAGCCTGGGCAACAGAGCGAGACCTCACCTCGAAACAAAATAAATAAATAAATAAATAAAAGAAACAGCTCAATATAGGTGAATTAAATTACATAAGAAGGAAAAAACTTCAAGTTACTTGTAGAGCTTGGAATTTCAGAGTCTACGTTCTACCCAGTAAATGCAGCATGTGGCATTGCTGCTTCTGACTCTGTCACTGATGGACTGTATGACTTTAGATATATTGTTTAATTTTCTATGCTTGCTTCTTCACCAGTAAAATGATAATGGGTCTTAAATCTCTGTTGGGATCCTTGTATGGCAAATAAGGTAAGTACAGAAAAACTGATAAAAATAGATTCCTTGTGGTGTTTGAGCTCAGCTAAGCCAGCATGAGTTAACCAAAATGATGTGGCAAAATCAGCAGGCATGAATGAGGTGACGGTGCCATCTGCTGCTTCGTTTTAGGAATTTCAAGGTAAGTTAGAGGAATTTAATCTATTTTATTCATTTGCAAGTAAAACTGAAAAATTTCTGCAGGCTAGACCTGTCTCATAATAAAAATGGCACTTTCATTCTGCTAAAAGGCATCTATGGTTCTTCATTCCTAAGGAATTATCATCATTAGGAGTTAGCTTCTATTAAGATCACCTGTTAGAGTTCAATAATTACCATGTACATTTATTTTTAATTTTAAATTTCTGCCACCATCAGTTCCTAGAAAGAAGGGAACATATCTTGCTCAGTACCAACTCCCAGTGCCTAGAGTGATGCACTGACTACATTAAATGGATGAATAAGATCATATAGCTAGCTATTTTTAATTTGTTTATTTTCTTCCTCCATACCACACTGTAGGCACCATGAGAACAGGTTCTAAGTATATTCATTACTGTCAACCCTGTTAGCACTAAAGAAAGAAGGTATTCACTAGAGCGTTGATAAATAAATGAATTAATTAATGAATAAACCAAAAATGAGAAAAAAACAATTCTAATCCATATATCTTTGTAAAAATAAGAGTGAAGGGGAAATCAAAATATCTGAAGTTGTTATTTTTTATCTAACTTACTGAAGTATATATTCAGCCTTTTAAAAATTACACAGCTGGTCAGGTGCAGTGCCTAACACCTGTAATCCCAGCACTTTGGGTGGCCCATGTGGGTTGATTGCTTGAGGCCAGGAGTTCGAGACCAGCCTGGCCAACATGGTGAAACCCTATCTCTACTAAAAATACAGAAATTAGCTGACATGGTGGTACATGCCTGTAGTCCCAGCTACTCGGGAAGCTGAGGCACAAGAATAGCTGGAACCCAGGAGGCGGAGGTTTCAGTGAACCAAGATCGTGCCACTGCATTCCAGCCTGGGCAACAGAGCAAGACCTTGTCTCAAAAAAAAAAAAAAGTACATAGTAGATATCCTGTAGCATTTTCAAAATATAACAAAGTAATAAGACAGGCATAAGTAATTATTTTAATTTGTAAAAGGTTTGGTATTTATTGTAAATAAATAAGACAGTGTTGTATAAGCTTACCGAAGGCAGACAATTTGATATTTATGAATATACTGAGATAGATTTCTGCTATCAGTATTATAGGATGCTTTACTGAATTTGAATTATTTATAATATTGCTATTGGATTGTATGTTATCTGAGAGTTGAGATACAAATTATCTATCAGCTGTGCTGTTAAAGGAGTAAAAGAACTAGGGAAGATCTGAGACATTTGACTGTTTGTTGGAATATAACATGGACCATTAAATTTAACTGTGTTGTCACCAAAGTTCAGTTTAATAATTATCAAAGCCCTCAGATTTCCTTATGGTCCACATACAAGTCAGATGGATGATACTCCTACTTAATTCTGTGCTTCCCAACTCTGTCAATGCTTAGAACTCCTCAATTCTTTTATATATATATGAATAACAATTAAAATATATGCATATGTAAAGAATAATATTAAAAATATACCCATATATTTTTAATTTACTTCCAGGAAACGAGTACTCCATCAGTAAAAATGGCACATTTTTACAGGTGTTATCCATCATGGGATGAGGGGGATCATGGAAAAGTGGAGATTAAGAGGATCTGGGAGATAAACACAGATGCAAAGGAAGTACATTTGAAGATATTAATATAAAGATGGAATGTCTTAAATTTGCTCATTTTACTTGTTACATTTTAAAAACTTGAACAGGCCTGGCGTGGTGACTCACGCCTGTAATCCTAGCACTTTGGGAGGCCAAGGCGGACGGATCACCTGAGGTCAGGAGTTCAAGACCAGCCTGGTCAACATGGTGAAACCCTGTCTCTACTAAAATACAAAAATTAGCCATGCATGATGGCGGGTGCTTGTAATCCCAGCTACTCGGGAGGCTGAGATGGGAGAATCGCTTGAACCCAGGAGATAGTGGTTGCATTGAACCAAGATCACGCCACTGCACTCCAGCCTGGATGGCTAAGTGAGACTCTGTCTCAAAAAAATAAATAAATAAATAAACAAGCAAAAAACCAAAAACAAAACAAACAAAAAAACCTTAAACAATAAATTCAGGAAAGTATACACATTCTGCTAAGCCAGCACAGCCCAAAGTTTACTGTATGAAATACTCTAAGGTAATTGGATATTTGAAATTACATTCACTTATATACCATCTGTTCCCATACCAACTCAAGTTTTCTTTCAGAGCCCCAATAAACCTCAGACAAATCTCCACAATTAAAAAAAAAAAAACTGCAGAAATGCTGGATGTTACTTTTTATGGTTAGTAAAAGAAGGGCCAAGTCAGGATATGTTCCACAGCATGCTATTTTAACAACAACAACAACAAAGAATCCAAAGCAATGTTTACCAGTGCAATTAAACCTAATTAACAGGTCCTTTAGATTATTTGACCAATATGTTCTAAGAACTTAAGAATCGACAATCAAAACCAGAATATTTATAGGGCCTTAAGAAGATAAAAAAAATTAAACAAATATATGAGTAGCTAACATTTCTTGAACTCTTACCAAATTCTAGGCACATTGTGAAGGACTTTATAAACATCATTCCATTAAATCCTCAAATATCTCTGAGGTAGCTATTAGTGGTATTCCTCTTTCAGTTGAGAACTTCAAGGCATTAAGAGGGTACATAGCTTGCCTTAGACAACAGAAATGTTCAGTAATTAACTGGGATTTGAACTCAGTTCAACTTCAGAGCCCTTGTGCTTAACTATCATATTTATTTCTCATTACAGAAATGCATGCATGAACAATAGTTTATTTACATCAGGAGTCAGTAAATATCTTCTGAAAAGGGAGAGAGGGTAACCATTTTAGATTTTGCAGTCCACTTTCAGTCTTTGCTGCACATATTTTTAATAACCCTTTTAAAATGTAAAAATTAGTCTTAGATCACAGCATGCACATAACAGCCCTCAGGCCAAGAGCTGAAGTTGTAGCCCTGATTTAAATGATATAGTTGGGATCAAAAAGCAGTATATGAACTAATAGAAAGAGTTATCCCCAGGATAGATCAGATCATGGCAATTGCCTCTGAATCTAAGGTTTAAGAAAATAATGCACCAGTGTCTATAAGGATTGAAGACAGAAATAGTAAGGGCGAATGGGCAATGACTCACAGGCACTATCAGCTTGGCTAAAGAAGATAGCTCTGTCATCAACTTTGAAATAGAAACTACCAGACACAAAGTCAAGAATCCATCTTTCAGTATTGAAGTACAATTTTTTTCCCCAGGGATACTCTCAGTTCAACTTATCTTTGTTCAATGATATCAGTAGCCCTAACAGAAAGAGAAGCTTAAATACCTAATTACAAAATAGTTATCTTGAACTTTTTCTTATAGCCACAATAGAGTAACAAGGACTCAATTCACCTTCCAAATTAAAACAAACAAAAGGATATACATATATAAAGCAATAGTTTTTAAAACACTGGCTATCAAGTAATCAAGGACAGTGATTCCTGAGAGATGGAAAACAAGCAAGGTGAGCTCTATAATCGCCCTAGCTTACCAAGTTTAGAATGTTTCCAGGCCACACACAGGGAAGGGGAACTGAGGATGAGGCTAGTAAACTCCATGGATTAAAGATATATAAAGCTGAAAGCCAGAGAAGAAAAAGGCAAACAGAGTTCAGAGGAGAGTACAAGAGAAGAGTAGGCTGCATCAAGAAAGAACTCAGAGATCTACAGAGGATCTTGCTTGAGGACTCAGCAGAGTTCAGATCAAAGCACAAGTGTGAGGAGCTACCAGAGGGTCCAAGGAAAGAAACATCCAAACTGATTAGAGAAAACACTTCCCAGTGCTCACACACAGCAAGGAACAGTGCCCTTTCCCAACATCAAGGCTGGAAAAGATCATAGTTCAGTGAGGCTTTCAGTAGGATATTCAGAAACTCTTGCCTTCATAGTGGGAAATAATTAAGCCCCAGAATGAGAAATTCTTTAATATTGCCTATCATAAAAACAATAACAGAAACGTCACACTGTTTCTATGAAACTTAAACATATCTCATAATAAAACTCATAGGAGCACAAACCTATTTAGTATCGACCAAGGTAAAATGAACAATGTCTGGCTTTCAATCAAAGATCAGCAGGCATGCAAAGAGTTACAAAAATATGACCCATAATGGGGAGAATAATAATCAAAACCAACTCAGAGGTTAGAATTAGAAGATGTAGACATTAAGATAATTAATGTGTTCAAAACACATTTATATATTTTAAAAGTTACATAGAGATGTAGAAGACAAAAAAAAAACACCAAAGTACACTTTTAGAAATGTAAATGACAAAAGATAAAATTAAAAATACACTGTAAGGTATTAATGGCAGATTGGACACCCAGAAGGAAAGACTAGTGAACCTGGAGATATAACAAGAGTCACTATTAAAAATGAAGCCCCGAGAGAATATAATTTTAAAAGGAAAAGAAAGAAAGGGAAGAAGAAAGAAAAGTAAAATAAAAGAAGGAAGGCAAGCAAGAAAGAAGGAAAAGAGGCCAGGCGCGGTGGCCCACGCCTGTAATCCCAGCACTTTGGGAGGCCGAGGCGGGTGGATCACGAAGTCAGGAGATCGAGACCATCCTGGCTATCTAGGTGAAATCCCATCTCTACTAATAAATACAAAAAATTAGCCGGGCGTGGTGGCGGGCACCTGTAGTACTTGGGAGGCTGAGGCAGGAGAATGGCATGAACCCGGGAGGTGGAGCTTGCAGTGAGCCGAGATCGTGCCACTGCACTCCAGCCTGGGCGACAGAGTGAGACTCTGTCTCAAAAAAAAAAAAAAGAAGGAAAAGAGAAGGAGAAAGAACAGAAAGTAATAGAAAGGAAAGAAGGCAGGGGGAAGAGAAGCGGAAAGTAAGAGAGGGGAGGGGACGGGAGGGAAAGGGCAGAGCAGAGCATTAGGTTGCTGGGAGATAATTTCTAGCGCCTAATACGCGTGTATTAAATCCCTTAACAGTGTGTGGGAGTGGGGTAGAGGTTGGAGCAGAAAACATATTTGAAAAAATAATGCTTAACATTTTCAAAGCTAATGAAAAATGTAAAACAATAGATCCAAAAGCTAAAGAACTCTGAATACAAGAAACAAACAAAAAAACTTCACCAAGGCACATCATAATAAAAAATGCATAAACCCTGTGACAAAACGAAAATAAAATATCTAACAAAAGCATAGATAATTATGTACAGAGAAACAAAGAATGATAGAATATTTGTCATAAGAAATAATACAAGTAAGAAGACTGTGGAGTAACATTTTTGAAGTATACAAAAAAATCTGTCAGCCTAGCATTCTACACCCAGTGAAAATATCATTTAAAAGTACAGATGAAATAATAATGTTTTCAGACATCTTAAATCAGAATTAATCACAAACAGAATTTCAGTAGAGAAAACATTTAAAAAATTCTTCAGGAGGCCGGGCACGGTGGCTCACACCTGTAATCCCAGCACTTTGGGAGGCCAAGGCAGGCAGATCACAAGGTCAAGAGATCGAGACCATCCTGGCTAACATGGTGAAACCCTGTCTCTACTAAAAAATACAAAAAATTAGCCAGGCATGGTGGCAGGTGCCTGTAGTCCCAGCTACTTGGGAGGCTGAGGCAGGAGAATGGCATCAACCTGGGAGGCGGAGCTTGCAGTGAGCAGAGATCGGCCACTGCACTCCAGCCTGGGCGACAGAGCGAGACTCCGTCTAAAAAAAAAAAAAAAAAAGGAGGAAAAAGAAATAGGAAATAGATCAAAGGAGACAAATTGAAAACAAATATCAAGATGACAGACTTAAGTATAATTAATCAGAATTTCATTAAATGTAAATGTTTTAAACACCCAAAAGAAATTGTTAAATGATGTAAAATAGCGAGCCCAAATGTTATGTCAGCTAAAAGGAATATACTCGGTTTAAAGACAAAAAAATAGGTTAAAAGTAAAAGGATAAAAAAAGATATATCATGCCAATATTAATCAAAGAAAAGCAGGAGTGGCTGTACTAATTTCAGACTAATAGATTTCAGAACAAACATTACTAACAGGAATAAAAAAGTTTACTTGGTTAGAGGTCAGTTCATCAAGAGAGAATGAAAATCCATAATATTTATGCCTTGATTATCAGAGCTTTAAAATATACAAAGCAAACCTGATAGAACTACAGGAGAAGTAGACAAAATCATAATTATCATCAAAGGTTAGATACTCCTTTTTCAATAATTGATATGATAATAGACAAAAAATATCAGCAAGCATATAACAGACTTCAACCAGACTGGGGATGGTGACTCATGCCTGTAATCCCAGCACTTTGCGAGGCGAGTCAGGTGGATCACCTGAGGTCTGGAGTTCAAGACCAGTCTGGCCAACTTGACGAAACTAAGAATACAAAAATTAGAGGGGCATGGTGGTGTATGCCTGTAATCCCAGCTACTCGGGAGGCTGAGGCAGGAGAATCTCTTGAACCCAGGAGGCGGAGGTTGCAGTGAGCCAAGATCGCGCCACTGCACTCCAGCCTGGGGGACAAAAGCGAAACTCTGTCTCAAAAAACTATATATATATATAGCCGGGCATGGTGGCACATGACTGTAATCCCAGCTTCGCAGGAGGCTGAGAGAGGAGAATCGCTTGAACCCGGGAGGCGGAGGTTGCACCCGCGCCACTGCACTCCAGCCTGGCCGACAGAGACCGAGACACCTTCTCAAAACTAAATAAATAAATAAAGACTTGAATCAAATTATTGTCCGCATTTATTTGATGTACATTTTAACAACATTCCATCCAACGACAACAGATTACATATTCTTTTTAAGTGTACATGGAAAATTTGCCAAGATAGATCATATTTTTGGCCATAAAATGTCTCAATAAATTTAAGGGTTTAAGTCATTAAAAATGTTTCTTCTCACATGGAAACTAATAGTATAATGATTTCTGGAAAATTCCCAAGTATTTGGAAATTAACACATTCTAAATAATCAATGAATCAAAGAGGAAATTTGAAGGGAAATTAGAAAGTGTTTTGAACTGAATAAATGTGAAAAATTACCATACCAGAATCTGTTGTATACCACTAAAGCAATATTTAAAGGAAAGTTTAAAGCACTGCATGACTATATAAAAAAGAAGAAATGCCTCAAATTAATGAACTCAGCTTCCATATTAAGAAACAAGAAAAAGAAGAAATTAAAACCCAACTAAGTAGAAAAAAGAAACAATAGCAATCAAAGTAGAAATTAATGAAATAGGAAACAAAAATATATAGACAAAGTCAATGAAACAAAGAGCTTTTTTAGACAGCAATTTCAACTTTTATTCTAGATTCAGTGGGTACATATGCAGGTTTGTTACATGGGTAAATTTCATGATGCTGAGGTTTGTAGTGCAGATCATTCTGTCACCTAGGAAGAGAGCATAGTACCCAATAGGTAGTTTTTCAGCTGACATTTCCCTTCCTCCCTCCCTCCCCCTTCTAGTAGTTCCCAGTATCTATTGTTCTCATTATTACGTCCATGCGTACTCAATGCTTAGCTCCCACTTGTAAGTGAGTACATGCAGTATTTGGTTCACTGTTCCTATGTTAATTCACTTAGGATAATGGCCACCAGCTGCCTCCATGTTGTTGCAAACAACATGATTTCATTCTTTTTTATGGCTGTGTAGTATTCCATGGTGTATATGTACCACATTTTCCTTATACAATCCACTGTCAATGGACACCTAGGTTGATTCCATGTCTTTGCTATTGTGAATAGTGCTGTGATGAGCATACGAGTGCACGTGCTTTTTGGTAGAGTGATTTATTTTCCTTCAGATATATATCCAGAAATGAGATTTTCAGATTGAATCATAGTTCTGTTTTAAGTTCTTTCAGAAATCTCCAAACTGCTTTTTATAGTGGCTGAACTAATTTACATTCCCACCAACAGGGTATAAGCATTCTCTTTTCTCTGCAGCCTTGCCACCATCTGTTGTTTTATGACTAATAATAGCCATTCTGACTGGTGAGAGATGGTGTCTCATTGTGGTTTTAATTTGCATTTCTCTAATGATTAGTGATGATGATCATTTTTTCATATGTTTGTAGGCCGCTTGTATGTCCTCTTCTGTGAAGTGTCTGTTCATGTCCTTTGCCTCTTTTTAATGGGGTTATTTGTTTATTGCTTGCTGATTTGTTTAAGCTGCTGCTGCTGCTTCTTTTTTTTTTTTTTTTTTTTTTTGAGATGGGGTTTCGCTTTTGTTGCCCAGGCTGGAGTGCAATGGTGCAATCTCAGCTCACTGCAGTCTCTACCTCCCAGGTTCAAGTGATTCTCCTGCCTCAGCCTCCTGAGTAGCTGGGACTACAGGTGCGTGCTACCACACCTGGCTAACTTTTGTATTTTTAGTAGAGATGGGGTTTCACCATGTTGGCCAGGTTGGTCTCGAACTTCTGACCTCAGGTGATCCACCCACCTTGGCCTCCCAAATTGCTGGGATTACAGGTGTGAGCCACCACACCTGGCCTAAATTTCTTATAGATTCTGGATTATTACACCTTTGTCAGATGCATACTTTACTAACATTTTCTCGTATTCTGTAGATTGTCTAATTTCTCTGTTGATAGTTTCTTTTGCTATGCAAACCTCTTTAGTTTAATTAGGTCCTATTGTTGATTACTGTTTTTGTTGCAATTGCTTTTAAAGATTTAGCCATAAATTATCTGCCTTAGCTGATGTTGAGTAGGGTATTTCCTCGATTTATTTCTAGAATTTTATAGTTTGAGGTCTTAAGTCTTTAATCCATTTTGAATCAATTTTTATGTGTGATGAAAGGTAGGGTTTCACCAGTTTCAATCTTCTGCATATGGCTAGCCAGTATATTCCAGCACTTTTACTGAACAGGGAGTCCTTTCCTATTGGTCGTTTTTGTCAACTTTGTCAAAGACCAGATAATTGTAGGTGTGCAACTTTATTTCTGGGTTCTCTATTCTGTTCCCTCAGTCTATGTGTCTGTTTTTGTACTACTATCATGCTCTTTGGGTTATTGTAGCCTTATAGTATAGTTTGAAGTTGGGTAACATGATGCCTCCAGTTTTGCTCTTTTTGCTTTGGATTGTTTTGACTATTCAGGCTCTGTTTTGGTTCTGTATGAATCTCAGGATTGTTTTTTCTAATTCTGTGAAAAATGATACTTGTAATTTGATGGTAATAGCATTGAATCTGTACATTGCTTTGGGCAGTATGCCATTTTAACAATATTGATTCTTCCAATCCATGGGCATGACATGTTTTTCCATTTATTTGTATTGGCTCTGATTTCTTTCAGCAGTGTTTTGCAGTTCTCCTTGCAGAGATCTTTCACCTCCTTGTTTAGTGGTACTCCCAATAATCATTTTATTAGTGGTTATTATAAGTGGGATTATGCTCTTAACTTGGCTGTCAGCTAGAATGTTACTGGTGTTTAGAAATGCTACTAAGTTGTGTACATTGATTTTGTATCCTGAAATTTTGTTAACATCATTTATCAGTTTTAGGAGCATACTGGCGAAGTCTTTAGAGTTTTCTAGGTATAGAATCATGTTGTCAGTGAAGGGAGATAGTCTGACTTCTTTTCCTATTTGGATACCTTTTAAGTCTTTCTCTTGCCTGATTGCTCTGGCTAGGATTTTTGGTACTATGTTGAATAGGAGTGGTGAAAGTGGACATCCTTATCTTGTTCCAGTTCTCAAGGGAAATTTTTCCAGCTTTTGCCCATTCAATATAATGTTGTCTGTGGGTTTGTCTTAGACGACTCTTATTATTTTGAGGTTATCTTTCTTTAATGCCTAGTTTGTTGAGGTTTTTTTTTTTAACCATAAGAAGAGGTTGGATTTTACTGAAAGCTTTTTCCATGTCTGTTGAGATGGGATCATATAATTTTTATTTTAAATTCTGTTTATGTGGTGAGTCACATATATTGATTTGCATATGTCAAACCAACCTTGAATCATAGATATAGCCTACTTCATTGTGGTTAATTAACTTTTTTTTGTATTATTAATTTTTATTCTTTTTAGAGACAGGCCTCGCTATGTTGCCCAGGCTAGTCTCGAGCTCCTGAGCTCAAGCAGTACTCCTGTTTCAGACTCCCAAAGTGCTGGAATTACAGGCATGAGCCACTGCACCCAACTGATTGTGGTGAATTAACTTTTTGATCTGCTACTGGATTTGGTTTGCTGGTATTTTGCTGAGGATTTTTGCATCTATGTTTATTGAGGATGTTGGCCTCAAGTTTTCTTTTTTGTTCTGTCCGAATGATACTGGCTTCATAGAATGAGTTAGGGAGGAGCCCTCTCCTCAATTTTTTGTAATAATTTCAGTAGAATTTGTACTACTTCTTCTTTGTCCATCTGCTATAATTCAGCTCTGAAGCCATCTTGTTCAAGACTTTTGTTGGTTGGTAGATTTCTTATTATTGTTTCAATTTTGGAATTTGTTATTGGTCTGTTCAGGTTTTTGCTTTCTTCCTGGTTCAATCTTGGGAAGTTATATGTTTCCAGGAATTTATCCATTTCCTCTAGATTTTTAATTTGCATAGAGATTTTCATAATGGTCTCTTAGGATCCTTTGTATTTCTGAGGAATTTGTTGTAATCTCATCTTTGTAATTTCTGATTGTGCTTATTTCTTTTTTTTATTAACCTACCTTATGGCCTATCAATCATGATTATTCTTTCAAAGAACCAGTTCTTGGTTTCATTGATCTTTCATATGGTGTTTTGCAACTCAATTTCATTCAGTTCCTGTTTGATTGTATTTTTATTTTTTATTTTATTTCATTTTTTTGAGACAGAGTCTCACTGTGTCACCCAGGCTGGAGTGCAGTGGCACGATCTCAGCTCACTGTGACCTCCACCTCCTGGGTTCAAGAGATTCTCATGCCTCAGCCCCCCGAGTAGCTGGGATTACAGGCATGCACCACCACACCAGAATAATTTTTTTTTTTTTTGAGACAGAATCTTGTTCTGTCACCCAGGCTGGAATGCAGTGGCACGATCTTGGCTCACTGCAACCTCTGCCTCCTGGGTTCAAGTGATTCTCCTGCCTCAGCCTCCTGAGAAGCTGGGACTGCAGGCAGACACCACCATGCTCAGCTAATTTTTGTATTTTTTAGTAGAGATGGGGTTTCACCATGTTGGCCAGGCTGGTTGTGAACTCCTGACCTGAAGTGATCCGCCCACCTCGACCTCCCAAAGTGCTGCGATTGCAGGCATGAGCCACTGTGCCTGGCCTAGAGTTAGTACTGATATGTGACATTGATCCTGTCATCATGTTCTTAGCTGGTGACTTTGTAGTTTCTATTGCATAGTTGCTTTATATTGTTGGTGGGCTATGTGGTTAAATGCATTTTTGTGATAGCAGGTATCATTCTTTCATTTCCATCTTTACAGCACTCCTATAAAGACGTCTTGTAAGGCTAGTCTAGTGGTAACAAATTCCCTTAAGCATTTGCTTGTCTGAGAAATTTATTTCCCCTTCACCAGTCAAGCTTAGTTTATCAGGACATAAATTTTTTGGTTGGAATTCCTTCTCTTTAAGAACACTGAAAATAGGCCCCAATCTCTTCTGACTCATAAGGCTTTTGCTTAGAGGTCTGCTACTAGCCTGATGGTCCTCATTTTGTAAACGACCTGACCCTTCTCTCTAGATGCCTTTACATTTTTTCTTTTGCATTAACCTTGATGAATCTGATAACTATGTGCCTTGGGAATGCTTGTTGTGTCTAGTATCTCATGGGGGTTATCTGTACTTCTTTTTTTTTTTTTTTTGAGATGGAGTTTCACTCTTGTTGCCCAGGCTGGAGGGCAATGGCACGATCTTGGCTCACTGCAACCTCTGCCTCCCAGGTTCAAGCGATTCTCCTGCCTCAGCCTCCCAAGTAGCTGGGATTACAGGCATGCACCACCATGTCCAGCTAATTTTTGTATTTTTAGTACAGACGGGTTTGCCATGTTGGCCAGGCTGGTCTTGAGCTCCTGACCTCAAGTGATCTACCCACCTTGGCCTCCCAAATGCTGGGATTCAGGCATGAGACAACACGCCAGGCCTTATATTTCTTAAATTTGTATGTTAACATCTCTAGTGGGAGTGGAGAGATTGTCATGGATCGTATCCTCAAATATATTTTCCAAATAGCTTACTCTCTCTCCTCTCTCAGGAATACCAATGAGTTATAGGTTTGGTCTCTCTATATAATTCCATATTTCTCAGGGCTTTTGTCCATTTTTTTAAAATTATTTCTTCTTTATTTTTGTCTGACTGAGTTGATTCAAAGAACCAGTCTTTGAATTTCTTCACAGCTTGGTCTATTCTGCTATTAATGCTTCCAAATGTATTATGAAATTCTTGTAGTAAATGTGTCAATTCCAGAAGTTCAGTATGGTTCGTTCTTAAAATTATTTTTTTCAGGCTGGGTGTGGTGGTTCACGCCTGTAATCACAGCACTTTGGAAGGCCAAGGCAGGTGGATCGCTTGAGGTCAGGAGTTCAAGACCAGCCTGGCCAACATGGCGAAACCCTGTCTCTACCAAAAAATACAAACAATTAGCCAGGCCTGGTTGTGTTCGCCTGTAATCCTAGCTACTTGGGAGGCTGAAGCAGGAGAATCGCTTTAACCTGGTAGGTGTAGGTCGCAGTGAGCTGAGATCGTGCCACTGTACTCCAGCCTGGGTGACAGAGCAAGACTCCATCTCAAAAATAAATAAATAAATAAATAAATAAAAGTCTTTTATCTTTCAGCTCTTGGATCATTTTACTGGATTCCTTGGATTGCGTTTCAACAGCCTCCTGAGTCTCAGTGAGCTTTCTTTCCATCTAGGTTCTCATTTCTGTGTCTGTCATTTCATTCTGGTTAAGAGCCATTGCTGGGGAGCTAGTGTGCTCATTTGGAGGTAAGGGGACACTCTTACTTTTTAATTGGCAAAATTCTTTCTCTTCTGAGAGGGCTGGTATTCCTTTAACTGTGGTGTAAGTTGAATATAGTCATTTGCTTCATTTATGAGTGCTGTCAGAGGGCCAAGGCTCTGTACAAGATCTTTGTGGCTGGATTCTTGCCCTGAGTTTCACAGACCAATATTTAATATATTGGCAGAATATTTTTGGTGTAATTTGGGCTATCATCCAGCAGATGGCGCATAAGAGTAACGGCCAGCGCTGCGGGTTTTTACGTTTCAGCGAGCTCGCAACAACGTCCTGTGGTGTGGCCCAGCGCGGGGAGCTGACCCCACCAGCTCCGCTCTCAAGCCTTCGGAGAGTCCTCTCCAGTCACTATCGTCATTCCCGCATTTCCTTTGCTAGGCTGTCCGGGCTGGGCAGCTCCCTCAGGCGGACACCCATGGCTGGCAGACCTTCCGCGCCTGCCCCTAATCTGGGCATATCACTCCCTCGGTTTTCTGAGACTCGGGACTCCTTGCCCGCTGGAGCGCAGGCCATGAATCTGGGTCCCGCACTGCGGCGCTGCACGCCGCAGCCCAGGGCTTTGGCCCCAGCCAGCACATCCGCCATCCTGCACCCCAGGTTCCGGCACGGGCTGCGACGGGGCCTCGGAACTGCTCCCAAGCGGCTGGGAAAGAACTCAGTCAGGCATGTCGGCCTGCAAAGCACCCAGGATGGGCAGTGGAGTCTGCACCGTTGACAGGCTCCTAGAGCGGCCAGGCAGAGGACTTGAGAGGGGCTGGAGGGCAGGAGGTCCTGCGGAACAGAAGTGCCCCACTCCGAAGGGAAAGTCGACCCTGCTGTTCTCTTTGCGCGGCAGTCAGTGGGGTTAGAGTTATTCGGAAGAGGACGGAGAGCCTTGGGGGATGGGTGCGCATGGCCATGTTCCACTGGAACTGCCCCCAACGCAAAACAAACAAACAAACAACAACAACAACAAAAACCGGGCTCTATGCAGGCTGGAGTTCTGCCTCTGCCTGCTTGTAGGGCATATCCCCATGCCAGTTCGAATGTTTATGGGGAGTGTAGGATCTCTTGTGGCTGGAATCCTAGAGGTCCACAGCAAGAGTGGGCTGCCTTGCCAAGGGTTGTTCAGGGCCAGGAACTGGCACTGGTGTTCCAGAACCTGAAAGGGTTCCCGGTCTCCCTTTCTGTCAGCGGGAGTGGTGCTTCCTGTCTGCGTCTATTTGGCCATCTTGTCTCTGTTGACCAAATAGCTTTTTTGAGAAGAAAAATGAAATTGATAAATCTCTAGCTAAGCCGATTAGTTTTAAAAAAAAAAGATACAATTAACACTGTCAGGAAGGAAGTGGCAATGCTAAAGATTCTACAGATATTCAAATAATTTTTAAAAATGGTATGCCAATAAATTAAACAACTTAGATGAAGCTCATAAATTCCTTGAAAGTAACCACCAAAGCTCATTGAAGAAGGAATCCTTTGAACAGCTCAACATCTAAAAAAAACTGAATCTGGCCGGGTGCGGTGGCTCACGCCTGTAATCCCAGCACTTTGGGAGGCTGAGGCGGGCGGATCACAAGGTCAGGAGTTCGAGACCAGCCTGGCCAGCATGGTGAAACCCCGCCCCTACTAAAATACAAAAATTAGAGGGACATGGTGGCTCGCGCCTGTAATCCCAGCTACTTGGGGGCTGAGGCAGGAAAATCGCTTGAACCCGGGAGGCGGAGGTCGCAGTGAGCCGAGATGGTGCCACTGCACTGCAGCCTGGGCGACAAAGCAAGTCTCCGTCTCAAAAAAAAGAAAAAAAAGAAACTGAATCTGTAGTTGAAAACCTTACTACAAAGAAAACCCTATGCCCAGATGACTTCAAGGGTAAATTGTATCAAACATTTAATGAAGAAATAGTACTAATTCTAAACCAAATCTTCCAGAAAAATTGACATTGAGAAATATTTATCTGATATTCAAATAAGGCAAAGTCATAAAGAGAAAAGAAAACTATGTTTAAAAATACTGGCCATGGCCAAGCACGGTGGCTCACACCTGTAATCCCAGCACTTTGGGGGCCTAGGCGGGCAGATCACCTGAGGTCAGGAGTTCGAGACCACCCTGGCCAACATGGTGGAACCCTATCTCTACTAAAAATGCAAAAATTTGCTGAGTATGGTGGGGGGTGCCTGTAATCCCAGCTACTCAGGAGGCCAAGGCAGGAGAATCGCTTGAACCCGGGAGACAGAGGTTGCAGTGAGCCAAGATCGCGCCACTGCACTCCAGCCTGGGCGACAGAGCAAAACTCCACCTCAAAAAAAAAAAAAAAAGTACTGGCCAGGCATGGTGGGTCACACCTGTAATCCCAACACTTTGAGAGGCCGAGGCAGGAGGATCACTTGAACCTGGGACTTCAAGGCCAGCCAGGGCAACATAAGAAGAGCCTGTCTCTTTCTCTCAAATTAAAATAATTAGCTGGGGATGATGGTGCATGCCTGTGGTCACCGTTGTCCCAGCTACTTTGGAGGCTGAGGCAGGAGGATCACTTCAGCCTGGGAGGTCAAAGCTTCAGTGACCTGTGGTCGTGCCACTGCAGTCCAGCCTGGGCAACAGAGTAAGACTCTACCTCTAAAAAACCAGAACAAAATGAACAGAAACAAAAAACCCATAAATATAGTTGCAAACATTCTAAGCCAAATTTTAACAGAAATAACCCATAATATAATACATATAACAGATCTAATCCATTAATATAATGCAATCCTAAATTGTTTTAACCTTATATAATTAATGAGTGTAATTCATGTTAAAAGACTAGAAATTTTTAACCTAAAAAAAAACAAAGAAAATACTAGATATTTTTAAAATAAAAATGTATATATAATCATCTCAATAGATGTAGAAAAATATTAGACAAAATTAACACCTATTCCTGATCAGTCCTCTAAGAATGCAAGGAACAAAAGGGAACTTCCTAAAACTGATTAAGGACGTCTATGAAACATCTACAGTTTACACCATACTTAGTGGTGCAACACTGAATGATCTCTTCTCAAGATCAATTTCAAAATAAGGATATTGTTCTCACTACTTTTATTTCTCATTGAACGGGAGGTTCAGGCAAGGAAAAGAATAAAAGCATTGGAAAGGAAAAGATAGAAGTGCTTCCGCTGGCACACAGAATGATTATTTGTGTAGAAAATCTGATGACATCTACAAAAAAAGTTACTAGAAGAAACAAATAAGTTTATCAAGGTTTCAGAATATAAGGTGAATATTTAAAAGTCTATTATATTTCTCCATACTAGCAATAAACAGTTGGAAATTAAAATTATCAATGATAATTCCCATGTACAGTAGCGTCGAAACTATGAAGTATATATGGTAAGCTAACAAAATATGTAAAAATATCTGTAAGAGAAAACTGCAAAACATTGCTCAGAGAAATTTTAAAATACCTAAATAAATGCAGAGACATACTTTATTCAAGAGTCAGAAAAATCAATATTTTTAAGGTTTCAATTCTGCCCAAATCGATTTGTAGATTCAATGTAATCACAATCAGAATTCCAAAAGAGTTTTTGTAGAAATTAGTGAGCCAATTCAAAAATCAATATGGAAAATATAGTGACATAGCTCAGCCAATGTAACTTTGCAAAAGAAAAATAAATTTGAAGGACTGTCACTGCATGATTTTAAGATTTATTATAAAACTACAGTATTCAAAATAATGTGGTGGTGGTGTATAAATACGCAAATACAAAAATACAACAATCAGTGGAATAAAATAGAGAGTTTAGAAATAATCCCATGAATATACAGACAACTGATTGGTGATAAAGGTGCAAAAGCAATTTAGTAAAGAAAAATAGTCTTTTCGACAAATTTACATTTGTCGAATTAATCCCAAATAAATCATAGACCTCAGTATAAAACCTGAAGCTATAAAATGTCTAGAAAAAAATAAAGGAGAAAATTTTTGTGACCTTGAGTTAGTCAATGAGTTCTTACAAACCACAGCAGAATAATAAAAATGGACTTCATTAAAATAAAAAACTTCTGCTTTATGAGTATATTGTTCAAAGAATGAAAAGACAGGCTGGGCGGTGGCTCACACCTGTAATCCTAGTACTTCGGGAGGCCAAGGCAGGCAGATCACTTGAGGTCAGGAGTTCAAAACCAGCCTGGCCAACATGGTGAAACCCCATCTCTACTAAAAATACAAAAACTTAGCCAGGCATGGTGGTGGGCACCTGTAATCCCAGCTACTTGGGAGGCTGAGGCAGGAGAATCACTTGAACCTGGGAGGCGGAAGTTGCAGTAAGCTGGGATTGCACTACTCCAGCCTGGGCAACAGAGTGAGACTCCCTCTCAAAAAAAAAAAAAAAAAGACAAGACAAGAAAAACATTTCAAGATGCATATCTGATAAAAGGTTTTTATCCCAAATATATAAAGTTCTCAAACTCAACAGTAAGAAAAATAAACCAAGTAAAAATTCTCAAAAGATTTATACAGTTACTTTATCAAAGTTACCTAATACAGATGGTAAATAAGCTTATAAAAATTTGCCTGGGGCGGTGGCTCACGCCTGTAATCCCAGCACTTTCAGAAGCTGAGGTGGGTGGATCACCTGAGGTCAGGAGTCTGAGAACAGTCTGGCCGACATGGTGAAACCCCGTCTCTGCTAAAAATACAAAAATTAGCTGGAAGTGGTAGCGGGCGCCGGTAATCCCAGCTACTTGGGAGGCTGAGGCAGGAGAATTGCTTGAACCCAGGAGGCGGAGGTTGCAGTGAGCTGAGATTGTGCCACTGAACTCCAGCCTGAGCAACAAGAGCGAAACTCTGTCTCAAAAACAAACCAACAAACAGAAATTTGTAGGATACACAGATTAAAACTATGAGGATATACCATTCGATATCTACTAGAATCATTAAAACTATAAGACGAACCATATGAAATTCTGGCATGGATGAGATGGAACTGGAGCACTCATACACTGCTGGTAGGAATGAAAAATGGTACAACTTTGGAAAAGAGTTTGTCAGTTTCCTAAATAGTTAATCATACACCTACTGTGTGATCCAGACGTTATACTCCTAAGTATTTAACCAAGAGAAAAGAAATCCTATGTTCATACAGACTTGTACACAAATGTTCACAGCAGCTTTATTTGTAATATCCCAAAACTAAAACAACCCAAATGTCATCAACAAGTAAATGGGTAAATGAATTGTGGTATATCCATACAAGGGAATATTCAACATTTAAAAGAATGAATTCATACGAGCATCAAGATGGAGACATATGAATCTCAAAATAATTATGCAAAGTGAAAGAAGCCAGACAAAAAAAAAAGACATACTATATGATTCCATTCACATAAAACTACAAAATGCAAAATGAAAGCCGATTGGTGGTTTTCTGGGGAGGAGTCATCAGGAGGAGCATTGTGACACTTTGAGGGATGATGGATATGTTCACTCTCTTAATTGTAGTATGCATGTTCTCCACAAGGTGTGAAAACTTATCAAATAGTACACTTTAAATATGTTCAGTTTATTTTATGTTAATTATATCTCAATAAAGCTTTTAACAAAAGCAAACATCTCTTGCCTACATAAGGATGACACAGCTCTTAAAAAAAAAAAAAGATTCCTGCTAGATTGTGTGCAGCAAAATAAAAAGGCTTCCTTTAAAGTAGAATAGCCTGTGAAGAGTGGGTGGAAAGGAAATAGAAGCCTAAAAATAGAAGATATATTTCTAATTCCATCTGTTTCTATTCAGCGATATTTGCATACCTGGCTTAGTTTGTTCTAGATTGAGTGTCTTCATTTTTTTTGTCTTGTATGTTTCGGAATTATAGCATAGCAAAACAGAGTTGAGAAGAGTTCATCTACAAAAGGTATGTTCTTTAGGGAAAGAAATTCTATTCTTACCTCTGGGCCACACATCCCATGATTCTAACAAGAACTGTTGTGAAGGGTTAAATCTATTAATCTGTCCTCTGGTAGAAAAAAAAATGAAGAAATAATAACTGATTCAGGAAGTGGTAACAGGTTGTGGATTAGCTTACAGAAAAGACCACTCACTTACTAATTACTTTCTTGGGCTCCCCACTTGTCCCAAAATGTGTGTGTGTGTGTGTGTGTGTGTCTGTCTGTCTGTCTGTCCGTAAGTGGTAGAGTCTGGAGATGGACCACAGTTTAAAAACCAAGGATTGATACCTTTTTTAAAGTTAAGAACATGAGTTTCTTGATTTCGGAATGGCCTCTGTCCTTCTTTGTTTCTTCACGTGCACTTTTTCCCAGACATATTTCCCCTTTTTGCTCTCTGCCTGCACTTGAGCAAGTTCTCCATGTTCTGTCTTTCATGCAATTTTAGGAGTGTGAGGGGAAGGTGATAATGAGGTAAAGAAGACTGAGTTCAGAGGGTTTTCAAGCTTGAAGAGGAGTCAAATTTTAAAATAAAAAGGGGAAAATGGACTTCAGGCTGGCAGGGAAGCTTGGGACAAGCTAGGTGAAATAATACAGGTAGCTAGAATCAAAAATGTTGACATAAAGGTGCCAGGCTCCTGGAACCCCAGTTTCTGCAAAGGAGTTCTGCAGCCAGCTAAATGACAGTTTTCTGGGCTCTCATGTTTGGCACCCAAGTGACAAAGAATAGCTTAAATTCCAGAATAAAACTCAAAGACTTTTTTCTTTTCTTCCAGAGCCTTCAAATTCACTGTGCTCTTAGGTTTGCCTTCTTCTGACATATACTGAAGGCAGCTAAAATGCAGTTTTCCGCATAAACAGCTCCTCGTTGTATATATGCACAGGTACCTGAAGGGTATGTCTGGGAGACAGCGCCTCGGACTCTAAATCTGCAGGTAGGAAAAAACAAAACAAACCAACAAAAAAACTTAGGTTTACTGCCACCTTGTTTCAGAAACTTAGCTTTTGAAACTTTTTGTCTTAAAGCCTCCAATCAGTAATAAATGTGGGAAGGAAAACTCAAGAAAATGTCTGAATGGTTAATGAGTAAATCTTTTTGTGAAAGAGGTAAGGAAGGAGACTTTGAGAAATTCCCCCAAGCTTCTCTCTGGCAAGAAGAGGACATTGGTGGGATGCAGGCAGTGACCTCACTAGCAGGTTCAGCAAAGAATAGGAAACTGACGAGAGAGGCATCAAAAAGAATGGGAAACTTACAAGTGGGGCATCAAAGGAGAACCGTCCTCCCAGAGCCATGGGTAGCTGGGGTTCCTCCGAGACAGCCCCATCCAGAATGGAAAACTGGAATAGGAAATTGCTTGCTGGATGAAGTCCTGTGGGGAGTAATGTTTCTGAGTTTGTGGAATCCACATGGTGGTTTTAGAATCTGAAAGTCAGTTAGTGTTGGATCCACAAAACTAAAGAACCAAAAGGTATCTTTGACATCCCCTTGACTGTTTTACGGAAACACTTACTGAAGGCTAGAGATACTACAGAGCCTGTCCGTCCAAGGTCATACACAAAATTGGTGATCAGACTAAGCTAAAAAAACAGACATTTTGGCTCTCAAACAAGAATTCCTCCAGTGACAGTTTAAACCAGATTAATTTCCCTATCAACCAATACTCCACCCCAACAAATATCCATGAACACTCACCAGATCAGCTGTGCTATTAATTTTCAGCAACTTGGCATCCAAAGACAAGCACTTCTCTTGGCTCTTTTCCCAGTTAAATGAGCCCGAGGAAAATAGGTAACAGTTTTCTCCATGCCAGATCCAGTCTTGCGGACAAGGAGCTGGGAAGGATAGTATATCTCATCAGTCAGTTATGTTTGTGTAAAAGCAGTACTGCAGTTCTTAAATCAATGATCCCCTTAGTTCTCTCACGTGCATACTATTTATTTTTGTTTTTGTTTTTGTTTTTGTATTTTTAGTAGAGATGGGGTTTCACCATGTAGGCCAAGCCTCCCAAAGTAGTGGGACTATAGTCGTGAGACACCGCGCCCTGCCCACACTACTTCTTAAGTAAAATTTTACCCAGGTTCTGCAAATACCTAAATAGCCTCAGAGTCCTTATTTCTTCATTTTTTGGGAAAAAAAAGAAAGAAAGAAAGCATACTGATTTTAGCAACCTAAATGTACTTCTCATTTAGCATTTTCACTTCCCCTGATGAAAAGCAAGTTAAGCTAGCATGTAATTTTAGAAACTGATCTATTTTTTAAAGTTGTGTTGGAAATAAAGAAAGTGAGGGTTGGGAGAACAGATATTTAATAGCCATTCTGCTATTTTTAAAAAGTAATGCTATGCATTTTAAAATTTCATATCTTTGAATAATGAATCTAGGCTTAAATACTATGTGTCTTGCTTTCAGACATGTGTTGTCTAATACAGTAGCCATATGTGATTCTTGAGTACTAGAAATATAGCTAGTTTGCATTTCTTAAAACAAATTATTTTAATTGAAACAGGGTCTCGCTATGTTGTCCAGGCTGGTCTTGAACTCCTGGCCTCAAGCAATCCTCCTGCCTCAGCCTCCCAAAGTGCTGGAGTTACAGGCATGACCCACCACACCCGGCTAGTTTGCATTAAGATGTACTATAAGTGTAAAACACACAAAAGATTTTGAAAACTTAATTTGAAAAAGAAAAAGAATGTAAAATAGTCCATTAAAAATTTTTATACTGATTAGTATTGAAATAATATTTCAAATATCTTGGGTTAAATAAAATGTGTTTCTAAAATTAATTTTATCTGCTTCTTTTTCATTTTTATGTGGTTACTAGAAATTTTAATGATATATATATATATATATATAAAAAACACATACTATATTTCTTTTGTACAGAGTTGTTCTAGGGAAAATAGTATATTAATATAAAGCGAGGATCTCAATTTAAACGAGATTTTAGAAAATAAGGAGATTTTCAGTAGCAAAATTCACAGGGAGTCCACCAAACCAAAAACAGGACTTAGACAATAGGCAAAATATACCAATGTCTACATGTTTATGGATGCTTTCAGGAACCCTCAAATCATCACTATCATCACCATCATCATCATCATCTCTCCCATCTCCTTAAGGGGAAACAAAGTACTCTGGTCTACACTACAACCAAAAGGTGAAAAATTAAAATCTTTGAGAAAGGCAGCATTTTAATTTCATTCTCACTGTGGCATAAAACCACTAAATAAATGTATAAGAGTAGGCTTTATCAGAGAGGAGAAAATAGGAGGGACTGAAAAACAGAAAAAAGTGAATGAGAAAGAGCATACAAAACACTAAGTTGATTTTTCACCAAACTGATGCTTATGAAAAGAAAAAGAGACCAAGTTGAAAGCAGTCAATGCAAGCTTCTTACTTCTTAGTTTGCCTAACCCCATCATATTATGTAAATATAAATATATGTACGTTTTTGGCTGGGGGTGGTGGCTCATGCCTATAATCCCACCACTTTGGGAGGCTGAGGTGGGTGGATCGCTTGAGGCCAGGAGTTCCAGACCAGCCTGTGCAACATGGCGAAACCCCATTTCTACAAAAAACACAAAAATTCACTGGGTGTGGTGGTGTGCGCCTGTAGTCTCAGCTACTTAGGAGACTGAGGTGGAAGGATCACTTGAACCTAGGAGGTGGAGGTTGCAGTGAGCTGAGATCATGCCACTGCACTCTAACCTGGATGACAGAGGAAGACTCTGTCTCAAAAAATATATTTAGATGTATATAAGTTTTTTGTGGACTAAAAAGACAGTCTGGGCAAGTTTTCCCAGTTATGACAAAGTAAGAAGGACACATTACAAAATGTAGTATTTAAACTTACTGTATTTCTTTGTGTGTGTGTGTGTGTGTGTACACAAAAATAAACAGAGTAAGTGATATTTGTGTTTGTTAAATTATATAACAATACAAATATCACTTACTATGTTTATTTTTTATATAATTTAACAAACACAAATATCACTCACTATGTGCCAGAAACTGTTGGAAGTACTGTACAGGTATTAACTCATTTAATCCTCACAGTATCTCTGTGAGATAGGTTCCAGTCATTTTCTTCATTTGACAAATAGAGAAGAATCTGGACCTAGATAATGTAACTCTAGAGTCTGGGTGTTTCACCACTATAACATACTACCTTTCAAACTTCTAAGTTAAAACCATTTGAGGAAGTGTTTCTCGGTGCTGCTCTCGAGACATTTTGATACAGAATCTTGAGGTAAATCTGTAATCTGCCACTTTTAACAATCTATTTACATACAGTAAAGTTTGAGAATCACCACAAATTCCATTGCTAAATGTGAAGTCTATTCCTGCAAAGGCCCTGCATCTCACTAGCTCGTTGGCCTAAAGCAAACATATAATAACCTCTCAGCATCTCTCCCTCCTCATATATACATTGAAGACCACAGACTTTTTAGTAAAAAAGATAAAACTTGCCTCAAACTGGAAAAACTTGGCTTTTTTTTTTTTTCTGTATGTGGTATTTTAGTATTACTTTTTAAAGACTTCTCAAAGCTCTTTGGTGGGCCGGGCCTGGTGGCTCACACCTGTAATCCTAGCACTTTAGGAGGCCAAGGTGGGTGGATCACGAGATCAGGGGTTCGAGACCAGCCTGACCAACATGGTGAAACCCCGTCTCTACTAAAAATACAAAAATTAGCTGGGCGTGGTGGCAGGCGCCTGTAATCCCAGCTACTCAGGAGGCTGAGGCAGGAGAATTGCTTGACTCCGGGAGGCGGAGGTTGCAGTGAGCCTAGATCGCACCACTGCACTCTAGCCTGGGTGACAGAGCGAGACTCCGTCTCAAAAAAAAAAAAATGCTCTTTGATGAAAGGCAAAACTTTATTTGCTATCTCTACTAATTAGCCTTTATCTGACACTGTCAAGGAATGGAACATGTTACTTGGTATATCTGCCAGCATCAGACATATCACTTATTGTTTTTTATTAGTTGTTCATCCAGGGCATCTCTGGGAGATAGTTCTGAATGGTCCTGATGTAGATTTAATCCCATACAACTGATAAAGACAAAATTCTCTTCTGGCCTTGCCTGTGATATAAACCATTGGTTAGTACGTGGTTATGTCCGCTTTTATAAACATTCCTATCCTTAATAGATAAACTTTCTCCCTTTAAGCCTTCTTGAAGGTGGTATATTCATTTCCTTGCAAGCTCCAACTTTAAAGAGATTAAAAATGTTTGACACTTGCTAAAAATTATTTTGTTCAAAAATTTCTGCTAATTTTGAAAATGTAAATGACCTCTAAATAGTGAAGGGATTTACAAACTGCAAAACCTTACACAAAATTACTTTTTATTATCATTTCACTTTATCCGGGTCTCAGTGTTCCACCTATCAAGGAAAAGCTTAGGTATCTGTGAACTATTATTATATGCTCTTTATTCAAATAAATTATGTGGTTGAGATTAAGTAAATTGTGCAAGCAAGAAGCTAGAGAGATCTCTGTTTATTAGAGGAAGTTTTTCTCTAATCCTGACAATAGGGCACTAATTTACGCACCTCCAAGGAAACAAAGTACCTCTGAATGACTCTCTCTCACACCTTTTAACTCTCCCTATGCCTAAAACCATATACCTGATGTAATGACATACTGCAGAAAGACCAAATAATACAGTAGCTTCTGTAACAATATCAGAGTTCACATCATAGTCTTCTTATAGATGCTACTATTTCTGCCTGCCTCTGGATTCTGAGTCCCTTTAGACGGCTAAAATTAACTCATTTCTTCTTATATAAATAGACTTCTTGGACTCCTCATATTTTTGTCTAATCTGAAGTATCTGCGTAAGGCTTGCAAGCCAGTCTACCTCCATTGGCTCTATTTAAATTGATGGGCCCGGCACAGTGGCTCACACCTGTAATCCCAGCACTTTGGGAGGCCGAGGCGGGCGGATCACCCGAGGTCAGGAGTTCAAAACCAGCCTGGCCAACTTGGTGAAACACCATCTCTACTAAAAATACAAAAATTAGCCAGGTGTGGTGGCGGGTGCCTCTAATCCCAACTATTCGGGAGGCTGAGGCAGGAGAATCCCTCGAACCCGGGAGGCGGAAGTTGCAGTGAGCCGAGAATGTGCCACTGCCCTCCAGCCTGGGGGACAGAGCGAGACTCCCTCTCAAAAAAAAAAAAAGAAAATTGGCCGGGCGTGGTGGTGGGTGCCTGTAATCCCAGCTACTTGGGAGTCTGAGACATGAGAATTGCTTGAACCCTGGAGGCGGAGGTGGCAGTGAGCCGAGATCAGGCCACTGCATTCCAGCCTGGGCGACAGAGCGAGACTCCATCTCCAAAAATTGAAATCAAATAAAATAAGTTGATGTAGTACACTTTAAGAAATAATGCCACAGAGTGAGCTAATGTAGAGTTAGGGGTAGACAGTTGCAAGGACAAAAAGATCCCTTAGAAAAAGAAATACAGTGATTAAAATGCATTGGAATGGAAAGAGATAAGGATCTATGGAATGGGGTGGGGGTGGCAGAATTCTTCAAGAAAAATGTCAAAACTGCTACTAGGGAGGCTGAGGCAAGAGAATCACTTGAACCCAGGAGGTGGAGGTTGCAGTGAGCTGAGATCACACCACTGCATTCCAGCCTGGGTGTGACACAGCGAGACTGTCTCAAAAAATAAAAAAAAAGAAAGAAAAATCTCAAAACTAAAATTTTAAAAAGAAGAGGCTCTTATAAAGAAGGAAAACTTAAATCCACCAAAAGGTATGCTTAATTAAATCAGATTTTTCAAGGATTTGACACAGCATAGGGTGGTTCTGATTAAAAATTTAGAACTTCTTGCCGGGTGCGGTGGCTCACACCTGTAATCCCAGCACTTTGGGAGGCTGAGGCAGGCGGATGACTTGAGGTGAGGAGTTTGAGACCAGCCTGTTCAATATGGCAAAACCCTGTCTCTACTAAAAGTACAAAAATTAGTTGGGCATGGTGGCTCATGTTTGTAATCCCAAGCACTTTGGGAGGCTGAGGCAGGAGAACTGCTTGAACCCAAGAAGCAGAAGCTTATTGAACTGAGATCACACCACTGCTTTCCAGCCTGGGTGACAGAGCAAGACTCCGTCTAAAATTAAAAAATAATAATAAAATAAATAAAAAATTGACCGAGAGCGGTGGCTCATGCCTGTAATCCTAGCACTTTGGGAGGCCAAGATGGGTGGATCACCTGAGGTCAGGAGTTCGCGACCAGCCTAGCCAACATGGTGAAACCCTGTCTCTACTGAAAATACAAAAATTAGCTGGGCGTGGTGATGGGAGCCTGTAGTCCCAACGACTTGGGAGGCTGAGGCAAGAGAATCACTTGAACCCAGGGGGTGGAGGTTGCAGTGAGCAGAGATCACACCACTTCACTCCAGCCTGGGCAAAAGAGCGAAACTCCATCTAAAAAAAAAAAAGAAAAAGAAAGAAAAAGAAAAAGAAATTGAGAACTTCTTGTATAGAACATTATGAATGAATAATGATATGCATAACAATAGACCAATTTTGAGCCCAGAATTGTTTCCAAAAAATAGTTATGATTGGACAGAAAGCTTCCACTATGTCTCCTTACCCACCCTTCTCCCAATACCTGAACAATTTGCTACTCTCTTCAGTGTTTCTTGGAGATTCAGATTCTGGTGGTGAAGTTCCATTTGCTCTTTGGATTTCTCATTCAGCTTCCGAGCAAGGGTTTCTATCATTTCCTTGAGTTCGTTTTCTGACTCCTGTGAAGCTTCTTCTGCTTGTTGCCGGGCTGAGATCTGTCCCTCCAGTTTCTTTTTCTGGTGAGTTAGGTTTGCTTGCTCTTGTGTTAGGAGGTCAGACACCTGGGATACTGAATCACAGTTGCATTAAGACTCTAGTTCTAATCCAAATAAAAATCCCTCCAGGGACTTTTTGAGGAAATCAAAACAGAATTAAATCTATTTTGACAATAGATAAGCTGCTGAAAAATGACCCAGATTTACTCAGAAGTTACAGATTTGGAGGTTCTTGAATATTCCTGCAGTATTTTGTTTAATGTCAGGAACATTGCAAACACTTGTAATTTTTTTAAAAATTACCAAGATTTTGGCCAGGCACGGTGGCTCAGGTCTGTAATCCCAGCACTTTGGGAGGCCGAGGCAGGCAGATCACGAGGTCAAGAGATAGAGACCATCCTGGCCAACATGGTGAAACCCCATCTCTACTAAAAATACCAAAGAAATTAGCTGAGGGTGGTGGCACGCGCCTGTAGTCCCAACTACTCAGGAGGCTGAGGCAGGGGAATCACAGTGCCACTGCACTCCAGCCTGGCGACAGAGGGGGACTGTCTCAAAAAAAATAAAAAACAACAACAACAACAAAAAAAACCCAAGATTTTTTTTTATTGAGTTACAAATGAAAAGTAATCACAAGATAACCAGTACAGCATTAGAATAAATAAAATAAGGAAAACCTGAAACAGACACCCACCAGACTCAGTGACTATTAGTAGGAAATGTCATTAGCGATTTACTCTATTTATGTCTCAATTCCTCTGCTGTGTCTCCTCCCATTCTGTCTACTCTTCCAGACTTCCTAATTTTAAGAACTGTGACATACACCCCTTTTTTGAGACAGCCACGCACACTGTGTCACAAGAGTCTCCAAGAATTTTTTCTTTTCTTTTTTTTTTCCCCTTGGCCACGGTACATTTTAGGAAGGGTGAAGATAAAGTGAAGGTTGTGAAATCAAGCAGGCGATAACATGTTAAGGGTCAAATGTCTCAGTTCCTGAATTTTGATGGTGCAATACAAAGCAGACCGCTTGGTTTGAAGGCAGCTTTGATCCTGTTATAAGATGATCAAAGGCTCAAAAGATTTTTCTGGTCACCACCACTAAGTCAAGGGCACTTCTCCTTGTCACTAGGAAAGGCCCTAAGTATTTACAAATTTAAAATAAAATAGTTTGTGAGCTTGAACAACAGTTAGGAAGCAAATAGCACTTCAATGGCCATAATAACCTGGATCCTGGGTAGCCTAAACAACTCAGTTCTACAACCTAAATTCACAGGCAGTTCAGGTGAACGTTGGGCACCATTTTCTTTCCTTCTTGGCCACTCTGGGCCATCTTTTCACTTCTTTTTTTCCCTCAATATCTTCTCTTTTCTAAATGCTCTTATTATAAATGTGAAATATATTTTATTTTAAATGTTTTATTTATTAAGATTGTGTTTCTGGTTCTTAACATTAAAATGGTATTTAATTATCTCTATCAAAACTCAGCAAGCTAAATAAAATTTCTTTTACTTTTGGGCCTCTCAGATGATCTTGGATATTAGTAACTTTAAGTTATTATCTTCTCCATCATTCTAGAATTTAAATAGGCTCTATCCATGAGGTTGGTTTTTTGTTTGTTTGTTTTGTTTGAAATGGAGTCTCGCTCTGTTGCCCAGGCTGGAGTGCAATGGTGCAGTCTCAGCTCACTGCAAATTCCACCTCCCCGGTTCAAGCTATTCTCCTACCTCAGCCTCCTGAGTAGCTGGGATTACAAGCATGTGCCACCACACCCGGCTACTTTTTGTATTTTTAGTAGAGATGGGGTTTCACCATGTTGGCCAGGCTGGTCTTGAACTCCTGACCTCAGGTGGTCCACCCACCTTGGCCTCCCAAAGTGCTGGGATTACAGGTGTGAGCCACCGCACCCGGCCTATCCATGAAGTTATGAAAACAAAAGAAACAAAACAAAACAAAACAAACAAACAAAAAAATGCCTACCAATTGTAATTTTTATTTCATGGCTCTATCCATTGGAAGATGAACAATATACCCCTTTATTTTCATGGTCACTCTTAAAAACATTTTGCCTAAAATGAATCTATATCAAGGCTGTTTGTAGTTGTTATGAAAGAAACTTATAAACCATATTTATTAACCTCATTTCCAACACCCCTGCCCCAATAAACATCAGTTCCGTATTTTAGCACTTACATTGCATGCCCAGCACCATAATGGTCACTACTAATCCCAGGCAAAGGACCCCTAGAGTCGCAGCAGCCAGGCACCACCATGGAGAGTAAAGAAACTGAAGACCTAGAGTGACAGAGGATAGAATCAGAAAGACAAAAAAGAGTGAACAAGTAAGCAAACCATTCCTTGGAGCCTGTCTGTACTTGGTGATTTACTCTGTTTATGTTTTAGTAAATAGACATAAATAGTTTGCATTCCATACCACTAGTCCTCCAAATGGCTCTGCAAATAATTCATCATACACATTTAGGAATGGAAAACAGGGAGAGTTAAGGAATTTAAGTAATTTACCCATGGTCACACAGCCAGTAAATTCAGAGCCAGGATTCGATACCAGATATTTGAATCTAAATATATGATTCTAAAGCTTATACTTTATCTACTTTCCCGACAATTACTCCTCAAGAAACTCACAGTCTAGCTTGGTTGGATCAAATTCATCCACAGTGCAGAGAGCCTGAAGTTTTTAATATACACCACGTGTACACATGTGCACACAAAAGTAACATAAATATCAGACATCAAGCAAACAAGCTTTCTTCAGTTAATCAACTGAGATTACCTCAAATAACTTTATGAATAATTTTATGCTATTCAATTATGAGTCCACCAAAATTACAACCTGGAACTGGGGTTATTAATCAAAGAAAAGTAGGGATGAAACCTTGATATTAATTTAGCTTATATTAACAGCATATCCTACACTCACGCCAAGTGTAGGCTTGATTTTACAAGAGAAATATTCACCATTTTGAAAAAAAAATCACATAGCTCACAGGTGTATGAATATACAATTATGTGTTCCACCACTAAAAAAAAAAAAATCACAGATATTACTGGTTGTGTAGGAAAACATCCCATACAATGTATTTGGTTTCCTCACCTTGTGAGATAAACAAATAAGGTACTCCTATCATTATCCTCTGTATGCAAATAAGGAGACTGAAAGGTTTAGTGACTTGCTTAAGATCACACAGATGCTAAAACCCAAAAATAAGTCTTTAGTCTAATTGTCAGTAGCTACATGACTTGAAATATTATAATACAATTTCCAGTGTGAATGTATAATGATCCAGTCAAGCAGTGGTCAGATATATTCAAAGTTTTCATATGTCAAAGGTAGTGTGTTAGACTCCACAAATGATAAAAAGAAGATAGAAACTTGACAGGGATAAATATGGTTCATCTTCTGATTCAATACTTACTGGCTTCTAGAGTGTGTGTGGCAAGCTAGCAGAGAAGTTGTAGAAGATAGCTGTGTCTCTTGCAAATAATTGCCTAATTCTAGCCTCAGGGGCAAATACCTCTATGTAAATCTTTCAACTCTGTGGTCACTGTTCATTCCACATTGTAGGGCATCAGATACCCTCATCGTGCTCTTTTTTTTTTTTTTTTTTTTGAGGGGGAGCTTGCTCTTCGCCCAGGCTGGAGTGCCATGGCGCCATCTCAGGTCACTGCAACCTCCGCCTCCTGGGTTCGAGTGATTCTCCTGCCTCAGCCTCCTGAGCAGCTGGGATTGCAGCCGCGCACCACCACAGCAGGTTAAATTTTGTATTTTTAGTACAGATGAGGTTTCACCGTGCTGGTCTCGAACTCCTGACCTCATGATCCGCCCACCTCAGCCTCCCAAAGTGCTGGGATTACAGGCGTGAGCCACCGCGCCTGGCCTCATCACTCTTAAATAATGAAAAACTAAATTTTTAGAGGAAAAAGAAAATCACAGGACCCTGTGAAGGAAGGTATGTGTTCCCTTTTTCTATAGATTCTCTTTGTCCTGTGTCCTTGGTAGGCAGAGACCATTAATCCAACTGCTGCCCCTACTAGTGATTTTCCAATCATAAACCAATCCGATTCTTTGCAGTAGGTACCGATCTAACCAAGATTCTGAAAGAAAAATCAATCTCATGATTATTGTAAAATTCAGACCCTCAATATTTACTACACAAATAATGAATGAGTAAAGAAACGAATGACTATTGTTCACTTCTGGTTTTACCTATAAATATCAGCAGTTTTTATAGCAATTTAGTTCATTGGCTCAAATGTTAAATCACTCCATGCTCACACTTATGTTCTCTATTGAGAGAAATTTCTGTTTTGTTTTTGGAAATGTAATTTGGAATTTCTTTATCCAAATTTCTGACAATACTTGTCTCTCTTTCTCTCCTTATATTCTGTTCATTTTCCTCAGAACAGATATAGAATAAAAGGCAATTTACCCAGATTGTCTGTGGAATTGGGATTATGAATTAATTTATAGCTATGCAATTTAATTACTGTATGGGTCAAACAGAACTTACAATTTTTCAAAGCAGTAGTACACAACAAAATGTAACTTATGCTAAACTATACTGAATATCATTTACTTTGCCTGCATAATTCATGAGGTACTTCAGGTTTTTGTAGTGCCTGAAGGACTCTTACAGAAATTATCGTTATATACACCAGATAAATTTGGTTCCCGAGCCCTCCGATGTATAGAATTCTGGATAAATGGGAGTTTGTGGTACAGTCCTAGCTCTACCACTTATTAGCTCCGTGAAACTGGATGATGTTGTTAGTCCTCCTGATGCCCAGTTAGCTCTCTGTAAAAGGGAGATAGTAATAGTACCAATCTCAAAATGTTATTGCGAAGATTCTGAGAAATAATACTCTGAAAGTGAATAACATATAGAATAACCTGTAGTAAATACTCAGTATAAATTGTTATAAATAAGTTGTCATCATCATCATCATTATAGCCTTCTTGTTTTTCTTTTAAGTAAATGGTATTAATTCTATTTTCCCATACTTGGGTGTTTAGCTTTCTAATCCCATTCTTCGGTGAATTTACATTTTGGGGCTAACACTGGGATTCTTTCCCTGTACACATTTTCCCATCCCTAGTACCTTTAGCTTTTTTTCCATTTGACTTCTCATCAGGCTGGTCCTTCACAGTCTGGATCTTTAGGTCATCAAAAGTCATTTCCAAATTCAAGCTAAGAATGAGAGAGTGAAGCAGTCACGAACTTCAACAAACTAAAAATATGTGAGCTTCTGCAGAAGTATTTAAATAGCTACTGTTATCTAATAGAAGAATGACTCAATCATTGGTAGGAGGAAGGAGAGGCTTTGCTTCATATTGGGAAGTTCGCTGACGCAAATTCTTGAGTTATGTGTATTGCAGGTGGAGAAAGTGGTGATTCTGAAGGTGTTTCAGGATATTTCGCTAAGTAATTTATGAAAGGGAAAACTATTTTTCATGAGCATCAGAGGAGAGATATTGTACCCACTCTTCAGAGACAGAAACTGAAATTCAAAGAGAGTAAGTCACACTACATTTGTAAAAAATGTGCCAGAATTATGGGCCAAAATATTTGATTCCAATGTTTGTTTGCTAATTTCATTAGCAGACTGTTTCTATATGGTGTCTTTTACGAATCAGATATATTCTCTTTTGATTTTCACTGTTTTATCTGGCAATGGATCTAAGAATTTTGGGGTGAATCACATATGGCTCCCATTTCCAGCGATGGTGTGTCCTGGGTGATTTTAGAATTTATCTGGGGCTACTAGTTCATGCAGTGCCAGTGTAACGTAGCAGCAGAGAGCACTTTGAATGCAGAAAGAGCTAGTTTCAGTACTTTCCTTTAGTCTACAATCTTGGGAAATCTTAATACTTTGAATCTATGTCTTTGTCTGGAAATTAGGGATAATGTCTACCTGATAACATTGTTATAGGAATTCAAATGACATGTCTGGAAATTAGGGATAATGTCTACCTGATAACATTGTTATAGGAATTCAAATGACATGCTGGGTAAAAATAATAAGCTTTTTTACACTAGGTTTGTGAAAAATGTCACGTTGCTATAGGAATTCAAATGACACGCTGGTTAAAAATGACAAGCTTTGTACTTGGAGCATAATAAGAAGCCAATAAATAATAATTATTAGTATAGTACTAATATTCAGCACAGTTGAATTACCCATCAAATAATGTATTTCAGTAAAATCCATGATTGACTCATGTCACAAAGACGCTTACATGAGAGACCCATAAGTATGTCTATATGTATTTACTGATAGAATACTTTTCTATTTTCCCTTGACAACCTCCTAACCAGATATATATCTATTAGAGATGTCTTCTGAAGGAAGTATTTATAAGCAAAATGATATGATATCTGGCATTTACTTTAAATTACTCCAGGAAAAAAAAGTGCAAAGAAAAGAATACACAAAGGAAGAATGGAAAAATAAATACATAAATAAAACATATAGGAAACTATTAGGAAAAATTACCAATATTGACAGCCTAATTAGGATTCCATTTCCCTCCTCCTCCCTGTTTCCTATATTCCTTTTATTATGTGCAGAGTATTTGAGAACAAATTGAAAAAGTTGGCCAGGTGCAGTGGCTCATGCCTGTAATCTCAGCACTTTGGGAAGCTGAGGGGGGGGGTGGATCACTGAGGTCAGGAGTTCGAGACCAGCCTGGCCAACCTGTTGAAACCCTGTCACCACTAAAAATACAAAAGTTAGCTGGGCCTGGTTGCAAGCCTATAATCCCAGCTATTTGGGAGGTGGAAAATGAAAATGCTTTTCATTTTCAGTGAGCTGAGATTGTGCCACTGTACTCCAGCCTGGGCAACAGAGCGAGACTCCCTTTAAAAAAAAAAAAAAAAAAGAATTAAAAAATACTGAAACGATATCACACTGAAAAGGGCACATTATCATTTCTACAGTGACTCAGTTATTTTGGATGCCATGAATATTATAGAACATAAAGTGTTTACCATTTCAACCATTTTTAGGTGTACTGTTCAGTGGCATTAAGTACATTTACATTGTTGTGCAGCCATCACCACCATCCATCTCCAGAACTTTTCATCTTCCCCAACTGAAACTCTATACCCACCAAGCAATAACTCCTGTGATGGTGAATTTCATGTGTTTTGTTTGTTTGTTTGTTTGTTTGTTTTTGAGATGGAGTTTCACCCTTGTTACCCAGGGTGGATTGCAATGGCATGATCTCGGCTCACTGCAACCTCCGCCTCCTGGGTTCAAGCAATTCTCCTGCCTCAGCCTCCTGAGTAGCTGGGATTACAGGTGCCCGCCACCCCTCCCGGCTAATTGTTTTGTATTTTCAGTAGAGACAGGGTTTCACCATGTTGGCCAGGCTGGTCTTGAACTCCTGTCCTCAAGTGATCCGCCTGCCTCAGCCTCCCACAGTGCTGGGATTACAAGCGTGAGCCACCGTGCTGGCCTTCTGTGTCTTCTTGACTGGGTCATGGGGTTCCCAGACAGGATGCTTTTAAATGAGATTAACATATTAATCAGAAGAGGAAAGTAGATTTCGCTGCATAATGTAGGTGGGCCTCATCCAAAAGTTGAAGGCCTAAAGAACAAAAAGCTTCTAACCTTCCCCCAAATAAGAAAGAATCCCCCAGCTGTCTATGGACTGGAACTCAGCCATCAACTCTCCCAGTTCTCCACTCGCTGGCCGAGTCTGGCAGCCCACACTCCAGATTTTAAATTACCAGGCTCTATAATCATACAAGCCAATTCCTTATAATAAACCTATTTCTATGTATGTACACAGCGTATTGATCCTCTTTCTCTGCACAGACCTAATACAAATCCCAATTCCTTTCTCCTTTCTTGGAAACCACCGTTCCATTTTTTTGTTTCTATAAATTGGTTTATTTTAGGCACCTCATACTGGTGGAATCATATAATATTTGTCCTTTTGTATCTAAATTATTTTATTTAGCATTATGTCTTCAACAATTATCAATGTGGTAGCATGTGTCAGAATTTTGTTCCTTTTAAAGTCTGTATAATATTCCATTGTATGTATAAACCACATTCTACATTTTATTTATCCATTGATGGACGTTTGGGTTTATCCTGTTTTTAAAGATCAGTGGGATAGTTTCTACAGTCCTTGTGTGGCAGATAACTGGACAGATTTGAAAAATTTTAGAGGGCTCTCATTATTCCTGCCTCCTGGTGTTCATGATCTTGTGTAATCCTTCCCCTTGAGTGTGAGTGAGACCTATGACTTGGAGTGTAGCAGAGGTGCTGGAATGTATGTGATCATCTACGTGTGCTTATGTAAGGTATAGTGACTATTATGCTAAAGTCACTCTCCCTCTCCTATTTCCATCTTTATCTCCCTGTCTAGATTTTTAAAAGCAAGCTTAAATGGATCCTGCAGCCATAGAGAAATAAATTCTGCCTGAGGGAGCTTGCAAGTGAATCTTCCCAGGCTCACCTGAGAATGCATGATGAGAGTGCAACCCAGCAGCCACCTTGACTGCAGCCTTGTGAGACATCAAGCAGAGGACCCAACTAAGTTGTGCCCACACTTCTGACTCACAGATACTTTGAAATAATAAAAGTACATTGTTTTACCTTGCTGCTCACATAATTTGTGGTGATGTGTTACACAGCATATCAACCTAAAACATTCTATGATAAACTGAATCCTTCTGTCTTGTTTAACTTTTTTAACTCTAATCTTTTTACTGATTTCAGTGCCTTTGAAGCTGTCACTCAATCCCTATGCTGTGATCTTGGCTTATCAGACAGAAACACTTCCCAAGGGATCTCCCAAGGGTTGCAAAGATGAAACTTCTTCTGCTATATTATTTATTTTTGAAATCAGGGCTGTGGCCCTACCCACTGACTTATAGTTTGAGGTTGATGCCTCAGAGTCCTGGCCTCTATTTTATTGAGGCACAGAGAGGAAAGAAATCCATAGTTGGCCACCTGACTTAGGCAAGGTCAAAAGGAGAATGATCAGTGGAACCAGAAGTAAGCAATTTGTTTGGCTACACTTGTTACACCAGTTGTATAACAATTCCCTGAAGCATAGGTGTAAAACTCTATGTACATGCACCCTCTACTGGTTCCACTCCAAGTCCTTAACTACCTGGACATAAGCTAATGATTCACAAGCTTAATGGAACTGCACAAGATTGTATAGGATTGTAATGAGACCATTTCCCTCTATCCCAGCTACCTGCCCTTCTGTACCTGTCCAAAGTGTACTTCGTTCAGTCTTCTTGTCTGAATTATCTTTCTTCTTTCATCATTCCCTATATGGAGGCTTGGTTAGGGACAGGATTCAGAGTTAAAGCTGCCCCAAGGCATAATCTCATTCATTAGGATAAAAACAAACTTTTATCTTTCCAGGGACTAATCTGGTGAGAAAAAAAAAAAGGGTAGTAATAATTCTAAGAAAGGAAAGTCACAAGGAGGTCATTAACAGAACCTATTTTGTTCAAACCTGTTTGGAAGCTGGAGGGCAAAAAGATGATGGCAATTACGTGTTAGAAAAGTGCAATGCGAGCGGGGAGTCATGTTAACCAGCAAACCTGTTTAGGCAGGTGAAGGCTGGCGTGGTTGGGAGAAAAGGTGGCCAGGCTAGCAAGGAAAAATATTCAAGAATTAGAATATCAGGAGACTAAAATGTGGTCTGGAGAGGGAATGGTATAAAAATATACAAGAGAAGCATAAAGGACAGTAATTATCCAGAATCTTGAAAGTAAAGGTCACTGGTAAACTTTAGTGAAAATCAAAATAATCTTAGCAAACACAAAAAATATCAGGACTGTTATATTCATTTTACACACATTAACTTATTTAATCTGTATAAGGCTATCAAGTAAATATTACTACTATTACCCCCATTTTATATAAAATGAAAATGAGCCAATAGAGGTCTAATAACCTGCTCCAAGATCACACAGCTCATAAGTGACAAAACCAAGTATTTAAACCCAGGTATCCTGGCTAGGCTTTAGGTCTTGGTGCTCTACTGTCTTTCTGTCAAGAAAAAGAGAAGGGAAAGTTTCATGATGGGTTCCCTACGTACAGGGCACTCATGATAGAAATATCCTATTCAAAATGCTTTCCTGTCTCTTATTTTATTTTCTCTAGGAAATAACATCTAAAGCAGGTCAAGTGGGTATTCTGCTCCTGTTGTATGAATGGGAACGTTAAGGACTGGAGGAATTACATAATAATTTAGTGGAAGGCCACCTAAAGCCCTGCTCTCCTTGTCCTATAAAATACCTTCCACCTTGCCAAGTCTTCTACTGAAATCTGGAAATCACCCTTCATCCTAACCCCAGTTGCCTAATTTAAAAAAATAAAAAATAAAAGACTGTCAGTGCTCATTTCGTCTTGAAACTGACAGATTTTAAATCACCAGTATGGTACCAGGCCATTTTCTCATTATTTGTTTTCCTTAGCTGAGAACAAAACCAGTTTATATCCTGCATTCTCATATCCCATCATCAAGCTATGTGTGAGGACCCTTAGAGTATGATCAGCTCACCCAAGAGTCTCCCTTCCACAATCACTCAGCATAATTAGATTTACTGAGCTAGAAAGGTCCTGAAAGGAGGTTTTATTCAATTCTTATGAGATAGATATATCACTGTAAACTAACTTCTACTTTTCTTATCCCAGCCTGGCCAATATGGTAAAACCTTGTCTCTACTGAAAATAGAAAAGTTAGCTGGGTGTCGTGGCAGGTGTCTATAATCCCAGCTACTCAGGAGGCTGAGGCAGGAGAATTGCTTGAACCCAGGAGGCAGAGGTTGCAGTGAGCCGAGATTGCACCACTGCCCTCCAGCCTGGTGACAGAGAGACTCTGTCTCAAATAATAATAATAATAATAATAATAATAATAATAATAATAATAATAATTTTTTTATTAAACATTTGGTATTAAGTAAAAGATCACCTACTTAAGTATAAATCATTCATACAGCATTCTTTTGTTTCTTTTAATATTTTGCTTTTTTGAGGCAGATTCTCGCTCTATCACCCAGGCTGGAGTGCAGTGGTGTGATCTCGGCTCACTGCAACTTCTGCCTTCCGGGTTCAAGTGGCCCTCCTGCTTCAGCCTCCCAAGTAGTTGGGATTACAGGTGCCTGCCATGACACACAGCTAATTTTTGTATGTTTCGTAGAGAAAGGGTTTCATCATGTTCTCCAGGCTGGTCTCAAACTCCTGGCCGAAGTTATCAGCCCGCCTTGGCCTCCCAAAGTGCTGGGATTACAGGCATGAGCCATGGCACCCGGCCACATTTGTGTCTATAGCTTTGTTTCATTGTAAGTATTCTAGGCCAGGCACGGTGGCTCACGCCTGTAATCCCAGCACTTTGGGAGGCCGAGTCGGGCGGATCATGAGGTCAGGAGATCGAGACCATTCTGGTTAACATGGTGAAACCCCGTCTCGTCTCTACTAAAAATACAAAAAAACTTAGCCGGGCGTGGTGGTGGGCGCCAGTATTCCCAGCTACTCGGGAGGCTGAGGCAGGAGAATGGCATGAACCCAGGAGGCAGAGTTTGCAGTGAGCCGAGATTGCGCCACTGCACTCCAGCCTGGGTGACAGAGCAAGACTCCGTCTCAAAAAAAAAAAAAAAAAAAGTATTCTATGCTTTTGCATGTGTGCTTGTTTTTACTCTAACCTTAGGTTTTATTTTCCTGAGTGACAAGACTTATTTCTCAATCACATCACTCCTTAACCAAAGAGAGAGAGAGAGAGAGAAAGAGAGAGAAAGAAGGAACAAAGAAAAGGCAAGAAAGAAAGAAACCTATACATTTGCTTTTTTAAAATTTGGTTTTAAAAAAATGTCTTTCTCAGTTATCTATTTCAATGGGAAGTGAAGTCAGGGAGGAGGAAGATGTCACTGATAACACCTGAAAATTCTAATCTTCCGACTTGATTTCTCATCTTCAAGTCTGTTTTCTCCAAAGATGAGATGGCTTTCCTGTTCACTTGGCAACCTCTCAGTCTTACCCCAATGCTTAGGGATATAAATGACCCAGAACCAGGAGAGTTGATTATCAACATAGTGAAGGGGAGGGTTTCAAAGAGCAAGAAGGGGTTGTTAGTCACACGGAGAGAGAAGAAAGGAGATTAGCAGGGTGACTTTCACCCTGCAACAGTCACGCTGGAGTACTCTGGTGAAGGATCAAGAATATTACCAGTTTTCTGATGAAGAAAGGAATATATTTGGTCACCAGCAATCTGCCTTTGACCATCCTCAAAGCCAAGTTTTTCATCGCTGTCTAGAAAAATACTTCATTCAGAGGACACATATGTCCTCTTTGAATGTCTCCTTTTTGGGAGCAGTAGGAGAAAGAAACTTCAAGATGTAGAAAGAATTAATAGTGTAACGGAAAGAAAGAAGGCAAAAGGAAGTAAATGTGGAGGCCATAGAAATAGTAATAAGAATAAAGAAGAAAAACAGGAAAGAAGAGGGAAAAGCCATAGAAAATAACAGCCAGAGCGAGTAGGAGGAGACAGAGAGAACGAGAGAGAGAAAAGCTGATAAATTCCTGAGAAAAGTTTCTCTTCTTAAGAATTCTAGGTCAAGAAGTAAAATATGGCACAGAGCATTGAAAGGAGGCAACGGATGCCCAGTGCAAGATTCTGAAGAAGCAGGAATTCAGCCCGATGGGAGTCCGAGTTCATGTCGTGGCGGCCTCAGCCCTGCTGTATTTCATCCTGGTGAGTTCAGTGGTGAAAAGGCAGAAAGAGTATTTTTCCCCAGATTAATCAACTCTCAGAAGAGTCTGAAAGGAAATGAACTGCGGGGTGGGGAGACATATACAGAACCCAGGGGGTCATAGGGAAATGAATAAACTACAAAGTTTCCTTAGTATTACGAGATTGCATAGATGCATGTGTGACTGATGGCAATGACAATGAAAAGGGGGACAGAAATTAGAGTGAGCATGGAAACGAGCAGGATTGCCGTGGCACTTTAGAAGTGCCGCTGAAGTATTTTATCTCTTTTAGCATCTTATCACCCATCCCTCAAAATTCCAAACAAATTATGAAAACTAGGTGTGTAATTCCCCTAAACGGAATTTCCCATCCAGGAATTTCTAATCCTGTTCTAGCAGTTTAGGTGCCTCTAGTCTAGAAATAAGAGAGGCAGGGCTCTTTTAAAATATTTTGGGCCCCACAATGAATCAGAAGTCTCTGAGTAATCCATTAGTGGAGAAAAGGGTCACTGGACTGAGGGATTCTAAACAATTGTCACAGGGAAGTTTATAGAGCTATGCCATCTAGCAAGAAGGAGAGCAAATGAAGAAAACTGGATAGTCTCAGATTCCCGTATGGCCCCCGTACAGAGTGGGCTGTATGGTTTGTTTTTTTTTTTTTTTTGCTAATAGAACAGTTAAAGTGGTATCTGAAAATCCATTTTTTCTTATATTTTCTTTTTGCTTCCTCTTCACTCCCTTTGCCTTGTCTTCCCTTCATTTTTCCTTTCTTTTCTCTTTGCAACAAGCCTGAAAAGTAGCATTTTCTCTGCTGAGCACTTTAGGCTTCTCTTACCTTTAGTGAAGAAAGTGAAAGAAAGTACCATGGTTGCGTAGAGGAAACACACGCTTTTTCATCGTTAGTGGCCATTTCTTTCCAATGAAAACACAAACACGGGTTTCTCAAATGTTACCTGCAAAGGCTGGCCATTAATCCTTTTACAGATCCTTTCCAACTGATAGGTCTTGAGAATGTGTGTCTCCTTACCCCTTCACTACCCGCCATAAACTCCCAATAGTTACAAATCTGTTTCTTTTCTAGGGCCTTTGTGGTTGCTTTCCTGAAATATCAGATCACTCAGGTTATTAGAAGACAGAAGCAACTTCTAGAATTGAGTTTACTTAAATGGTTTGTTGTTGTTGTTGTTGTTGTTTTTAAACGGAGTTTTGCCCTTGTTACCCAGGCTGGAGTGCAGTGGCACGATCTTGGCTGACTGCAACCTCCGCCTCCTGGGTTCAAGCGATTCTCTTGCCTCAGCCTCCCAAGTAGCAGGGATTGCAGGCATGCACCACCACGCCTGGCTAATTTTGTATTTTTTTAGTAGAGATGGGGTTTCACCATGTTGGTCAGGCTGATCTCGAACTCCTGACCTCAAGTGATCCACCCACCTCGGCCTCCCAAAGTGGTGGGATTGCAGGTGTGAGCCACTGCACCCAGCCTTGAATGGGTTTTTGAAAGAGGAAGTCAACTAAAAAATCAGGTAGAAGAAAGAGTGGACAGTTTTGTTTGTTTTTTTGTTTTCTGTAAAGGGAGTAGAAGGGACTTCATAGCAATGTCAAGGAATTGTTAGAGCAAACTTGTCCCCAGTGCTATTAATTCATCCAACACATATCTATGATAGAGTTTGATTTGAATTCTGTCTGCATCAATAGGTGTGTACATTTGGTCACTTTTTTTTTTTTCCAAGATGGAGTCTTGCTCGCCTAGGCTGGAGTGCAGTGGCATGATCTCGGCTCACTGCAACCTCCACTGCCCGGGTTTAAGCAATTCTCCTGCCTCAACCTCCAGAGTAGCTGGGATTACAGGCGCACATCACCACGCCGGGCTAATTTTTGTATTTTTCGTAGAGACGGGATTTCACCATGTTGGCCAGGCTGGTCTCGAACTCCTGACCTCATGATCTGCCCACCTTGGCCTCCCAAAGTGCTGGGATTACAGGCGTGAGCCACCACGCCTGGCCTGGTCACATTACTTAAAACCCTGTGCCTTAGTCCCTTAACCTTTCAAGATAAGGTTAAATATACCCACCAAGAGGGTTATTGTGATTAAATGTTATGAAATATTAAGAGTTCATGGCCGGGCGCGGTGGCTCACACCTGTAATCCCAACAGCACTTTGGGAGGCGGAGGTGGGTGGGTCACTTGAGGTCAGGTGTTCGAGACTAGCCTGGCCAACATGGTGAAACCCTGTGTCTACTAAAAATACAAAAATTAACCAGGCGTGGTGGCACGTGCCTGTAGTCCCAGCTACTCGGGAGGCTGAGGCAGGAGAATTGCTTGAACCCGGGAGGTAGAGGTTGCAGTGAGCCAAGATCACGCCACTGCACTCCAGCCTGGGTGACAGAGCAAGACTCAAAAAAAAAAAAAAAAAAAACAAAAAAAAAAAACTTGTTAGCAGTCTGAGTGGCATCTAGTAGCTATTCGATAAATAAGACTCTCTGTCCCACTGGCCCCCTCGCTTTTCCCCTTCTTCCTTTGTATAGTCATTGTCACACTAACAGGATAAAAAAAGAGCAGTGGTGTAGAATTCAACTGGGCAGGAATTAGGAGGACAATGGCAATATCCCAAGGGACAGAGAGATCAGGAATTTTCTACTACAAACAAATTAATGTAAATGGCTACCTCTCATTCACAAAGGGTGATGCTCACCCACCATCAACACAACAGATGAGATATTTGTTCTTCAAGGTTCCCTTACCTCAAGTACAAAAGCCAGCAAGTATGGGAGAGATGAAAATGGCAGTCCTAAATAGACTGCCCCTATGACCGTGACCTTCTTACTGCTTGATCTAACACAGCACAACCATGAGAGATGATTGGTAAGCAGCTGAACACAGTGGCCAAAACAATTTCCCTGTATAAGACAATTTCTCTTTCTACAGCTTTCTGGGACGAGATGTGAGGAAAACTGTGGTAATCCTGAACAGTAAGTATAGAGTTCAAGCTGGGAGGAAGGAGCAACAGACCAAAACATCACTACCCCAAAAGAGAGTCAAGATGTCATTAGACATCTATGACTTCTTTTTATTTATTTTTACTTAAGTAATAGATCTCATAGATGACTTATCACAAAATAAAGACGTGTTTTTGTCATCTTAAGCACTCAAAATAACACTGCTGACAGCATGTTTTTACCCAAAGCCAATCTTCCCATCAAAGCAGCACGATTAATCTCAACTTATACAGTCATAGAGACTTGCAAAAGACTTCCTTAGCCCTGCTCCTCAGTGACTCACCAGGACAGACGGTTTAGTATCTAGTCACTGGCATATATATTTGGGTGATTTCCAAAGTAACATTATTACTTTAAATTGGGAAAGTATTTTCTAGTTTTTAGGGCATGTTAACATTTATTGGGCAGACTTCATTTAGCTATCACTTTGATGTAGTTATCAACTAATCCAAACCTGTCACACTTAAGTCTTATGTAGACACAGAGGACATGAAGATAAAAATGCAAAAGAATCATTCCACTTAAAGGAACTGTAAAATACAAATTTTAAAAAGTAGTGGCACTTTGAATAAAAACGTGTTTAGGATGAAGAAAAATACATATTTAGCCATGGGAAGGGTTTCCCAATAGCCAGGTCTGTTAAACCCAGGGAAAGGGTGATAGCCTTGATTACCTGTCACATGCAAATTGGGTGTTGACTACTTGACACCTGCTTTCTGAGGTTTTACACATCTTCCACCATAGGAAGAGTCCTTTCCTATAAACCAGAGTCTAATTAGAACTAGAAGAGTTTTCAACAAGTAAGAAATGTGGGAAAACCAAGAGGAGTCATTGTTCAGTGAAAAACAAAACAAAACTATATTTTCTATAAATGTGTGACCAGAGAATAAAAATAGATTCACTAGATTTCAGTAGATTCCTGTATCAGAAAGAATTATTAAATAACAAAATTTACTACTCTTCAAAGATACACAAATATTTTGCCTCCCCTCATTCTCCAATTCCTGAACTTATCTTCTCCTTCTCCCATACAATCCCTATTTTTTTTTCATTCTTACAGAGAAAATTTACAATTGCCATAGTGAACTCAGAACATTATTTAGCTTTCATCATGGTAAAGTTGGCTTCTACTTTTTTCCCTCTTCCTGTTTGGTCTCAGTGGATATGCAAATTAGTTTTGATCCTGGATGTGAAAAATTAGGGTACTCTTTACGGTGGGTGTGATATTGTGAGAATATATATTTGGTTTTGTCCCTATCTCCTAGCATACAACTTCTAAAATCCCCAAAGTAAGTAGCATCATTTTGCATGCTAATGAGTTGATTGGTGGCTGGCAGCCCCTAGGTAGATTTAGGATGGGGCTGGTCATTGGAAGGACCAATGCAGAATGCTTAAAGCCTCACCCCTCAACATCCAAGGAAAGTAGAGGGGCTGAAGTTTAAGTTGATCATCAATGGCCAATGATTTAATCAATCACGCCTACATAATGAGGCTTTCATGAAAATCCCAAAGGATGGATTTGAAGAGTTTCTGTAAAGCTGAACAGGCAGTGGTTTCTGAAGGGTGGTGCACTCGGAAGACCTGCAAGCTCCGTGCCCCTTCCCACATGCTTTGCTCTACGCATCTCTTCATCCGCATCCTCGGTAATATTCTTTGTAATAAACTGTAGATGTAAGTAAGTGTTTCCCGGAGTTCTGTGAGCTGCTCTAACAAATTAACGCAACCTCAAGAGGGAGTCAGGGAACCCCCAATTTATAACCAGTAGGTCAGAAGCACAGGCAAAACAAATTGTGATTGGCATCAGAATTCTGGGGAGCCGTCTAGGGGACTGAGTCCTCACCCTATGGGATCGGATCCTATCTCCAAGCAGGTGGTGTTGGCATTGAATTGAATTAGAGGACGCTCAGCTGTTGTCTGTTGCTGGAAGATTGCTTGCCTGGTGTGTGCGGAAATCCTCACCCACCCACATCTGGTGTCAGAGGGTTGGGAGAGTATAGCAGGAAGAAACTAAGTTTTTTTTTTCCTACATTCTCAGTGGGAGTGTTGCAACAGCTTGCAAAAGATAAATTACAAATGTGATTGTATGACTTTCATACTCATAACTGAAATTTTCTTTATGTTTACATTTTATTGACCTCAAATATACACAAGCCTTAAGTTTCACATCCATTTTCAAAGTTACTCTTTGTAAACTTGCATTCCAAGTTCTTTCTTAGTATTTTTTTTTTCTTTTTGAGATGGCGTCACCACGGCCGGCTAATTTTTGTATTTTTAGTAGAGATGGGGTTTCACTATGTTGGCCAGGCTGGTCTCCAACTCCTGACCTCGTGATCTGCCAGCCTTAGCCTCCCAAAGTGCTGGGATTACAGGCATGAGGCACCGCACCTGGCCCTTTCTTGGTCATTTTTATCATAAATGTTTGCAATAGGCACAGACATGTTTTCTATGGACACTTCTAATGATCACTAGTTTGTTTTATAATGATTTACAAAATGACTCAGACAATGCCATCTATAGTATAAAGTACTATTTAAAGCATATCATTTGGCAAAAGATTCAACTAGCTACAGTGAATTTTAAAAACATAACCCATGGTGCTTTATTTATAACAAGGTATCACATCATATTGTAACTCATATTTCTGAGTCTGGAGTTATAACAGGGATTGACTATATTTTTAATGTAGAAAACTTTATTCTTTCTTTATAGTTGCCTGACCACAGACTGGGTACATCTCTGGTATATATGGTAAGTTTCACTTATAATACCCAGAAAGACACTGTATTCCTCAAGGCCATTAAAAATGACAACCTGCCTACTTACTTAGCATCTCATGGAGTAAGATTTCATTACTTCATCACTACCTATGTGACAATATGTCAGGATTTCCTTTTTCAATACCATCTCCTCCGCAAACATCAAACCATTACTGTGTCCTTCCCTCGGAGTCTGTTCTAGAAATATCTCAACGAAGATTACTTTAGTGAATTAAAAAGCAGAGCCTGGCCGGGCGTGGTGGCTCACACCTGTAATCCCAACACTTTGGGAGGCTGAGGCAGGCAGATCACTTTGAGGCCAGGAGTTCGAGACCAGCCTGAGCAAAATAAAGAAACCCCCATCTCTATTAAAAATACAAAAAAAGTTGGGCGCGGTGGCTCACACCTGTAATCCTAGCACTTTGGGAGGCCGAGACAGTGGATTATCTGAGGTCAGGAGTTCAAGACCAGCCTGACCAACCTGGAGAAACTCCGTCTCTACTAAAAATACAAAATTAGCTGGGCGTGGTGGCACATGCCTGTAATCCCAGCTACTCAGGTGGTTGAGGCAGGAGAATCGATTGAACCCAGGAGGCAGAGGTTGCGGTGAGCTGAAATTGTGCCACTGCACTTCAGCCTGGGCAACAAGAGCAAAACTCTGTCTAAAAAAAAAAAAATTAGTCGAGTGTGGTGGCATGTGCCTATAGTACTGGCTACTCAGGAGGCTGAGATCGTGCCACTTCACTCCAGCCTGGGCAACAGAGCAAGACTCTGTCTCAGAAAAGAAAAAAGAAGCAGCCCCCCAAACTACCTTAAATGTCTTACTATTTGTTCTAATGAATTGACTTACTGCAGCTGACAAAATAAGGAGGTGTATCTATAAAGCAAAAGCCTTGAAATTAAAATTATAAATTAAAATATTTATAATTATTCTATAAAATGTTTAGACAAGAATCAAAACACAGACATTAAAGACTGGTTACAGCAGAGCTGGGAAAAAAGCCAGATCCCAGAGCTCCCACTCGCCCCGTGGGCTTTTGCAGGTTGCTAGTGGTAATTGGCGCGCTGCTTCTCCTGTGTGGCCTGACGTCCCTGTGCTTCCGCTGCTGCTGTCTGAGCCGCCAGCAAAATGGGGAAGATGGGGGCCCACCACCCTGTGAAGTGACCGTCATTGCTTTCGATCACGACAGCACTCTCCAGAGCACTATCACATGTGAGTACACTGAACTTTTAACCTGGGAGGAGGACCCAATTTAAGGGAATAATGAAAAGGGTGCAAAGGTGTAGAACCACTGATCGAGTAATATTAAAGATTCCAGGACTCACAATAATTTCCATTCCCAGAAGCCTGATGGTGCAGTGACCTGGGCTGTCACTGAAGCTGTGTTCTCAAGGGTCTGTCTGGCTCATGATAAAGAAAGAAGTGAAATATTGGAGGCTATTGGAAATATTGAATAGGAAGAATTAGCCAGTTTATAAATAGTTACTTTGCTAAAAACTATTTTGAACTCCAAACGGATGCCTTTTTCAAAACGTCTTGGATTTTGTGAAATCTACTTTTTCTATTATCTATACTATTTTATATTTTTAAAGAAATTAATGACATGTACTTTCAGTTCTTTATTCTTCAAGGCTTGATACACTAAATTTTAGCCTTAACATTTTCTCAATGATTATAAGACACTTTCCCTTTTCTTCTGTGGTTCTATTCTTTCCATGACGGTTTTTTTTTTTTTTTTTTTTTGAGATGGAGTCTTGTTCTGTCGCCCAGACTGGAGTGCAGTGGTGCAATCTCAGGCTCACTGCAACCTCCGCCTTCCGGGTTCAAGTAGTTCTCTCCCTTAGACTCCAGAGTAGCTGAGATTACAGGCACCTGCACCATGCCTGGCTAATTTTTGTATTTTTAGTAGACACGAGGTTTCACCATCTTGGCCAGGCTGGTCTCAAACTCCTGACCTTGTGATCCACCTGCCTCCGCCTCACAAAGGGCTGGGATTACAGGCGTGAGCCACCATGCCTGGCCAAAATGGTTACTTTCTTTTTTTGACACGGAGTCTCCCTCTGTTGCCCAGGCTGGAGTGCAGTGGTGGGAATCTCAGCTCACTGCAACCTCCGCCTCCTGGGTTGAAGAGATTCTCATGCCTCAGCCTCCTGAGTAGCTGGGATTACAAGCAGCCACCACCACACCAGGCTATATTTTTTTAAATTTTTATTTATTTATTTGTTTATTTTTATTATTGGTAGAGACAATTTACCATGTTGGCCAGGCTGGTCTCAAACTCCTGACCTCATGATTCACCTGCCTCTGTCTCCCAAAATGCTGAGATTACAAGCATAAGCCACTGTGCCTGGACTATGCTCTTTCCTAAAATTGAGGAGCAAGTACCAGTCAGAACACCAGCTGGCAAAATGTGGATATTTATTTTGAAAAGAGAGTGATGGCTGGGCGCAGTGGCTCATGCCTGTAATCCCAGAACTTTGGGAGGCTGAGGCAGGTGGCTTACTTGAAGTCAGGAGTTCGAGACCAAGCTGGTCAACATGGTGAAACCTCGTCTCTACTAAAAATACAAAAACTAGCCAGGCATGGTGGCACACACCTGCAATCCCAGCTACTTGGGAAGCTGAGGCGTGACACTCGCTTGAACCCGGGAGGCAAAGGTTGAAGTGAGCCGAGATCGTGCCACTGCACTCCAGCCTGGGTGAGCGACAGAGAAAGACCCTGTCTCAAAACAACAACAACAACAAAATAGAATGATATGATGTGTTGCTGTTCACCTTTCCTACCTCCCCTTTCTCACTGTCATCTTAGGAAAAAAGGATAACCAAGGCTGGGCACGGTGGCTCAGTCCAAGGCGGGCAGATCATCTGAGCTCAGGAGTTTGAGACCACCCTGGGCAACATGGTGAAACCCCGTCCCTATTAACGTACAAAATTTAGCTGGGCGTGGTGGCACGGGCTTGTAGTCCCAGCTACTCGGGAGGCTGAGGCACGAGAATCATTTGAGCCCAGGAGGCGGAGGTTTCAGTGAGCCGAGATGGCGCCACTTCACTCCAGCTTGGGCTACAGAGTGAGACACCATCAAAAAATAAAAAAGGAAAGAAAGAAAGAGAGAGAGGGAAGGAAGGAAGGAAGGAAGGAAGGAAGGAAGGAAGGAAGGAAGGAAAAGAAGAAAAAGAAAAAGAAAAAGAAAAAGAAAAAGAAAAAAGATAACTGGGCATGGTGGCTCATGCTTGTAATCCCAGAACTTTGGGAGGCCGAGGCAGGTGGATTATTTGAGGTCAGGAGATTGAGACCAGACTGGCCAACATGGTGAAACCCCACCTCTACTAAAAATACAAAAATTAGCCAGGCACTTTTGTTGGCCAGGCACGGTGGCTCACACCTGTAATCCCAGCACTTTGGGAGGCCGAAGCGGGTGGATCACAAGGTCAGGAGATCGAGACCATCCTGGCTAACGCAGTGAAACCCCATCTCTACTGAAAATACAAAAATTAGCTCGGCGTGGTGGCGGGCGCCTGTAGTCCCAGCTACTCAGGAGGCTGAGGCAGGAGAATGGCGAGAACCCGGGAGGCGGAGCTTGCAGTGAGCCGAGATCGCGCCACTGCACTCCAGCCTGGGCGACAGAGCGAGACTCCGTCTCAAAAAAAAAAAAAAAAAAAAAAAAAAAAAAAAAAATTAGCCAGGCACGTTGGCACATGCCTGTAATCCCAGCTACTCGGGAGGACGAGGCAGGAGAGAATTGTTTGAACCTGGGAGGTGGAGGTTGCAGCGACCCGAGATTGTGCCACTGCACTCCAACCTGGGTGACAGAGTGAGACACTGTCTAAAAAAAAAAAAAAAAAGAAAAGAGATGAGGTAAAAATAAATAATCCTAAGGAGTCTATAGTATCGGGGGCTGGGGGAAAGGGATCTAAGTCTGAAAGGGGAAAGGGCAGGGTTGAGTTGCAGGATGCAGAAACATTCTTGGCTGGGTGTGGTGGTTCACTCCTGTAATCCCAGCACTTTGGGAGGCCAAGGCGGGTGGATCACCTGAGGTCAGGAGTTCAAGACCAGCCTGGCCAACATAGTGAAACCCTGTCTCTACTAAAAATACAAAAATTACCTGGGCATGGTGGCGGGCGCCTGTAATCCCAGCTACTTGGGAGGCTGAGGCAGGAGAATCACTTGAATCCAGGAGGCGGAGGTTGCAATGAGCCAAGATCCACCATTGCACTCCAGCCTGGGCAACAAGAGCAAAACTCCGTCTCAAAAAAAAAAAAAAAAAAAGAGAGAGAGAGAGATACAGAAACATTCTTTAGATTATTTGAGGTTACCAGAGAAAACAGGTCCTTCTAGCAGAGCAGGAAGCTGGGTTGTAAACATGCTTCAAAGGATATTCATAAAATTTGGGGCAAGGAGTGACAATGAGTTTGGATACTTGTAAAAAATGAAGCGACAGTTAAGTGTGAAGTAAGTCTCTGCTGTCTGAGGGTGTCCTGTTTCCCTTAGTTTCTTAGCTCTGTTCCTTCTTTCTTCACAGCTCTGCAGTCGGTGTTTGGCCCTGCAGCTCGGAGGATCCTGGCTGTGGCTCACTCCCACAGCTCCCTGGGCCAGCTGCCCTCCTCTTTGGACACCCTCCCAGGGTATGAAGAAGCTCTTCACATGAGTCGCTTCACAGTAGCCATGTGCGGGCAGAAAGCACCTGATCTACCCCCAGTACCTGAAGAAAAGCAGCTGCCTCCAACAGAGAAGGAGTCGACTCGAATAGTTGACTCTTGGAACTGATGAGAGCTGTCATTTTATAAATAGGAGTGGAGTGATGTCCAGAGTCTGTGGGAAAATGGAACACATACTTTTCTAACCCTCAGAAGTTTTAAGATGGCATCTAACACCATCATTCTATGGGAAAGATGGTTCTTACTCTTCGTTCACAGGCCTTTATATCTTCCGATACAGAATGCTCTAATTGGGAACTCTAATTTTGTATCCAATGGCCAAAATCTGCAAGTAATCTCTAGCCACACTGATTACTACTAAACCAGGAAAGCATCAAGGTGTCTTGAATTCCTTTAACTATTGAGTGCATATAGAATTCCTGTACCCACATGATACTGCAAGTTGTGTCTCTCTCTGTCAGCGAATCCACTGCGGTTAACTGGAAAAGAAAGACAACAGTGTCAGCACAGCCATCGACATTAATGCACTGAATGCATGCATCTTTCCTCCTGAGACAGCAATCGATTTTACACCGAATGACAATGATCATCTTAGACAGCACAACATACCCACTCGGATATCTAAAAGCTAGGGATGGCATTGCTGATATGGGCAAAGAGAACACAGTATAGTATTTAAGTGCCAAATATCAGTCTTTCTTTCTCTCTGGTCCTACCCCTCAGCAGTATGAAAAACTCCATACTGTGCAGTCACAGTTGGATTAATTCTTCAGTTCCTCCGCACTGCAAACACATATATGTGCGCACATGCATGTATACCTGCACCCTGTTTTAACTCTAAAGGAATAGTGTTGCTTTACTTCTTTCCTGTTTTGCCTGGACCACTTAAAGCCACAACACCTCTATAGTGACACACGCTAGTCTCTAGTGGTGGCCCTCACTGCCACCTAGAGGAGCCATGGTGGAAAACACACTCTCTCCTTTGAGCCTATCTGCACATCTCTCGAGTTCTTGGAGCAAAAACTAAATGCTGAACTAAGCCTGGTTGAGATGCTTCCCATGGACCATGCCGCAGCACAGTGCTAATCTATCCACAAAACATACCACCTCCCAAAGTATTATTATTGGAAAATCGAGGAAGTGACGCACATTTAGGGAAAAACTACTCACCTTAGAAAAGTCACTGAAATCCTTTTTTTTTTTTTTGAGATGGAGTTTTGCTCTTGTAGCCCAGGCTGGGATGCAATGGCATGGTCTCAGCTCACTGTAACCTCCACCTCCCGGATTCAAGCAATTCTTCTGCCTCAGCTTCCCGACTAGCTGGGATTACAGCTGCCTGCCACCGTGCCCAGCTAATTTTTGTATTTTTAGTGGAGAGGGGGTTTCACCATGTTGGCCAGTCTGGTCTAGAACTCCTGACGTCAGGTGATCCGCCCACCTTGGCCTCCCAAAGTGCTGGAATTAGAGGCCTGACCCCCTGCTCCTGGCCTGAAATCTTTAAAGCCGTTTTTTCCCTAAAAAATGGGAAATAATAACACCTCAGAAGGTTTTTGTGAAGATCAAAGAAGCTAAATATATGTGGCATGATTTGTAAAGTGTTATGCATATGTATGTTATTCTTCCTACTGTCTTCTAACCTTCCCTTGCCTGCTATGACTTATCTGAGAGCCATGTTCCCATTTATCTTTTTGCCAACTATGTTACTGTTGTCACACCTGAAATGGCTTTGTTTTTATCAATAAATACTTGTTGATTGCGGTAAACAGCAACAGATATAAGTGATTCCTCGTAATATGTTCTGGGTAGAGGTAAGGAATATTTGAGAAAACTAATTGTTTATTAGGCAATTAATTAACTCCAGAACTCAAGGAGGCAACACAGAGCCAAGAATTGGCTGATTATGCAGCTCCTTGTTAACTACATTCTTGGAATGCTCACTCAGCCCGGAGGGAAAAATGTTCTGAGTATAACCTGCTGGGGATCTGAAATTATCCTGAGTCATTTAACAAATTGGCTCTGGGAATTATTGAAATGCATGAATTGCTAATAGCGCCTGAAGGGACCTTGTTTTACTGCTGCCAAATGAGTCATTTAGTCATCAAAGACACATTCCAAAAGACATTCTAGGCTCTTCTATTAAGGCACCAGGACATCACAGACTTGGCAAAGGTAAAATGTTCATTGGCATTAGAATATCTTGGGGGAAATCTTGCCTATAATGTCTTATCCTAAAGGATAAGACATAATGTCTATTCCTAAAGGAATCTCTCTTCCCCACATCCACTCCCTAGCCCCTACCACCTTATTTGAAATATAGAATCACTTCCAACCATGACATGCTACTACCCTGTCCCCTGTGTCCATCCCATAGTGTGCCTTTTCCTCATCTGCTTCACATGTGCTGCTCCTCAGTCACATGGAGTCTCTCACTCCCGTAACTCCCCCATTTGGTCACTAGTTATTTGTACCCCTTTGGCCTCAATTCTTTCTATACTGAATCTAATACATCTGTTAATCACCTCCATCACCATCATTATTGTTCTCAATTTTTTAAAATCCTTTTTAACTTTCTTCACATCTACTCTTTAAACACTGGCTCGGCTGGGCACAGTGGCTCACGCCTGTAATCCCAGCACTTTGGGAGGCCGAGGTGGGTGGATCACTTGAAGTCAGGAATTCCAGACCATCCTGGCCAACATGGTGTAACCCCGTCTCTACTAAAAATACAAAAATTAGCCGGGCGTGGTGGTGCGGGCCTGTAGTCCCAGCTACTCGGGAGGCTGAGGCAGGAGAATCGCTTGAACCTGGGAGGTGGAGGTTGCAGTGAGCTGAGATCATGCCACTGCACTCTAGCCTGGGCAATAAGAGCAAAACTCTATCTCAAAAAAAATAATAAATAAATAAATAAATACATACATAAATAAATAATTTGAGTTGTGCTTGCATTACAATCATTTAACAGGTTTTATGTGTGTTCAGCAAGTATGATTTAAGAAATTACGTACCAACTGGGCACGGCGGCTCATGCCTGCAATCCCAGCACTTTGGGAGGCCGAAGAGGGCGGATCACAAGGTCAGGAGTTCGAGACCAGCCCGACCAACATGGTGAAACCCCGTCTCTACTAAAAATACAAAAATTAGCTGGGCGTGGTGGCACGTGCCTGTAATCCCAGCTACTCAGGAGACAGAGGCAGAAGAATCGCTTGAACCAGGGAGGCGGAGGTTGCAGTGAGCCGAAATCGCACCATTGCACTCCAGCCTGGGCAACAGAGCAAGACTTTGTCTCCAAAAACAAAAAAAAAAGAAAGAAAGAAAAGAAATTTTGTACCAAGAATAGTGTAGAGCATGCAAAACAAACAGGGCCTCTGCCTCTGGGTCTTCACAGAGTTTATATCTTCACAGAGTTAAATTTTTAGGAATATTAAGAAAAACCAAGATAAAATAGTAGCAGATTTATAAATACAAAGAGCTAAACAAAGACTGAAAGGGGACAACAGATAGGAGAGGGTAGAGGATACTTGGGAGAAGCAAAGTAAAAGAAAAGCATTTTCAAAGATAAGAAAAGCCTTGGTAAATCTGGGAAACTTAAGAAAAAAAAAAGAAAAAGAAAAAGAGTAGAGGCTGGGTGCGGTGGCTCACGCCTATAATCCCAGCACTTTGGGAGGCCAAGGAGGGTGGATTATTTGAGGTCAGGCATTCAAGACCAGCCTGGCCAATATGGTGAAACCCCATATCTACTAAAAATACAAAAATTAGTGGGGTGTGGTGGCACACGGCTATAGTCCCAGCTACTCTGGAGGCTGAGCCAGGAGAATTGCTTGAACCCAGGAGGCAGAGGTTGCAGTGAGCTGAGATAGTGCCACTGCACTCCAGCCTGGGCAACAAAGCAAGACTCTGTCAAAAAGAAAAAAAAAAGAGAGAGAGAGAGTAGAGTAGCTGATTACAGGGAGCGAGGGAGACAGCTACAGGAAACAAAGTTCAAGAGGAAGGAGAGAGACCTTGCGGACCAGAAGTCTGGACTATATTTTACATGTATTGAGAAGCGGTGGAAGGATTTTTTTTTTTTTTTTTTTTTTGCAGAGTTGCCCTCCTGTTGCCCAGGCTGGAGTGCAGTGGCGCGATCTCGGCTCAATGCAACCTCCGCCTCCTGGGTTCAAGTGGTTCACCTGCCTCAGCCTCCCAAGTAGCTGGAGCTACAGGCATGAGCCACCACACCCAGCTAATTTTTGTATTTTTAGTAGAGACGGGGTTTTACTATGTTGGCCAGACTGATCTCCAGCTCCTGACCTCAGGTGATTCATCTGTCTCAACCTCCCAAACTGCTGGGATTACAGGCATGAGCCACTGCGTCTGGCCTGTGGAAGGATTTTAAATAAGTCACTTGATGCAATTTGAATTTTAAGACAATGACTCTCAATGCTACAGGAGAATGGAGTGGAGTGGGAAAGTCAGAAGGTCAGAAGTCAAAGATCAGAAGATCAGGGAAAGTCTTCAGAGGTACTGAAGAATAGTGGATAAGAGATGATTGTGGATAGGATGGGTGTGGTGGGAATAAAGGGAGAGAGAGAGATAAATGTAGGAATTTGAGAGATATATTGGAGATAGGATCATCAGGACTTGCAGCTGAATTGGAGAGGAAAATGTATTAAGGAAAGGAAAGGAAGTGAAGAATGACTTCTAGATCATTTACCTGAGCTGATGCATGGAAAGTACAGCTATTTATTAGTATGGAGAAGACTGGAGGAAGACCAGATTCAGGAGAAAATTTAAACAGTGATTTCTAAAAGTGAGGAATAAGGCATTCGCTGGTGAAATATGTACCAAGTTAATCTAAGCTAAGTCCTACTGCACCAAACAGTAAAAAAAAAGCTCAAACTTGCTAATGGAATAAGTCAAAGTTTTCCTTGGAATTGAATGAGGAAAGCCTCAATTCATGAAAAAGAAAAAGAAATTTTACATTAGTCATTTAGCTTTGTAATGTTTTTAAGATAATTCACTGGAGACTGCATGGAAACTGTTGGTTACGCCTCTCTGAGACTCTGGGGTTTAGACAGGAGGATATAAGTTTGGAAGCTATCAAGTTAAAATGTATATTCATATATATGGACATGAATGAGATCATCTCTCCCCATCCTCACCCTCTTGATCTTTTTCCCTCTCACTCCTTTAATTTTTCACTTTCTACCAGTTTCTTCCCTTTAGCATATAGTAGTTTAGTATGACTTGTATACCGTAAAGGGAGAGCAGCGCATGAAGTTGAAGTGGCACACTGCTCAGCCTCGCACCAGGCAATTCGGCAACTGAACTTGAAGACAATGAGGTGTGACTTAACATTTTATTTGCAGGAAAGCTCCATTATGTGATCAATTTTTAAGAAACATACCCTGATGAAAGTTTGAGGTCTTAGCTGAAATGTGAGGAAGGCAGATCTTAATCCTGACTAGGAGCATATTGTAAAGCTGGAAACCATCATTCTCAGTAAACTATCGCAAGGACAAAAAACCAAACACTGCATGTTCTCACTCATAGGTGGGAATTGAACAATGAGAACACATGGACACAGGAAGGGGAACATCACATGCTGGGGACTGTTGTGGGGTGGGGGGAGGGGGGAGAGATAGCATTAGGAGATATACCTAATGCTAAATGACGAGTTAATGGGTGCAGCACACCAACATGGCACATGTATACATATGTAACAAACCTGAATGTTGTGTATGTGTACCCTAAAATTTAAAGTATAATAATAATAAAATAATAAAATAAAAAATAAAATCCTAGTTAAAAATGGGGAGCTTGCAGGGCGCAGTGGCTCACGCCTGTTATCCCAGCACTTTGGGATGCCGAGGCGGGTGGATCACCTGAGGTCAGGAGTTCGAGACCAGCCTGGCCAACATAGTGAAACCCTGTCTTTACTAAATATACAAAAATTAGCTGGGCATTGTGGCACACGCCTGTAATCCCAGATACTCGGGAGGCTGAGGCAGGAGAATCACTTGAACCCAGGAGATAGGGGTTGATGTGAGCCAAGCTCATACCACTGCACTCCAGCCTGGGTGGCAGAGCAAGACTCTGTCTCAAAAAAAAAAAAAAAATGATGATGATGAGCATGAAAAGGAACATTGAGGTGGTGGTAAAATGATGTTCTTTTTTTTTTTTTCCAACAGAATTCTAAGCTGTGCTCAATTGAAAAAAAAAAAAAGTAACAGTGGTTAAAAACATGATTTTTAACACAATTGTTCTCTAGGTCTCTCCTATAATTTTAAGCAGAGGAAATTCACTGGCCCCTCTTTCTCAGCTCAAATAACATAAATATGCACAAACCCTCCGAGCAGGGCAGCTCCAATCTGCGGTCTTTTCAACTTACTGTCAAGGGTGATTACACTGGACAGAAAACCACATCCTCTATCGCCTTTTTTATTTTGAGACAGAGTCTCGCTCTGTCGCCCAGGCTGAAGTGCAGTGGCATGATCTCCTCTCAGTGCAGCCTCCGCCTACTGGGTTCAAGCGATTCTCCTGCCTCAACCTCCCGAGTAGCTGGGACTACAGGCGTGCACCACCACGCCCTGCTAATTGTGTGTGTGTGTGTGCGTGTGTGTGTGTTTTCAGTAGAGATGGGTTTTGTCATGTTGGCCAGGCTGGTCTCAAACTCCTGGCCTCAAGCAATCCACCCACCTCAGCCTTCCAAAGTGCTGGGATGACAGGCATGAGCCACCGTGCCCGGCCCTCCTATCATTTTTTGCTTGTGAGGACTAAGCTCTGATTTTTAAATCTTACCCTAATTCCTATCTAAGGAGTCTAGGGAGTCATGCCCTACTAACCATAAATTCTCATCAGATGGATTTTATTTAACCCTGTATATCATGACTTACTTTCCCATCTGACTCTGGCATAACATGTGACAAAGAAGAAAGTCAAAATATTTTACCCCAAAACATGTTTCTTTGCCACATTTTGAAATGGCCCTGCAAAGCTGTCCTTTGTGGGGGAAAATTTGCATCCGTAAAGAATCTCAGCCAGCTGCAGTGGCTCATGCTTGTAATCCCAGCACTTTGGGAGGCTGAGGCGGGCAGATCAACTAAGGTCAGGAGTTCAAGACCAGCCTGGCCAACATGGTGAAACCCCTGTCTCTACTAAAAATATAAAAATTAGCCCAGAGTGGTGGCATGCACCTGTAATCAATCCCAGCTTATAGTGGGAGGCTGAGGCAGGAGAATTGCTTGAACCTGGGAGGCCGAGGTTGCAGTGTACCGAGATTGTGCCATTGCACTCCAGCTTGGGCAAAAAGAGCGAAACTGTCTCAATAATAATAATAATAATAATAATCTCTATTAACATAGCTAGATCTTTTCTTCCAGGCCCTCCCAATCCTAAAGAGATTAACTAAGAGTCTAGCACCTTTTAAATATCTGAATAGAAAATCATTGTCATCTATTGTCTCTAAGGACAGCCACTATAAGACTTCAAAAGAACCTTGGTCTCTACAATCTTTTATTTTAACATGAACATTTCCTTTCTATGGATCCCAGGTCTTTAGACAAACTCAACAAATTGTCAACCAGAAAATGTTTAAATTTGGAAGCCCCCCCGCCACACCCCACCGGCTTTGAGTTGTCCCACCTTTCTGGACCAAACCAATATATTACTTAAATGTGTTTGGTTGACATCTCATGCCTACCTAAAATGTATAAAACCAAGCTGCACCCCGACCACCTTGGGCACATGTCCTCAGGACTTCCTGGGGGCTGTGTCATGGGCCATAGTCACTCATATTTGGCTCAGAATAAATCTTTTCAAGTATTTTACAGAGTTTGACTCTTTTTGTCGACTCTTGCTAAAACCAAAACTATTGGAGTCAGGGCTGCGTCCAGTGTGTTGTCAATTTCTGAAAGAAGATGTTGACACATGCATAGCAGTAGGAAGTGACCCTGACAGCATAAAGCTCCTAATCTGTGCGGGAAAACTGAAAGATGAACCTCTACTAAATTTACACAAGGGCAAACTCTCCTTCAGTGGGGAGGCTGGGTCTGACACATTCTGTGGCTGTGATGACCTAGTTGTCGGTGGTTTACAGGCAAATACGACAGTATAGAGTGCTTTGCAGTAGCCCGTTTTCCCTCCAGGTCTAGCTCAGGAACTGCAGCATCAGTTCTAATTGAGTTGGCCTTGTAGGTATGGCTATAAGATCTTTATTTATTTTTTAATTTTTTAATTTAATTTATTTATTTATTTATTTTTTGAGATAGAGTTTCGCTCTCGTTGCCCAGGCTGGAGTGCAATGGCACGATCTCAGCTCACCACAACCTCTGCCTCCCAGGTTCAAGCGATTCTCCTGCCTCAGCCTCCCTAGTAGTTGGGATTACAGGCATGCACCACCATGCCCAGCTAATTTTGTATTTTTAGTAGAGACGGGGTTTCTCCATGTTGGACAGGCTGGTCTCAAACTTCCCACCTCAGGTAATCCGCCCGCCTCGGCCTCCCAAAGTGCTGGGATTACAGGCGTGAGCCACTGTGCCCGGCCCGGCTATAAGAACTTTATCAGAGGGACTGATTAGTTAATCTGTTAAGCGTTTACTTGCATATGAGAGTATGGAAATAAAGCAGAAACAGGAATTGTTTAACAAATTTAAGTGGCAGGAGATTAAAATGGCAAAGTCTGGGGAAGGTATGCTTTGTTTTCTTTTCCTTGGGTAAAGTAGCTTGGCTGGAAGGTAACAAAGAAGTCAGTGTGGGACATCTGCCGTTGAGCAAGCCAACTGGGAAAATGATTTCAGTGATTTATGGATTGTCTAAGATACATGGAGAGTTCAACTGTGGAAAATATGTGACATGCTATCACTGAGTAGTGGTGGCCAGTGTCTTCCATTGGCATCTCCACCTTGGTTAACCCAGAATTGTGCTATTTCCCACCCCAGGGTGCCTCACAACTTTGGGAGTCTGGGAAGGGTACTATGAAAGTAAGCAGTGTAGGACCGGGCCCGGTGGCTCACGCCTGTAATCCCAGCACTTTGGGAGGCCGAGGCGGGCGGATCACGAGGTCAGGAGATCGAGACCATCTTGGCCAAGATGGTGAAACCCCATCTCTACTAAACATACAAAAATTAGCCAGGCCTGGTGGCATGCGCCTGTAGTCCCAGCTACTCGGGAGGCTGAGGCAGGAGAATCGCTTGAACCCGGGAGGCGGAGGTTGCAATGAGCCAAGATCACATTACTGCACTCCAGCCTGGGCAACAGAGTGAGACCCCGTCTCAAAAAAAAAAAGTAAGCAGTGTTGAAATCTAAAGGATAATTGAATTTTAAACATTAATTACATGGTGTAATGGCATTTTCTGTTTATAAAAAAAGATAGAAAAAAATGAGAATGTGAATCATGGAGACTGGTAACAATTCCAGGAGTGATGTGATAGGAATTAATCTGGAAGACAGGTTCACTTCTTTTTTTTTTTCTTAAGACAGAGTCTTGCTCTGTCACCCAGGCTGGAGTGCAGTGGCCCAATCTTGGCTCACTGCAAGCTCCATCTCCCAGGTTCACGCCATTCTCCTGCCTCAGCCTCCCGAGTAGCTGGGACTACAGGCGTCTGCCACCATGCCTGGCTAATTTTTTGTATTTTTAGTAGAGACAGGGTTTCACCGTGTTAGCCAGGATGGTCTCGATCTCCCGACCTTGTGATCCACCCGCCTCAGCCACCCAAAGTGCTGGGATTACAGGCGTGAGCCACTGCGGCCGGCCTGGTTGGCTTCTTTTTATGGAAGGCATTAAATGTGAGCTTCAGCAGTTTGGACTTTATCCTGCAGTCAATGAAAGCCATCGCAAGTTCTTGAAGAGGAAAAGGGGATAATGTAACTTTTAAGATGCTTTGGTTGTCACTAAAAGATGAATAAGAGAAGTAAAATACAGGAGACAGGGTGACCATTATGGCTACAGAGCTACCGCAGAGGCAATGTCTCTTTAATTTCTATGATAAAATCTTACTTATGGACAAAAGTTATGAAATAAGGCAGACTCAGTTAACGCCTCTTCTCTCTCAGCCTCCCAGTACCAAACCTTAAATTGTTTATGTTGCCTTTTGGTTCTTGCTATTCCTGTTTGATAAATGATGTCAGTGCTACAAGTATCTAGACTTTTCTTTAATCCCACTTTGTATATCAAACTTGCCTATACAGTATCTCTCTTGTGTGCTCTTCTCTTACACTGTAGTTAGGACCTGCTCTCCCCTCCAATATTAATACTAATTACCATAAGTGGTAAGGTTGAATACTATCCTCTCTCTCCCAAAGAGTTGTAACTTCAAACTCAGTAAATACCAAAGTTGATAAATGCAAATCCAATTCAATGAGAACAAAAGTTAATTAAGAGGACGGGTACGGTGGTTCACATCTGTAATCCTAGCACTTTGGGAGGCCAAGGCAGGCAGATCACTTGAGGTCAGGAGTTCAAGACCAGCCTGGCCAACATGGTGAAACCCCTGTCTCTACTAAAAATACAAAATTAGCCAGGCGTGGTGGCACTCGCCTGTAATCTCAGCTACTTGGGAGGCTGAGGCAGGAGAAGCACTTGAATCCGGGAGGTGGAAGTTGCAATGAGCTGAGATTGCACCACTGCACTCCAGCCTGGGCAAAAAGAGCAAAACTCTATCTCAAAAAAAAAAAAAAAAAAAGAAGAAGAAGAAGGTTCATTAAGGGTCAAATAATTTGGCTGGGCACAGTGGCTCATGCCTGTAATCCCAACACTTTGGGAGGCTGAGGCAGGCGGATCACCTGAGGTCAGGAGTTGGAGACCAGCCTGACCAACACGGTAAAACCCCATCTCTACTAAAAATACAAAAATTAGCTGGGTGTGGTGATGCGTGCTTGTAGTCCCAGCTACTTGAGAGGCTGAGGCAGGAGAATCATTTGAACCTGGGAGGCAGATTGAAGTAAGCCAAGATAGTGCCACTGCACTCCAGCCTGGAGGACAGAGTGAAACTACGTCTCAAAAAAAAAAAAAAAAGAGTCAAATAATTGGTTAGTAATCACAGCCATTTGAATGCCAACTGTGCACCTAATGCATTATGTCACTTAATTCTCCAAACTCCCATTTTTTAGCTTTGGATGGTGAGTTGTCAGGAAGTAATGTCATTTGCAGAACAACTTTGTCAGACTTCAAACATCAAACTGAAAAACACTTTCCTCTTTTTTTTTTGAGATGGAGTTTCACTCTTGTTGCCCAGGCTGGAGTGCAGTGGCACGATCTCGGCTCACCGCAACCTCCACCTCCCAGGTTCAAGCGATTCTCCTGCCTCAGCCTCCCGAGTGGTGGGGATTACAGGCATGTGCCTCCATGCCTGGCTAATTTTGTATTTTTAGTAGAGACAGGTTTTTCCATGTTGGTCAGGCTGGTCTCAAACTTCCCACCTCAGGTAATCCTCCTGCCTCGGCCTCCCAAAGTGCTGGGATTACAGGCGTGAGCCACCGCGCCTGGATCCTCTTATTTTTTAATTTTTATTTTTTTAAAATTAAATCTATGTATCTTTACAGATTGAAAATTCAAATAGCCCTGCAAGGCTTGTGAAGAAAAATAGCACCTTCCCACCACACACACATTTTCTACTCCCTACTTTTTAGCTGATATTTTTAGGCCTACAGTTCTTCAAATACGATGCATATGTTGCTATTCTTGATTTTTATTTTTGGTTTGGAACACAATCTATTGACTTGCCATTATAGAAGATGAAAATGAGGCTCTTTTTTTACCACCACCACCTCCGCCTTTGCTAGCATCACGCATCTGAATATTTCTCATGCCCTTCTATCATCCAAATATGATGATATCATAATTTTGATTAGATCAGTATAATTAGAAACAAGAAAGGGAACATTAATGGCTAAGAGCCTGAAACTGGGCTTTAAGGGTAAAAATTGTGGCTCTGCTCTTTACTCCCTGTCCAATCTTGGTGTAGTAACCTAATCGTTCTGGCTTCAATTTCCTCAACTGTAAAATGATGATAAAATGAGTACACCTACATTATACTATATGAGGACTACGGGAGTTGATATATATGTATTCATATATGATAGCATATGTAAAGCATGCATATTAATATACTAATACGTATTAATCACTTTGATTATCTTATAGATTATCTTCATCTTTCATCATCTCTTTCTAAAAGGTAAATTTTGCTTCCTTAATCCCACATCTTTTCCTTTCTTGGTTTATTTTCTCATTGTGGGGGTGCTTACTGAAAACAAGAACATTAAAAGTAAATTTTGGGGGCTGGGCACAGTGGCTCACACCTGTAATCCTAACACTTTGGGAGGCCGAGGCGGGTGAATCATCTGAGGTCAGGAGTTCGAAACCAGCCTGGCCAACATGGTGAAACCCCGTCTCTATTAAAAATACAAAAAAATTAGCCAGGTGTGGTGGCGCATGCCTGTAAACCCAGCTACTCGGGAGGCTGATGCAGGAGAATTGCTTGAACTTGGGAGGCAGAGGATGCCGTGAGCCAAAATTGCGCCACTGCACTTCAGCCTGGGTGACAGAATGAGACTACGTCTCAAAAAAAAAAAAAAAGGTAAATTTTGAGAGAGTTTCCATGTCTAAGAATGTCTTGAGCTACCCCCACACTTAAACAATAGTATAGCTTATTATAAAATTCTAGGAAGAAGGCAGGGTGCGGTGGCTCACGCCTGTAATCCCAGCACTTTGGGAGGCCGAGGCGGGTGGGTCACGAGGTCAGGAGATCGAGACCATCCTGGCTAACACGGTGAAACGCCGTCTCTACTAAAAATACAAAAAATTAGCTGGGCATGGTGGTGGGTGCCTGTAGTCCCAACTATTCAGGAGGCTGAGGCAGGAGAATGGCGTGAACCTGGGAGGCGGAGCTTGCAGTGAGCTGAGATTGCGCCATTGCACTCCAACCTGGGCGACACAGCGAGACTCCATCTCAAAAAAAAAAAAAAAAATTCTAGGAAGAGAATAATTTCCCTTAGAAATTAAAGGCACAGATCTTTAAATAAAAGCTGATCTCTTTCTCTTCCATCATCTCTCTGAGACTCCTACTGTTTGAATGACGGATTTCTAACATTTCATCTCTTTAAATAAATCTGACCTCCCTCCCCTGTTGCCTCTCTGTGATTCCTCGTATTTGAATGTGGGACTTCTAATTTACATTCCCTGCCCCCTTTTCCTATCTCTCTGGTCTTACTGCTTTACTTTCTAGGACATTTCCTTTAACTTATTTCTAATATTTCTCTTGAATTTTTTCTTCTCATACTTTCAATTTTTAAGGTTTTTTTTCTCTAAATGTTCTTTGGCTGCAGCTGTTTTTGTTTCATAGAAGCAATCTTTCCTTTTCTTTTTCTGAGGATGTTAATGACAATTTTTTGGTGTTTCTATCTCCCTGAGTAATCTTTTATTTTCTTCAAATTGTTTTTCTCTTACTGAGTCATATTGGATCTTTTCTTCAAATCCCTAGTGATTTTTGACTACTTGCTGTCTTCTTATATTTAAAAGTGAGTGCTACAAAAGCTCATTTGAAATTCTGCATGCACAGCCCGGTGCGGTAGCTCACACCTGTAATCCCAGCACTTTGGGAGGCTGAGGCAGGCAGATCACTTGAGGTCAGGAGTTGGAGACCAGCCTGGCCAACATGGTGAAACCCTGTCTCCACGAAAAATACAAAAATTAGCTGGGGGTGGTGGTGAGTTCCTGTAATCCCAGCTACTCGGGAGGCTGGAGCACAAGAATCGCTTGAACCCGGGAGACAGAGGTTGCAGTGAGCCGAGATCACGCCACTGCACTCCAGCCTGGGCGACAGAGCAATAATACTCTGTCTCAAAAAAAAAAAAAAAAAAAAAAAAGAAAGAAAAGAAAGAAAGAAATTCTACATGCATGCAACAACCTTGTAGAATTCTACATGCATCCAACCATGGTCTTCTACTGGGCAGGTTGTCGGCTGGGCTGAGTAACTGGAACAGACTAGAAGGAAGAAGGTTGGGGATTTAGGAGTTAGTATGGAAGTTCTCACTTAATATTTCTGTTTTCAGTATGCTTCTTCTACAGAGCCCTTTTCCTCTAGCTTTCCCAATTCATAGACTCTTTGTTTATTCTCTATAAAGAATAAATCTCAATACTATACGGGGATGGGAGAGAGGAAATTACATGGCCATATAGGGGTAAGGAGATAACTTGGTAGTAAAAATGCCTGTACCTTTCTAAATCATCTAATGAATAGGCTACTTTAGACTTTCTTTACTGCCCACTTCAGATTTCATTCCTTAAGACTACTTTGTAAGTTATTTCTCATTTGTTAGCCTTCTTTCTAGAGTTTAAAACTGATTCCTCTTTCCACCTTTTCTCTCATGTAGTGAGGTTGGTTGTTTGTTTTGAGATGGAGTCTCACTCTGTCACCCAGGTTGGAGGGCAGTGGCGTGATCTCAGCTCACTGCAACCTCTGCCTCTTGGGTTCAAGCGATTCTCCTGCCTCAGCCTCCTGAGTAGCTGGGACTACAAGCACACGCCACCATGCCTGGGTAATTTTTGTATTTTTAGTAGAGATGGGGTTTCACTATGTTGGCCAGGCTGGTCTTGAACTTCTGACCTCAGGTGATCTGCCAGCCTTGGCCTCTCAGAGTGCTAGGATTACAGACATGAGCCACTGCACCTGGCCTGATTTTGTGAGTTTTTTACTTCCTTTTTTCTTTTACAGTCTATCTATTTCCTAGAGCTGCTGTAACATAGTACCACAAAGTAGATGTTTCAAACAACAGAAATGTATTGTCTCACTGTTCCAGAGGCTGAAAGGCTGATATTAAAGTGTCAGCAGCGTGAGGTTCTTCTGAGGACTGGGAGGAAGAATCTGTTCCATGCCTGTCTCCCAGCTTCTGAGATCCTCAGGTGTTCTTTGTGTTGTGGATGACATTCTTCCTGTGTCTTCACATCCTCTTTCCTTTATTCAGGACTGTTTTTGTGTCCAAATTTCCCCGCTTTGATAAGAACACCAGTCCTATTGTCTATCATCCACTCTAATGACCTAATTTTAATTTAACCATCTGCAAAGACCTTGTTTCCAAACGAGGACAAATTCACTAATAATGGGAGTTAAAACTTCCACATCTTTTTGGGCGACACAATTCAACCCATCACGCAGTTGTTTTAGTGCCACCTCAGGAGACAGCAAAGCCAAAAATACCTTTTCATTCCACCGTCTCAAATCGGAAGTCTATCCTTTGCTCCTTTGATGATGCTATATTGCATATTTTGAGTCTTTGTGTCATGAGCTATCCAAAGCCCTGAGGAGATAAAAACAATATACGCTGTTTTTGCACTCTTTCATAAGGTAGTCAGTTAGGGAGGACACAAAAGGAGACAGAGGAGACACTCAGGAAAACAACATTTTCTGACAAGTAATTGTGTTTACTTGTGAGTAAGTTTACTCACAAGTTGCAGAGATAGCAGTCACAGCATGTCATACAGGCCACACATTGGAAAGACACCAGGGAGGTCAGGGGAAAGAAGACAGGAGCGAGGGTAAGGTTTAGGTCAAAGCTTTCATTGGGGTTGCCATAGGAAAAACAGGAAAGGGAAGGGTAAAGAATTTAGTTTGAAATATTTCTATGGGCTCTAAACCACAAAGGTTGTCCCTGGTTGCCTGGTAACTGGTCCTCCTATGATTAAGGCAGAGAAATGTTGCCCCCTGGAATATACAGGTTGGATATAGGAGGTATGGCTCTAGATTGGTGAGTTTGCATATGAAAGGCAGGTTCTCAGCTGAGCCCTTGCTATCTCTAAGAACTGGTTAGGTCTGGTAAAGACAGTCTCTCCCCAGCCAGAATTTTTTTTTTAATGTAAAAACACCATAATATACAGAAAATAAGAAAATAAACTATCTCTCACTACTGGAACGGGCTATCTGAAACTAGGGACCTGAATGCCCTTAGAACTCCCCCAAACTCTGTATATATTTCTATGTCTCTCTATCCCTATCATATAACTTGCCTCTCTGAGTGTTATCTTTATCTCATTTATCTGGTGACTGCTTGAGACCAAAACGATAGCAGCCCCTGATCTCATAGCATCCACTATGGTCTGAACGTGTGTTTCCTCGCCAAATTTGTACACTGAAATCCTAACCCATAAGATGATGTTATTAGGAGGTGAGGCCTTTGGTAGGTGATTAAGTCATGAGAATGGAACCCTCATAAATGGATTAGTGCCGTTATAAAAGAGGCCTGAGACAGAACCCTCTTTCTTTCCTTCTGCTATGTGAGGTTGGAGTGAGAAGGCAGCTGTCTATGAGGAAGCAGGCCCTCACCAGATAGTTAATCAGCTGGCACCTTGATCTCGGACTTCCCAGTCTCCTGAACTGTGAGAAATGAATCTCTGTTGTTTATAAGCCACCCAGTCTATGGTATTTTGTTATAGCAGCTGGAATGGACTAAGACATCATCTAAACTTCGTCATCAAAGAAGAAGGGGCTCCTTTCCTTTAGTTCATATGTAAGAAATTCTAAGGAAAAATTCTGATTAATCTTATGGCCAAGGCAATGAGATTTTATGATTGGTGAGTTCCACTAGAACCATGCGGTGTCAATGTAAAAAGAGTAGTTACTTCTGAAACCATACATATATCCCCCCCCGCACCCCCCACCCGAAAAAAAAAAGGACATGTAATGGGCATCATGTTTTTTGTTCGTTTGTTTGTTTGTTTGAGACGTAGTTTTGCTCTTGTTGCCCAAGCTGGAGTTCAATGGCACGATCTCGGCTCACTGCAACCTCCACCTCCCAGTTCAAGCAATTATCCTATCTCAGCCTCTCAAGTAACTGGGATTATAGGCGCGAGCCACTACGCCTGGCTAACTTTTTGTATTTTTAGTAGAAACAAGGTTTCAGCATATTAGCTATACTGGTCTTGAACTCCTGACCTCAGGTGATCTGCCCACCTCAGCCTCCCAAAGTGCTGGGATTACAGGTGTGAGCCACCACACCCAGCCAGCATCATCTTATCTAATGAACAATGCATCATTATCAGTGCTATGGCAAAGATAAGCACACAATACTTTGCAAGTGCCTAGAAGGAATACAGAACTCAGGCAAAGGAGATCAAAAGGTTTCCTAGAGAAGATGATGCCTGAACTAAACCCTGAATGTTTTATAGAAACTAGTCAGAAAAAAAAAGGGAGAAAACGTTTTCACAGGAAGGAGGCTTTGAATATCCAGTGGTCTGAAACAATACCAATATAGGGAAAATAATTTAGTATGCCTGAACCATAGAGTACAATGATAGGAAATGGCTATATATGAGCCTCAAGAGAGAAACAACAGCCTGATTGTAAGTACTCTATTTCCGTTGTAAAGAATTTGAACTGTCTCCCAAAGATTACAGAGAATGCTGACCACTGAATGATATTAAGAAGAGAAATGACACAATGAAATATAGCTTTATTACATTTAGTCTGGCATCAGTGAGCTCTCTTTTTCCTAGAAGTGGGAAAGACAAGACTGAACACTATTTACTAATGTGTTTGAGTAATAATGTTTTGTTTGTTTGTTTGTTTGTTATTTTGAGGTGGAGTTTCACTCTTGTTGCCCAGGCTGGAGTGCAATGCCGCGATCTTGGCTCACTGCACCCTCTGCCTCCCGGGTTCAAGTGATTCTCCTGCCTCAGCCTTCTGAGTAGCTTGGATTACAGGCATGCACCACCACGCCCAGCTAATTTTGTATTCTTAGTAGAGACGGGGTTTCTCCATGTTGGTCAGGCTAGTCTCAAACTCCCGACCTCAGGTGATCTGCCCGCCTTGGCCTCCCAAAGTGCTGGGGTTACAGGCGTGAGCCACCGCGCCTGGCCCAATAGTGGTGATTTTGAAGCATATTCTCAGATTCTCCAATACTTCCTCCAGGTAGAAGTGGAGTCTGTGGCACCTTCCTTTGAATCTGAGCAGAACTTTGTGACTGCTCTGAGAAACAGAATGAGGCAGAAGTGTCCCTTTCAAATTAAAATGACTAGATTACAAGAGGCCATGTGCTTTCTGCTGACTTCTTTTGGCAAATTTGCCCAGAGAGCCCATAGGTACCATGAAAGAAGTTTAGCTAGCCTGCAGCCACTATGGGAAGAGACCCATGGTGAGATCCTATAGAGAAAGGAAGAGGTGGCTGAGGAGCGCCAATTGTTTGAGTCTTCCCAGTCCAACTACCAAAACTGCTAGTGAAGAAGCCTTCCAAGAAGATCCTATCACCAGTCACTAATTAAAACCAAAGCTGAGCCCCATTACTTCAGATTTGTGAGCAAAATAGATGATGCTATTATCTTAAGCCATTCCTTTGAGGTGGTTTGCTATATAGCAACAGATCATTAGAACGAAGCCAAAATTTTTAAAAAATGAAGATTAAACTAAGGTAGTGGCAGCTGCAATGAAGCAATGTAAGCACACAAATTATTAAGGAGGAAAACCCACTCATGTATAGTTCAGGGGCAGGAAATATTTTCCTAGTCTTGGAGTCAGCCAGGCACATCGTGGTGGTATTTGACACTTGATCTGTGGATGGCAGCTTATTTAAAAATTCAAATTAAGTAATAAAATCCCTTGTTTAAATTCCAAGCTTAGCAAGCAAATTTAGAAAATGGCTGAATAACTAAACCTCTAGCTATTGTATTTGTCATTGGAGACCAATGCACTAAAATTCTGGTTTCATCTATCAATTTAAATGTGATAATATAAGAGACCCTGGGCCAGGTGCAGTGGCGCACACCTGGAATCCCAGCACTTTGGGAGGCCGAGGCAGGCGGATCACCTGAGGTCAGGGGTTCGAGACCAGCCTGACCAACATGGCGAAACCTCGTGTCTACTAAAAATACAAAATTAGCTGGTGTGGTGGCACATGTCTGTAATCCTAGCTACTTGGGAGGCTGAGGCAGGAGAATCGCTTGAACCTGGGAGGTGGAGGTTGCAATTAGCTGAAGGGCAACAACAGTGAAACGCCATCTACACACACACACACACACACACACACACACACACACACACACACACAAAGAGAGAGAGAGAGAGACCCTAAATCGAAGAAATCAGACCTATCTTTATGGTAAATTCCACCTGTTTTCAGATTCAAATGCTTGAGTGGGGGAGAAAAAAAAGTATGTTTGGGGCAATTGAGAAAATATAAATATAAGCTCTATATTAGATAATGTTGGAAAATATTAGTAGTTTTTAAGGTGTAATAACTATTGTGGTTATGGAGGAACATGTTCTTATTCTCAGGGGGGATATAATTTGTATATTGGGATGGTGTCATGTTTCTAATTTACTTTTTTTTTTGAGACGGAGTCTCGCTCTGTCACCCAGGCTGGAGTGCAGTGGCATGACCTCTACTCAATGCAACCTCCGCCTCCCGGGTTCAAGCGATTCTCCTGCCTCAGCCTCCTAAGTAGCTGGGACTATAGGTGCGCGCCACCACACCCGGCTAATTTTTTGTATTTTTAGTAGAGACGGGGTTTCACAGTGTTAGCTAGGATGGTCTCGATCTCTTGACCTCGTGATCCACCCGCCTCAGGCTCCCAAAATGCTGGGATTACAGGCGTGAGCCACCGCGCCCGTCCTCTAATTTACTTTCAAACGGAAAAAATCTAGGTGAAGGTTATA